>NC_000023.11:4637488-5262488 GCF_000001405.40 Homo sapiens
TTATTTTAGAGTAGCTGAATCCCCAAGCTGGTAAAAAATAAGTTCAGTATTTATTATGCATATACTTCAGATTTTTAAATTATTTGTAACATTATTTTATTTCAATTCATACCCCCTTTCCATACATACATATATATGAATCAAAGACATTTATTAATTAGCCAAAAGTCTTAAGGAATAGCAATAGAAGCAGTTTCTCTGACTTTAGTTTGACGATCTTCTCTGTATTTCGTGGTTGCCATTTAATGAAATGTACACTTATTTGAAAAATAAGTGCAAAAAACTTGAAAGAAAAACTTTACATACATTTATTAGCAAGCATGAAAAAACATTAATGTTACCTTACTTGCCTCTAGCAGGCCTTTCCAGGGGACAACTTCACCTTTAAGGAAACATCATACTACAAGGGAAATGTTTGGAAAATAATAAAATTGTATATTTTCCCATTAAAAATATATAAGAATGAAAATGCCTTCAAATTTATATATTTTTGAATGGCTTGGTTAAATGGGCAGACTTTTCATAAAGAAAGACGTGGAAAAACAAATAACTCAGGCTGCATTATTTAGCCAAAAGGTTAAGATGCTGAAATATGAAAGTCTAAAAACCAAAAGCTCTAAAAGAAAGAATTTGTTTGTCTTCCATTTCTGAGTTGGTGGCTGTCTCAGTTCCACAGAGTCATGCAGAGCCCCAAGCTATGAATAGCTTCGTGATTTTCAACTACATTTTAACAAAGCCCCACTTGTTGTTGAGTCCAGTCAAGTTAGGGGTTGGGAAGGGATATAAAGGAGGTCTCCAGCTGTTTACATACCCAATATAAGACCTTTATATACTCCATGTCGGCAAGCTCCTTTTTCTTTCATAATCTGGGTTGGTGGCTGGCTCGGTTCCACAGAGTGATGCAGGAACCCGGACTATTTATGGCTTTGTCCATTTCAACTATATATTTTCTGAAACCTCACTTGTGCTTGATTGTAGTCAATCTAGGAGGTGGGATGAGCATATAAAGGAGGGACTCCAGCTGTTTATATACCCCATATCAGCTCTTTATATATCCCATGTCTGCTAGCTCCTTTGTCTTCCACGATCTGGGTGGTTGGCTGTCTTGGTTCCACAGAGTGATGCAGGACCCTGGGATACTAATAGCTTTGCCATTTTTAACAGCATATTTACATAGCCCCACTTGTGGTTGATTCCATTTAATTTGGGGGTAAGGCACAGGTAGGAGAAATTCCAGTTTTTTAGGTACCCCATGCTAGCTCTTTGTAGACTCCATGTCTGCAAGTTTCTTTGTCTTTCATAATTTGGGTTGGTGAGTGCCTCAGTTCCACAGAGTGATGCAGGACTCCAAGCTCTTAATAGCTTTGTCCATTCCAACTACATCTTTTCCAAACCCCCACTTGTGGTTGATCCCATTCAGTTTTGAGGGAAGGCACAGGTAGGAGAAACTCTAGCTGTTTCTATATCCCCATGTCAGCAAGAGAAGCACATCACTTCCACTTGTAATTAATTAGAGAGAACTTAGTCATTCAAATTACTGCAACACAAATTCTGTCAGCTTAGTCTTTGGCTTAACCATATCCAGCTCTCAGCTCATAATTAGAAAAGGGAGAAATAGCTTTGGTTTATTTAGAACAGGTAGTTCTTTGCCATAGAAGGAACAACCTGTGGAATGAAACACCTGAAAGCAGAAAACTTTCTTTGGCGGTATATTTAATTTTCTTTGGGGTATTCAACCGTAATAGGATTATTATAGAACTTTGACAAGTTGATTTATTTGTAAAAGAATATTATAATCTGATATGGTTTGTATTTGTGTCCCTTCCCAAATCGCTTGTTGAATTGTAATCCCTAATGTTGAAGGTGGGGCCTAGTGGGAGGTGAATGGATCATGGAGGTGGATTTCTTCCTTGGTACTGTTATGTTAGTGAGTGAGTTCTCATGAGATCTGGTTGTTTAAAAGTGTGTGGCACTTCTTCCCTTCTCTCTCTTCCTCCTGCTCTGGTCATGTAAGATGGGCCTGCTCTCCCTTTGCCTTTCACCATGATTATTAGTTTCCTGAGGCCTCCCCAAAAGCAGAAGCCGCCATGCTTCCTGTGCAGCCTGCAGAACCGTGAGCCAATTAAATCTCTTCCCTTTATAAATTACCCAATCTCAGGAACTTCTTTATAGCAGTGTGAGAACAGACTAATATATAATCATACTATGAAAAAAATCTGTAAGAGTTTATCCGTTGGTACGTGGTTTGTGTTCTATGTGAATCTTGATAGCATAACCTACCTCAAGGTTGAAATAACAGCTTCCTAAGATATTTGTGTGTTTACTTATAACAACAGCAGAACATCATGGTGACATTTTTAAAAAGTAATATTCAGAAAGGGACATGTCTGATTTTAACCTTTTCAGTAGGAATTGGTTACATGAAAGTTTGGTTGCAATTCAAAAAGCAAATGAATAAAAAATGATTTCCAATACTGCAATTGTACCCACTGTGTTTATTTTGCTTTCTTTTACTATAGAAAAGAACCCATAGAAAACATTGCATTGAGTCTCTGTCATATCAATTATAGAGTTGAAAGCTCTTTACCAACTTTCTTAATAGTGCAGTCTCTTTCTGTCCAAACATTTTTAAAATGCAGTAACTCTATGTATTACTGACAAGTACTATGGAGTCCTTTAAACCAATCATAATATGATGTTTCATGAAAATGAATAATTCAACTCATTTTTGGATGTTGTTTCTTCAAAACCTTCTTTCAAAACAATATATTGTCTTTAAAGATAAAGTAAAAATAAATGAAGATTCCCTGAAGATGGAGGCATGCTTTCTTTCTTTTTAAATGAAAGAATGTTTTCTACTATGTGATTTATAACCAAATTTAGTTCTAAGAAGCTGCATCTATTTATGTCAAAACCACTCCTCTCATGCAAGACAGACTGAACACCTGAATAAAAACCAGGAGTTCAGATGTATTTCTTTGAAGTTATGACCTATTTTATTTCCCTGTTGTGTAACACTAACTCATTGTGACACAATCTTTGAGGGTTTATATCTTTTATAATTAAATTGCCCTGAAGAAAGTTCCCAGTCACAATCTTCATTCTTTTCAAATTTTTCTGCAATGGAGCACAATTAAGAATAAAGAATGCATCATGACACAGTGAAAATGCTAAAATTTCTTAAAGAGGTCAAACAAGTTTCAACATTCATATCATTAATTATGCTTTGAAGCACTGTCCTTTCTAAGTGACACTGTTTTTATTTTGAACAACATCTAAATTCAGGGAAAATAATCACTTCTAAAGACTATTTTTAGTTGAGCCTGCTTTCTTCGCCCAGTTTCTAATCAGAGGCTCTGCTATAAGTTGAATGTTTTTGTGCCCCCGAAATTCATGTGTTGACATCTTAACCCCCAAAGTGATAGTGTTAGGAGTGGGGGACTATGGTAGGTGATGAGGTCATGAAGGTGGAGCCTCATGAATGGGATCAGTGCCCTCATAAAAGGGACCCCAGAGAGCTCCCTCGTCCCTTCCAGCATGTGAGGACACAGCAAGAAGTCACCGTCTAAGAACCAGGAAGCCCTCACTAGACACTGAATCTGCCACGCCTTGATCTTGGACTCCCAGCCTCCAGAACTGTGAGCAACAAATGTCTGTAGTTTATAAGCCACCCAGGCTATGGTAGTTTGTATAGCACCCCAAACATACTATGACGGGTTCTCATACAATTTTTCGAAGATTCTTTATCCTCAGTAGACTGATGCAAAACTAACCCATCAATAATAGAGAAAAAAGGAGATTGAGACAAAAGATGAAAAAATGTTTGTCTGATTCCTGTTAGAATGTTGCTAATTTTTCCCTGTAGTTTTTTTCAATGTATGTATCCTTCATAATCTCTCTCTCTCTCTCCCTTGCTCTCTGTCTCTTGCTCTCTCTCTCACTGTCTCTCTTTTCTTTTCTCTTTCTTATATATCTGCTGCTGCTACACCTATGTATATATTTACATAATTGGGACCATATTATATTAAATGTTTTGTACCAAACCTTTTCAGTGAAAGTCACATGATAAAACCCTCTTTTAATGTATTTATCATTGAGGACTTAAGTGATTTTTAAAGTTTCGGAATGCTGTGAACACCCTCCTATAATAAACACAATTTGCCTCTTTGACTCATTACTTAGAATATATTCTTAGGAGTGGAATTAGTGAGTTTAAGAATGTGAGCTGGGCGCAGTGGCTCACACCTGTAATCCTAGCGCTTTGGGAAGCCAAGGTGGGAGGATCACTTGAGGTCAGGAGTTCAAAACCAGCCTGGCCAACATGGTGAAATCCCATCTCTACTAAAAATACAAAAAAACAAAAATTAGCTGGGCATGGTGTGGTGGCAGGCACCTGTAATCCCAGCTACCCGGGAGGTTGAGGCATGAGAATCAGTTGAACCCAGGAAGCAGAGGTTGCTGTAAGCCAAGATCGCACCACTGCACTTGAGCCTGGGAGACAGAGTGAGACTCCATCTCAAAAAAAAAAAAAAAAAAAAAAAAGAGTATGAACGTTTTAAGATATTTGTTACATATTGTGAATTGTTCTAAAAAATGTTTGCAGTAGCCAGATGCAGTGGCTCACACCTATAATGCCAGCACTTTGGGAAGATGAGGCAGGAGGATGGAGGTTGAGGCCAAAAGTTCAAGACTGGTCTGAGCAACATAGCAAGACTCCATCTCTACAGTAAACTAAACATTTTAAAAATCAGCTAGGTGTGGTGGTGCATGACTTTAGTCCTATTTATTCGGGAACCTGATGTGCAAGGATTTCCTAAGCCCAGGCGGTCAAGGCTGGAGCTATGAATGTGCCATTGTACTCCAGCCTAGTCAACAAAATGAGACATCATCTCTTAAATAAATATAATTTTTGGAAAAGTTTTCAGCAGTGCAGATTCCCTTGTCTAGTAGTTGTGTTGATTCACCTTTTTTTTTTTTGGCAACTATGGTAATTAGCATTTTTAATAAATTCATTTAAAAATAGATTTTAAGCAGCTGAATGTAAAAAAAAGAAAAAAAAGCAGATTAAGTTGTTGAAAATTGAAGTGTTACCTTAGCTCTTTGGGTTGAGGATGAATACCATCAGATTTGGGGCCTTTCCCACTTTCCTGTCTTACGTGTGAATGTCTGGGTACACGGACACTTCAGGTTAAGGATTCTGTCTCCAACTTTTATTTCCTGATAAAATATCAAATTTGATTTTTTCATTTCTGTGTTTTTTTTAGGCATAGGAAAATTATATATATATATTTACTTCCCATGAGAACACAATATGATTTACTCTTTTTCTTCTTATAGCAATGGCATGATTTCAGAGAAATATCCTTAGTCTCTGATATGGTTTGACTCTGTGTCCCCACCCAAATCACATCTTGAATTGTAGTCCCCATGTGCTGAAGGTGAGGCCTGGTGGGAGGTGATTGGATCTCCCTTGCCCTCTCACCTGCCACCATAAAAGATGGGCCTTGCTTCCCCTTCGCCTTCTGCCATGATTATAAGTTTCCTGAGGCCTCCTCCCCAGCCATGAGGAACTGTGAGTCAATTATACCTCTTTTCTTTATAAATTACCCAGTCTCAGGTAGTTCTTTACAGCGGCGTGAAAACGGACTAATACAGTCTCACACTCATTTTGTAGAAATCTAGCAACTGTAATTCGTAAAACTGCTATATTGAAGCTAACTGGAATCAAGCTTACTGCTTTCAGCTTCAGAAAAGCAAATCTTAGTAAAAAGAACAACAGCAACAAAAACAGACAACAAAGCTGCAGGTCGTGAGAGCTGCAGGAGGTACTTTTAGAGGGGAAGGGGGATTGTTAAATAATGAGATCTAGGAAAGCATCTTGAAGTCCATTGCTGAGAGAATATTTGAAATGTACTCTTTGCCAAAATAAATAATTCACTAAATAAATTTGTTAGTTAATTAAAATGATTTCTAATAAAATAATTACTTTTTTAAAGTCCACTTACTTTAAACAGTAAAAAAGTCTGTCTGGGAAGCTGCTGTCAATGACTTAAAAAAAACAAGCCTGGGTGTGGTGGCTCACGCCTGCAATCCCAGCACTTTGGGAGGCCGAGGCAGGCAGATCATGAGTTGGGAGAGAGAGACCATCCTGGCCAACATGGTGAAATCTCTACTAAGAATACAAAAATTAGCTGGGCATGATTGTGAGCGCCTGTAGTCCTAGCTACTTGGGAGGCTGAGGCAGGAAAAGCACTTGAACCCAGGAGGCAGAGGTTGCAGTGAGCCGAGATTGTGCCACTGCACTCCAGCCTGGCCTGGCAACAGAGCGAGACTCTGTGTCAGAAAACAAACCAACAAACAAAAAACCCAAAAACAAAACAAACAGAAAAAAAAAAAAAAACACCACCAATAGCTATCAGACTAGTCATATTTCCATATACATAATTTGTGTTAATTCAACATCAATATCCCCAATACAGCCTTATGAAAGATTAAGGGACCAAGAATTTCCCTGATGCTGGACTCTGTTCTGTGGCATCTCCCACACACCTGTATTAATTTGCATCCCATTGTCTTTAACATACAGAGGAACTTCTCTGCTCTGTGGAATTTGCAACATCAGGAAGCCTCAGTTTTCCATTCTAACCCTTCCACTTCAAGGAGTGTCATATTTCCACTCAATTTTACTGATTCTACCATTAAAAAAAAAAAAACAAACACATTCTATTCTTAGTTCAGAAGGATACTAAAGGGTCATTTTATAGTTTTCATTTTTTAGTTATTGTTATCTCTTGCCAGATTTTATTTTAATTCATTTTATTCATAGAATTACATGTTCCTTTACAGTATAACCTTTTGGCTATGTTTTATATTACTTCCTATTACACATGTAATTTATAATTATATCCTCACTGTAAAAAGAACTAAATAATACAAAGTAATGTAAAATAGAAGACTTTCCTTTTTCTTATTCCCAATGAATTTCAGAGATGACTCCTTTAATCAATTAAAAGTTTGGCTATGTATCATTCTAGCCATTTCCTTTATTTACATACATCTGTCTATATATACATACATTTAATTTTTTGAAGGTAAATAGAATTCTGATGGTTAAATTTATATGCCAATTGGCTGGGCTGTGGTGCCCAGTTGTTTGGTCGAATAGTCTAGACGTTGATGTGAAGGTACTTTTGTAGATGGGATTAACATTTACAATCAGTAGACTTTAAGAAAGAAAGGCAACCTTTCATAATGTGGTTGGATTTCCTCTGATTGGGAGCAAAAGGTGAAGGTTCTCGAAAAAGAAGAAATTCCACCTCAGGAGTGCAACATAAGAATTCATCCTGAGTTTCCAGCTTGTCTTGTAGATTTTGGATTCAAGGTGGCAACTCCTGCCTGAATTCCCAGCCATCGCGGCTGCCCTACACTGTACAGACTTGCCAGTCCCCACGATCATATAAGCCAACTCCTTAAAATGCATCTCTTCCTTAGTTCTGTCTCTCTGGAGAACCTGGACTAATACAGGATCATTGCATGCTTACTGCCTGTGACATTTTTGTACTTTATATATTGTAGAGCAGGATTCCATGTTACTACAGAATGGTGTATGCCTTTTCTCTGTTGTAAAGGATGCATAGAATTCCTCTGTTTAGGTGCATCATACACATACTTATTCATTTATCTCTGGATGGGTATGTTGGCTGTGCTCAACCTTTCTTTATTAAACAAGATACTGAAGTGGTTTATTCATGAATAGTGTCATCTTCTAAACCATTTTACAGGAGAGACTGCAACAGGAGCTGGTAATCGAAAAGAAGCCTATTGAGAAAGACCCCCATAACCTGTGTAATCTTTCTAAATATGATTACAAAAAAACAACAAATGATACCACACACATGCACACACACATACACACACACAGACAAATGCACACAGAGAACCACAATTTCTATGAAATTGTAACGATTATATCCATTTTTCTTACGTACAAAAATATTGTTAGATAGAATGAATAAGATCTGTAGCCATTAGCATGATAGGATTACTATAATTAACAACAATTTATTATATATTTAAACATAACTAAAAAATAGAAGTGGAATGCTCCCAGCACAAATCATAAATGCTTGAGATGATGGACACCCCAATTACCCTGATTCGATCATCATACACTATCTGACTGTATCAAAACATCAGATGTACTCCATAAATATGTACAGCTATTATGTCACCATAATAATTAAAAATAAAAACATTAAATGAAAAAGTATATAATTAATATTTAATTTTTTAGTATTAAAAAATTCTTCAAAATTCTATTTCAAGTCCAGATGTTGACTGTTATCTCAATTTTATTATCTATATACATCCAAATTTAACATGCTCCAAAGAAAACTCTTGATTCTCATCCCCTAGAACTGCCTTTTTTCCAGTTTTACTACTTGTGCATATGCCACTACTTAGTCGTCGAAGCCCACAAGGGAAGGATTATATGAGATTCATCTTTTCCCTAACTCTGTGCAACTAATGCCTCAGCGAGTTCCATTGGCTCTGCTTCCAAAAGGCAACCCACTTCCTTCACATTTTCAACTTCATTCCCATCTGACATTAATCCCAAACATGTTCAGCTTCCCACCTGGTCACTCTTCAGCCAGGATAGCAAAATTCACCCCCCACAGAGCAGCCAAGGAGATGCGTGTCAAGCATACATCTGATTACATCCTTCCCTTATGCAAAATGTGTCCATTGGTTTTCCATTTCATGTAGAATTGAACCCAAAACTGTAGCCAGTCTTGTTGTTGCTGCTGGGCATACTCCTGTATTAGTCTCTCTGTAAAGTTGGTGGTTACCCCCTTCAATCTTGCTATCATTACCCTCTGCATTTTGGGAGTCTGCACTGAAATACAGCCTTCCCTGTCCATGAAATTCTAAACATAACATTTGAAGCAAACATGGAAACCTGTCACATGCCAATTTAGTGCACACATCTTGAAATGATTTCTCTGTACAGTTAACACAGAGTTTTTCTTTCTAGCAGCCAGGGATCAGACTTCAGGATCCCATTTTCTTCCTCATGTCTGCATAGGAAAGGAAATAAATAGAAATCGTCAAACACTGATAAGGTGCTCATGTCTACACCTCTGCAGAGAAGAAAAATTGCACAGCTAAAAGAGCAATTTGGTCTGCAAAGAGGCAGGCTTTATACTCTCCCAAGACTTTATCATCCTGGACATATAATTCAAGAAAAAGTATCTGAATGGAAGATACACTGGTGGTTGTTTATCCAAAGAAAAAGAGAATGAAATGGACTCTCATCGAAGTGAAATGGATCTCCAGGGTAATAATCAGTCTCTTCTGCTCCTAAACTTTGAGTTATGGAATAAAAAAATGCTGTGTCTCCCTCTGAGATGTGGAAGTTGCTTTCTTTGCCTTTGCATATTATAATAATTAAGATTTATGAGGATTTCACATTACATTTCCACAGTTAGACCTATACAATATTCTTCTCCATAGAAATCATCATCTTTTGAAATGACAGCAGTGATATATGAAACTTTACATGGTAGAGAGTCCAGGGACTTCTCTGCTCTTTCAAGAGTTTTTTAATTGCTAAGTTTAGTCAATTTAGTGTAATAAATATTGATTGAGGACTTACTATAACCAGGCTGTGCTCTAGTCTTGGGTATATTTAGTGCTAAATAAAATATAGGTCTTACCATCCTGATAGTTGACAGCAGTGGCTCTTAACAAAAGGTGATTTTGCTTCTCTCCAGGAAACATTTGGCAATGTCTGGAGATGTTTTTGGTCTCACCAGTGAGGGGGAGAAAGTTCTACCAGTATCTACTGCAAAGACACCAGGGACACTGCCATAGCATCCTTGTAATTGCCAGGACAGCCACTCACAGCAAAAAGTATACAGCCTCAAATACCAACAGCATTGAAGTTTGAGAAATCATATTTTACAACTTAAGGGAAACAAGGCATGTGTTTAATAGACTTATAAATCTTACAGTGCTGTGGGTATGTGTATTAGTTTATTCTCTTGTTGCTAATAAAGACATACCCAGGACTGGGTAATTTATAAAGAAAAGGGGTTTAATTGACTCACAGTTCAGCATGGCTGGGGAGGCCTCAGGAAACTTACAGTCATGGCGGAAGTGGAAGCAAACACGTGTTTCTTCACATGGTGGTAGCAAGGAGAAGTGCCTAGCAAAAGGGTGAAAAGGCTTTTATAAAACCCTCAGATCTTGTGAGAACTCACTCACTTCATGAGAACAGGATGGGGAAAACTGGGGAAACTGTCCCCATGATTCAATTATCTCCCACCAACTCCTCCCACTACACGTGGGGATTATGAGAAGTACAATTCAAGATGATATTTGGGTGGAGACACAGCCAGACCATATGGATATGTTAGCAGTGGAAGGTATTCAAGTCACACGGCACCAACATATGTTAGTGGTAGCAAATCCATATGAGTCTGCAACAACCTCAATTCTTGCCTCCTCAGAAGAAAGAATTCAACAGAGGAGCACAAGGTAGAAGGAGAGACTGAGGCAAGTTTGAGAACAGGAGTGAAAGTTTATTAAAAAGCTTTAGAGCAAGAATGAAAGGAAGTAAAGTATACTTGGAAGAGTGCCAAGTGAGCGACTTGAGAGATTCAAGCACCCAGTTTGACTTTTTGACTCGGGGTTTCATGCATTGGCATGCTTCCATGGTCTTGCATTACTTCTCTCCGGATTCTTCCCTTGGAGTGGGCTGTCTGCATGTGCAGTGGCCTGCTAGTGTTTGGGAGGTGAGCATGCTCATTGTGTTTACTAGAGGCTATACGCATGCTCACTTGAAGCATTTTTCCTTACCAGCCAAATGTCCCTAGAAGCTCATATATTCATTAAACTCTGACATTTTGCCTCTTAATGTGCATGCTTGAGCCCACTAGCCCAACTCCAGAGATCTTGTTGGGAAGCTGCTGATGATCCGTTTCAGGTGTTTTCTATCTGGAGACTGCCTTTCGCTGGCGCTGGCTGTGACCAGTGATTCTTTTGGAGAGGTAGTTAACAACCGCCTGATCATCACCTGATGGTCGCCTGACATTCTGGTATATTTATGAAGACTGTAAGGGTGACTACAGAAAGGAAATGCAATTGTATTTCTATTTTACATTTATGGCCTTGAAAGAGTAGCCTGGATTTTATGAAAAGACTGGTATTTAATGCAAGGAACGAACTCTGGAGTCAGATACCTAGTGTGTCCAGGGACAGGCTGCCCTTAGTTTGAGCAGGAAGCTATATGTGCAGTTTGAGGCATCTTGGCAGATGGACAGCAGCCCATTTCGGGTACTGAC
Organism: Homo sapiens; assembly: GCF_000001405.40. Classification (NCBI taxonomy): domain Eukaryota; kingdom Metazoa; phylum Chordata; class Mammalia; order Primates; family Hominidae; genus Homo; species Homo sapiens. The sequence continues at coordinate 4,648,834 of NC_000023.11, forward strand.
ACCAGGCACTGAGTGCTATGGCTGGTAGGAGGCTACAGGCAAAGAGGACATTGCATGGATTGACCACCTTCAAAACTAACAACACACTCAGGTCATATTCCAGGCTTTCCCTGTGCAAAAATCTCCTCTTTAGGTAGCAAGGTAGAGTTAGGACATAGTAATTTTACAAGAGTCTTCTAATGCTTTACACAGACCTGAATATGAACTGAGGGGCTGCTAAATGATTTCAAGCTTTATCCCTTATCATTGCTGGAGAGCAGACCAAGTAGTTAAAGCTTCAAATAGCTCTGTGTTTATATTTTATATGTCCCAAACAAAGTGGGTAGAATACCTCTGTTGAACAAACATGTTTGCATTCTTTGGATATATGTGAATTTTTCCTATCTGATGTATACATTTAGTATTGATGATCTCTAATAAGTCGCACCGAATGCCAAGACTCTTCAAGGTAATTAGGTACATTCTGAATATCACATAGTGCCCAGATCGTAAAAACAAAAACACAAAAAGAAAACCAAGTATCTCATATTGTCACTTATAAGGGGGAGCTAAACCTTGGGTACTTAGGGACATAAAGATGGTAACAATAGACACTGGGATCTCTAGAGCAGGGAATGAAGGAAGAGTACAAAGGTTGAAAAACTACCTATTGGGTACTATGTTCAGTACCTGGGTGACAGGTTAATTTGTACTCCAAACCTCAACATCATGCAATATGCCCATGTAACAAACATGCATATGAACCTCCAAATCTAAATTCTTCTTTAAAAAAATAGAATGCTATATAGAACAACAAATGCTCTAAAGTGTTGTCACCACCATAAAACATCCAAGGTGCAGTACACAAAAACTCATCTCCATTTCCAGGCCAACTCTTATAGGGTGTTTAAGTCTTAAAATGTACCCTGCTTAATTTCAGCTGTACGTTTATGTATAAAATATAGAGTATATTCATCCCAGCACTTTGGTAGGCTGAGGTGGGCGGATCACGAGGTCAGGAGTTCAAGACCAGCCTGGCCAAGATGGTGAAACCCGTCTCTAGTAAAACATACAAAAATTAGATGGGCGCAGTGGTGGGTGCCTGTAATCCCAGCTACTCGGGAGGCTGAGGCAGGAGAATCGCTTGAACCTGGGAGACGGAGGTTGCAGTGAGCCGAGATCGCACCATTGCACTCCAGCCTGGGCGACAGAGCAAGATTTCCTCTCAAAAAAAAAAAAAAAAAAAAAAAAAAAAAAGAGGGTATATTCTAGAGAATGGGTTTTGTTTAATTAGTTAATGTGTTTGATTCTATGCAATGTTCTGAAGACCCTTTGGTGATGATCTACATACAGTCATAAGATAATAGCTCTCTTCTACACATGCCTTACTATTATGACTTGTTCCCAGCTTCCAGTGATTATGCAATAATAGTATAAGTGAGTATTGGTGTGAGACAGGAGGGACTCTCCACTTAATAATTTAAAATAGGCGTTACTCCTCTGTGCTGCTTTTAATTTTAAATCACTAACAGTAAGTAATGAGACATACAAAATGTAAGAACTCATCTATCTTACCCTTGCTGTATTTGCACAAAAGAATAAATGGACTTGGATTTTCATTATTCCATGAGATACCTGTGAATAAATACAACTCAATATCATAGAGTTGTAGTTCCCCAACTGAAATTATAACAGTGGATATGATTGTTTTACACAATCTAGAGTATTAAGGGAGAAGCAATTTTGCTTTCTTAAAAGGATGATTTTCTTGGGCTCCCATTTGGGGATACAGATACAGAGTTTTGAAGCTTTTTTTCTTTTTTAGGATTTATGCATAGAGGTGATCTGGTTTTTTTGTTTGTTTGTTTCCTTTCTTTTCCTTTTTCTTTCTTTTTTTTTTTTTTTTTTTTTTTGAGACAGGGTCTTGCTCTGTCACCCAGGCTACTGGAGTGCAGTGGTGCAATCATGGCTTATTACAGCCTCAAACTCCCAGGGTCAAGTAATCCTTCCGCCTCAGCCTCCCTAGTAGCTGGGCTACAGGCATGAACCACCATGTCTGGCTAATGTTTTCTTTTAAGTTTTTGTAGAGATGAGGTTTATTGCCCAAGCTGGTCTCAAACTCCTGGGTTCAAGCCGTTCTCCCACCTTGGCCTCCTTAAGTGCTAGGATTACAGGTATGAGCCACCACACCCGGCCAGATCCTCTTTTAATGATAAGTGAGAAAATCTTCCCACTTATGTTTGATTTCTACTTTATCACTAAACAAATGTATTACGTATGCTAAAACTCACACTACAGATTATAAACCATATACTTGTTTACTATAATGGAATCTTAATGTGTAAGTATCTAATCAATTCCCTAGACCCCCAACACCACCACCTTGTACACAACCTGGATGTTTATTTTAGTTAGAGCAAAGGAAGAGCTTAATTTCAGTTCCTTCATAATTGAGAATGATTGAAATTCATCAGATAATACGCCTAAGGAGAACATTTTTACTATATTTTGGGTGCTTTGATACTGTCTTCCTATTGATTATCTCGCATTAGCTTCAATTTTCTACAGGGTCTGCCTGCCTGTGGTTTTGATGAAAACAACCCCACAGGAATAATAGCAGTGAGTTTTAGTCTGTTGCTCAGACTCATATTTTAAAAGTCTCTGCTGTGCACAGGGTAATTAAAAATAAAAAGGCTGTAAGAGATCAGTCTTCCATGCAAACCCATCACTACATCAAGGAGAAAAGTGTCATCTCAGGCCGTCTGAATGTGTCAAGAGCATCATTTCTGGACTTAGGGAACAGCATTTAATCTATCATTGTTGCTTTAATGTTACTTTTAAAATGCTCGAAACTGGGGATTGTCAGCCTACGGATGTTTAGACATCATCCCTTCTTGAAGCAAACAAGTATGTGGTCTTAATAGAGATCAATAGTTGTGGGTGTGCTTTGCAGGACAAGATGTATTGATGTAGAAATGACTTTTTTAAAAAAACTCTATGTAGGATTTGATGAAGATGAGGTATTTGTTGGAGAATGTCTGGACCCATGTCTAAAAGCATGGAGATATGTAATTACTATACATTATTTAATATAATGCACTCAACATCTATTATTTCTCTTCTTGAGAAGACTTCATTATCCTTTGATCATCTTATGACCATCCTTTAGAATAAAAGCTACAAGTTTTATTCCAGGACAGACCCTTATGGGAACGTTCTGATCGCATGCAACACTAAGGCATTGCTTCATATTCTTCTTGACAACTCTGTGTGTTTTTTTTTAATTCTAGCATTTAATCGGAGTCTATCCTATACATGCTACTCAATACTTTTTGTAAAATTAAATAATACAGTTAGAATAGAGGTCTCTGTGTGTTTTTGAACTTTTCTCCTATGCTTTTGTACAGAACTACAGTGCTGATTTTAATTCTCCAACTCCCTTTTTGTTTGGTTGGGTTTTTTCATGCTTTTTGTTTTATTTATTTGTTTATTTATTTATTTATTTTTGAGACAGGGTCTCACTCTGTCACCCAGGCTGGAGCACAATGGCAATATCTCAGCTTGCTGCAACCTCAAGTTCCTGGGCTCAAGCAATCCTCCCACCTCAGCCTCCTGAGTAGCTGGGACTATAAACATGTGCCACCATGCCCATTTTGTTGTTGTTGTTTTTAATCTTTGGTAGAGAGAAGGTCTCACTATGTTGCCCAGGCTGATCTTGAACTCCTGGGCTCAAGCCACCCTCCTGCCTTGGCATCCCAAAGTGTTGGATGACAGGCGTGAGCCACTGTGCCCAGCCCTAATTTTCCAACTCTATCTAACCCTAGAGAGCTGAGTCTCCATAGTTGGGTAAATCAGTTTTCTTTGAAGATGTGCTTTTAACCTTCTTTATCCCAAGTGATATCACGTCCTATGACATCCTATGAGGGGTCTATCAGAACGTTTTCCACATAGTACAGAATCATAGTCTCTAAAACAATCCCTGCATCTCTCTGACTTTGTATACCCTTCCAGAAAGAATATTTATTGGTGATAATGGGAATCTGTTTTTGAAACTACTGTAGGCCTAGTGTGTTTAGATTAACTGTTATTGAATTGCATCCTGTATTTATTGATACAAAAAACAAGTGCTTGGCAAGAACATGTAGAAAGGCCATTTCCCACTGAAGAAGACTGTCATGTTGAGATAGGAATGTATTGGATATTTAAGAATAGACTTTTTTAAAAAGCAAATAGAAAGAATGGACATTTAAGAATAGTTAAAAAGAGGATAAGACAATGAGATCACCCATGAAGGCAGGCATTATTTCATAGATCATAAGGTTTCATAGGAGGAAATATAAATTTGTAAAACGGAAGAGATTCACTGAGATTAAACTATGAGTTATCTCCATAGTCAAAAAATGAAATTTGTGTTTTCAGAGAAATAAAGATGGTCCTATATATGTTTTAGGAAACAATTGTCAGTCAACAGAAGTTTCAAAGAAGTAGAGATAGCCAGGATACTGAATATATTTGTGTAGGGGAGAAATTGAAATATTTGCTGCCATAAAATGTAGAGTCACTAGAAAAAAAAATAGGGAGGAAATTTCCTAAATCATGCATTTTTATCATTGTCACTGAGAAGAATGAGGCCACTTTAATTCCTAGGAGAGTTGACCACTTCTTCAAAGAACCTTTTGCTTAACTTTTTTTTTTTTTTTTTTTTTTTTTTTTTTTTGAGACTGAGTCTTGCTCTGTCTCCAAGGCTGGAGTGCAGTGGTGCAATCTCAGCTCACTGCAAACTCCACCTGCCAGGTTCAAGTGATTCTCCTGCCTCAGCCTCTCCAGTATCTGGGACTACAGGTTTGCATAGAAATGGGTTCTTGTCATGTCGGCCCCAGGCTGGTCTTGGACTCCTGACCTCATGTGATCCACCCACCTTAGCATCCCAAAGTGCTAGAATTACAGGTGTGAACCACCATGCCCGGCCAAGTTTAACATATTTTAAGAGGCTGCTTTGTGTTCAAAGAGCTCTTAGCGGAGGTTTCTGAGAAGTCAATGAAATCAAGGATGTTCATGGAGTGCTGCAAGATAAATGACTGTAGTTTGGTTGTAGAGGAGGGCTGGGGCATGAAAAGAAGCTGGAGACAGAGAGAGAGAGAGAGAGGAAGAAGAAGAAGAAGAGGAAGGATAGAGAGAAAAGAGGAGGACAGGAGAGGAGAGAGCCTGGGGCCAAATCCATGGACAACAGGAGTAGTGTTTGGGAAACACTGGCTGCGGGAGGCACTTTGTGCAGCAAAGGTAATTGATTATTGATGGAGTTAGAGGGATAGATATTTCTAACAGTATCAACATTTACTTTAGCCAGGTGCAGTGGCTTGTACTTGTAATCTCAGTATTTTGGGAGGCTGGAATAGGAGGATCACTTGAGGCCTGGAGTTTCAGATCAGCCTGGGCAACATAGCAAGACCCCATCCCTACAAAACATTAAAAAATAATAATAAATAAATAAATTTGGGCCAGGTACTATGGCTCATGCCTGTAATACCAGCACTTTGAGAGGCTGAGTTAGGAGGATCACTTGAGGCCAGGAGATCGAGATCAGCCTGGGCAACATAGTGAGACCCTGTGTCTAAAAAAAAAAAAAAAATGTATTTATTGGTTTCATTGCATTTTGATGTCACAACCCCACCCCATGCAGACATTCAGTAGAATGTACACAAGGAAGTGCATTGTATACAGTGTAGGAGTTTCCTAGAGCTGTCTTAGTACAAAAACTTGGGCACCCTAAAACCAAAGAAATGTATTCTCTCCCAGTTCTGGAGACCAGAAGTCTGAGATCAAGGTGTGGACAGGACTGTGCTCCCTCTGGAGGCTCTGGAGGAGGCTCCTTACTTCCTCTTCCAGCTCCTGGGGGCTCCAGGCGTCCCTGAGCTAGTGGCCACATGACTCCAGTCCCTGCCTCCATCTCCACGTGGCCTTCTCTGTGTCTGTGTCTCCTCTTCTGTCTCTTAGAAGGACACATGTCACTGGATGTAGGGCCCATTCTAATCCACTATGACCTCGTTTCAGTAATTACATCTGCAAAAACCCTTATTCCAAACAGGGCCACATTCACAGATTCTTGGGGTTAGATTTGGATATATCTTTTGAAGTGCCATGATTGAACCCACTCAAGCCCTTGGGGAAACTCAGTAGAAGGTCGGATGTTTCAGAGGTGAGCAGTTGGTGTAAGAATGAGAAGGAGACCAACCCAAGACAATGTGATCCCTTCCATGGATTGAAGGTTGGGTGTAAGTGTGGAGAGAACATGTGGATTTACCTGTCATTTGGACAGAGGACAGAGCATAATGATACCAATAGATTTCTCAGGAACTTCAGATAACATCATGGTTATACTGTTATGTGAGTGATATGATCTGGCTGTGTCCCCATCCAAATTTCATCGTGAATTATAGCTCCCACAATTTCCTCATGTCATGGGAGGGACCTGGTGGGAGGTAATTGAATCATGGGGGCAGGTCTTTCCCGTGCTGTTCTCGTGGTAGTGAATGAGTCTCATGAGATCTGATGGGTTTATAAAGGGGAGTTCCCCTGCACAAGCTCTATCTTGCCTGCTGCCATGTAAGATGTCCCTTGCTCGTCTACCATGATTGTGAGGCCTCCCCAGCCATGTGGAACTGTGAGTCCATTAAACCTATTCCCTTTATAAATTGCCCAGTCTAGTGTATGTCTTCATTAGCAGCATGAGAGCAGACTAATACAGTGAGTTTCAAGTTTCTGTACCTTTTACTTTTATTTACAAAGCGTGGATTTTGGCGTGAAATTCTGCTTTGCAGAATGTGTTATTTACAAACTAATGTTTTTAGAGGGACTTCCGAGTACTAAAGAAAAAAAAATTAATGATGACCTTACGAAGTGAAGCAGGTATGAAAAATAGTAAGAGATGAAAACATACAATGGTGAAGAGGATATATTTGAGGTTAGGAAGCCTGTTAGAAAAAAAAAAAGAACATGTAGGGAATGGGGTAATTAGTCATACCTACTCAGGTTGGCTTCTGAATTTCTACATTGTGTTTCTCCCTGGCCAGTATCCTTCGGTGCTCTTTAATTAATGTTAAATTGTACCCAAAAGAATGTGGTTAAGCAAGCTCAAAGAACCTCCTGCAGATGCTGGGAACGTCATTGGCTGGCCTCCATGTATCTGCAAAGAGATCAGCTGGTGAATGAAAACGCTCACTACCCTAGAATCCTGGCACTTTGAGAGGCCAAGGTGAGCAAATCACTTGAGCCCAGGAGTTCAAGACCAACCTGGGCAACATAACAAGACCCCGTCTCTACAAAAAACATAAAAAGTAGCCAGGGATGGAGGTGCATGCCTTTAGTCCCAGCTTCTCAGGGGGCTGAGGCAGGAGGATCACTTAAGCCCGGAGGCAGTAGCTGCAGTGAACTGAGATCATGCCACTGCACTCTAGCCTAGGTGGCAGAGCAAGACTGTGAAAAGAAAAGAAAAGAAAAAATGCTCACTGTCCTGGCTCAAAGTTCTAAAAGGTGATAAAATAAAAAGCATTCCTTTACAAAAAAAAATAAAGCAAATTTATCCATTTTTGAATAAGTTAAAGAAGAATAGTGTTTTATAAGACAAAAAGTGCTTCCAGCTACAGTAGGATAACCTACTGACTTTCTTGCTGTGATCCATATTAATAGATGGAGATGTTGTCACAGATGGAGATGATGTCTCTGTCTCCACCTCAGAACGTTTCTTGAGCCTCCTTCACCATAACCTGCTTATTCTGTGGTTCCCTGCATGTTGACGCAGGCAGACTGCCAAAGGTTTATTGATCATTCACTTTCAACAAGCCACATGGGAAGACTGCACATCTTGCAGATATTTTGTGGTCACCGCCGTGGGATTTAGTGCTTCTTGAGAGGAAAAAGCTTTGGGGAAATCGATCCTTCAGCAGCAGAGGATGCTTGTCACTTCCGAACCACCCTCAGCCCCTGATGCCCTCATAGGAGAATTAATTTGGCAACATCTTCACTTGGGACGCCATATCTGTCATTCATATCCAACATGATTGTTGTTTCATTTATTCATTCATTCATTTTAGCTATCTGATAGAGACTATTTCTTTCTTTTCTCTTTTTCTTAAAGCTTTATCTATCATTTATTTATCTATCATCTATGTTCCATCTAGCTGCTATTATCTATCAATCATCTATGACCTATTTATCCATCTATCTGTGTAGCTATTTGTCTATCATCTATCAATCACCTATCATCTATTTTCTATCATCTATATATCTATTTATAATCTATCTTCTATCTATCATCTATTTATATATTCATTATCTATCTTCTATTTATCATTTATCATCTATCAATCATCTAGCTATTTATGATCTATGTATGTGTTTATCCATAATCTACCTATTTATTACCTATGCATCAATTATATTCTATCTATATGTCTATCTGTCTATTATCCATTATGTATCTATCAATCATCTATCGATCATCTATTCATTAATCATCTATCCATCTATTTTCTAACTTCTATCTATTAATCTTCTATCATCCACCTATATATGAACTGTCTAACTTCTATCTATATGTGAATTATCTATTTATCATCTATCATCTACTTATCTATCGGTGAATTATCCATTTATCCATCATCTGTCAATTCAATGTATTCATCTCTATATCTACTTCACCTTTTCTCTCTTACTGAGTTACATGGGACCATACTTTCTTCCTTCCGATCTTCCACTTTCTTGCTTCCTCTTTCCCTACCCCAGGCCCCTGTTCCCTAATATAAAGATGTTTATTAAGCCAATAATTGTCCACATTTCTCAAATTAATAATCAAGGTATATTTTTTATAATGTGTAGAGATGAAGAAAGAAAAGAGACAATAAAACGAGGATAAAGTAAAAAAGAGAAATAAGTGTTAGGGAGGTGGGGAAGAAAAAGAAGAGAAACATACAACCTTTGAACCTCGGTGGGATTTTTTCTTTTCTTGTTATTTTGTTATTTATTTGCTTAACTATCAGTCTCCATGATTATTTGTATCTTATATGAACCTCCAGGACTAGCAAGGGTGACTTCTGGCATTTTCCCTGTGCTTTATGAAATAGGACATATAAAAGAAGCTTGAACCATTTTTTTTTTCAAAAAATGTAGATCTTGTAGATTTTAATTTTTCAAGTTTTCTTTTTTAACTTTAAAAAAATATAATTTTAACTGCTATTTTAGATGGAGAGGGTGCATGTGCAGATTTGTTGCATGGATATATGGTATGATGCTGAGGTTTGTGATATGAATGATACTGTCAAACAGGTAGTGAGCATACCAATAGGTAGTTTTGCAGCCCTTGCCCCTCTCCCTCTCTCTGCACTCTAGTAGTCCCCAGTGTCTATTATTCCCATCTTTATGTTCATGTGTACCCAATATTTAGCTCCCACCTATAAGTGAGAACATGTGGTATTTGATTTTCTGTTCCTGCATTAATTCGCTTAGGATCATGGCCTCTAGCTGCATCTATATTGCTGCAAAGGACAGGATTTCATTCTTTTTTATGGTAGTATTCCATGTCGAACCACAACTTTCAATGCAAATTGGAGATGTTTGTAAACCTGGAAATACAACGTATGGTAAGGTGAGGTGGCATTTTAATGATTTATGCTTATTTTTGCTCCAAGTATGGTTTGTTATCTTACATCCATAACCCCAATAACCCTGATGACTTTCTTTCTCCCCAAATTCCATGCATCCTATTGTATGCACATAATGGTTTAGACCAACACACACTTTTTTTTCTTTAGCTCAGAGTTCTGTAGGTTGGAAATCCAGTTGCATGTGGCTGGATTCTTTGTTCACAGTCTTGCCCTCAATAAGCCTGGGTTGGGCTCTTAACTGCAGGCTCTCAGAAGAGTGTTCCTTTGGGTTGTTGGCAGAATTCAGTTTTGTATGGTTGTAGAACATTCTTCTTTTCCTTAGCAGCTATCAGCCAAGGAATGCTTATGGAAACCAATTACATTCCTTGGCATGGGGTCCCTTCAAAGCCAAAGATAGCAGATCAGATCCTTCTCAACCTGTGGATTTCTCTGACTTGCTCATCTGCCAGCAGCTAGAGAAACACTCTGCTTTTTTAGGCCTCGTGTGATTAGATCATGCCCACCAGGATAATATCTTTATCTTCATTAATTTTCATTTAAACATGTCTTACATCTGAAATGTACTCATATAGCATGAATTGTGGGTATGGGCTGACTTACTTCTAAGTGGGCAATGAACATTTTTTGTTTTGGTAAATATTTTAGGCTTTGCAGACCACATGGGCTCTCTCATTACAGTGACAAAGAAGGCACAGCAAGCACACACACAAGTGGTCATGTTCCAATAAAACTTTACTTACAAAAACACATGGAGGGCCAGATTTAGCCCTTCAGCTGCACTTTGCTGCCCATTGTTCTAGATGGAGAGGTACATTAGCCAAGCCTATCTATCAAATTGGCTGTCCTTTTACCAGTCCATCAAAAGGCTACATTTTTCATATGTGTTAAATAAATTCATATGTATTTATAACCTCTGCAGCCCATCATATTTGGTAAATTTTCCACTGTGTTCCAACCCTATTGCTGAAAATAACTAGAAAATCTGGCCATGATATATAAAGAATACTCAGTGTTAAGGGAGCAGAGAGCTAGTAGAAGATTGGTCCTGAGAGATCAGCATAATAGAAAAAAAGGAAACAGATGAGAGAAGCATTGATTCTGAGTTATATGGTCCATCTGTAAACAGATTTGCACCTGTCTATTAAGATAGGAAGAAGCCCAGTCACAGTGGCTCACAGCTGTAATCACAGCACTTTGGGACGCTGAGGTAGGAGGATCGCTTGAGCCCAGGAGTTGGAGACCAGTTTGGGCAGCATAGCAAGGCCTCATCTCAAAAAATAATTAAATTTTTTTTTTCCTAAAATAAAATAGAATAAATAACATAGTGAGAAGATGAACAGAAAACACCATCAAGCAGTATAATTTTTCTGAAGTAAAATTATAAGGTAGAAGGGGAAAAAAACTGGAGATCAAAGTCCATGAATGTGGACAACATGATAACACCATGTGGATAACATGAGACTCTTGGTAAAGGCTGGATGTTAAGAGTAGGGGAAAGTTAGCAATAGAAAAGCTTTCAGAAATGCTGCAGTACCAGTACAGGCACTAAGTGGCTCCATTCCTATTTGAATTCAGGAAATATTCTCTCACCCTAACTGCTTGACAGAAAAATAAGTCCTTTCTGGAAGAATAAGATATACAAAAAAGAAATTTAAAAAAACATAAAAGAATATTATATAAAATGTCCAGAATTCACTCAAAGTTATCAAGTATATTAATAAAATAAAAGGCAAGGAAAAGTAAAACTTACAGGCAATATAAATAGCTCTATGTGATATCAAAATATTGATTGTTAAATTCAACTTTTAAATAACTATGATTAATATATAAAGAAATTAGAAGACCAGATGAAACATTCTGGTAGGTAACTAAACAATTTTAAAAAGAATCAAGTGAAAGTTCTACAGCTGAAAAACTCCCGATCTGAAGTAGGAAACTAAATAGGCTTAACAGCAGTGTAGATTCTGTTGAAGAAATGGTTAGTGACTTGGAAGACTGATTGAAAGAAAATACCCAGAAAGAAAGATGGCAAGTGAAAACAAAGGGTGGAAAATACAGAAGAAAGAGCCTAAGAAACTTATGAAACTGGGTAAACACTGCCAAAATGCATGTAATTGGAGAGTATTTGAAGGGGAAATAGAAGACAGTCAATGACAAACAGTTAACAGAAGTTGCCAAAGGATTTTACAAAACTGACAAAAGCATCAAATAGAGAATTAAGCAGAACTACAAAGCCCGAACAAGAAACAAAGTAAACATCACAACACATATCAGAATGACAAACCAAAGACATAGAAAAACATCTCAAGGCAGCCATTGGTGAGGAAAAGCACATGACTTTCATAGAAGGAACAAGACAGGTAGAAATAATGAAATGCTGGAAAAAAAAAAAAAAGAACTTCATCAAAGTGTCACAAAAATACGGTGCCATCCTAGAAATTAATGGCCAATGAATATGCCTTTGGGAACATTAGCCAAATATATACATTTTCCAAAACAATGAAACTTACAAATTTATCAGCAGACCAGATCTAAGGGAAATACTCAATTTTTAAAAACCAATGGAAAGTAGTGCCAGATTGAGGCCCAGAAATGGTTGAAAATTTCAGCACAGTTGAATGCATGAGCAATATGGGTTTTATAAAACCATATTAATAACGTCTTACTTATGTATATGTGTGTAAAGGAAGTTAAAACAGTAAAAGAAGATGAGAGATAATAAATTATCATACAGTATCCTTGTAAGTTAATTGCATTTTCTGGAAAGTGATGTGGTAAACATGCTAATTTTTGTTAGACTTGTAGAAGGCATTGTTTCTTTGTGTATCTTCCAGAGTAACTACAAAAAGTAGTGTGAATAAAATTTAAAAGAAGTAAAAATGATTTAATAAATACAAAAATGCATAATAATTATTTAATTTCTTCACAAAATGTAAATGTGCCTTTATATCATAAATACAAGTTGTCCAAAGAGTACAATTAAAGGGAATTCTCATACTGAGTAAAAATAAAATCCAAAGATATGCTGCTTCCATGACACAAACACAAAGCACAAAAATAGACAAAGATTAAAATTATAAGTACAGAAAAATGTATATTAACTAAAAACTAACCATTAAAAAATATATGTAGTAATACTAGTATCAGTCAAAGTAAAACACAAGGCAAACCAATTACTAAAATTAAGGAGGGCTATTTCAAATTTAACAGGAAGCCATAAAGTTATAAATCCATTGGTGACTCAGAAGAGAGGTTCAAACTCTGTAAATCAAAATGTCACATATCATAGATGAGAAATAGACACATTCATGATGGTCAACTATTTTAATACATCGATCACAGTGCCTGATTGAACAAGAAGGCACATAATTAGAAATGATAAGGAAGAATTGGAAACACAAGTGACTTAATTGGCATATGTAGGGCAATGCAGCCAGTGACCACATAGTTCTTATTTGTGTCAAATGCCCAAGGGACGTGCATCAACATTGACCATATGCTGCACTGTAAAACAAATGTTGACACATTTTATAGGAATGAAAATATCAAAGCGATGTGCTCTCATCACAATGGAATTAGCAGCAATTCAAGGGCACAAATACAACTAGAAAAACCCAAATGTTTGTAAATTAAACGACACATAATCAACTCAGGAGTTAAAGAAGATACACACGGGTGATTAGAAAATATTTTAAATTTAATGATAATTAAAATGTGACATATGAAACCCTGTGAATACATCCATATTTAGGCTTGGAAAGATAAATGCAGCTGTCTCAGTTTGTTTGGGCTGTTGTAACAAAGCACTATAAACTGAGTGGCTTATAATAAATGACTGAAATTTATAACTCATATTGCTGGACCCTGGGAAGTTCAAGATCAAGATACCAGCAGATTCAGTGCCTGGTGAGGATTCACTTCCTAACTTATACAAGGCACCTTCTCGCTGTGTCCTCACATATTGGAAGAGGCAAGGGAGCTCTCTTTGGTTTCTTTTATGAGGGCACTAATTCCCTTCATTAGGGCTCCACCCTTATGACCTAGTCACCTTCCAAAGGCCCCACCTCCTAATGCTGTCATATTGAGTATTAGGTTCTAACATGAATTTTAGGGGGATACCAATGTTCAGACCATAGCAACAGCCTTCGTTGCCTATAATGGTTAATTAATGCTGAATATTTATTACTATAAATCACTGTTGATAAATAAGAATTAATTAATGCAGAAAATTGATGCTGTAAGTATCTGAGCCATCTAGAAAAAAATTCAACCTCTTGAACGCAAGATATTAGAAGAAGGTAAATTAAAGTAAGAGAAAATATTAATAAAATAAAAAAAAAGAAATCACTTCCAAAATTGTGAAAACCTCTGAAAATCCTCCCCTCCTTAAAAGCAAAGAGAGCACTTGGAAATGTTGTCAAAATAAGAATGTTCAGAATGCTAATAATTAACCAAAAGCTTTCAACAGTCAGAGGCGGATTGATTTAAGAAGGATAGTTGAATTTTGGTAAGGGCAGAAGGCTTTGTGGTGTTTTAACATGGTCTATTCTCCTTGTCTTCTCCCCAATTTCATGGTAGCCTTGTACTCCAGCCTTGAAGGCCGTATAGCTGTGAAAACTAACAGCCTAATAGCCACTGAGAGGGGACAGAACGAGAATGGAGCTCCTCAAAAAGCTCCATGTAGAGAAAACTTTGTGCATTTGACCTGGTAGCTCCCCGGAAAAGCTCCATTTATGGAATTTGTTTTTATTTGACTTGACAAAGAGGTTGCACAGTGGGAAAAGATGTTTCCCCACTTTGCCTAGCAACAGCAGCATACACATTCTTCTCAAGTGCCCATGCAACTTATTCTTAGGCAGACCATGGGTTAGGTCATACAACAAGACTAAGTGAAGTTAAGGGAATTGAAATTGTACAAAGTATGTCTCTGACCCTAGAGGAAATAAATTATAAATTAAGAGCAGAGAGAAATTTGGAAAATTTGCAAATACGTGGAAATTAAACAGCACACTCATAAATAACCAATGGGTCAAATATGGAATTAGGAAAGCCTTTAGACAATGATGTGAGACCAATGAAAAGCATGGCATACCAAAATGAACAGGATTTTATACATTATATAGAGGTAAAGTAGTGCTTAAAGGTCAATTTATAGCTGTAAATGTCTACATGTAAAATTAAGAATATCTCAAAGCAGTTCTCTAACCATTCACCTTTAGATCATAGATTAAGAACAGAAAATTAAACCAAACATGAGCAGGAGGGAAGAAATAATTAATATTGGATTGGAAATAAATAAAATAGAGAACAGAAAAACAGTAAAGAAACTTAATGAAATCAAAGGTCGATTATTTGAAAAGATAAACAAAATTGGCAATTCTTTAGTTACGTTGACCAGAAAAATGATTTAAGTAGTTGACATCAGAAATAAAAGAGGGACATTACTACTGACCTTACGGAAATTTTAAAAATGAGTATAATACAATGAATAATCATAAAATATATATGAGGCAATCTAGGTGAAATGGATGGATTCCTAAAAAAGACAGAAACTACTGGGACTAATTTAAAACAACAGAAAATCTGAATAGGCCTATGAACTAAAGGGAGTGAAATAGTGATTAAAAACAAAGAAAAAAACAAAACTGCAAAATTTCCTTCAAAGAAAAGCCCAAGACCAGATGACGCTGTCAATGAAAATGAATACCATAACTTCATGAACGCTTTTGAAAATGAGCACAGGAGAAAACTTTTCCAAAGTCATCCTATGAGGGCAGGATAGTCCTGATAACAAAGCCAGGCAAAGCTATCACAAGGAAACAAAATTACAATCAATATGCCTTATGAACATATGTACAACAATCATCAATAATATTTTAGCAAACCAAATTCAGTACCATATAAAAAGGACTTTGCACCATGACCAAATGACACAGAGATATATTTTGGTAAAATTTCATTGATATGGAGTACATTTTAGAAGTCTCCACAAGGGAACAGCATTTCCTGAATATGAAAGGAAATCATCTTAGGAATGTGGATGAACATCACTCCATTCCTGAATGCAATGAGATAAGTCTGCAAACTGAGGGTGGATTTCTGTACCCATCCATGAAACACTCACCTAGCAGAGCTGACAGTCCGGTTTCACACTTGCCAGGATGCAGTTTCCATATGACATTTATTTTCCTCATGTGAATATTAAGTGAGTATCGCAATGCAGAAACTGACTAGCCAAATATACATTGCGTGGTACCTGAGATCTTAACAGAGAGTGAGGTAAGAAAATAGTAAGAATACACATAGACTCACAACACATTTTATACAGCTTGGATTGATAATATGTGCTAAATAAGAAACCATTATGGCATATGTATATTCATAAGGAGAAAACGATTAGAAGCTTGGGAGAATACATTTTAAAGTATTTCAGCAAAACCTGGGTTTTCATCAGAGTATGGATATGGGCATTTAAAAGCATTATTAATGCAAAATCCCAAGTAAGGAGTAGAGAAAATGTGACTCGTTGATTGAAATGTCCTGCAAAAGGAACATAGTTGACATTTCATTAGATAAGGTGATGGATTCATATAGTTTATAGAGAAGTGTTTGAGTTGAGAATTAAACCATGAACTCAATTTAAAAGTGTTGCAGAAAATGGCTTTTAGTCATAAATACAATCATCCCCCACACATAACCAGAGAACTGCAAACATTAGCTACAAATATGCATTTTTCAACTATTAGCAAAGATTACAAAGTTTCATAATATGTTGGTGAAAGCTTGGGGAGCTAAAGAAAAAAAGTCTTCCAGATATTTTGGACTATGGTGTCCATTGATTTGACTTCTTTAAGGGACTTTTTTTTTTTTTTTGGTGCAATATTTGCAAAGTTAAAAACGTATCATTGTTCCTTCCATTGTGATTGTTGGAATTCATCTTAACACATTCTCAAATGTGCCCCAAAATATTAATGTAAAATAATGCAGCATTATTTGAAGTAGAAATATATTATAATGAGTCAAATTTCTGTATGATTTAAACAAATTGTACCACATCAATATTGTAGAAGAAAATGCAGACCCTATAAAAATAAAGGTGATCTATATTTAATAATTTAAAAAGATTTAATAGAGGTATAAGTATAGGCATCTCTAGAACAAAATTAAAATATATTGCATAGAGTATGCTATGATAATATATGAGTAGACCAAATAACAAAGGAAGGACGTGTTTCAAGTGACTACTTAAGAGGGGAAAATGGGAGCTCAAATATAGGAACAGCACTTACTTTCAATTGTGTATTATTGTATGTTTTTTAACTTGGCACATGAACTTTATGCATGTATATAATATATATTTTATATATATAATATAAATGTGATGTGTTTATATTTTGTATATAATATCAATGTGATATGTTTATATTAATTTATATATTATATATATTTATAAATATATCTGTCCAATTTCCAAATTAGAGTGGGAATTAGATCAAGATTAAAGTGTGATTTGAAATTTGGTCAAGCTACAAAAAATGTAAATATAAATGTAAATAAAGAAGAAACAATGGCCCAGCATAAAAACAATGTGCATAGAGTAAGATAAAAGATGAAAACGATCAGGTACTGTATTAAATATGTTATCTCAATAAATATGGAGAAAATCAATTTTCCTATCAAACTAAAGACTATCAGATAAGGTTATGCAGATAAAATCAGGTTGGGCATAGTGGCTCATGGCTGTAATCCCAGCACTTTGGGAGGCTAAGATGGAAGGATCGCTTGAGTCCAGGAGTTTGAGACCAGCCTGAGCAACAGGGTGAGATCCTATCTTTCCCAGGAAAAAAAAAAAAAACAATTAGCTAGGCATGGAGGTACGCACTTGTGAGCCCTGTTACTTGGGAGGCTGAGGTGAGAGGATTGCCTAAACCCAGGAGGTCAAGCCTCCAGTAAGCCATGATCGTGCCACTGCACTCCAGCCTGGGTGACAGAGTGAAACCCTGTCTCAAAAATAAATAAATAAATAAATAAAGATAAAATGTATTTGCAATGCTTTTGAAATGATACACAGTAAAGCAATTAAAAAGGAAAACAATAAACTAAGACACAAGAAAATACCCACATGGAAATGTAAATTTTAAGAAAAGGATTGATTGGTCGTGTTCACAGCAGATGGAGCAGAATTGAGGTTCTTCATTGAGATTTGGAAGATAAATGCTGGGACCCCCAGCCTTGAATAAACACAGATGGGTGCATGCAATAAAAAAGCCTCTGCTCTTTTCTGGCTTTGAACATTGTATGTATATTATGTGATACTCAGAGCCACTGCAGCCACTTTGAGGACAAAACAATTGCAATAAGAAAAAGAAGAGTTAAAAAAAAAAAAGGCAAAGAAAGAAACTGATTAAGACCCCTGGAATTGTTGAGTTGCTGAATTAACAGGTCCTGGAAGTGTTTTCTGGCCTCTTTCTTTTTACCTGAGAAATATAAACCCTTATTGTTCAAGCTACTTTTATTTAGTTATGTTTTTAATTATTAAATTTGAAAGCATCCTAAGTGCTATATTGTGTTTTGGGAAAAAAAGGTATAAGGTATAAATCATAAATATATCTATATTATATATACAGATATATATGATACATATCTATGTATCTATATGTCATATATATGATATGTATTTATCTATATATCACATATATCATATGTATATGATATATGTTTGTGTACGAAGCCACATATCAAATTAATGAAACCAAAATCGCATTGAAATTTGAGGAGAAAATGATAGAAACACCTTTTTGGAGGTTCTGCTAGTATAATAAGACAAGGCATTGGAATAATTAGAAGAGTAAGAAAAAATATGTTTATTCTTATCTAATAAACATTAGTAAGTGAGTGTGGCTAATACATAGGTTTTCCAACATGGTTGGATACAAGGGATGTGTATAAAAGGTCACTTTTCAGTTATTTTGAAAATAGTATATGATAACTAGAAATGCAATCGTAAATTAAAATGGTATCACACATATTATTAAACCTGTAGACATATTTACCGAGAAAAGAGTAACACAAATCTTACTGAAAGTCAAATCTTAGGCTGGGCGTGGTGGCTTGCATGTGTATTCTCTGAACTTTGGGAGGCTGAGGAGGGAAGATCACTTGAGCCCAGGAGTTTGAGACCAACCTGGGGAACATGGAAAAAGCAGGTCTCTACAAAAATAAAAATATTAGCTAGGTGTGGTGGCTTGTGCCTGTGGTCCCAGCTCCTTGGGAGTCTGAGGTGAGAGGATCACTTGAGCCTGGGAGGTGGAAGCTGCAGTGAACCAAGATGATGCCACTGTACACCAGCCCGAATGATTGAATGAGACCCTGACTTGCAAAAAAGAAAGAAGTAAAATTTGTAGAATATGTAAATTTATGTATTTTTTGAAAAAACTTTTTATCTGACTTGAAGGAAATGGAATGGTTCAACAAAATGGCATCTTCACAACATTTTATTCGGCCATTAAATCAAAGAAAAAGATTTACATACTCAACAACTTGGGTGAATGCCATGTGTGTTAAGTCAATAAAAGCCCATTCAAAAGATCTTATACTGTATTACTCCACTTATAGTGACAAAATTCTAGAAATAATTGTAATAATTAGCATTGCCAAGGGTTGTGGATAGTGGAGAGGAGGTTGTATTAATCTGTTCTCACGCCACTAATAAAGACATACCCAAGACTGGGTAATTTATAAAGCAAAAGAGGTTTAATGGACTCACAGTTCCACATGGCTGGGAAGACCTCACAATCATGGCAGAAGGCAAAAAGAGGAGCAAAGGCACCTCTTACATGGTGGCAGGCAAGAGATCGTGTGCAGGGAAACTGCCCTTTATAAACCAGCAGATCTCATGAGACTTATTTACTATAACCAGAACAGCACAGGAAAAACCCACCCCCATGATTCAATTACCTCCCACTAGGTCCCTCCCACACCATGTGCAGATTATGGGAGCTACAATTCAAGATGAGATTTAGGTAGGGACATAGCCAAACCATGTCAGAGGTGAACCAGTTTCATTAGAAAAAGGGATTTTTATGGTAATGAAATAGTTCTGTATCTTTTCAGTGGTGGTTCCTCAAAAGTAGACATGAGAAAAATTATGTCATAAAACTATATATACATTGGACCCATATTAATTTCTTTGACATTGTAGTATAGGTAAATAAGGTATTGCCATTAGGAAAACCTGGTTGAAGGGTATACAAGACCTCTGTGCTATCTTCACAAATTCCTATGAATCTCTAATTCTACCAAAATTAGTTTTAAAAATACGGTATCAGTGAATGTCAGGTTTAAACTGTCTTTACAGAGATTAAACTTAATACCTTAAATGGTATGCTTTCATGTCACTTCTGATTCTTTTTCTGAATAGTTTAAACCTAATGGTATGCGGTCTTACTTTAGAAGTGAATATTTCCGTGTTTTATATTTCACATATTTGCTTACTTTCTCCTTTGGGTATTTTCAAATGCTTACAATAATTTGACACCATGATTCACTGTTTACTCTTGCTTGAGAAATAAAATTCCAGATTGGAAATAACTCACAAACGCATTAACAGTATTGTTTATTATCACCTGCAATGCCTAAGCAAACTTTCAAGATCTCACGATTTTCTTTCTCTCTCAGTTCAATCAGCTTTTGATTTGCTATTTCGTTTCCTGTTCTTCAGATTAACTTTCTTTTTATTCTTCCCATTAAATGCAATTTTTCATCTTTTTACGTTTGTTCTGCCTTCAATAACAGAGAAATATTATGTAACTGTGTTTGCCCAAACTATTTTTTTCTAGTTGTTTCCCTGACTTAATAGCTCAGTATGACTCAGCATTCTAGAAATTAAAATAGAGGAAGATTCTAAATACACAATCAACTTCGCTTTTGTGTGTTCATCACAGCAACATGTAACAAAAAGAAACATTTCTTTAGAGTAGAAACATTTTGAGAATCTAGCTTTATTTTTCTTTTTTTGAGACAGGGTCTCACTCTGTCACCCAGGCTTGAGTGCAGAAGTGCAATCACAGCACACTGCAGCCTTAACCTACTGGGCTCAAGCAATCCTCCCACTTCAGCCTTTGGAGTAGCTGGAACCACAGATGTGTGCCACCACGTCTGGCTAATATTTTTTTTCTTTTATATTTTGTAGAGACTGAGTCTCGCTATGTTGTCTGGGCTGGTCTCAGACTCCTGGGCTTGAGCCATCCTCCCACCTCAGCCTCCCAAAGTGCCAGGATTACGGACATGAGCCACCTCACCCAGCCAGGATCTAGCTTTCTTGCACCTCTTAGAAGTGGCATAAATGTAATGGAAACAGAGCCTTATTAGATTTTCATTTAATGTTTTAGAAGAAACATCAGTAAAAAGCTCTCTAAAACATCTCCTTTTGTAGATAACGTTAAAAAAACCCTTCAAAACATAAAATAAAAATACTTGAGACTTCATTGTTGATGAATTATTGTATGCATTTAAGCACTGCAATAAAATTCAGTTTAGAACACTAATAACCCTAGTCAGAATTTAATTGGGAGGCTAACAAAAACCTAGATTATTGTTGCTCTTCAAAATATGTGAGCTCAAAGATGGTACTTTTGTTACAATTTAAATGCACTATGGCTTCTATATTTTTAAGAGCAGAAAAATAAAGGAGCAAACATTTTTACATATACAAAATAAAAGAGTGAATCACAAGCTGATAAATTTTGCTTCTCCAAAAGAAACATGTATTCATAGAAAGTAGAGACTTATTCTAATATTTATAAATGCAATATTAAGCAATTCTTTACAAAGCAGGCATAATACACAAAAACAAATCATACTGCTAGGCTAAATGTGTAGCTTTCTTACATTTATTAAGAAAACACATTGTCAAGCCATCTTTTGGCATTATATTAAAGTGCATTTTTGCATAGTTTGTGTGGCAAAATAGTGAAGGTTTTCAGAAGGATATGTGTGTGGAACCAACAGATAAACATATATGTGTTCAATTTTTCTGTTAAAAATAGCATTGCATCTCCAACACAATAAAGAATAACAATTTGCTCCCTCCTTCAATCTACTCTCAGTGGGCTACAGATGCCAGGTCACCAGACATTGTTCATTCTCTTAACCAAGGGGGAGAATCCTCTAACCTGGGGCTCCCCAACCCCCAGGCCACAGACTGGTACTGTGGCCTGGGGGTTGGGGAGCCCCAGGTTAGAGATACCAGTCCGTGGCATGTTAGGAACCAGGCCACATGGCCGAAGGTGAGTGGCGAGTGAGCAAACAAAACTTCATCTGTATTTACAGCTGCTCCCCATGGCTCACATTACCACCTGAGCTCCACCTCCTGGCAGATCAGTGGCAGCAGTAGATTATCATAAGAGTGCAAACTCTATTGTGAACTGCGCATGTGAGGGATCTAGGTTGCGTGCTCCTTATGAGAATCTAATTCCTGATGATCTATCACTGTCTCCCATCACCCCCAGATAGGACTGTCTGACTGCAGGAAAACATGCTCAAAGATCCCACTGATTTTACATTATGATGAGCTGTAGAATAATTTCATTATATATTACAATGTAATAATGGTGGAAATAAAGTGCACAATATATGTAATGCTCTTGAATCATCCTGAAACCATCCCCCTGCCACTG
Organism: Homo sapiens; assembly: GCF_000001405.40. Classification (NCBI taxonomy): domain Eukaryota; kingdom Metazoa; phylum Chordata; class Mammalia; order Primates; family Hominidae; genus Homo; species Homo sapiens. The sequence continues at coordinate 4,671,149 of NC_000023.11, forward strand.
GTTGATGGAAAAATTGTCTTCCCTGAAACTGGTCCCTGGTACCAAAAAGGTTTGGGACTGCTGCTCTAACCCTCTTGTCTCTAGGGAGAGGCCTGTCCTAATGGTTGCTTGGACCTAAAGCCATTTAGGACAAGGAGTACTTGAACGAAGCTTTCCTCCAATTGCCCTAGTGAGATTCAATACAAAATTTGAGGAGCCCAGAAGTACAAAGTGGAGTCCAGTTCACTGCAAAAGAGGCAGGCTCTCAAAAAATTTTTCCTTTCCTCTCTGAGTTAGTGTGCTATTGCTCCCTAGTACTTAAAAGACTGTAAACCAAAAATAAAATCCTAAGCTCCTCAACTAACTGAACAAACCCCCTCTGGGCCAAAGGGACCCCAGAGAAACCTGAAAAACTGGATTCCCAGCCATGACAGGAAGAGAGGTCAGACATACGTCCTTCCTTACCCCTCCTGCCTTTTGGAGTCTAGGCACAACCCACCAGCATTCACATTAAAGTACGGCTCAAAAGACTGACAAAACAGACCCCTGGGACAGGAAATTACCAAATTCCAACCTGACTCTGGTATAGCATCGTATGACAGATAGCAGACCCGGAAGGAAATCAAAATATCTCACCCCAACATAGATTTCTTTGTCATATTTTGAAATGGCCCTGCAAAACCATCTTTCCTGGCAGAAATTTGCATCTGTGGAGAATCTCCATTCATACAGCCAGGACTTTGCTGTATCTAGGAAAGATTAACTCTAAGTCTGACACCTTGAAAGGTCTGAAAAGAGACATTTACCATCTGTTCTCTCTGAAGGCTGCTACCTGGAGGTGTCTTCTACATGATAAGTACCTTGGCTTCCACAACTCCTCGCCCTTTATCTTAGCATTTATTTCTACTGACTTCAACTCTTTAGACAAAACTTAACTCTTTCAACCAATTGCCAATCAGAAATCTTTAAATCTACCTATGACCTGTAAGGCCCCACTTCAAGAGATCCTGCCTCTTTAGGCTGAACCAATGTACACTTTCCATGTAGTGATTAATGATGTCACCTACATTTCCTGTCACCCTAAAATGTATAAAACCAAACTGTAACTGCCTCGGGCACACTTTCTCAGGACCTCCTAAGACTGTTTCCCCAGGCCGTGGTCACTCATATTGGCTCAGAATAAACTTTTAAAATATTTGACAGAGTTTGGTTTTTCCATTATCAAAGCTAAGAGGAAGTGGATAGGTAGCTTGATTTATCTTTGCTTTAAACCTGGAAGTGTAGGCTGGGCACGGTGGCTCATGCCTGTAATTGCAGCACTTTGGAAGGCCGAGGTGGGCAGGCAGATCACTTAACGTCAGGAGATTGGGACCAGCCTGACCAACAAGGCAAAACCCCATCTCTACTTAAAATACAAAAATTAGTCAAGCGTAGTGGTGCGCACCTGTAATCCCAGCTATTTGGAAGGCTGAGGCAGGAGAATCACTTGAACCCCGGAGGCAGAGGTTGCAGTGAGCCGAGATTGTGCCACTGCACTCCAGCCTGGGTAACAGAGCAGACTCCATCTCAAAAAAGCAAAACAAAAAAACAACCTGGACGTGTGAATACACTTGGGAATAGAGAGACTTGACCAGGTATACCTGTGACACGGACTTTCTGGCTGTTTGAACCCTGTAGGTTCACAGGCATGGACGCCACCGCACATTCTGCTTTGTGGAGGGCAGCAGTGTAGGTACTCCAGCAACAAAGGGGTCTAGGATAAGGGATCCCCCAAATACAAGGGGGCCAGCAGCTGGAGCAAGAAATGCAGCAGAGCCTGCAGAAGTCCAGAAAACAGATGCTCAGACCTTGAAGTCAATTTGAATAACAAAACAGGACCTAGGACTTAAGGAGATCCAGATAAAAAATGCAACTCTCTCCTTAACATCAATCTACTGAAACAGAGATTCTAAGATGCGGAAACAGTGGTGACTTGAAATAGGAGAAAGAATATCATTACATGCTAATTATGTTAAATATGAGATATAATGAGAAGAATAGAAAAATGACTCATTAATTATTAATGAACTGAATTACCTCATCCATATTACAAAAACTAAGCTGCATCCTATTTATGCAAGCATACTAAAAAATAAAGTGATAAAAAAGTTTCAGAAAACAATGCTATGTAGCAGAGGCAATAAGAATTTGTCAAGAAGAGATCTAGTGTTAAAAAAATGTAATGAGAGTAATTTTATTTACATTAAGTAAAAATAACAGCTAAATGAGTGAAACAAAAATCATTAGGAGTGAAAGGGGAAATTTTTAAGATTATATTTATAGAGGCATAGTTTGCATGCCTCTACTACTTCATGAATTTGAGAAATTAGTAAATCTAACAGTGAAAAATAAGGAAAGAGAAAAACATAAGAATTCAAATGATAGGTTCAATTTAATATGCCTCTCATTTATGCATATATACACACAGGCATATACATGCATATATATATGTCATAATATCTTTATGTACATATAATGGCCATATGCATTATTGAGAACATACACATATACAGTATCAATATAATTTGCATATAAGAAACTTCAACAAATCTGAAAAAGTGAAAATTGTGTGTGCTGTATGCTGAAATCATAACCTAAATAAGATATAAATAAGCACAGATAATTGACCCTAAACTTCCACATTGTTTACAAATTAAGGAATGTAATCTAACTCTGTATTCAAAGAAGGTATCAAATCTGAACCTATAAAATATCTGAGAGTAACTATAATGACAACATTACATCAACAGCGTAGCCTTCAGCAGTAAGAGTGTAACTGCTCTACGGGTTCTTCCTGCCCTCTGCACAAAGTAAATCCATGGCATTGCGGTAAAGAAAGAGTTTAATTGGTGCAAGGCCAGCCATGCCACATAGGAGACAGAGTTTTTACTCAAACTAGCCTCCCTGAAGATTTGGAGACTAGGGATTTTTAAGGATAATTTTGCAAGCAGAGGGCCACAGAGTGGGGAGTGCTGATTGGTTGGGTTGAAGATGAAGTCATAGGGAGTTGAAGCTGTGCTTTTGCGCTGTGTCAGTTCCTGCGTGGGGGCCACAAGACCAGTTGAGCCAGTTTACTGGGTGGTGGCAGCTGATTCATCGAGTGCAGCATCTGAAAAATATCTCAAGCATCAATCTTAGGTTTTACGATAGTGATGTTATCCTTAGGAGTAACTGGGAAGGTTTAGAATATTGTGGCCTCTGGCTTCATGAGTCCTAAAACATAATTTCTAATTTTGGGCTTCATTTCTTCATCCTACAAAGGCAGTCTGGTCCCCAGGCAAGAAGGTGGTTTGTTTCAGGAAAGGGCTATTATCTTTGTCAAAGTTAAACTATGAACAAAATTCCTCCCAAAGTTAGTTCAGATGTCCAGGAATGAACAAAGACCGCTTGGAGTTTAAGAGCAACATGGAGTCAGTTAGGGCAGATGCCTTTTCACTGTCATAATTTTCTCACTGTTATAATTTTTGCAAAAGCAGTTTTAGGAACACTTTAAGGAAAACACAGCCTCAAATGCCTTTATTATCTAAGAGAAATGAGAGACGAAAAGGAACTCAATATTTGTTTGAATAAATTAAAGAACAAAACAACATGAAATTAAATAGAAAAATGCTAATAAAGCTTAAAGCTGAAATTAATGAAATGGGAAATAAAAATTGTACCTATCACCCAAGATAATTTCTTAAAATTATACAATGAAATAAAATAGATAAAGCTTCTGTGAGTCCGATGGATTGCAAGGAAACAAATAGCAAGATTATGTTATAAAAAAGGGGCTTAAAACAAACACAGAGGAATTTAAAGAAATAGATATTAACAATAAAAAACTACATGAAAATCTACGACATTTAATTTGAAAACATAGAAGAAGCAGATGATTTTGTGGGAAAGAAAAATTACCAAATTTGATGGAAGAAAATTGAGAAACCTAAATTAGCTGGTTTTCATGGAAGTAAATGTCAAGCCCATTAAAGATCTACTATTGAAATATGCAGCAGGAATAGGTGGTTTCACAGCTGAATTGCAGCTCATATTGAAATTTAAAAAAACCATAATCTTGATGTTAAACTCTTTCATTCCACAGAAAATGATACAGAGCCCACTAATTTATTTGATGAGGATGTTACCAGAAAGGGGTCCTGAACCAGACCCCAAGAGAGGGTTTTTGTACCTCGCAAAAGAAAGAACTCAGGGTAAGTCCATAGAGTAAAGTGAAAGCAAGTTTATTAAGAAAGTAAAGGAATAAAGAATGGCTATTCCATAGGCAGAGCAGTGGCTTGGGCTGCTGACTGAGTATAATTTTAGTTATTTCTTGATTGTAGGCTAAACAAGGGGTGGATTATTCATGAGTTTTCTGGGAAAGGGGTGGGCAGTTCCTGGAACTGAGGTTTCCTCCCCTTTATAGACCATAGAGGGTAATTTCTGGACACTGCCATGGCATTTGAAAACTGTCACGGCACTGGAGGGAGTGTCTTTTAGCTGCTAATGCATTATAATTAGCATATGAGCAGTGAGGACGACCAGAGGTCACTTTTGTCACCATCTTGGATTTGGCCAGTTTTGGTCAGCTTCTTTATCACATCCTGTTTTATCAGCAAGGTCTTTGTGACCTGTGATACCAGTTCTGCCAACCTCTCTCATACTATGACTTAGAATGCTTACCCTACAAGAAATGCAGTCCAGCACGTCTCAGCCTTATTTTACCCAGCCCCTATTCAAGATGGAGTTGCTCTGGTTCAAATGCCTCTGACAAGGACAGTATAGAAATATGACAAACACAAGGTGTAGGTCCCAGCTAGCTTTGCACCTATCAGCATGAATTTTAGCATCTTCATTGGTTAACAAGAATGTGCACACAAGGTGTTCTGGTTCAGAGACAGATTTTTTTTATTAAAAACCACACAACAAATAAGAAGTGTGTTCTCGCCCTCTGCCCTAGTTTTTACCCTGGGGAAATACAATGAGAACCAGGTCAATTGCCTTAAGCAAGCAGCCTAACACATTTCTTAGATTGAGAGATCAGAACAAAACAAATATTATCTGTTTATAAAAGAAAAGGAAGGAGATATCCCTTCCCTGCTGAACGGATCACCTCCTTTCTCCAGCCCTTTGGAATATAAAATAAAACCTCTCCGGGAGCTGAAGGACCCTGTGTCTTTTATCACCTAGAGGTGATGCCAAGATCTGGGTGAATTCCTTCTTGAAATGTAAATACCTACTTGGGTACTTGCTCCAGTCTAAAAAGTGTCTAGGGGCTTTAACCTAAGAACAAGTCAGAGCTATAAGCATTTGGCTTTGGGGAGATAAGAAGTTTTATTACCCTTTCCAATAAGAGCAATTAACTAGACATATGGCTACTTATCCAGTTCTCACAGTATGAGGAGATGCTTCAAAGAGAAATGAAAGCAAACATTCTCAGAAGGAATGCTAGGTCTTCTCACAGAAGCACTTAGACACCCAGGGAGGTTTTACCACTCCACAGAATGAGATGTAAACCTGCCATCCTATGACTGCTTTTTTGTTTGTTTTAGAGACAGGGTCTTACTCTGTTGCCCAGGCTGGAGTGCAGTGGTTCAATCATGGACTGCAGCCTTTTTTTTTTTTTTTGAGATGGAGTCTAGCTCCATTGCCCAGGCTGCAGTGCAGTGGCACCATCTCAGCTCACTGCAAACCTTGCCTCCTGGATTCAAGCAATTCTCCTGCCTCAGCCTCCTGAGTAGCCAGGATTACAGTCACCCACCACCACATCTGACTAATTTTTGTATTTTTAGTAGATACGTGGTTTCACCATGTTGGCCAGGCTAGTCTCGAACTCGTGGCCTCAAGAGATCTGCCTGCCTCAGCCTCCTAAAGTGCTGGGATTACAGGTGTGAGCCACTGCAACTGGCCCATGGACTGTAGCCTTGACCTTCTGAGCTCAAGCAAACCTCCTACCTCAGCCTCCCAAGTAGCAGGAACCACGGGTGTGCACCACCATGCCTGGCTAATATATATATATATATATATATATATATATATATATATAATGTAGAGACAAGGTTTTGTTATGTTGCCTAGGCTAGATGACTCTTTTTTGGATTACGTGAGTTAACACATGAAATAAGGTACTATCTACATAAAGCATATATTCATCTTTGGTACTAAAATAATTATTATAGCATAGACAAATATAATTCAATCTTCCTAATGATATCAGTACCTTTAAAATTTGTTTAAAATCCAGTAGCAGAGCAAGGAATAACACTCCACATGGCTAAGAAGAGTAGCCGCAAAGATGACAATGCTTTAGAAAAATGCACCGTGTTAGAAAGTGTCAGTGTAATCCACTAATTCAACCAATGAAAGGCAAAAGTGTAATTCCATCAATAGTCATGGAAAAATTATGAAACTGAATCTAAAATGGTAAGAAGAAAAGGATAAGACATTTTAACAAATACGTAAATAACAGAAGCACACTAGCTTGGTGCGTGGCTTGTGCTGGTAATCCCAGCTCTTTAGCAGACCCAGTTTGGAGGATTGCTTGAGCCCAAGCGTTTGAGAGCAGCCTGGGAAACATAGCAAATTCCCATCTTTATAAAAAATAAACAAAATTAGCTGGGTGTGGTGACACACGCCTGTAGTCCCAGCTACTCGGGGAGGCTGAGGTGGGAGGATTGCTTGAGCCCAGGATGTTGAGCCTACCGTGAGCTAGGATTGCACCACTGCACTCCAGCCTGGGCAACAGAGCAAGAGCTAGTCTCAAACGAAACAAAACAAAAAGCACTCTTCTAAAATGAATACCGATTGCAGCCTAAAAAGCAAAATACTAAAGTAATTTCAAGAAAAATTAGAGAGCACATGAGAATGCCTTTTATTTCTATTATTATCCAACGACTTCGGGAAGATTGTGGCAAATGCAGTGAAATGAGTAAATGAAAATTTGTGATAGCTATTGGAAAAGAACAGATAAAATTAGAGCACTTTTGCTGATAGCATGAATGTTTACCTGAGAAAATCTAAAAACCTATTCGAAAAATAAGGTAATTTGGTAAAATTGCTGAATACAAAGTAAATAAACAAAAATTATTAGTGTTTTTTACATACTGCAGTAGGAACCTAGAAAGCAATATGGGAGCATTCTATTGAAAATCCAATAATTATGTTAAAAAACTTAGGAGTGCATATAATAAGAGGGGCGCTGGGAAGAAATACATTGAATTAAACTGAAACACGGAATACCCAAACAAATGGAAGTACATGTTATATCCTCAAATGCTTAAATTATACATCACAAAAATGCCAACTCCACCAAAATTGATGGATGAATCAATTGTCATCCAATTGCCAATCATAACAAGGTGTTTAATCTTTTGCATTGTAGAAAATGATCTCACAGTTCATATAGAAAGATGTATTATACAAGTATAGTTAGGAAATCAATGAGAGAAATAATACATGATATAGGGCATTTGCTACCACATACAGGACATGCTATAATGATACTCTAATCAGATCAATGTTATTGTCATAGCAATATGCTATAGGACGTGACAAAATGTAGCTGCTGCATTTTATCAAATCAACTTCTTTCTTTCCTGCCCTGGGTGTAGGGGCTGGAGGCTGCTTTTCAACATCACTACTGTTCAGTCCACTCAGTGGTCTCCTTTTGCCTTCCCCTACATTTTCCATTTTATTTTAAGCAAATTGTCTAACTTGTTTTCCTGGCTAGACCCTGACAGTATTTTCTACCAATTGCAGTTATAACTAAAGTGAAATACGTGCCAATCAAACATGTTGATGGTGAGCATCGTCTCTATATGAATTAGTTCAATTGGGTTGTATAAATAAACGAACATGTAAAATTATGTTTTCAGTTATTATATGGATAGTAATATAAAGTAAGAAATTAAGGAAAAGCGGCCGGGCACAGGGCTCACACCTGTAATCCTAGCACTTTGGGCGGCCAAGGCAGGCGGATCACTTGAGTTCGAGACCAGCCTGGCCAAAATGGCGAAACCCCGTCTCTATAAAAAATACAAAAATTTGCCAGGCATGGTGGTGCACACCTGTAATCCCAGCCACTCGGGAGGCTGAGGCAGGAGAATCACTTAAACCCAGGAGGTGGAGGTTGCAGTGAACTGAGATGGCGCCACTGCACTCCAGCCTGGATGACAGAGTGAGACTGTGTAAAATAAAAAAAAAAAAGATATTCTTCTGAGTGAGGGTATACAACTGAACAAAAGTTAAACAGCTCAAGGAGGTGAATAACTGCTCTGCGTTCAAGAAAATACTGTATGTTTTTAAAATAAGCCATTGATGTCTGCTTTACTTGCTTTTTAAAATAATTGGGTAGATACTCTAACACCTTGTTAGACTGAAATGGGAAAAGTCAAATTCATTTTACTTTTGAAAAATAGACAACTGATAAAATCACAGCACCTGTGCTATTTTATCAAGAAAGGGGAGTGTTATACTTTTCTTTTTCAGGAAATACATTTCCTTTTTAAATTAAATGCAATCGTAAATATATACAACATTTCACTGCTACAGTTAAAGCATTAGAAAGCCTCAACATATCCACAATAGGAAAGAAAGAGATTGCCTATGATAATAACTGTGGCTTCGCTTCATAACATTGTATTAACTATAAAATGGAAAAAATATTAGTAATACTATTGAGATAAACATAGTAAGAACTCAAACTCATCAGGGTGTGTTTGATTTATTATTATTTTGTTCCTCAAAATAAGCTCTATCTCCTGATAAAGTAAACACTGCATCAGTATAAATCATATGCCATTTTATTTTTTATTTTTTTATTTTTATTTTTTGAGACAGGGTGAGTCTCACTCTGTCACCCAGGCTGGAGAGCAGTGGCACAATCACGGCTTACTGCTGTCTCAACCTCCTGGACCCAAGCGATCCACCTACATCAGCCTCCTGAGTAGCTGGCAACACAGGCATGAGCCACGATGCCCAGCTAATTTATTTTTTATTTGTAGAAATAGGGTCTCCCTATGTTGCCCAGGCTGGTCTCAAACTCTTGGGCTCAAGCAATCCTTTTGCCTCGGCCTACCAACGTGCTGGGATTACAGGCCTGAGCCACCACACAAGTCCCCATACACCATTTTAAATATCAGGAAATAATTAATTACTTTAAGAATTGTATACAGATAATATTAAATTAAGCCTTTAGAAAATGTCCAGGTTGGGTGCGGTGGCTCACGCCTTTACTCCTAGCACTTTGGGAGGCCGAGGTGGGCAGATCACCTGAGGTCAGGAGTTTGAGACCAGCCTGGACAACATGGTGAAACCCTGCCTCTACTAAAAAAACAAAAATTAGCCTGGCGTGGTGGTGCATGCCTGTAATCCCAGCCACTCGAGAGGCTGAGGCAGGAGTTTCACTTGAACCCAGGAGGCAGAGGTTGCAGTGAGCTTAGATCTTGGATCGTGCCAGTGCACTCCAGCCTGAGCAACAGAGCAAGACTCTGTCTCAGAAAAAAAAAAAAAAAGAAAAGAAAATGACCAAATGTCTAAACTCTGCATCAGTGTAAAGGATAAGTCCAAAATATAAAGTATTATTTACTGGAACAAATCCATACAATTTTTCTTAGCTTGTTTATAGCAAACATTGCACCTTACAATAACACAAACATCAAAACACAATCTGGAACACTTTTTGGAAATATAGATATATTTAATTGTCAGAGAAAAATGTATAAATCCAATAGGGCATGTTTTATCCTGATAAAAACCTACACTCTGATTTATAAGAAACATAAGCATAGATAGAAACATGAAGTTATTCTGCCACAGATCAACCTTTTATTATTCTTACTTTTTACCTACCAGCATATTTAAAATAAAATAGCTATTACAAAATAAAATTTTCTGATATTCTGTTGTTTCCAAGTGTTTTATTTTATGCTTTCTCTTGCATTTCTTGTTTAAATTCAAAACTGAGCTTTTGAGATTCTGCGTATTCCTTGATTTTACTTTTTGGGTGTATACAGGCAACTGTCATTGACTATACTCTCCAGCTTCATCCTGTCTTTGTTTTGTTTTATTTTGTCTTGTCTTGTTTTGTTTTGTTTTTTTGAGACAGGATCTGGCTCTGTTGCCCAGGCTGGAGTGCAGTGGCACGATCTTGGCTCACTGTAGCCTCGACCTCCTGGGCTTAAGCAATCCTCCCACCTCAGCCTCCCAAGTAGCTGAGACCACAGGCTCATGTTACCACACCTAGTTCATTTTTGTATTGTTTATAGAGACAGGGTTTTGCCATGTTGCTGGGCTGGTCTCACACTCCTGAGCTCAAGTGATCCACCTGCCTTGGCCTCCCAAACTGCTGGGATTAAGGCGTGAGCCACCACATCTAGCCTCACCCTGTCTTTTAAGACAGTCACTCCAGGACCTGCCAGCTAATCTGTTGCCTGGCCATGAGCACAGCTACAAAGTTGAGCTAGTGACTGGTAGAATACTGAATAGTCTACAGTTAAAGGAGGAGCGATAAATGTATTGGAAGTGCAAAACTAAACATATAGTTGTAGGGATAGAATGCAAGTGGAGGAAAAGAATGATGTTTTTTGTTAGCTGAAATAAGTTGATCAATGAATCTTCGTTGAAGAAAGGAAGAGTATAAGGAAGGAAGGAGAGAGGGAAGGAAGGAAGGAAAGGAGGGAAGGAAAGAAGGAAGGAAGGGAGGGAGGGAGGGAATGAAGGAAGGAAGGAAGAAGGAGAGGAGGGAAGGAAGGAAGGAAAGGAGGGAAGGAAGGAAGGAAGGAGGGAAGGAAGGAAGGAGGGAAGGAAGGAAGGGAAGGAAGGAAGGGAGGGAGGGAAGGAAGGAAGGAAGGAGGGAAGGAAGGAAGGGAAGGAAGGAAGGGAGGGAGGGAAGGAAGGAAGGGAGGGAGGGAAGGAAGGAAGGAAGGAGGGAAGGAAGGAAGGGAGGGAGGGAAGGAAGGAAGGAAGGAAAGGGAGGGAGGGAGGAAGGAAGGAAGGAAGGAAGGAAACAAGGAGGTTTATTCTGAGCCAATATGAATGACAACTGCCTGAAGAAAACCCAAATGCAAGAAACCTTGAGCAAAAATTAGCTGGGCATGGTGGTGCATGCCTCTGGTCCCAGCTACTCAGGAGGCTGAGGCAGGGGGATCACTTGAGCCTGGGAGGCAGAGGCTGCACGGAGCCGTGATCATGCCACTGCACTCCAGCCTGGGTGACAGAGTGAGACCCTGTCTCAAAAAATAAAATAAATAAATTGGCTTCTTCATCAGAGTTGAAGAAAACTGAGAAGGAAAGACATATAGGTTCCCATTAACTGTTTGTCAATTTGTTTTGGAGGTGACCTTGCCGAATACTGCACATCTCTGAGGGAGCCTCTGGCCAAGGGTATGCCTAGATTTATGCTAGTCAGGGTTCTGAATTGCAGCCATCTGAAGCTGACTGCAGTGGATTAAGCAGAAAGAGGCTTAGGAAAAGATATTGCATAGATACCGAAATTGTTAGGAACGGCTAGAGAAGCAGGCTATAGGGAAATCTTCCAGCAACAATGTCTAAAATAAAGCTCATGAACTGGCCTGATGGAGATGTTGTCAATTCTGCAGCTGGTCCACAGGCCACTTGGGGAGTTTTTGTCATCTGCAAAGCCACACCATGACGCAACTCTTTAAGTCAAGGCTGTGACCTGCTCCCAGCATAGCCTGACCGTGGAAACCTGGAAACTCCAGCTGCCGGCAACACCCATAAAAATGCCTATGATTGGAGGAGCCTGAATCACAGGTTTGGGTCCCAAGAGGCTTCAAATTTGAATTTTCTGAATTCTATCTTGAGTCGATGAGACTCATAAAACAAGAAATATGCAATATGTAGCGAGTAAAAAACAAATCAGGGAGCCAAAAATACAATTCCTCCACCAAAGAAATTTCTGAAGGCACTGAGTAATGTCATGATTGATTGAACGCATCTCCTCCTGCTACAAGAAATCTAGTCTGAGTTATGGCTGGTCCGAGATAAATAGATAAACAGATAAACAGAAACAAGACTAGAAGAACAATCCTTGTGTTGGTTTGATGTCAGTAAATGAAATATGAGGACCTCATTTTGGAATTAGGAGACACTAAGCTATCTCCTAGTCACTTGGTGTTATATTTTAGAGCTTCATTTAAACTTTAACATCAGCCTCATATATGAAAGAAAAAATGGTTTAAAATGCAATTGGGAATACTGAAAATATAGGAATAATTAAATACATTTATTGTAAGCTATTTGCAGTTGAATAAACATTTAAAGATGAAAGAAAAATCCACTTCTTTTTAAAAGGAAGCAAACCCTTTCCTACTGAGAAAAGATTAAGTGGGATGTTCAAGAGTTTAAAAAAAAGAATTGCAGCTTAAGTGAAAAAGTAACCCATGCAGTTTTGGAAGAAACGCTGTCCTCAGAAGGAAGCTTTAAGGGAAACCAGCACACATAATTATTCAGAAATAAAAGCCTTTTTTATTTCCTCAAAACTTCTATTATTTGACATCAGATGTTTTATGTTTTTTTCTAGGTCTCCCAGATCCAAATATTCCCTAGCAAAATTTCCTTGAAAAAAACACCAAGACTGTTCATAAATCCTATCTATATAATGCCTATTAATAAATATTTTTCTGTCCTAAATTCTACATGTGGCAGGAGAGAAACCGGATCCTAGCATACATTTTTTTTCCCGAAAATGATTTCTCCATGGTAAGGTTCACTGAAATTCTAGCCTATCATGGTTATGGAATTGTAAATGTTTTGTAGTTTATTTATTAAATCTGCACATTAAAAAGAAATAAAAATGGCCAGGTGCAATGGATCAGGCCTATAATCTTAGCACTTTGGGAGGTTGAGGTGGGAGAATTGCTTAGTGTGGGAGACTAGCCTGGGCAACATAGCAAGACCCTGTCTCTACTATATATATATATATATATATATATATATATATATATATATATATATATACACACACACACACACACACACATATACACATATATATATATACACACACACACATATATATAGTGAGCCAAAAATACAATTTCTCCACCATATATATATATATATATATATAAAATATATATATAATTAACCTGTGTGGTGGCATAGGCGTGGTAGTGTGTGCCTGTGGTCCCAGCTACTTGGGAGGCTGAGGCAGGATGATTACTTGAGCCTGGGAGGTTGAGGCTGCAGTGAGCCGTGATCATGCCACTGCACTCAAGCCTGGGTGACAAAGTGAGACCCTGTCTCAAATATAAAATAATAAATAGAATAAAATAAAAAGAAATAAAATACATCTCCCATAGTTTTGTGGATAGATTATGACCCAGCATCTGGAAGCAAACAGGTTACCACCCTATGAAGCTCACTGTTTGGTGACTTAGATTTTTGGTTGATGAAAAGCCTCGATACTCACAGTTCTTTCCTCATGTTGATAGCAAGTTTTCCCCCTGTAAATAGCCACAAGCAGCCCTATCCTCCTTCCATTTAGAGCTGTTCACCTATGAAAATAGCAATCAAGTATTTTCCAGTTATTCAACTCTCTCTTGCATACCCCCACCTGCTGAACAGATCTTCTTGTGGATCTCATGAAGATCCTCTTGACTCCTGCGTATTGAAATGAGCCAGAGTTTGGAGATTGCCTGCCCTATCTTGCTGCCTTTAATGGCAATATCTTCCTCAAGTCCATTTTGCCACCGAAATATCTCTCTCCCCTTCATTGTTGATATACCTATGCCCATGGGCTTGACACCGTCTATTGCCCAAAGTTGGTTTTTCCTTTCTTCTAACAGCCTCCAAATTGAGGCTCATGATGTTGACAAGACAAGCTTGATCCTTTGACCCTGCAATGTTCTGCTCCTTTTAAAGGCAGTGGTTTCCAGCCATTTTAAAATCGAGGCATTTCTTTCTTCAGATACCAGTGTCTGAAATAGATAATACGAGGCTACTATGGGGAAGGTCAGGTGAGGGGAAGATCTGTGTTCTCATCGCTTCCATTCCAAATTCTCATCATCTCAGAGACTTCTTATCCCATCCATAGTGCTGTGAGGCCTTTGATGGGAAATGTACTTTTCAAGATCAGTGTGGTGAGTCGGAAATAGAATAAGAGACACCCACCGTCACTTAAATTTTCTGGCAGTGACATTAAAGTATGTGAAAAGAGACAGGAGAATCTAACTTTAAAATATATATTATTTAACCTAACATATGCAAAATTTAACGTGTAATTAATGTAATCATTATTAATGAAATAGTTAATTTTTTCATACCAAGTCTTTGAAATCCGTGGTGTATTTTCCATTTACAGCACATTACACATTGGACCTGCAGCATTGCATGTGCTGAATAGCCCCATGTGGTTAGTGGCTAGCATGCTGGATAGAGCAGTCCCAGATAATATAGCCTGCTGTCCTTGAAAATGTGCAAATGACCCCCATGACCTAGTCCCTATCTACCTCCTCAATCTCATGTGGTTATGTATCCACACCATATGCTATAAGCCAGTGGAATTAAAATTATTGTGAATTGTTGGAACTTGCCAACTGTTGAAACCACCTTTGCAAAATTATGACAGTAAGAGAAATCTAACACACATGACTCCATCTTGCTTCTAACCTCCAAGCTGTCCTTGGTCATTCTTGGGCACAGGCCAAGCTAACTTTGGAAGGAATTTAGTTTATAGTTTAAGCTTAAAGCAAGGATGATAACAGCCCTCTCCAAAACTATCCATTTCTTTTTTGGAGACTGAAACTACCTTTGTGAAACCACTGAAAGGGCACAAGATCAGAATTATGGCTCAGCCAGGAGTTGAGACCAGCCTGGGCAATATGGTGAGATCTCATGTCTACAAAACATCAAAAAACTAACCAGTTGTGGTGGCTTGTGCCTCTCGTCCCAGCTACCCAGGAGGCTGAGGTGCGAGGATTGTTCCAAGAGTTCCAGGCTGCACTGAGCCATGTTTGTGCATTGCATTGCAGCCTGGGCAACAGAGAGAGACCCTGTCTCAAAAAAAAAAAAAAAGAAAAAAAAAGAATTATGGAATTACGGCTTAGGAATCATATAACCAGAGGTCAAAAGATTTATAATCTCTCCAGTTGCTCCTACAGATAATAATACTATTGAAAAATGTAAGATTATTGTACCACCTAGACTGGTAACCCATGCCAAGAAACTGGCTCAACTAATCTTGTGATCTCAACCCAGGAACTGACTCAGGGCTAGAAGACAGCTTCTACCATCTATGATTCCATCCCTGACCCAATCAATCAGCATTCCCTATTCCCTAGCACCCTGCCCACCAAACTATCCTTAAAAAACCCTAGCCTCTGAGCTTTCAGAGAGACTGATTGGAATAATAAACTTCCATCTTCTGGTTGGCTAGCCCTGCATTAATTAAACTCTTTCCCTACTGCAATACTGCTGTCTTAGTGAATTGGTGTTATCTGTGCAGCAGACAAGAAGAATCTATTGGGTGATAACTCTCTCATGCTTTTTTTTTTTAATAGTGTTTCACTCTGTCACCCAGGTTGAGTGCAGTGGCACCATCATGGCTCATTGCAGTCTTGAACTCCCATGCTCAAGGAATCCTCCTGCCTCAGCCTCACAAAAAGCTGGGACCACAGGTGTGCACCAACATGCCCAACTTTTTTTTTTTTTTTTTTTCATAGAGACAGGATCTTGCTATATTGCCTAGGCTGGTCTCAAACTCCTAGCTTCAAGCAATTCTCCTGCCTTTGCTTCCCAAAGTGCTGGGATTACAGGCGAGAGCCACTGTGCCCACCCCAGACATACGTATTTCTGAAAGACTTTTCCCTTTCCCTGAGGTACCTGGTCCTATCCACAACACATGGGATTCTGACTAACTCAAATATCCTTTGCAAACCCATTCGGGTGTGATTTCTCACATAAGCCTTTCTTATTTCTCCAGAGTTGACACCGTTCCCTTTCCTGCCTGCATCTCGTCATAAACGTATTCAATAAGAATAAAAACTTAAGTGTTCTCGTTACTTATTGATGATTTAGTATGAAAGAAGACAGCAATACATTTACAATAGCACCAAAAATTTATGGGGTACTTAGGGATAGGTCTAACATAGCCAAATCTCTTGTCAAAAAATTATTAAAATTATATACTTAAAATTATTTAAAAGTGCATTTGAGTAAATGGGAATGTATTCAATGTTCATAGATGAAAAGATCCAATAAAGATGGAAATCATTTCCAAAATAGACTCCCAAGTAAATTTAAATCTATCATGTTCTAAGAAGGGTTTCGAAAAAAAATAAAAACAAGATTCTTAAAAGCATTTGAAATTGTAAGGAGCAATGTGAACCATGGAAAATGTGAAGAAACAGCAATTTTGGACAAGTAAAATTTTACCCAAGAGTTATATCAATTGAAATGATGTGGTGCTTATGCAGGGATAGACCATTAACTCAATTTGGAACTGTGAGAGCCCAGCAATGAGTTCACTGAAAGGCAAAAGTACGGCATTAACAGAGGAGTTATCAGAATTCAGTGGGTAGAGAGTGGAATGTTTCTGCAGAGCTGGACATGTAGCTATTCATTGTAGGAGCAAAAAGCTCTGGTTCACAGAACCAGCTAAAGATTCACAGAAGATCACTGGCATGTGGCAGATTGATTAACAGAAAACAAGGCATACAAATTTATTTATATGCAGGGGCCTTCAGAATGAAGATCCAACTTCCCAATCAGGGCCAGAAACTTAAATACCATCGTGAGGTGACAGAAGGGATGGGGGTTTGGGTCATGGTAAAACAGGTGATGGGAGGAGGAGAGGAGGAATTCTATCGAGGGGCAATAAATGATTAGTAGGGAGAACGATTTGATCTGGAGACAGAGATCAACTTGTAAATAGTTTTTTCTTTTTCATTTAAATGATCCTTGGAGACAGTCATTATCTTGTAAAAGGGTCTGTTCTGGTGTAATTATATTTTTAGTAATAGATAATGAGACAAAAGGAGAGGAATAAGAAGAATTGTTGTCCTTGGTAGGTCAGTCCTGTCCTTATATAGATGAGGACATTATCTTCTAATGCTCGTTCGTCTCCAGGAGTTTTTAATTCAAAGTACTCATTATAAGGGAGCCATATATTGGGGTGAAATATTTTCATTTTCTTCACCATGAGAAACAGAAAAAGAAAATTAAGTCTAAATGGATCAGAGATTTACTAGTGAAAAGAAAATCTTCATGTCTTTGAAAGAAACCAACCCGGATAAACTTGTGACTTCATGATAGGAAAACATATCTTGAACATTATAAAAATGACCCAATAAGTGAGCAGAATGATTTTTTTTGAATCTATGAAGTAAAGGTTTAAATTTTAATTGACATTTCTCCCAATGTGATGAGTGATAGCTTATTTGTAAATTAAATAGCATTTTTTTTTTTAGACGGCTTCTCACTCTGTTGCCCAGCCTGGAGTGCAGTGGCGCGATCTCGGCTCACTGCAAGCTCCGCCTCCCGGGTTAACGCCATTCTCCTGCCTCAGCGTCTCGAGTAGCTGGGACTACAGGCGCCCGCCACCACGCCCGGCTGAGTGTTTTGTAATTTTAGTAGAGACGGGGTTTCACCGTGGTAGCCAGAATGGTCTTGATCTCCTGACCTCATGATCCGCCCGCCTCAGCCTCCCAAAGTGCTGGGATTACAGGTGTGAGCCACTGTGCCCGGCTGTGAGCAGAATGATTTTATGTGTGTATGTGTGTGTCTGCATATGTATAGATGTATATATACTCTCTGTATATATATGAATATATTCTATATATTAGTTTATATGTAAGTATATAGATTCCATATATAAATATATACATTTATAGAATAATTTATAATATACATTTCTATAGTATATATTTACATATTATTTTAGAAGTATTTTATGTATAGATTTGATATGTATTTATATAAACTATATAAATTCATATATAGAGAATATATATAAAAATATATAATATATAAATATATAATTTATAAAATGTATCAGTATATAAGTATAATATAAATCAAATATAAAAATGCATAGGATATAGAAACACATGTAAAATAAAATATACATGATATATGATATATAAATATGTCACATAAAAATATCACATATATTTATATATATTGATATTATATATATTATATAGATATTATATAGCATACATTTTATATAAATATGGTATATTTATTTCAATATATCATATTTACATAAATATATCACATATTTATAATATATTTATACATATAAAATAATATAAATATATGTAATATAAATTATATATAATAATATAAATATATTACATATATAATATATTGATATATAATTTTATTATATTATATATTGATATATAATTTTATTATATTATATATTGATATATAATTTTATTATATATTGATATATAATTTTATTATATTATATATTGATATATAATTTTATTATATTATATATTGATATATAATTTTATTAAATTTTATATATAATTTTATTATATTATATATATAATTTTATTATATTATATATAATTTTATTATATTATATATTTATATGTAATTTTATTTTATTATATATTTATATATAATTTTATTATATATATTTATATATAATTTTATTATATATTTATATATAATTTTATTATATATATTTATATATAATTTTATTATATATATTTATATATAATTTTATTATATATATTTATATATAATTTTATTATATATATTTATATATAATTTTATTATATATATTTATATATAATTTTATTATATATATTTATATATAATTTTATTATATATCATATATTTATATATGGTATATAATATATATTATAAATTATAAGCATATTATATATAAATATGATATATTTATATAAATATATAAATATACATGGTATACATTATAATACATATAAATATGCATAATAATATATTTATATTACCTTGTCCCTTCACCATTGGACTTTATTTTAAATCACAAGGGACTTTTCATCCTTTAAATTATCAGATGTTTTTTACACCTGACTGAGAGGCCAGCTTGACTTGCAAGGCTGCCTTCCAATAGGGCCATTGTGCCCCACATCTTCAGTCGCACTAACCTGCCATGATAATATCACACATGCTAATGAGAGTCTGACTTAATGCTTCAGAGTCAAATGGCTTTACTTTATTACACGCAAAATTAGAGAATGAGAACAACCGTTCTCTATCCTTGGCCATTTGCCACAATATCTGCATTGACCTTCAGCACTTTGCCAAAATCAATTTATAGATAGGATGAAGAGGTTTTTTTTAAGTGCTTTTTGTCTTGCCAATGAAATTTTTCTTAAATTAGTTCAAAAACGTATTTGTATGTTAGAGATGTGTCCATCTGCCAGACTTTGGGCCAGACGTTGCGGGCACAAGGTAAGAGGCTATTGATTTGATAAAGATGGAGACTTTTAATTCAAAGATGTTGTAATTCACAGACTCTTCTCATTGGAGATGCACATAATGTATAATTTAAGTGCAAACTCCTTAGGCAGTGAGAGTGAAGAGGAAATGGAAAAAGGGAAGAAGTTTTTAAGAGACAGATCAAACCACAGATGGAAAACCACTCACTAGAAAAAACCCTTTGAGCAGTTGCTTTCTCCAGTTACAGAATTTTGTGGTCCTAAGCCCCCATGCCATCCCTAATGCCAAAAAATAAGGCTTCTACACTCCACTATGAATAATGGTTTAACTCCTCCTTTTAATTAATGCCAGAAAAGAACTAGTATACAGAAAGGCCATTTTTGTTCCGCTGGCAAAACTATGCCCATCACTGCAGCATTTTTATTTAATTTCATGTTACAAAACTATAATTCTACAACACTTTTGATTCTCAGATGGTTTTAAAAATGGAAGTCTCCCTGTAAAAGCTCTCTTCTCTTGTCTGCTTCCATGTGAGAGGTGTCTTTCACTTTCCACCATGATTGTGAAGCCTCCCCAACCACATGGAACTGTGAGTCCAATAAACCTCTTTCTTTTGTAAATTTCCCAGTCTTGGTTATGTCTTTATCAGCAGCGTGAAAATGGACTAATACAGGAAGTTTTTCAACACGGGTCTCCCTTCTTCCTCACTTTTGGGATCTCCACTGTTTGTTGTTTCTACCTTTGTGTCCATGAGCACCCAATGTTCAGCTCCTACTTATAAGTGAGAACATGCAGTGTTTGGCTTTCTGTTCCTGCTTTAATTTGCTTAGGATGATGGTCTCCAGATGAATCCACTTGGCTGCAAAGGACATGATTGCATTCTTTTTTATGGCTGCATAGTATTCCATAATTTAGATGTACCACATTTTCTTTACCCAGTCCACTCTTGATAGGCACATGAGTTGGTTCTATGACATGTGCGTTTTAATTCCCCTTCCTGCTTCGGTTTTTTTTTTTTTTTTAATAGACATCAAGGTTTTTTCATTGTTGGGTTCCTGAATGCTGGTATGGAAAGTGGCTCAAGGTAGTCATTTTTCTCATTAGCTATATGGAAAATGAATAAAAAATAATATTGAAACCAGATTTATTTTTTGAAATGCTGGAATGCTTGATATTTGAGAGAGAAAAACTAAATGCACATTTATTTTATGAAATAGATCCATATTGGTTAGAACAGAAAGTAATAGTTAACCCAAATTTATGGCTTTACACTTTCTATCTAGATCTCCTATTCATTGCTCCAGTGCCAGAAGAAATCAAGCCAGTCTCATCAAACAAAATATCTCATGCATTTAAAAGTCTAACTTAGAATTTTTCTGCAATGCTTATTCAGGCAATTAATGAAGGTATTATTAATTATAGAAATTGTTAATTAAATAATTAATTTGTTAATTGAATAATTTTTTACAAATTGAAAGAGTCTTTGAACTTACTTCAAGGCCAAATATGATGTGTATGGTATTAATATTTTGGATATTTTTGAAGGTGTTGTATTAAATGTAGCAAAAAAATGAATCCAGTATGTAACTACACCAAAAGCAATCTCTTGAAATTTTTATCAAATATGCCACTTTGAACCTCTGAGCTTCATACTCTTTTTTTTTTTTTTTTTTTTTTTTGAGATGGAGTCTCGCTCTGTCGCCCAGGCTGGAGTGCAGTGGCGCGATCTCGGCTCACTGCAAGTTCCGCCTCCTGGGCTCATGCCATTCTCCTGCTTCAGCCTCCCGAGTAGCTGGGACTACAGGCGCCCACCACCATGCCCGGCTAATTTTTTGTATTTTTAGTAGAGACGGGGTTTCACTGTGTTAGCCAGGATGGTCTCGATCTCCTGACCTCGTGATCCACCCGCCTCGGCCTCCCAAAGTGCTGGGATTACAGGCCTGAGCCACCACACTCGGCTGCTTCACACTCTTAATGGCCAAATGTCTGTGGTAGAACAGACAACCACGTAGAAGTCTCTGTTTAGAGAAAAGCTGACTCAGAATCAAGGAAGTCAGTTTTCTGATCATGACAATTTTTGGATGTCGTTTTGAGAATTATCAGATGCTATGAGAAGGGAAATGACCTCTTATTTATAACTCTTGATCTAAGAGCTCTCGTCTTCTAACTCATTTCTGACTCTACCTGTTTATAACTGTATGATACAAAACAAAATAAGAAAAAACATTAGTAGAAACTGAGTTGTTATTTGAAATTAATTGTATTAAGTTGAAAGCCACAAAGTGTCATTTTTTCTTTTGAGTTATGGAGTTCGTAAATGAAGATTCAAATGTGGTTTATAAGCCTTATGAACTATTTTATCTATATAAAATAAGTCCTTCCGCTAGTTAGATAATTATACACTAAAATATAGTCATATTGAATGCCTATGATGAAATCACAGGGCAGATTCTAACTATGGGGTAGAAGGATTTTAAATGTTTACTCACACATGGCATAGATATGCTGTTTGCACTGTTATTTTCTGTGCAGATACATGCATATCCTTTTCCTGTAAGTTATTTTGGAACCATGTCAGAAGTGGGCTGTGAGCTCTTATTGATAAAAGAAGTACTGCATTTCAATAGAAGATATCATTATCTGCAAAGTGAAATGACTGAGCTGGTTCCACCAGTGATCTATCAATCACAGCTTCTTGTATATTGACATGAGCCAGCACGGCATCACTGTTCAGATAGCTAACTTCACTCCAATCATGCCTTAGATCTAATTTTCACCTCAACAGGAATTAAAGGGTGCATGGGTACATGTTAACTGCAGCAGGTATGATCAGATGCATCCAGGATAAGTGAAGGTCATTTTATAAGTCATGTCAGATCACCCCTCCTCCCCACCAAAAATTATAAAATTAGATAAAAGTAGGAATGGAGTGGCTATTCCAGTTAAAAGAAACTAAAAAGAACAAATGTAAAGTGAGATATTTTATTGGATACCTCTGATGAAACTTGGATATCAATAGTGACATTTTATGATAGTGGAAAATTTACTTTGTTTTCATTTGATGTGTTGTAGCATTGCTGTGATGCGGGAAAATTTTCTTTTACCTTTGGAGAGAAGCATACTTCTGTATTTGGAGGGTGAAATGCTAGGATTGAATTGGTTAAGAATACATGCCAATAACTGACTATATCTCTATGAATGCATGTTGATATTCTGTATTTCTAAGTCTGGGGAATACTCACGGTCCATACAATGTCCATTCACATTGTATGGAGACATTTTGAAAGGGTCTGATTAGTCCATTTTCATGCTGCTAATAAAAACTTAGCCGAGACTGAGTAATTTATAAAGGAAAGAGGTTTAATGGACTCACAGTTCCACGTGGCTGGGGAGGCCTCAAAATCATGGTGGAAGGTGAGGGACAAAGGCACATCTCACACGGCAGCACACAAAAGAACATGTGCAGGGGAACACCTCTTCATAAAACCATCAGATCTCGTGAGACTTATTTACTATCACGAGAACAGCATGGGAAAAACCTGCTCCGGGGATTCAATTACCTCCCACCACTGGGTCCCTTCCGCGATTACAGGTGTGAGCCACTGCACCAGCCTTAGATTTTTCTTAAAATTCAATGATATGGATTAAATGTGCCATTCTTTCCACTTTTAAATAATTGCGAAAATTGAAGACAACAGATAAACAACATAACACCTGGCTTCAGAAAGAAAGAAACACTGATTAAAGAATATATGTCATTATGATATAGATGAAGTTTGAGTAGAAATCTAAAAAGCAGTGGAAGGCAGCATTGTTTACTTTGGGAAAATGACATAAGCCCAGTTTAATCTTTAAAACATTACTTTGGATAACTGACATGCTGATATCATAGTAAAATTCCCAGTACCCCTGAGCTAAAGGCCACGCACTGCTTATTAAGAACCGAGAAAAATAACTGCCATATTTGTTCCAAGCTAGAATACAGAAAGAAGGTCTTATAGGTATTTCAATCAAATTGGACCAGAAATGGGACAGAGGGAAACTATCATGCTGCACTTTTAGGAATAATTCAGTAACATTTGGAGAAATAAGGAAATGAGAGCTATGGTTTGAGCTTGAGAAAAATAATCTCTGTTTTTGTCTACAGTGTAGGAGAGAGAAGCACCTGTGTCCAATGGGAAATACCCAATCGGAGTTTCCAGGGAAGGAAAAGTACAGAAGCCTTCTAGTAAAAGATTCTTCCTAGAAAAGAAAATAGATCTAAATTCATTCAGAATCCTAATTGAAAGACAAATGAAAAGATTCTACTACTGTGCAAGAAAACCTTCTAATTCAGAACAATTCCATACATTATGTTACTTAAGAGAGAATAAGATGAGTTTAAAAGTTGGATGTCCTGGAATAATTAAGAGAAGCTTCTATGATTGCCAACAGTGAAACCAGAAACACAACATACTACTTGATAAGTGATTAAACTCTCATAAGTTCTGTTTGTGTAAATTCTGCTTGGGTGGCAGTTTCCTGTATGATTGAACTAATTTTTGCATGCATTAGCCTATGCTTTTTGGAGCTATAAATAGAACTGTACAATTTTTATTGAAATATACATAAGTGAAAGTCATGGTTTTAAATATACAATTTGTATTAGTCCACTTTTATACTGCTATGAAAGAATACCCGAGACTGGGTAATTTATAAAGAAAAAAAGGCTTAATGGACTCACAGTTCAGCATTGCTGGGGGCTTCAGGAAACTTACAATCATGGCGGAAGAGGAAGCAAACATGGCCTTCTTCACATGGTGGTAGCAAGGAGAAGTGCTGAGCCAAAGGGGGAAAAGCCCCTTATAAAACCATCAGATCTCATGAAGACTCACTCACTATCACGAGAACAGTATGGGGGAAACCGCCCCCATAACTCAATTATCTCCACCTGGTCCCACCCTTGACATGTGTGGATTATTACAATTCAAGGTGAGATTTGGGTGGGGATGCAGAGCCAAACCATATCATAATTCAATGAATATTCTCAAATATGTATAAGTAGGTATGCATTACCAACACCAGAAGAAAACATGAAAAGTGTATTCCTACCACACCAGAAAAATGACTTTCTGGTAAACCCCTTTTATGCCCAGAGGCAGACATGATTCTGTCATTTAACATCCCAGGTTAGCTTCTTTGCTCTTGAAATTTTTTATGAACAGCATCTTATAGTAGGCATTTTTTTTTCTCCAGCCCCTTTTACTACACATAATGTTTAGGGGATTCATTCACTTTGTTGTGCCTATTACCTTTCTTAAAACATTTTAACTATTGAACAGCATTTCATTATATGAAAAACATTGCAGTGTAGCTGCGTATTCTCCTATTAAAGGGCATTTGGCTGCTTTTACCTTAAGGCCTGTACGAAACAAGTTGAAATGATAATTCATGTGTGTGTCCATAAACACCTACGTGTAGAATGAAGTGGTCATGGGTGTATATGTGTGTAATTTGTTGTATGTATATATATGCCCATGAACGTGGTCAAAATGGGCAAATAGTTTACAAATAAATACAGATACAATAGGAAATATGTATGTGGCATATGTGTGTGTGTGTGTGTGTGTGTGTGTATGTGTATATATATATATATATATATATATATATATATATATATATATATATATGCACCTGGTCCCACCCTTGACTCGTGGGGATTATTATACATAGGTATATGCCATGTGTATGTTTCCTATAATGCCTGTACTTATAAAATATTTAGTAAAAAGTATACATTCAAATATTTATGCATGTATACACAAACATATTAATATGAATAAATCATTTACGTTTTATATCTGTGCTACACAAATGATTTATTTAAATATTTATGGATTTAAATGAATATTCATGTATATCTATATAATATTTATTTATATATATTTATATAGTCCTTAATCTAGATAAATTTCATTTTATTGATATATGCATGGTGAATAACTTTTTCCAATAGATGTGGGGTAAATGAAACATAGTATGTGACAATTTGTGAGATGGACCTAAAGCAATGACAAATACACTTGCATAGCATCGCATACACATCCTAAAAGATAAGTGTATTAGTCCGTTTTCACACTGCTAATAGAGACATACCCGAGACTGGGTAATTTATAAAGAAAAACAGGTTTAATGGACTCACAGTTTCACATGGCTGGGGAGGCCTCACAATCAAGGCAGCAGGCGAAAGCCACGTCTTACCTGGTGGCAGACAAGAGAGAATGAGAGCCAAGTGAAAGGGATTTCCTTTCTAAAATCTTCAGCTCTCATGAAACTTAATGACTACCACGAGAACAGTGTAGGGGAAATCGCCCCCATGATTCAATTAACTCCCACTGGATCCCTCCCACAGCATGTGGGAATTATGGGAACTACAATTCAAGATGAGATTGGGTGGGGACACAGCCAAATCAGATCAAGAAGAAATGTGATATATTAAGGAACTCATTTTATCAACTTAAGAAGCTATAAAAAGAAGAGCCATTAAACTCAGAGATGGGACAGGAGATAAGATAATGAAATAATGAACCGAGGTCCAATTAAACCAAAGCAAGTGAAAGGAAGTAATAAAGATAAGAAGTAGGATTCCACTAAAGAGAAAACAATAGAGATATTTAAGAGAGCCTAAAAGTTGTTTCTTTCAAAAGATCAAGAAAATCAATAGACCCTGAAAGAATTGTAGCACCTGGGAATATCCTTGTGTGAGACCCCAGAGTCGAGCTAAAGCACATTTACATCAACTCAGAGTGTTGCCTATTAGCATTTGGCTTTCTCTGTCCTTCATCCTTAAACCCAACCATCACTATCAGTACACATCTGTTTTGCTTTTACTGGAATTTTCATAGCCATGAAAGCTTCAGTAGGTATTCAGTTGTCCCCAGATAAGCATTGTATTTTTGATGTTCCATGATGGCGTAGGTACCAGAAGTTCCTTAGACTTTATTTCTGCAGAGAATTCCGTTCTATGGCTAGGCTACACTTTGTCTTTTCCTCAGCCGCTCATGGACATTTGAGTCATTTCTAGTTTCTAGCAGCTATTACTAAGGCTGCTATAAAAATTCACAGGCACGTTATTAGAGAAAATACATTTTTTCTCTCTTGAGCAAATATCTAAGAGTGAAATTACTGTGTCATGAAGAATGTTTATATTTAGCTTGATAAGAATATGCCAAACCTTTTTTCCAAGGTGGTTTAACCATTTTGCTGGGTGCAATGGCTCAGGCCTGTAATCCAAGCACTTTGGGAGGCCGAGGCAGATGGATCACCTGAGGTAAGGAGTTAGAGACCAGCCTGGCCAACATGGTGAAACCCCGTCCCTACTAAAAATACAAAAATTAGCTGGGTTGGGTGGTGCACACCTGTAGTCCTAGCTACTTGGGAGGCTGAGGCAGGAGAACCCAGGAGGCAGAGTTTGCAGTGAGTTGAGATTGTGCCACTGCACTCCAGCCTGGGTGAGGAAGTGAAACTCTGTTTCCAAAAACACAAACAAAAACTATGTGGTTTAACCATTTACTTTCCCACCAGTAATGTATGAGAATGGTTTGCCAATATTGTGTTACTATTTTTCATTTTACCCATTTTAATATGTGTGCACTAATATTTATTTTTGGATTTAATTTGCATTTCACTGATAACTAATGATGCCAAATATCAATTAATATGTTTATTTGACATATATACATATACACACACACATATATAATGTTCTTTTACCCAATGCAAATTTTAAAAAGATGTTGTCTCTCATCATCAAGTTATAAGTTTTTGTTTTAGATACCCCATATACAAGATCCATGCCTGTTACATGAGTCGCTAATGGTTTTTCCCCAGTCTGTTACATATATATAGTAACAGTGTCTTTTGAAAATAAAAATATTTCAATTTTTATTGTCTATATTTAAAAAAAATTTTTTGTGGTATGTGGGGAGTGTGTGTGTGTTCAGTATGAGATCTTTGTTTAACTCAGTGGTACAAACACTTTTCTCTTAAATTTAGGTTTAGCATTTTATATTTTAACATTAACAGGATTTATTATTTATGCAGTTAGTTTTTGTCCATAATGTGAGGAAACTTGAGGTTCATTATTTTTTTCCCATTTGGATACCCAGATGGGAAAATGTCAGCCTTCGTAATGTACATCAAATGCATAGTGATTATACTCCTCTACAGTTTTCTGAGATTTTGCATAAGATTGAAATAATTTTTTTCTTAAATCTCTGATAGACTTCATCAGAAAGCCACTTGAACCTGGAGTTCCTTTTTCGAAGGTTTTTAATATTCACATTTGATTTTTAAAATGTATGTATGGCAATTCAAGTTTTCTTGTACTAACATGCACTTTAGGTAATGCGTGTTTTTCCAGAATTTGTTCATTTCAGAAAGGTTGTCCATAGTTCATTGGCATAAAGTTGTTATCCATAGTTCCTTACTATTTCCTCAATATATGTATGGTGTCTTCTATTTTATTACTATATTGGAAATTGTAAAAGTTTCTTTGTTCTTGACAAGTCTTACTAGGTATATATAATTTTCATTAGTTATATAAAAATAACTTTTTAAAAACTTTAAAAAAATTTTTGAAGTAGAGACTCAAAGAAGTTGCAAAAATGATTCAGAGGGTCACCTGTATCTTTTATACAATGTGCTGAATGGTACCATCTTCTGTAACTGCAGCACAATATCACAATATCAACACAGGGACATCAGAATTTATTCAGTGCTACTGTTAATTATACTACAGACTTTTTTCAGACTTCACCAGTTTTTATATGCACTGTGTGTGTGTGTGTGTGTGTGTGTGTGTGTGTGTGTGCATGTAAGGAAAAATCAACATTTGATTTTAATTTTCTTTAATGATTCAATATTCTGTTTCAATGATTTACTATTTGTTTTTTTCAATTCCTCCTTATATTCCATTAAATTTCTCGTTTGTTAGCTTTTTAAACGTGAAAACTTAGTTGAATTTATGTTTGTTTATTCATATAAGGATCTAAAGAATTAGATATTTTCTTTAATTTCTGCTTTGCTTGCATATGACAAATTGTGATATATTTTGTTTTCATTTTCTTCCAACTCAAAATATTTTTCCAACTTTCCCGAAGATAGCTTCTGTGATCAATGGTAATTAAGAAGGGTGTTCTTTAGTTCCTAAATATTTGAGGATATTCTACATATACAGTGTTTATTGACTTCTAATTTAACGTCATTGGGATTGGTAATTAGCATAAAATACAAGAAAATATTTGATCAAAATAGACAGTAAAGAAAAACCAGAGGAGAAAGGAAAAATATGTTGAAAGAAGTGCAAAACAAATAGTAAAAATGAGAGGTCTTTCTCCAAATATATGAAAAATTGCATAAAATCACAAGGCATAATTTACCAAAGAGAAGTAATAAGATGTAAACTTATGCTATTAGCTGGGCATGGTGGTAGATGCCTGTAGTCCCAGCTACTTGGGAGGCTGAGGGAGGCTGACGTGGGAGGATCGCTTGAGCCCAGGAGCTTGAGGCTGCAGTGAGCCATAATTGCACCTTTGCATTCCAGCCTAGGTGACAGAACAAGACCCTGCCTCAAAAAAAAAAGTTTCTTTAAAATTTATGCTGTCTACAAGAGGAATACTTTAAATTTGAAGAAATGCATTGGTTGAGATTAAAAGAATGGAAAAAAGATGTGACATAACACTAAAGATGGAAAGCTAGAAAACGTATATTGATATCAGAAAAAGTAGATTTCAAGACAGGGTGTGCTACTTTGGTAATAAGAGACTTTGCATGATGACAAAGCTCAGTGTATCCAGGAGAGATCGAAATTATGAATGTATATGTGTTCAATACAATGGCTTCAAAATCTGTGAATGAGAAACTGAGTAAATAAGAAAGATAGACAAAACCAATAACAAAAAATAGGTGGATATTCTAAAACAACAGTCACAGTAATTGATAGAACAAATAAGCTAAATAGACTAAAAGACAGTCAGTATAGAATATCTGAACAATATTATTCACCACCAAACGTTATTTATACTTACTGCATAGACACTAAAAATTTCCAGAATGTGCATTTTTTTTCAAGTGCACAGGGAAGTTTAACTAAGGTAGACTAACCCTATTCTGGGTTATAACACAAAATAGAGTACACTTTTATGCAAACTTTAACTTTTAATAAGCAATTCCAATGTTTTCTGTCCTGCATTGTTACCAAGGGGAAGTCAGCTATTATTCATACCATTGTTTTCCTGTATGTACCATGTCATTTTTGTTTTCTTGCTGATTTCAAAACTTCTCCTTTTCATGTTTGTATTTTGGATGTTTCACCCAAGAAAAACCACTGACACCCTCTGACCCTCCTTTTCTCATCTTCTAGCATGGTAATAATAATATTGATGACTTTGGAAGGATTACAGATAATCTACCTAAAGTGGCTACTCTTTATGTTGTATTTCAAGTCTTCTAAAAGAATGAAAGTTCAGTTCCAGTGATTGTGGTCTTCCTCCGGGAACCTAGGTACTGTTGAGCTCCACCTACTAAATGACTTCACACTTTAAAGTGAGCCAAGGCCCTAGTCAAATACATCTCAATGGACTACTAGTTATCCCCATGATATGCAGTGGAGCAGAAGTCCTGTCCCTGATGGGGTGACCTCCCTGGTTTTCAGCACCAATTCTATCAATTAGTAGGTGGACCCATGTTTAGTCCTAGATGGGCTAGCATGATATGAGCCACTTGGCCTAGCTTAAGAGGAATGCATTGCTCTTTCTATATTTTCCTCTGTGATGTGGATTGGCTGTGTCCCCACCCAAATCACATCTTCAACTGTAGCTCCCATAATTCCCATGTGTTGTGGGAAGGACCTGGTGGGAGATAATTGAATCGTGGGGGCAGTTTCCCCCATATTGTTTTCATCCTAGTGGTCTGATGGTTTTATAAGGGGTTTCCCCTTTCACTTGGCTCTTTCTTTCTTGCCTGATTCTATGTAAGACGTGACTTTCACCTTCTGCCATGATTGTGAGGCCTCCCCAGCCACGTGGAACTGTGAGTCCATTAAACCTGTTGTTCTTTATAACTTACCCCATCTCAGATATGTGTTTATCAACAGCATGAAAATGGACAAATACACTCTGGTTGCCTGATTTTTTTCTGGAGTATGCCATCCTTGAAATCTGAATTTTGACATAGAAAGAACTGAGAGTTACATACGGATTTTGGGAACATAGAACAAAGGAAATCCCTTTCAAAAATCTGCCTTATTTCTGGCTTAGGTGGCATATTCTTTCCCATGAATCAATTTAGCTGGACAGCATTCTACATTATGATTTGAGGTAAACCTCCATCCATTGATAAAGTGATTTTAACATTGTCTGGTCTCCTGTGATTATAGTTTCCTCAGGGTTTGCTGTCATGGGGTAGGATTTGGAAGATGTAGTAGCCTTCCCAGAGAAAACGTTATTTTAATTTTACTTTCTCATATTAAGTAAAAAGTGACTTTTTATGATTTCCTCTTGGTGTTCCTTCTCTCACACAGACACACATATGTACACATTTCTACATATACACATTTGTATAAAATCTTTTATATATAGTTTTATATATGCAAAATCTATGTATACAGATTTTATATATATAGAAATCTATATATAGATGCTATATATAGATTTCTATATATTTATATATACTGATATATATGATAGAAATCTATATATCTAGGGAGATTTATATATATATATATAGAGAGAGAGAGTTTTCATGACATAAAACAAGAAGCTTGTTTCTTCTATAATCCTATAACAAAAAATAAACATATATTACAAATTTATACTTGAACTTGTAGAAAAAGAATGAGAGAAATACTCAAAACATTATATATTGAAATTGCTACAAGATATCTGGCAACATTTCTGGAAATATTATTTTGGGGAATATGAAAAGTTTTGAGCTGGGTAACAATATGAGCACATTATTCTGCAGCTGCTTGAGTGACAGTCCTCAGGAAGTGATGAGGAGTGACTCTTTATGGCTTATTTTTAAGCTGTTGGAAGTTCCTTAGGGCTAACTGAAAATGCGTCTTCTCTGGATTTTCCCTGTTTGACATGATTGTCCAGAGCTTAGATGAAGACATAAAGACATGTTCATCCTACATGGCTTGGAGCAATATTTTATATTGTAGAGAAAATGAAAATGACTGGCCAAAATACGATGAAACTGAACAGGGAAAGCATAAAGTTTTAAATTTCATTTTTTAAAGGCAGCATTGAGGACTCCTAGTTTAACAGTTTATTAACTCCATTTGATAGATGCATGCTGTCAAGAGAAAGATTACCATCTCAGATTCTGATTAGATCATACCCAGGGTGATGCATTTATTTCTGATGGCCACATTTTAAGACACACATTGTAAAACTACGGCAAATCCAGAAAAAAGTTTCCGTGAGGTTCAAAAGACTCACAATAGTGTTATGTGAGGATCTATTGAAGGATTCCACATTCTTTCATTTATCTATTTTTTAAAGACCGGGTGTCACTCTGTTGCTTGGTTAGGGGAGGTCAGCATCGGAGATGAGTCTAAAAATGATCAGCTGTGCTGAATGGACAGCTCATGATTTGACCACAGACTTTAGAAAGCACTGCCTGCAAAGCAAAACAAAGACCTGCCATTTTCTAAGAAGCTATTATTAAGTCACAGCTTACACGTGGTCTGTTATTTTTTTATTTTTTTTTTTTTTGAGACGGAGTCTCGCTCTGTCGCCCAGGCTGGAGTGCAGTGGCGGGATCTCGGCTCACTGCAAGCTCCGCCTCCCGGGTTCACGCCATTCTCCTGCCTCAGCCTCCCGAGTAGCTGGGACTACAGGCGCCCGCCACTACGCCCGGCTAATTTTTTGTATTTTTAGTAGAGACGGGGTTTCACCGTTTTAGCCGGGATGGTCTCGATCTCCTGACCTCGTGATCCGCCCGCCTCGGCCTCCCAAAGTGCTGGGATTACAGGGTCTGTTATTTTTAACCCAGACAACATTTTTGCCATCTTTCCACCAAAGCAGGAAATGCTTTACATTAGAGCTGTTTTAGAGTTTTTGTTTTTCTTTAAATTTCAAAATCAGGCTGTTGGTTACCAATCACATAAGGATACACAAATATAAAAGTATAAGGATGATGCCAAATACATGTGAGTTTGTATATTCCCTGGAGCCTGAATTTGGTGTATTGCTATGACTGTCTTCTTGATGGAACTAAAAAGGGAAAAAGAGAATTGAAATTAAGGAAAAATACCCCCAAACATAGAATGGTGGTTACCAGGAGTGAGGGGGTGGGGGTTAGAGGATTGAGGAAATGTTGGCCAAAGGATAGAAAGTTTCAACTAGACTGAGGGAATACATTCAAGAGATATACTGTACAACATGATAATTAGAATTAATAACTATGTTTTGTACACTTGAAAATTGCTAAGAGAGTAGACTTTAACTGTTCTCAATACAAAAGTATGATAAGAATGTGAAGTAGTGCATATGATAACTAGCTCAATTTCATAATTCCACAATGCATACATATATAAAAACATCATATTGTACCTCATAAATATATATATAATTTTTTATCAATTAAAAAAATGATAGAACTATGCCACATTGATTGATGAAAATTTCACATGAGATCTCTCTTTTTACACATATAAATAATGCATTCCTCAATAGAAAATCACTTTGTGGATTGAGTCAAGTCAGTTAAAGTAATCAACATTGGAACTTTATGGCTTTTGCAAAGAAATTGCCTAATGCCAACAGAAAAAAAAAAAGCAAAGCAAAGAGCCACATAAATGATATTGAGAAAACACACTGCTCTAACCAAGGGCTTGAGTCAGCAGCAAATGGGTAACTGACCTAGGTATTGGCCCTAGGAAATAATTTTCTAACATAGAAGAAGGTACGGTAACAACCATGTCCCTGGGGAGGGGCAGGGTAGCAAGATCCTAGCTGCAAACAGATCTACTCAAAAGTTTTAAACAAGAGGGTTTAATGAAAAGACTATTTATAAAGAAGATTGCACTTCTTCACACCTTTGGGCAATTTGCACCCTCGGATTTGCACTAGCAAGATTATTACGTTTTAACCAACCTTGGCAGTAAAGAAAAAGGGAATGCTTATCAGAGCCTGTAGAGTTCTGATGTGCTAACCAGAGCCATGGAAGACCTGATAAGCAGTTCTATATAAGGAGACAAGCCCTACCGTGTATTGAAACATATTGACAACCCTGTTTAAGTAAAATATTAATAGTATCCAAATATGGAGTGACAGACAATTTCAACAGAATGAAAAGTCCAGAAATACACCCAAATACACATGGAAATTTAACAAATAAAACAATGATATTGCCAGTCAGTAGGGACTTCTTCATATACACTTTTGAGAAACTGAAATAAAATAGATTCCCTACCCCCACACAATGCACAAAAATAAAATCCAAATGAATTACAGGTCTACGTGGAAAAATTTGAAAGTGTACAATTTTATCAATAAAAATGAATAATTTTTCTAAAACCTGGATATGTAGGAATGCTTTAAAAGTGATGCAAAGTACAAATGCAATTAGATGATGGATGGATGAATAGATAGATAGATAGATAGATAGATAGATAGATAGATAGATAGATAGATTATGGGTACATAGTAGATACCATTTCTCAATTATTAAATCAGCAAAATTATAAAAGTTTGACATCACATTCTGGTGATGAGGCTACTGGAGTATGTCTCACACATACACAGAGAGTAATAATTAAAAACGGACAATGTTTATGGAAATGGATTTGACAACTTGTACCAGAGCTACATATATTTTTACCCTTTGACCAACAGTCTCACTTCTGGGAAATTACCACTGAAAACATACCCTGATAAATGCAAATATACATATTTACAAAGTTGCATATTCCTACATTGTCTGTAATTGCAAAATATAGAAAGTTGTATAAATAACTGACTATAAGAGATTGTGTTTATTAAAAAGTGCATATATACACCATAAATTATCACACATTTGTATAAAATGAGACAGATATCTATTGACCTTCTTAGGGATAAAAAGCATTATTTTTACAAATTATTTTTAAATGCTTCAGAAAAAATGATTGATTATTTAGATAAATAAATAGATGTTAGAGATGATGATAGATGATACAGATAGACAGATGAGATGAGATAGATAGATGGATAGATAGATAGGCCAATAGATTGGAAAGATAGATGATTGATTGATTGATTGATAGATGGATGATAGATACTTGATAGATAGAGATGGATAGGTAGATAGATTCTCTAAGAGTTAATTTAAATATTTGTTTTCTGACTTAATAAATGCTAGATATGTTTGAATAAATCAAATATTACTTTTAAAAAGCAATAAATGAAACAAAGCTAGTGTTGAACTTCCAACAATAAGCCCTCTATAAACAGATCTACTCTTTAAAATATCAGTGAAACTTGCATAAAAATAAATACTTAGTTAATTTTCAGGGCAAAATCTATCCCCACCAGTCAATACAAATAAAACAGCATCCAAATAAAATGTAAAGTTGAAAGCTTAGCAATTAAGATGCATACTTCCTAATACCACCATCAAAGAAGCAACAACCACTGATTCACTATTTACCAAAGAGAGACAGTTGTCAGTACATTTCCCAATATTTCCTCCAAAAACAACACAGAACAACTAAAAGGACAAAGGCACCTGCAGGACACCCACATTCCCAACATGAATCTATGACAGAGTATGCCTGCTCTTCAAAATAACTGTAAGTATAAATAAATAAATAAATAAATAAACAAACAAACAAATAAGAGAATCCTCTGAATTCCAGAGATCCATCTCTTGTGCTGAGAGGCAATGATGTATGACCTGGCCAGATGTGGGGAAGAGAGAAGAGAAAAAATAAGAGAGCTCTTCTACAACTTCTATGGGTTACCATGAGAATATTTTCAAAATTATTAATTAAAACATTATAATGAAAGGAGATAGTACCACATCATGGACTTCATTACAGTAAAAATGGAGGAGATC
This sequence comes from Homo sapiens, assembly GCF_000001405.40. Lineage (NCBI taxonomy): Eukaryota > Metazoa > Chordata > Mammalia > Primates > Hominidae > Homo > Homo sapiens. The sequence goes on from NC_000023.11 coordinate 4,706,627, forward strand.
AGACTCTGGCATTGTCACTGACTGATAGTCTGTTGGTACACACCTCATCTTCCTGGCATTTGGATTCCTGAATTCTAAAACAAGTTGATAGATTGACTTAATTGTTGGACACCACCCCATGAATTGTCTTCAAAGGGACCCTCTGATGATCCAGAAGTGCCTGTATGAATTCTTTCAGGGAGATGATTACAGCTTTGCCCAGTCTCAATGTTATGTCTGGCTCAAACAAAGACAAGGACCACTCAGCCGGTGAATCCACTGTTAAAAGAAAAACTTCAGCCAAATTAAATTTAAAGGAGTTTAATTGAGCAATGAAGGATTCGCAAATCTGGCAGCCCCCAGAATCGCAGCAGATTCAGAGAGACTCCAGGGGTGCCTTGTGGTCAGAACAAATTTATCAACAAAAAAAAAGTAAAGTGACCTACAGGAATCAGAAGTGAGGTACAGGGCAACTGGATTGGTTACTGGTTGGCGTTTGCCTTGTGTGAACATAGTTTGAATACTCAGCTGTCTATGAGTGGTTGAAGTACCGCCGCTGGGATTGGCCAACACTGAGCTATTGTTACAGGTGCATACTTCTATGTTAGGCTTTCAATCTTGTCTACCTATTAAGTTAGGTTGCAGTTCATCCACAAGGACTCAAATATAGAAATACGGAGTCCTTCTCAGGCCATATTCAGTTTGCTTAAACGCCACGAAGTGCCTCTCAGTTCTAACATTGTCTGAAAACTGGGGCTCTTGTAGATCCTGAGAAGTAAGGCATTCAGATTAGAATTCCACACATATTTGGCCAGTCACGGTGGCTCACGCCTGTAATCCCAGCACTTTGGGAGGCCGAGGCGGGTGGATCACAAGGTCAGGAGATCGAGACCATCCTGGCTAACATGGTGAAACCCCGTCTCTACTAAAAATACAAAAACAATTAGCCAGACATGGTGGTGGGCGCCTGTAGTCCCAGTTACTCGGGAGGCTGAGGCAGGAGAATGGCGTGAACCTGGGAGGCGGAGGTTGCAGTGAGCCGAGATCGCGTCACTGCACTCCAGCCTGGGAGACAGAGCGAGACTCCGTCTCAAAAAAAAAAAAAAAAAATTCCGCACATATTTGACTTTGGGATTTGGCTTTGGAAATATCTAATTCAATTTATTAAATTATCTTTATTGAGTAACTTTTCTAAGCTAACTTTTTTGTTGTTCTTTGATAAATACTTCAAACACATTGTGCCATTCTACCAAAAGGGAAACATGCACTCAGGTAATTGCCTTGGTCAACATAAATTCTCTCCTCTGGTGCATTTATGATTTGTTCTTCCTACCTCTTCATTCCGCCAAAATTAAATGTATTGGTTGTAAGCTACAAAGTATTATGTATCTCTATTTCTGATAAACTCAGACATTGACTTTGAACAATCTAAAAAGAAAGATAAAATTCCCACTTTTTAATCATGCATCCTTTCATATTATAATAAAAGCACAGTTTATCCTTTCATATATAATACATATAATTATATAATTGTAATCTGGAAGTTCCCATTGCGTATTTGCCTCTTTATTATAGTTTCTCAATATTTTCACTCCAAAGACAAAAAAGAACTGAAATATAACGACCAAAAAACTATCCAGCTGCATAATGAAATCGTAGCTCAAAGCTATAACCAACAAATATGATTCTGAAAAGCTATTTTGCCTGCACAATATAACTCAATAACAATGCTAAATGCTTTTAGTTTGGGGAATACTTATGAATGCTTCTATAATGTTTGCTCAATTCTGTAAGCAGTATCCTGACAGTTAAAATCAAACCCGCTATTCTAGCTAACAAGGGAATAGACAGCCCTGTTCCATGACAATCTTTGAAATGCAGCAATATTATCCATTTTGGGTACAATAGGTTTAATTATAGGGTCATTGTAGGGTATTTTAGATACTCAGTAAACTGTTGTGAGAAAGGGCGAATTTTGATGTCAACTTAAGTGAACCCTTTTATTTCTCCCCATCATTTGTAATGTGTTTATTACAAAATCTATCTAGTTTGAGACAGAACTGCATGGCTGAATATGTGTTTACTTTTCCTACTGCCACGTATACATACTGACATTCAGAACATTAGGATTTTTTGTCAGTTATGCAAAAGATGAAGAGGCTTAGTTCTTAATATCAAATGCAAAGACAGATGTTGTCCCTAAGCTAATATAACAACGTTTTAAATGGGACCTGTGGCATAATATTACAGCACAAATCATTATGGTATATTTTATAATTATGCATTTTAATGGATTCAAGTAAATCCTGCTTCGATTACATTTTGCTCCATTAGACAAAGTATCACAATCAATGTTCAGCTTGGCTCTTATTTGTTTACTTTTTATGTAGTGATGAGCTGAAACAGTCCTTAAGTCCTCACCCTTGTTCACTTAATGACTACCTATAAACTACTGTGGCACTGGTGATACTTCAACTCATGGATGGGAAAATCGAGTCTTACAGCATTTAATTTTCATCTCACTGAAACTAACTTTGCAAAAATTATAACTGAGGAAATTATGACAGTGAAAGAGGTCAGACCTAACCAACTCCATCTTGCTTCTAATCTTTAAACTGTCCTTCTTCATTCCTGGGTGTAGGCCGATCTAGTCTTGGGAAGGAATTCAGTTTATGGTTTGACTCTGAAACAAAATTGATAATAACTCTTTCCTGAACAAAAAACTCTTCGTGCCTGGGACCAGTCTGCCTTTGTAGTATTAACAAATTAGCTACAAGATTAGAAATTACAGTTTAGAGGTCATATAGCCTTTGGCTGCAAGAGTCTGAACTTCCTCAAATTGCTCCTGGGGATAACACCACTGTTGTAAAACCTCAGATCAGTGCTTGAGGTATTTTGCAGACCCTGCACTGGATCGATCAGCTGACATCACTCAGACAGGTAATCTGGCTCAACCAGTTCTGCCACCCCACCCAGGAACAGAAAACAACAAGAAAACCTCACTTTAACCCCCTATGATTCCATCTCCAACTCAACCAATTAGCACTCCCCACTTCTGGAGCCCCTACCTGCCAAATTATCCTTTAAAACTCTGGTCCTGGCTGGATGCAGTGGCTCATGCCTGTAATCTCAAAACTTTGAGAGGTTGAGGTAGGCTGATCACTTGAGGTAAGGAGTTCAAGACCAGCCAGTTGAGGTGGGCTGATCACTTGAGGTCAGGAGTTCAAGACCAGCCTGGCCAACCTGGCGAAACCCTGTCTTTACTAAAAATACAAAAAAAAAAAAAAAAAATTAGGCTTGGTGGTGCTTACTTGTAATCCCAGTTACCTGGGAGGCTGAGGCACAAGAATCGCTTGAACCTGGGAGGCAGAGGTTGCAGTGAGCCGAGATCGTACCACCGCACTCCAGCATGGATGACAAAGTGAGAGTCTGTCTCAAAACAAAAACAAAAACAAAAACAAACAAACAAACAAAAACACAAATGAGAACAACAAAAAAAAACCCCTCTGATCCCTGAATGCTCAGGGAGACTGATTTGAGTAATAATAAAACTCGGGTCTCATGCACAGCCAGCTGTGCATGAATTACTCCTTCTCCATTGTAATTCCCTTGTCTTGATAAATGGGCTCTGTCTAGGCAGGGGGCAAGGTGAACCCACTGTATGTTTACATAACTAGTAAATGGTTATTCTTATATCTCAATCCAAGCAGTTTCACCAAGGATCTTGTGCCTTCATCGTTAAAATGTAGTTATATATTTTTCTAATTCACTACAAAGACACAAGTATTATAATTTGTACCCAAAACTTCCTCTTCTAAACCAACGGACAGAAGGGAGAAGAGGATGTAAGATACATGTAAGGCAGAAAGGAAATGTAATTAAAAATCGAGTATCCAGGAAAGTCAAATTATGGAGAGGGACAAGGTTTGGGGCTACAAAGGAAAAAAATAAATAGGGAGCAGGTGATGTTGACTATGGAATCTTTAAAGATAAAGGTTCTATTTGGGTAGGTGAAGTAGTGAAAGGTGGTAAGAGAGGAGAAAGGAAAAAAACAGTCAGGCAGGCAGTTAGCGTGGGTCCTCCGTTGAATCCTTTGAAACAAAGGAACAGCCTGCAGGCAGAGATAAGGGAAGTTACACAGTGGGGCTTGCCCAAGACATGCCCGCAGCCACACAGATAAGAAAGGCTACACAGGTGACTTGCCCAGACATGCAAGCAATGGAAATTTCCATCTCCTGACACATGCCCAGTAAATGGAACAAAACAATACGGACTAACTCAAGCTAAGGGGCCGTGTGTGCATTAGGAGGATGGGGTAGAGCTACTAGATATGTGTGCCTTATGCAAATGAGAGGCCCAGACCTCACTGGTTTCTTATAAAAGCCTTTGCATTCAATTGTAAAAACAGCAACCCTCTTCCAGGTCCCCTCTCCGCAGCAGAGAGCTTTCTTCTTTCACTTATTAAACTTTCACTCCAACTTCATCCTTTCTGTCCATGCTCCTTGATTCTCTTAGTCATGAGACACAGAACTCTGGGTGATACCTCACAATGAGAGACTGCTACAATGTGGTGCACTGGCGAGACTGCAACAGTGTCATTCCTGATAAAAACAAAACATTGAGTAAAGAAATGGAGGAGGGTCTTGGCAAGACTTGGACTGCCCAGTATGGTGGTGTTGACGAGAGTCCAACTCTGTAAAATATTTGAAGAGATTTATTCTGAGCCAAATATGAGTGACCTTGGCCCGTGACACAGCCCTCAGGAGATCCTGAGAACATGTGTCCAAGATGGTCGGGGTGCAGCTTGGTTTTATACATTTTAGGGAGACATGAGACATCAATCAAATACATTTAAGAAAGACAGTGGTTCAGTCCAGAAAGGCAGGACAACCTGAAGCAAGGCGGGCAGGGGGGTGCTTCCAGGTTATAGGTAGATTTAAATTTTTCTGGTTGAAAATTGGTTGAGTTTATCCAAAGACCTGGGATTAATAGAAAGGAAATATCTGCAACGCAATAAGAGGTTATGGAGTCCAAAGTTTTATTACGCAGATGCAGCCTCCAAGTAGCAGGCTTCAGAAAGAATAAACTGTAAATGCTTCTTACCAGACTTAAGGTCTGTTGATGTTAATGCCAGAGAGATGTAATGAGGCATATTCGACCCCCAATTTCCATCATAGTCTGAACAAATCTTTCAGGTTAAAAGTGCCCTAGCTGAGGAGGAAGCCCATTCAGATGGTTTGGGGTCCTTAGAATTTTATTTTTGGTTTACATTGGTCATTAGCCATATGTGACTACTTTAAGTTAATTAAAATGAATAATGATTAACCATTCAGTATCTGAGTTATAATTGCTACATTTCAAGTGCTCTGTACCCATACATGGCTAGTGGCTACCATACTGGACAGCCAAGAATAGAACATTTGCATTATTTCAAATAGTTGTGTTGGAGAGTGCTGGTCTTGGAAAAATAACTCAGGGTATAGCAGAGCAAAGATGCTTCTATAAGCAGTTAACTTTTAGATGTATAGTATGAAGCAAGGAGAGGGAAAGGTGTGAATGAGTCAAATGTAAAAAAAAAATGACTTTAATGTATATGAATTGCATTAAAATTATCCCTAAAGTTTAGAAATATCTTTTTTCAAATCTCAAGCAATAGTTTGTAAATGATACAAAAATATTAGCTTAAGACCATGAATACACATAAAATAGGCTTTATAAAAATAGAAAAAATGTCATTAAATTTTGAATGACTGTTTCATAGTAGATATTTTTCCTCTCTAAATGTATTAAATAAATTCAAATTGTGTGTGGATACAGAGCCAACTAAAATTTCCTTGTTCTTTCATAGTTCTCCCCATTTGTAGTCTATAATCTCTGGAATTGAAACCACAGCCATTTGCTCTTTTTTTTGAACATTATATTTTTAGTAATAATATTAATATTTTTTCTTATCTATTTTTGATACAGGGTTTCATTCTGTCGCCCAGGCTGGAGTGCAGTGGCACCATCTCTGCTCACTGCAACCTGGACATCCCAGGCTCAAATGATCCTCCCACCTCAGCATCCCAAGTAGCTGGGACTACAGGTGTGCACCACCACGCCTGGCTAATTTTTCTGTAGAGACAGGGCCCAACTAAGTTTTCTAGTCTGGTTTTGAACTCCTGGGCTCAAGCAATCTGCCCATCTTAGCCACTCAAAATGCTGGGATTACAGGCGTGAGCCACTGCACCAGTCTGCTCTTTTTAATTCCTTCCAAATGACCTCTGATTTTTGGGAGTTCACATGCTTTTCAGATTAAAACAAAAAACGAAAAGCAAAAACAGGAAACCTATTGCTCAAGTGATACTAAAAACAACACTATGAGTTTAAAAAATAATTTTCAATTTTATTTAATTAGATTTTCTTCTCATGGTATCCAAGCAGGTTTAAAATATTATTGGAAATAAACAACAAGTAAAAAAAAAATAGACAAATGTTCATAATGTACACTAAATATAAAACTAAAGCAAAAATATAGCATTCTTATTTTTTCTGCCCTGGCTGAATAATGATATTTTAATTTTTAAAATACATTGTCAACAACAACTCTTTCCTTTAAAAATTTTCCCTACAGAAGAGAGAATTCAGGACCAAGTGTTGATTTTGTCTAAAGAAGTAATTTATAGTAATGGTAATTACAACCTACTTACATATTTACAAATAAGGATTCTTATGTACTCTTTATTTGTTAAAAAAAAAAAAAAAAAATTAATAGGTCTCACCGTGTTGCCCAGGCTGGTCTTGAACTCCTGAGCTCAAGCGATCCACCTGTCTTGCCCTCCAAACGTGCTGGGATTACAGGTGTGACCCATGGTGCCCAGACCCAATAAGTTTTTTGTTTGTTTGTTTGTTTGTTTTTTTTTGTTTTTTGGAGGCAGAGTCTCACTTTATTGCCAAGCTGGAGTGCAGTGGCACAATCTTGGCTCACTGCAATCTCCGCCTCCTGGGTTCAAGTGATTCTCCTGCCTCAGCCTCCTGAATAGCTGAGGTTACAGACACCCGCCACCACACCCAGCTAAGTTTTGTATTTTTAGTAGAGATGGGGTTTCACCATGCTGGCCAGGCTGGTCTCAAACTGTTGGCCTCAAGTGATCTGCCTACCGCGGCTTCCCAAAGTGCTGGGATTACAGGCATGAGCCACCATGCCTGCCCCCGGCCCCATATACCTTTTTAAATTATGGATTATTACTTCCTTGTGAGAACTTCCTGGAAATGATTCCTGTGTAATGCTAGTCATGGTGATACAGACAGGAGGTAGGGAAATACTGGGTAGAAGTGGGCGGTTCCCTGGCAAAGGCCCCACCCCTGGAAACCGTGGCCCTAAATGAGAACAGTTATCCCTGTTTTTCTGCCCAAATGTTACTTTTTTGGCCCACTCTCCCTCCCTTTCCTGTGCCCATATAAACTCCAGACCTCAGCTGGCAGAGAGACAAGTGGCACATGTCGAGAGGAGAAGAAGCAACTGAGCATCAGAGACTACAGATAGACGCAGCTTAAATTCAGATGGCACGACTTCGGAGAGAAGCTTGCCCAGAGATGGCCAGGCTTCAGGGAAAGATCACCTTCTTCCGCACCCTCCCCTTTCCAGTTCCCCTTCTGCTGAGAGCCACTTCCACTGCTTAAGAAAACCTCTGCATTCATCATCCTTCAAGTCCATGTGAGCTGATTCTTCCTGGAGGCGGGACAAGGACCCGGGTACCAAGAGAGCAGGGTGTAAAAGGCTGTCACCCTGACTCTCCACTGATCTGGTTAACACTTAGCCGGCTGTGGACGGCAACTGCTAAAAGAACATTAATTGTAACACACTCCTAGACGCCGCCTTGGCCTTGGGGCCAGAACTCAAAATCACTCGCCGCAGCTCTTGCGCCCGCTCACTGGCATGCTCCCCCTCCCACAAGGGGGAGTAAATGAACCACATCCCTGTCCCAAGTCCATCCCGCAAGGGGGTCACGGGAACTCTCCTGTCTCAGTGGGGTTTTTTGATGAAACATGTCACTTTTCATGTAAAATGCTACTGTGAATTCTGCAGCATCTTTTTGATTTTGCTTTTCTACATTGTAGAGACCACACACTTTTCTCTGAGAAATCCACTGGGATAACAGATTCAATGAAATAGCTCTGCTTGACAGAAATTTCACATATTCCTCAGAGAAAATGAAATTTCCAATCAGTTTTAAGCAAAAATATTCTTTTTTCTTGCCCCAGCTGGTACAAATGGAATCTAAACAAATTCTACAAAGGAGCAAGATTGAAAATATGAATTTTGAAGTGACAGTCAACCAGCTATGTATATTTTTGTGTTGGAAAGAATTCCCTCAATACATTACACCTCAACTGGGGCCATTAAACACCAGAACAACCACTGCTTTGACATTTAGCACCAGAATCCATCACATTTGGTAAAGGAACAAATCTCTGTGGGAAAGCAATTGTATTCTTGAAAGTGTGTATTCCATGAATTCTCTCTACATTTCAGCTCTGTAACACCCTGAACAAATGTGCGGAATATTTGGTGGTTTGTGTTTTTTCCTCCATATTCTTCAAACTTTTCTTTCTTTCTTTTTCTTTCTTTCTTCACTGACTTTTCTTTCTTCTTTCTTTCTTTTCTTTCTTTCTTTCTTTGTTTCCCTCCCTCCCTCCCTCCCTCCCTCCCTCTCTCTCTCTCTCTCTTTCTTTCTTTCTTTCTTCCTAGGTCTCACTCTGTTGCCCAGACTGGAGTGCAGTGCCACAATCATGGCTCACTGTAGCCTCAAGCTCCTGGGCTCAAGCAATCCTCCCACCTCAGCCTCCCATATAGCAGGGACTACAGGTGTGCTCCACCACACCCAGATAATTTTTTAACTTTTTTGTGGAGATGGAGTTTTGCCATGTTGTCCAGGCTGGTCTCAAACTCCTGGCCTCAAGCAATCTTCCTATCTGGGCCTTCCAAAGTGTTGGGATTACAGCCATCAGCCACTGCACCCGGCCTTGTTCTTCAACCTTTCTAAGATAAACCACACAGCTGCTCTATGTAACATAGTTGGTGGAGGGGAGAGTAACTAGTTTCTGAGGTTTATTAAACATGCTCGTAATCATTATAATTTGATTAATGACAGTAATTAAATGTTGCATGCATTGCTACAAGAGAGCTTTCACTCATCTAATTAGTTAATAACATGGGTAAGGAAAATAAATGCCACTATGTTCTGGTATCACCCAACTGAGGATAAAAATGTATCATCACACTAAGACTATGCCAATGACTCAAGTTACGAGTTTAATACCTGAAACTGGTCAACTTTTCAACAAATATATATTCGCTACTAAATGCCAATCATAGTTGTTACTATTGAAGATACAGCTCTCAACAAAATAAAGATGCTGCTTTAAATAATGTGTTCACACATTAATTGAATGTGTAGGATAAATGCAATTTATGTCCTTTTGTCTTTCCTTCCTTCCACCGGAAGTTTTCAAGTAGTTAAATAAGTTATTCCGGGAACGTGACCAATGAACCCCAAATTTAAATTAAATTGATTGAAGATTAATGCTTTCTAGTACAGACTTTATCCTTAATTCTTACTATATGCTCTGAAGCTTCCTGCTTGAAGGCACAAGACAAATGGGACTGATTGTGTCTGTGTGTATGAAAGTAACATAAAAAGTATATAAACTATAAATAAAAAATATCTATAAATGACATCATTGTAATATAAAACTTTTCTAATACTGTTAATTAGTGTCATTTTTGCAAGCTGCTTTTCTTTTTTTGAGACAGGGTCTCACTCAGTTGCCCAGCCTGGAGTGCAATAGTGCGATCTCAGCTCACTGCAACCTCCACCTCCTGAGTTCAAGGGATCCTCTCACCTCAGCCTCCAAGTAGCTGGTACTACAGGTGCCACCACACTCGGATAATTTTTGTACTTTCAGTAGAGATGAGATTTCACCATGTTGGGCAGGCTAGTCTCGAACTGCTGGCCTCAAGTGATCTACCTACCTCAGCCTCCCAGAGTGCTGGGATTACAGGCATGAGCCACCATGTCTGTCCGCAAGCAGCAATGTTAATAGTCATCTATAAAAATAGTTTTAGGTTGTAACTTTTGATTCTTTACATTTTATACATCTCTACATCTATCTGTAACTGTCATTGGAAGAAAATACAGACTTGGCGAGCTTGAAGGGAATATTGGAAATGATCTATTTTTGGCAATTTTTTGGTCCAGATCTAGCTGGCTACTGGGGCTTCTTACTCACTTTTTTTTTTTTTTTTAATCTCACTTTTGTTTTGGCTGCTCAGCTAAGGTGAATATTTAGCTATGAGAAACTGCTAGGTACTTCTGCTGTTAAAATTTATATCTTCTTTGGCTTGAATGTAAATTATCCAGTATCACATTATCAATATTTCTTTCAGAAATGGAGACCATCGTAGTCCATAAAAGCATCCACATAGATAACTTGAAGAACTGTACAAATATCTAAACAAACCAAAATTCATTTTAGTGATTGGAGTATTTCAGATTGCTGTGTTTCTATCTGAAACTTTAAAGAAATATTTGAAAAACATTAAAAATAATTGACAAAAACTTAGCCTGGCCTTTAATCACATTATTTAGAAAATATATTTACTGGGCCAAAAATATCAGGATTTATAGAAATTACATATCCAATTTTCTTATTTCAAAGTGGAGCTGAACCAAAGACTGACTGACTGACTGATTGATTGATTTTTAGAGACGGGGTCTCACTATGTTGCCCAGGCTGGTCTTGAACTCCTGGGCTCAAGCAATTTGCCCACCTTGGTCTCCCAAAGTGCTAGGATTATGGATGTGATCCACTGTGCCCAACTGAACCAAAGATTTAAAGAGATTCTCTGAATGTCATCTAGATTCATAACTATAATCAAAATCTTATAATTGACACATGTTTATCCTACATTTGTTAGTAATTCCAAATTTCTTTCATTTTCTATTACAAATCATTAAAATATTCAAACACAGGCATTCATTAGGGCAATAATCACTAACACTGAATCCCTTGAACACATAAAATTTATAATATAAATCAATAAACTTGGAAAATGCATACATTGAAGGTCTAATTTATAAATTCAGAGATGTTATTTATCCACCATTAATAAGAATCCTACTGATAGTCTTCAAATAAGTCCAGAGTTTGTGGCAGTGCTACACATATTTGGCTAATTATAATATCCATAACTTTTATCTAATTAATAGCTATACAGAAAACGAAAAATCTGTAGTTTTTCTAATCAACAAATGAGCAACGTCTTTTATCATAAAAATATTGTTGCGCTGAAGAAAAATGCTAATAGTTAAAAACAACATTTCTGACATAGTTTAGTAGCTCTAATTTGTATAACAATTTGATTTTTCTCTGATTTATGAAAACAAGCATAATATGTTAACCAGTTAATTAGCCTTCTAAATGTCAACTTAAAAATATTTATTTCATGCATTGTTTGTGCCAAACATTGGGTTAGCTACTGAGAAAACAGCGACATTCTGTGATATTCTAAGATTGCCTAATTTTTATCTGCATCCTTTGTTATCAATGATGATTAATGAACAAATTTTGTCTAAAAGTCACTATTAAACCAATCCTTAACATCTAGTTTAAAACTCCATTTTGAAGGAGCTGAGACCCTTAGAGAGTTTAATTGCCTGTTTCTGAAGAATAAATTGCTGTTGGGAAAGCATCACTTTCACTTAGGTGGGATGGAAAGTACGGCAGATGGTAATCACCCACGAAGCGTTCCTGCACAGACAGCACGCCAAGCTGGTAGACGGGAACACAGACATTTCCCAGGGTCATGAAATCCACAGCATTGGGCAAGTCACATTGCTACGGTGCTACCACCCACCAATTATTCTGAAACTTCACCAAGTAAAGAATGCCTATGACACACAGTATTGCCTTCAACCTTATGCACGTGTGAATGTCCATGTGAACCTGTTGAAGAGAGGGAGAGAAAGAGAGGCAGAGAAAGAGAGAGAGAGAGGGGAGAGGGAAAATTCAAGCAGTTCATATGTTACCAGATGGTGCTGCACAGTTACAGGCTCTTGGTGTCCCGAACAAATAACTGGACTTGGCACACACACAGAGGAAAGCAAAGCGGCAAAAGTTTATTCAGCACAGTATTCCACTCTGGGAGAGGGAGCGCAGACTGACCTCTGCGAGATGAAAACAGCCCCAGCTCGCCGTATTAGATTGCGGTTTTTGCCTTTACTTTTAGCGGCAAAAGCCGCAGTTACTTTTGCACCAACCTAATAGTTCAGATTCTTTTGTGTGTTTTTTTATCTTCTTCTCCCAAGTGTCTGCCTTTTGATTGACAGGTGGATTGCTTAGTTACTGAGGCACTTATGCCCTTGCGCAACGCCTCCATCCCACAATTTTAATTACATTCATGATATGCAGTCCATATGTATACACTTTAAGTAGCTGATTACCATGTGGGGTCATTTTAAGGATACTTTTTCTCTCTAATGAGCATGCCCATCTCTGAAGAGCTTCACCTGAAAGGTTTGGTCCAGATCTAGCCGGTCTTTGGGACTTCTTACTCACTTTTTTTTTTTTTTTTTTGAGCCGGAGTCTCCCTCTGTCGCCCAGGCTGGAGTGCAGTGGCGTGATCTCGGCTCTCTGCAAGCTCCACCTCCTGGGTTCACGCCATTCTCCTGCCGCAGCCTCCCGAGTAGCTGGGACTACAGGCACCCGCCACCACGCACGGCTAATTTTTTTGTATTTTTAGTAGAGACGGGGTTTCACCATGTTAGCCAAGATGGTCTCGATCTCCTGACCTCGTGATCCACCCGTCTTGGCCTCCCAAAGTGCTGGGATTACAGGCATGAGCCACCGCGTCCGGCCTCACTTTTTTTTTTTAATCTCACTTTTATTTTGGCTGCTCAACTTCCGCTTCATATCTTGCTTCTTGCTCACCTGCCCCTTTACCTTTCTTCTGCTCTCATGCTCTCACTCATTCTGCCCTTTATTCAACCTCCAATTCCTCTGCTATTCTCTTAGTGACCTTTGTCACTTGGGAAGTACTTGCATGAATCCAGAGACATCCAAATTAAAGTTGTAACTTTGCAGGCTGTGGAGTATTCATTAAGGTTCTATTGCTACTGTAAAACAAAAATGAAATTCTAAATCCCCAATCAACTGAATAGACCCCGTCTTCTCTTGGCCAAGGGGATCTCCCCCCACCACAAATAATCTGAAAAACTAGTTCAGGCCATGACTGGAAGGTGTCAGACAGGCCTTGTTATACCTGCTCCCTTTGGAGCTTATATCCAACTGACCTAAGGCTAAAACAGAGCTCATAAGACTGACAAAACAGACCCTCTGTGGCAATAAGATACCAAATTCCAACCTGACTCTGGTATAGCATCACATGACAGATTGTAGACCCTGAAGGAAATCAAAGTACTTTACACCAAAATAGATTTTCTTTGAGATATTTTGAAGTGGCCCTGCAAAGCCATTGCTCGTGGGACAAATGTGGATTTTTTAGGAAATCTCCTTCCCTTTCTTTTCCTGATCCTGAGAGATTTAACTAACAATCTGACATTTAAGCCCTGTAAAGAGAGACATTTACCATCTATTCTCTCTGAACCATGCTACTTAGAGACTTCATCTATGTAACAAGAACCTTGGCTTCTGCAACCCCCTAAACTCAAGTATTTCTCTCCACTGATTTCAACTCTTTAGGCAAAGCTTAACTCTTTCAACCAACTGTCAATCAGGAAACCTTTGAATCCACCTATGACCTGGAAGCCCCTGCTTGGAGATGCCTTGTCTTTCCCAGCCGAACTAATGTATTCATTACATGTATTGATTTATGCCTTTGCCTGTAACTTCTGTCTTCCTAAAATGTATAAAATGAACCTGCAACCCAAGCACATTGGGCACATATTCTCAGGACCTCTTGAGACTGTGTCACTCATATTTGGTTCAGAATAAACCTCTTCAGTAATTTACAGAGTTTGGCTCTTTTTTGTCAACACTATGAGCCCAGTTAAAAAAGAAAGGCAAACTGAAATTTTTACTTAACATTGATTAATCAGTAATTAACAAGGCAGTATGGTAAAACATAAGATATACAAAGTAAAGTAAAATTGATAGTTATTCAAAAGAAGCTAAACATAAGATATTAAGATGAGTTAATAACAATGTGCAAAAACTATCCAGTATTCTAAACAATTAAAAAAAAAAGATATATATCAAGAATAATCAAAGTATGGGAAAGGACAATTTTTAAATTCCACACATAATTAAACATGCAAAATATGCTGAGAAATAAGTAAATGGTTTTTGATAGAGACATACAATGAAAAGTTGACCAATGAAAGATAAGACATTAAAAATTAAGTCAATAAAAGGTAAAATAAACAAATAGGCTGGGTGCCGTGGCTCACGTCTGTGAGCACTTTGGGAGGCTGAGGAAGGTGGATCACTTTAGCCCAGAAGTTCAAGACCAGCCTGGGAAACAGCAAAACTCTGTCTCTACAAAAAATAAAATGAAAAGAATTAGCCAGATGTGGTGGTGTGCACCTGTAACCCAAGCTACTCTGGAGGCTGAGGTGAAGGATCACTTAAGCCCAGGAAGTCGAAGCTGCAATGAGCCATGATTGCACTATTGCACTCCAGCTTGGTCGACAGAGCAAGACTTTGTCTCAAAAAACAAGCAAACCAAAAAACCCCCAAAATAAAAGCAAATAAGCATGAAATGCACACACACAAAAATGACAACAAGATCAGTTCTTCTCATTAACATTCACCCAGGAGGGCAACTGGGATGTTTTCGACTAACTCATTCTCAGGGTTGGAATTTTAAGACTACACCATGACTTGGAGATATGTTACAAAGGAAATGAAACATTTTTCTTATTTCTGCACTTTTCCCACTGCTAGAATCCCACTGCTAGAATGATATTCATAACCACCCTCAAGCAAAATAGAAGAATGGGTAGCAGATATGTGTGTGTGTGTGTATGTGTGTGTGTGTGTGTGTGTGTGTGTATAACATTTGCTCTACCTGATAGGTAGAACTGAGTTTCTCATTTGATTTATTTCATTTTCTTCATCTCCCTTTGAAATTTTTTCTGTATAGAATTGGTGTTACTTTTTAAGTGAAATTGCAAAGAATGGATATCATTATAATACAAATTTTTAAAAAGTTACATCATTGTGGAATAAAAATGGTATCTTGCTTTGAAAGTAGAAAAGCTTATCAATGCCCTTTTCTGAGTAGAAATTCAGTATAAAAAAATCACCTCAACAAAGAGAAGTCAATTTTTTAATTGGAATGAGGTGGAACTGAACGTACTCTGCAAGAGAGGAAACTGCTTATTCTTTGAGCATCTCCCAAGAGACACGCTGTCTATAAACATCTCAAGAAAATGAAGGAACTTTATTTTTAGTAACTTTGTACAGAAACCTTGCTAGGTTCTACCCCTTTTTTTTTTTTTTTTTTTTTTTTTTTTGTGAAGGAGTCTCACTCTGTCACCCCGGCTGGAGTGCAATGGCAAGATCTTGGCTCACTGCAACTCCGCCTCCTGGATTCAAGCTATTCTCCTGCCTCAGCCTCCCGAGTAGCTGGGATTACAGGTGCCTGCCACCACGTCCCGCTATTTTTTTTTTGTATTTTTAGTAAAGACAGGGTTTCACCATGTTAGCCAGGATGGTCTCGATCTCCTGACCTTGTGATCCACCCGCCTCGGCGTCCCAAAGTGCTGGGATTACAGGCGTGAGCCACCAAGCCCGGTCCCACTTTTTTATTATTATTATTATTTTTATCACAAGCAGTTTGTAGTAGCAGGGGAAAAAACTACTAATAAAAACCTTTTATTGCATCCTCCCTTATGTCAGATATTTTCCATAGAACATTAAGTGCAAAATTCAGAAATACTTTTTTGAATGTTTGGGTGTATTATTTTTCTATTAAATTTTTGTATTTAAGGTAGTTTATGAATGATTTTAAGTTAATAATTTTTGCATAACTTTCACATTGTTACATTCATGTCAGTTTTGCAACAAGTCTTTCTTAAGTAATTATTTTGTGTTTGTCAATTATTTTCTGAATTCTAATGATTTCAGTTTTATTGTTAACACCAGCATTGTGTACATTGTGGTAATGTAATAACCTTGTTTCAGTCACATCAGTTTCTTTGTTTCAGGCATATATTTTAATTACACATCAGTTCAATTAGACATCAGGCTCCCAGGGAAGAATTATGCATTTTACCCACAATACGAGTATGTTCTAATGTCTAATTTCTGTCTAGCTGTGCCTGGAGAAAGCTAAAATATTCATCTCTTTTGGTTAAAATTACATAATAGGATGACTTCTGCAACACACGGAAGATTTGATGGCAGTGTCTAATTTTTAAATTAAGATAATCTTCCATTAAAGATAATATTTAATTATTTTTAAGATAATATTTAAGTAAGGAAGGCTGTCCATTCCTGTTTTCAAGTTAAAGGAAATGAGCACTGCTAGACTGAGATTGAGTCATAGCTGAGCATTGGCATTTACTGGACCCAATACTGTGTGGCTGTATAAGCATGTTTAAAACAAATCCATCTTTCAAGCTAATTTTGGGTTCTCATGCACTCTGTTAAATCACTATTCAAGAGTTTCTGGGCCAGGTGCAATGGCTGTTGCCTGTAATCCGAGCACTTTGGGAGGCAGAGGTTGGTGGATCACTTGAGGCCAGGAGATTCAGACCAGATTGGGCAGCATAGTGAGACACTGTCTCTAACACACATACAAGTTCTTGGACATTCGTTTGAAGAATATCCTTAACACTGAGAAATGCACACTCTTGCACTCAATGAAATTGATTTATTTCCATTCACATCATCCTACATAATTATCTACCTTAAGCGTCCATGACAACTGAGTCTTCATGCAAATTAAAAATTGAATTTAAACTCAATTTTACCCCAGGATTCCATTTCCTCCCTCTTAATACCTCCAAAGTCTATTGGAATATAGTTCCTGTCATCAGTCAAATTCTGCCTTTCCTCTTTTTTACAAAGGTACCAATTTCTAAACCAGAAAGTTGTCCACACTACAGCCTATGCGTTGTCTAATCTGTTCATAATTATATATAACAAACATTTTCTTCTCACTGTGGGCTTCTGACTTTGCATATCTGACAGGTTAACAATACCGTAGTATGTCCTTACGTATCATACATTGTCTACCTGAAATTGTCATTGATATTGGTTTGCTCTCTCTAATCCATCTGTTTCCTAAGGTCAGACAATAGGTACCAAGTAGAGAAAAAATAGATTTCACTGGCAACTCGTGTGCTAAGCTTCCATCAGAGTCTTATGCAGTTAATTCTGTACCATACATTTAATTCTGAAAGTCTACAAAGAGTTTCTTAGGTGAGATGGTGAAAAGTTTTTATTTTGTAGCCCTTTCAGTGTCCTTTTTGTTGCTTTTCTCCTGCTCAAAGTTTGGTGGGTGTTACCCTCAGTGTCTACGTTGTTACAGAGGGAGTCACTATGTTTCTCGCTGTCCGTCATGAAAATGAGAGGTGGGAGGTTATGTCTCACTCTGACTTCCTGTCTGACCATGAGGTTTGCATGCACTCAGATGCTGTGTCTCATGGCATTGATGGTGAAAATTCCCCTTTATTTTACCCCATTTATTTGACTATCTGGGTTGAGGCATCTTTAGCATTGGCTTGGTGCCTTCTTTCTGTGTTTGACTTCCATGTAGATTCCTACCCCCCCCCAATAAAAATCCGACTCTGATGTTGGTCTGAGATGCTGAGGCAATTGGATGTTTCAGATGTACTGAATTTTTAAGGTAAAGCTGCTGCCACATAACAGATACATCATTCCATTCATGCTGGCATCTTCCTTAAAAATACAATTTACTTTATGGCATCTTTTTTTTTATTGTATCTTTATCTCGTTACTGAAGAAAGCTGTGCTTAACAAGGGGAAGGTCCCTGCTTCAAGCTATGTCTTGAGAAAAGGTGAAATATATTTAATAACTTTCTCGTTTTTTAGAGACAGGGTCTCACTCTGTAGCCCAACTTGGTGTGCAGTGGTGCAATCATAGCTCACTGCAGCCTCGACCTCTTGGGCTCAAGCAATCTTCCAACCTCAGTCTCTTGAGTAGCTGGGACCACAGGCATGTGCCACCCTGCCAGGCTAATTTTTAATATTGTTATTTATAGAGATGGGGTCTTCCTATGTCACCCAAGGTGGTCTCAAACACCTGGCTTCAAGTGATTCTCCCGCCTTAGTTTCCCAAAGTGCTGGGATTACAGGCATAAGCCAACATGTCCAACTCTGTTCTTGACATTCTAAATGTGTACATGTTATGTCTAATTACAAATTTTTGGTCACAAGTCTTTTTTAGCCGATTATGGTCTCCTAACGTGTCCGGAATTGGTGGATTCTTGGTCTCGCTGACTTCAAGAATGAAGCTACGGACCGTCACGGTGAGTGTGTTACAGTTCTTAAAGATGGTGTGTCCGGAGTTTGTTCCTTCTGATGTTCGGACATGTCCGGAGTTTCTTCCTTCTGGTGGGTTCGTGGTCTCGCTGACTGCAGGAGTGACGCTGCAGACCTTCGAGGTGAGTGGTACAGTTCATAAAGATGGCGCGTCTGGAGTTGTTCGTTCCTCCCCGTGGGTTCGTGGTCTTGCTGACTTCAGGAGTGGAGCTGCAGACCTCCACGGTGAGTGTTACAGCTCATAAAGGCAGTGCAGACCCAAAGAGTGACAGACCATCGCGGTGAGTGTTACAGTTCCTAAAGGTGGCGCGTCCTGAGTTCATTCCTCAAGTCCGGAGTTGTTCGTTCCTCAAGTCCGGAGTTGTTCATCCCTCCCAGGGGGGTTCGTGGTCTCGCTGGCTTCAGAAGTGAAGCTGCAGACCTTCGTCGTTAAGTGTTACAGCTCATAAAGGCAGCGCGGACCCAAAGAGTAAGCAGCAGCAAGTTTTATTGTGAAGAGGAAAGAACAAAACCCCCATAGAGTGGAAGGGGACCTGAGCACATTGCTGCTGCTAGCTCGGGTGGCCTGCTTTTATTCCCTTATTTGGCCCCACCCACATTCTGCTGATTGGTCCATTTTACAGAGAGCTGATTGGTCTGTTTTACAGAGAGCTGATTGGTCCATTTTGACAGAGTGCTGATTGGTGCATTTACAAACCTTTAGCTAGACAGAAAAGTTCTCCAAGTCCCCACTCGCCCTAGAAGTCCAGCCAGCTTCACATCTCACTAATGTGGGATATATTTATTTCTTCAGCTTCACAAAATTTTCCTCTACTATTAGGAATTTTGCATACAGCCTACTCTTTATTCTCTTGTCATGAAATTCATTTTAACTTAATTTCATAATGAATGGATTCAGCCTTAATGTTGCTTGGCTTTTTTTTTTCTTTCTTTTTTCATGATCATTCTTGGTTTGAAATTCCTATTCTCATATTTGTTCTTCACCCATATCTAAATTGCTATTCATGCCATCCATTGATTTTTACATGTCAATGATGAAAAATTAATTTTCTTCCTCTCCTTCTGATGTGATATTCTCCAGCATATGGCAGACAATGTCTTTGAAGATATTCAGTGTAGTTTATTTAAAACGTTGTTCTGTTTTCTCTGAGTTTCTTTGACTTTGTCATTCTCTGAACGTAAGTTCAGGGGATCTTGTTGACAGCACCGTATTTGTCCATTGTTGGTAATTTATTAAAGGTTTGGTTTGCTTTATGTTTAAGATTTGCTGAATTCTGTCTGCGAGTGGCATACACATCTGTTTATGGCAGTGTTTTCTCTGTGAGTGTGATAAGTTGTAGAACATGCTTCTGGGAAGATGTATAGCATATGAGAGTGGTGAAGACAAAATAAATGTCTGTTGCCCTTTGAGAACATTTTCTGCTTGTGGAGTTTCTTCAGTACTCTATGTTGACAAGCCATGTGTTAAGACAATGGAGAAAGAATCATACACCAAACAAATTTATATAGTGATAGCCTCACAAAAACTGATACCTTTTAAATGAGATAAAGTGAGTGATTAGAACATAGAATTTTGTAATTTCCAAAAGGATTTTTAAAAAAATTTAAATAAAAAATGTAATATTATGTCAATTGATTATGATTTCTGAAACTAGGTAAAAAAAAGAAACAATCATTTCTACCAAATCAGGTATCTAAAAAGGTCTGGAAAATCTATATTTGGTATGCAAGAAAAAAATTCTTAAAAGAGAATTAAAATCATTTTATGTGGGTTTGTGTAGGTTTTCCTAAATAATTTTAGGGCAATAAACTGTCCATCTTACTGCCAACAGTGCATGTAAATTATAAAAAATAGACTAAGCATAATATCAAGAAAGAAACCATTGTAATGTACATGGACACGTACAACTCATAATTGTACTCATTGGAAATTATGCCAGAGAGATCAAAACAACATTCAAATAAAAACCTGTACTCAAATGTTCATGGCAACTTTATTTAGAAGAGCAAACTCTAGCCAGGCACAGTGGCTCATACCTGTAATCACGGCACTTTGGGAGGCCAAGGCAGAAGGATCGCCTGAGCCCAGGACTTTGAGACCAGCCTGGGCAACATGGCAAAATCCTGTATTTACAAAAAAAAAAAATACAAAAAATTAGCCTGGTTTGGTGGCATGTGCCTGTGTTCCCAGCTACTCAGGAGGCTGAGGTAGGAGGATTATTTGAGCCTGGGAGGTCGAGGCTGCCGTGAACCATGCTTGCACAAACTGCACTCCAGCCTGGTCGACAGAGCGACGCTGCCTTTAAAAAATAAATTAATTAAAAAGATTAAAATCCTAGGAAGAAGCTAAAAGTCATTGAATGAGTGAATGGTTGAATAAACTGTGGTATCTCCATACCGTGGTATATGAGTGAACGATAGAAAAGAATAAACTATTGACGCACACAACAACCTAAGTAGACCTAAAGGCATTATGCTGAGTGAAAAAAAGTACATATCAAAAGGTCATACACTGCATGATCTCATTTACAAAATGTCCTCAAAATGACAAAATGACAGAGATAGAGAAGAGATGAGTGGTTGTCAGGAAAATTGCATGGGTGCAGCAGGTGCTAACAGAAGCACCAGGAGAGGCATCTTTTGTGACGATGGAACAATTTTTAATCTTGATTGTTTAGTAGTCATGCGAATCTACACATGGGATAAAATGACATAGAATTACACACACAAGGACAAAAACACGTTATTGTGGGATTATAAAAGTAGTAAAAACTAAACAAGGTCTGTAGTCTCCTTACCAGGATTGTACCAATGCCAATTTCCTGGTTTTTATAGCATACTACAGCTGTGTGAGATGTCACCATTGCACATGGATGGAGCGAAGCATTATATGGGACTCTGTGCTATTTTTGCAACTTCCTCTGAGACCATTTTAAAATAAAAAAAAGTAAAAGAAAAAACTCATAAGTATCCTAATAACAAAGAAACAAAATATAGACACCCCACCTTCAACACACATCACATTTTAAAATCCAATAGTCTGAGTTATGACTTGGTTTTGATTTTTTTTTTTGGAGGGGGGCTTTCAAAACAAATCATGTACCAGTTATTTTCCCAACAGGAAAATATCTTTTCCCTAATATATCCATGGGTTTCTCTCATATTTAATTGTAGACTCTGCTGCTGAAAATTCACATTCTCATAGAAACCCTCTGTCCATCCTATAATAAAATGGAATCACCCTAAAATCTCTATACCAGGGGTCTCCAACTGTTACTACAAATGGTCAGATAATAGATATTTTAGGCTTTGTGAGTCAGTGGTTTCAGCCACATATGCTTAACTCTGCTGTTTTAGTGGGAAAGCATTCATATGCTGTATATAAGTGAATGAGTGTGGCAGTGTTCCAATAAAACTTTATTTACAAAAATGGGTGGAGAGCAACACCTGGCCCATGGGCTGTAGTTTCCAGACATTCTTTGCTATAGTTATAATTGTTTTGTTATAGGGCCTACAACTATGAGGACTTGATACCATATCATATGAGTTTGTTTATTGCCTCTCTCCCTACATGATTTCCAACTCCATAAGAGTGTGTTGCTATATTCCCAGCACTTTGCTGGTTCACCATACAAAGTAGGCACAAAACAAACACTTGTTAAATGCATTCTTGGATTCCTGACTCAATAATTGAAATTCAAAAGTCCAAGAAGGCCAGGCGCAGTGGCTCACACCTGTAATCCTAACACTTTGGGAGGCCTATGCAGGCAGATCACTTGAAGTCAGGAGTTTGAGACCAGCCTGGCCAACATGGCAAAACCCTGTCACTAATAAAAATACAAAAAAAAATTAGTTGGGTATGGTGGCAGGTGCCTATAGTCCCAGCTACTCGGGAAGCTGAGGTGGGAGAATCGCTTGAACCTGGGAGGCAGAGGTTGCAGTGAGCGGAGATCGCATCACTGCACTCCAACCTGGGTGACAGAGCAAGACTCTGTCAAAACAAAACAAACAAACAAAAAAATCGAAAGTCTAAGAAATAGCCAGAAAACATCAATGCTATTGAAATTTGATTTAACGTTTATGATACAGGTGCTTTGAAGATAAAACATCAACACCAAAACAAGATCATTGTTTTCAGGCTATAACTTTTTATAAGGATTTAGAATCATCCAATAAAATACAACTTATTAAATATGTTTCACTCTCCGATAGAAATATTACAATTGTTGATTTTCCAAAATTACTCGAAAGCGTTTTGGTAAACTGTTCATATTTTCAGAATATCTTCCCAAAAAAATAATCAAAAGATTTTAGGAATAGTTAACTCTAATGCCGCTTGGTTTACATGACATTCTCCTAGGAACTTAGGTGGTGATGAAGGGAATAAATTTTAGAATGAACTACAATTTTTATTATTCACTTAGTCTCTAATGCAGTGAATAGAGTGACATTAAACACTCACTCCCAAGACAAAACAATTACCTTTTAAGACTACATTCCAAATACTAGATGCAGAAATTATCAGAAATACACCCGTGGCAAAGTGGCAATGTTCTTGCCATTCTAAATAGTTTACTGAAAACTCAGCTCAGACAATAAAACAACTGACTTACTGCAAAGATAAATGCAATAAAATTGAGTTGAATTAATATTTAAATTATACTCAGAAGGGAAAATAAGGCTACGTTAGAAAAAGTATAGGTTGCACAGAGGACAATTTCCGGTTTTAAAAAAGTGTAATTTATAACCTGTATCAAATTGTTTTTACGGCATTTTTTAAAGTTCAAGGTTACAAGTGAGTTGCTATGCAAACAGTCCTAATTCTCTGTCTTTTCAGCACATGCCATGTTGCTGATCATTCAGTGAAATATTCAAAATAAAGGTTTTTCTTTTGAAATGTAATTAATCAGACTACCTAAATATTATTAGGCAGACCATCTATAATTAGGCAGACCATCTAACACACTGGGACATGTTTGTGGTGGAAGGGGAAAGTCGTAAATATGTGACACATGTGCGATAATCCATGGATTTCCTAAGCAAAAATAACTGGTGGCCACCCTAAGTAAAACCAATGTGTCATTTCAAAAGATGCCGAAAATAAAAATAACCTTGTGCTGCCATCAAATAAGGCCATCCACTTAATAGCCAGAAATAAAAATCTTTTCAAAAGATCTTCATCCTATTGCTCAGAGTTAATAAAATTATTAATTCATTGATAAATGTAGTCAGCAAAAAAATTAAATTGGTTGCCTTTTTTTTTTTTTTTTTCAAGACAAGGTTTTGCTCTGTCACCCAGGCTGGAGTGCAATGGTGCAATCTCGGCTCACTGAAACCTCCACTTACTGGGTTCAAGTGATTCTCCTGCCTCAGCCTCCTGAGTAGCTGGGATTACAGGTGCCCACCAACATGCCCAGCTAATTTTTTTTGTATTTTTCGTAGAGACAGGGTTTCACCATGTTGGCCAGGCTGGTCTCGTACTCCTGACCTCAAGTGATCCACCAGCCTCGGCCTCCCAAAGTGCTGGAATTACACTAGACTTTGATTATCTTTTAAGTTCCAGTACTGCCAAGCACTGGCCATTCTTTCAATGAATGCTCATAATGTGTCATTTAAGTCAGCTGTCCTATGTCATCTGAGAGACCAAAGAGAGATGCCTTTTTATCAACAAAGAGGGATCCTAAAATTAAGGAAACAAAAGTTACCTATGTGTGAAGGGTTCAGGCTCTGGTTGGCAAGGCAAATTTCTAAATTCCCATGGCTCAACTCCCTAAGATAAGAGCTATCAGGCAAATTACCCAACCCCTTCTAACTCTGATTTTCAATCCAGATCACTACAACTCTGACTGGACAGAGGACTGGCCCCACAAACCTTCTTTTCTGCTAAGCAACTTCAGACCTTACCATCAGTTTCAGCAGCTTACAGAGGCTGTACACAAATTGTCTTTGTGTCCTATTGTCCACTTTTTGACATAAAGAGCTTAATTCTACCTTATCGCCATCATAACCGTCATCATCATTATCAACATCCCCATCATCATTGTCATCATCATCATCACCACCACCACCATTTTAAATGCTAAAACTTCACACCAAAGTGAACATGGGATGTATGTTACATATATGTCTACCCAATCTGCATGAGCTTGGCTCCTCTCATAAATATGGATAGCTTTCCTCCCAAGGCTGCTGAATATGTGCGACTCTATTGTGTAATATGGACCCTGTGAGGCATAAAACCCAACCTGCCCTTCCCCTCTTCAAAAAGAGAGTATCTTCAGTCCACCCCAGAAACTATCTCTTCCCAGTTCGCAAACCAATTATCACCAATAAAGCTCTTCTTTCGACTGTTTAGCCATCCTGGTGTCTTTTGAATGCCATGTAGGAATCTTTTTTTTTTTTTTTCCTTTGAGACACGGTCTTGCTCTGTTGTCCAGGCCTGAGTGCAGTGAAGTTATCACAGCTCACTGCAACCTTGACCTCCTGGGCTCAAGCAATCCTCCTACCTCAGCCTCCTAAGTAGCTGGGACCATAGTCACATGCCACCACACCTGGCTAATATATATATATAATATGTGTATATATATATATGTGTATATATATATGTGTATATATATGTGTGTATATATATATGTGTATATATGTGTGTATATATATGTGTATATATATGTGTGTATATATATATGTGTATACACACACACACACACACACACATATATATATACACATACAATATATTGTAGAGATGGGGTCTCACTATGTTGCCCAAGCTGGTCTCAAACTTCTGGGCCTAAGTGATCCTCCCACTTCAGCCTCCCAAACTGCTGGTATTACAGACATGAGCCACATGTCTGGTCTGTAGGAGCTTTCGAAGGGACAAAGGTCGAGCCCAAACATATTTAGGGAGGAAAATTAAATGAATCGTGCATGAGCCCTCGTTTTTTGTTTGGGATACTAACGTGTTGGAAATCATCATCCCTTAAGAAATATAGGAGGAAGAATATTATGGAATTTGGATAAATCATAAGTCTTCCTCTTATAATTTTGGAATCCTTTAGCTAATCTTAGATTCATTTTGGATAAGCATATTAAGTATATTTATGTGATATCCAAATGTGTATGTGTGAGAGATTACAGTTACATTTACTAAAGACATTTTAATATCATGGCCTGGCATAGTAGCTCAGGCATATAATCCCAGCACTTTGGGAGGCTGAGGCAGGCGGATCACTTGAGGTCAGGAATTTGAGACCAGCCTGACCAACATGGTGAAACCCGTTTCTACTAAAAATACAAAAGTTAGCCAGGCGTGGTTAGTGTGCACCTGTAATCCCAGCTACTCAGGAGGCTGAAGCAGGAGAATCACTTGAACCTGGGAGGCAGAGGTTGTCGTGAGCAGAGATCACACCACCACATTCCAACCTGGGCAACAGAACAAGACTCTGTCTCAAAAAAAAATTTAATAAGTTTATATGTATTAAATATATTTATTTACTATATTAATACATTTAATATAAATATATTTATTTTATATTTATTCATATCAATATATAATATATTAATATAAATCAATATATAATTTATATTATATATTAATATAATATATATTATAATATATAATTATATATAATATAATATATTATATAATTATATATTATAATATATTAATATAATATATTATATAATATTGATAATATAACAAATATATTAATATATAATATTAATATAAATAAAATATTGAATGTAATATATTAAATAAATATATGTAATATATTTATCAAGTTGTATTAGGGTCCAGAACTTAGCATAGAATTCTGGTCTAGTGATTGATTTGCAATGACTGAGTAGAGGTGATTGCAGACAAGCATTTGGATCAAAGAACCCAATGTATTGGTTCTGTAGCCTTCAAAGGGTGGATAATTGTCTTGAGAATCATTATCTTCCTTCTTTTTTGTGACTTTTGATTAGCGTGCATGTCGAAGGAGTGAGGTGGGGTTAGAAAGCTTTCATAAAGACTAAGGACACACATCTTACCTTTATCTTATATTTTAAGGCATATCCCAAGCAACTATTCAACATGTTCAAGTTTTACTCTCCAATAAATATACTTGGTATTAAAGAAAGGTAAAAACAGATTTCTTCTGGCACTTTTCAGAAGCCTCCATGACATGGTGTCCAGCTCCCTGAATCTATGCCTATGATATGCCTTTAGGGAACAGGCCAATACTCCCTCCTCTTGGCTACCCAAAAAATGACTCCAGTGTACATTTCTGCCTATTTTTTTCAAGACACAAACTCATTAAAGGGGCATGGTGTTCTGTTCCTCTTCTTCCCTTTCAAAGCAGAGATCTGATATTCAGGGTAGTTTTCCAAGTTACAACTTGAAAGAAAATGTTCCTCAACTCTGCCAAATCACTTATTTCACCATTCTTGGTTTATGAATCAAATTGTCATTAATTAATGAACACCAACACCACCCCATGAACCCCTTTCAGATAGAGTAGGAGTGTATTTAATTGAAGGTCAGTAACTTGGCCAAACAAGAGTGCCATCTAAGCTGAACAGAGCCAGCCATTCTGGTTTCCCTTGAGGTATCTTTTATGAGCTATACTACAGTCAGTCATCTGGATCCTTGCTATCTCTTAGAAATCCCCCGAGAATGGTTGGGCATGGTGGCTCACGTCTGTAATCCCAGCACTTTGGGAGGCAGAGGCAGGTGGATCACTTGAGGTCAGAAGTTTGAGACCCCTGGACAACAAGGGAAAATGCCATCTCTACTAAAAATACAAAAATTAGCCAGGCATAGTGGTGCACACCTGTGGTCCCAGCTATTTGGGAGACTGAGGCATGAGAATCACTTGAACCTGGGAGGCAGAGGTTTCAGTGAGCTGAGATCACACCACTGCACTCCAGCCTGGGCAACAGAGCAAGACTCCATATTAGTCTGTTCTCATGCTGGTAATAAAGATATACCTGAGACTATAAAGATATACCTGAGACTGGGTAATTTATAAAGGAAAGAGGTTTAATGGACTCACAGTTCCATGTGTCTGGGTAGGCCTCACAATCATGGTGGAAGGCAAGGAGGAGCAAAGGCATGTTTTACATGGTGGCAGGCAAGAGAGCTTGTGCAGGGAAACTCCCACTTATAAATCCATCAGGTCTCATGAGACTCATTCACTACCATGAGAACAGTATGGGGGAAACCACCCCCATGATTTAATTATCTCCACCTGGCCCCGCTCTTGACACATGGGGATTTACAATTCAAGGTGAGATTTGGGTGGGCACACAGACAAACCATATCACCTGGATTTGTCTCTGCTCAAATAAAAGCCAGGAATGTGTGTGTGTGTGTGTGTGTGTGTGTGTGTGTGTGTGTGTGTGTGTATTTTCATAAATGGGTATTTAATATGTATATATATGTTTAATATATATGTAAATGTGTTTTAAATATATATTTTTAAATAAATGAGTTTTTAATTCAAAAAAATATAAACATTACAAATGACATTGTTGATCTATTTGATCTGAGATGGGGGCTCCTTTGCTAGAGTAGTTTCCTTCCATTCGTTGTCAAAACATTACCTTCATAAGGCACCATGACTTATTCTCGAGTACTAACTAAAATTGTTCATAGCTTTGTAAACAACAAAGCCACAGGCAGAATAGGTATGGTCACCAAGCCCACAAGGTTCTTAGATCTCATAGCTACCGAACTTTAGGAAAATCCTCATGGGAGTTACTTCAGCCAGTTTCAACTCCTTAACAGGTGACACATCACCTACATCTGAAAAGAGCAGTCTGCCAAGGGAGTTAAGCAAAGATAAGGAAAGTTTATAATAAATGGCTCAATTTATTCTACAGGGAAGACCTTAAAAATATAATGCAAAATCTGATTTTGTCCTGGATGTGTTTGTAAGTTGGACATGACATTTCTACATAAGTAGGAAAGAAAAAATACCTCAATTTCTTTATTATTTCACACATTTCAATAACATATTCTATCTGATTAAATCCTTACAACGATGAGAAGATTTTATAATCTTATAATTACAATCACTATCACTACCACTACAACTACCATATTATGACTATCATCACTATCATTGTCTTCATCATCACCACCATCATCACCATCACCATTATCATCATCACCATCATCATCACCATCACCACCATCATTATCAACATCACCATCATCATCATCATCCACATCATCACTATCATCCAACACCACCATCATCCATCACCATCATCCTCATCACCACCATCATTATTATTATCATCACCACCATCAATACAATCATCATCATTACCATCATCACCACTATCATCATCATCATCTTTGCCATCATTATCATAATCATCACCACCATCACATCACTATTATCATCACCATCATCATCACCATTATCACCATCATCATCATCATCCCAATAATTATCAGCATCATCAGCATCATCCCCATCACTATCATCATCACCATCGCCATCATCCCCACTTACATCACCATCGTTATCATCATCACCATCACCATCACTATCATCATTGCTATCATCAACACTATCATCATCATCCCTCACAATGTCTTGCATGACGATCCAGAGATTTCCTTCATATTAAGAGACACAATGTCTGTAGTCAGCAGAATAATGGCCCTCCAAAGGTGGCTCTCATGAAACCTGTGAATATTTGACTTTATCTGGCAAACAGGACATTGTAAATGTGATTAAGGACTTTGAGATGGGGTGTTTCATCCAGATAGACCAAATGTCATTACATGAGTTTTTCAAGGTGAAAATATGCAGTTAAGGAGGACTCCTAGTTATATGACCTGAGAAGGATGAATGCACCATTAATGGATTTTAGGAGGAAGAGGGGACCACTTGCCCAGAAAGGTTGGCAGGCTCTAGAATCTGGGGATAACTTAACTGACAGCTGGCAAGAAAATTGGGTGTTAATCTGCCAACAACTTGAATTAACTTAAAAACAAATTCTTTGCAAGAGCTTCTGGAAAAGAACACAGCCTCCCAAGACATTGATTTTTGCCCAGAGAAACTTGTGTTGGATTTCTAATCTAGAGAACTGCCAGATTCTAAATGGATCACCTTTTGAGCAACTAAATTAGTGGCGATTTTTTACAGCAGCAATAGGGAAAATGCAATAGCCTGGAAGGAGAACACTTAAGTATGAAAGTATTAAAAATATTCTACGTAGCTGGGGAAAAATTCAGTTAGACATGGTAGGGAAAAGATAGGTAGTCTGTATTTAATTGAAAGGTACTAATGAACAAAGACAATAAATTAAATAAAGAGGTACACTCTTAATTGAACACTTGTTGGTGTAGCATCCTGTCAGGATGCTGAAAAAAGGAAGAGGTACTGGTATCCTAGTGGTCAGTCCCTAGCTTGTAGCTCTGAGCCTGATTTCAAGAATTCTCCAGGACACTGAGAAGAACTAAAGAAAACGCAACACGTTATTTTGGGTAAAAACCCACAAAAAAGTGAAACATTTTGTTCAACAATGAGAAAATAATTTAAAAATTCAGAAACATTTTCTTCAAAGACAAAAAAGTAATTAAAATGAAAACAAAAGTATTGGAAAGATTTTATGGTGGTGACAAGGGATGGATGAAATATTAATAAAAACAGTGCAGTGGTGATGATTTGTGAAACAGGCAATATGTGCTTGGGGAATAATTTATTACTGGATGGTACTGCTGGTGGCTTCATTCTTCAACTCCTCTAGTTACACACTGGGATTTTTATTGTATATAAATTTATATATACAATAAAGCAAAGAGTTGATAAATGATTAGGAGCTTATTTTCAATATGACACCATAGACATAACAAGTTGGCAATTTTCACCTTCCAACCATCTACTTGCAACATACGTAACAGAGAGTTGATACAGATGCAATAGACACACAGAGAGAAACATCCATTTTTTTATAGCAAATACACATTTCCATAGAAAATTACGCAAAATACATGATTTTTTTCAGAGAATACAGAATCATGAATAAATAAAATTTGCAATTAGAAAATTACAAATTAAAATAATTTTAATTATACATGTCAGTTTGTCAAATATTAATATCACAGAACCCTGGAAGTTGGTAAACTTATGGGGAGTAGGCACTCCTCAATTACCTTTGATGGAGTTTGAATTTTTATAATAATAATAATAATAATAATAATAATAAAAACCTTGGCTGGGTGTCAGGGCTCATGACTGTATTCCCAGCACTTTGGGAGGCCAAAGCAGGAGGATTGCTTGAGGCCAAGGAGTTTGAGACCAGCCTGGCCAACATGGCGAAAACCCATCTCTACTAAAAACACAAAAATTTTCAGTAGAGTGTGTGTGGTGATGGGTGCCTGTACTCCCAACTACTCAGGTGGCTGAGGCAGGAGAATTGTTTGAACCCCGGGAGATGGAGGTTGCAGTATGCCAAGATCATGCCATTACACTCCAGCCTGGGCAACAGAGCAAGACACCACCTCAAAAAAAAAAAAAAAAAAAAAAAAAAGAAAATGCTTAAAATCACTAGTTATTAAGAATGCGAATTAAATCCACAATAAAATGCAAATATCACTTCTGTGAGCTATTTTTAAAAGTTCCCAGAAGTTGGTTATATGGCTGGTAGGAAGACTGAAAGGTGAGTGGATAATTGAAATGCCAAATGTTGAGTTTCCTCTCCAAGGGAGCCCAAACTCTTGAGAGCATGGTGCTGTGTGTCATTGTTCTATTTTGCTGCCACCACCTAAGGCGTGAGGCCTTTGCTCATGCTCATCTATTTCCTAAATCGTTGTAGGGACCGGCTGCCGAGGAGATGGGTAAGAAGCTGAGAAATTGTTTTAGTCACATTTACTTACAGATGAGCCTCGGAATTAATCATCTTGAGCTGTCCATAGCTTCTTTTACATTATGTATATATTGTATATATGTATGCTTTTTTTTGAGACAGAGTCTTGCTCTGCCACCCAGGCTGGAGTGCAGTGGTGGAATCATAGCTCACCACAGCCTCCAACTTGCAGGCTCAAGCAATCATCCTGCCTCAGTCTTTCAAGTAGCTGGGATTACAGGCACGCACCACCATGCCCATCTAATGTCTTTTTTCTTTTTTCTTTTTTTTTTTTTGTGGAGGCAGAGTCTCCATATGTTGCCCAGCTGGTGTCAAACTTTTGGGCTCAAACAATCCTCCCTCCTCAGCCTCCCAAACCACTGGGATGACAGGCCTGAGCTACTGCACCCAGGCCATAGCATCTTCATGTTCCGTTTTGTTTTTTCCTCTGCAAGCTGTGCCAGAGTTGCTTGGTCTCAGTATTTCAATTAAACAGGAAATAAACATCCTCCCTTAGATCTCTCATAGAAGCCACTTACTTCCAGTCTGCTTTATACCAGAGCTCCACATTGCCTACTGCGTGGTGAAGCATGCACTACGTGGTGAAGCATGCATGCGTGGTGCAAAGCCTCTTGGGTTTGAAGGGCTGAAAGGCAGGATGTGCACCTCTTTGGGAGCAGGTGGAAGGTTGCATTCATTCTGCTGCACAGCTTCACGATTTTCCCCTTATGCCTTGCAACTGGAATATAGTAGAGACTCAATAAATATTTGACGAAAGAATGAATGAAAGCCAAATTTAGATGAAAGCCTGTGCATTTCTAATGACATCTGTCCTTATGGGATACAATTTTATCCAGCTGCTCTGAATTGCTGGAGCAAAGGAGGCTGTAGGCAAGAAACTTTTATAACAACTTGGCAGCAAGAACACGTACCAACCCCAACAACAAAATATATGTTATCTGTAATATGTTCTGGACTTCCCTCCCTAAATATAGGTTTAGTCCACATGAAAAATGAGTACAAAATTGTTACACTTAGCACTTTCTATATCTACAGCAGGAGAGGGTAAAGCTGGTCGTGTCATGGATTAAAAGATAAATATATGAAAACTTGTTTTTTATCTTCTGCATGACAGCAAGTTGCAAATATGTGGACACACAGTTACATGTGCGCACACACACACACACACACACACACACACACACACACACACAGGCTCCGTACTTCAGGGAAGAAGGCAACAGGTAGTTACAGCAAAATGAAAATATATCTTTATTTTATTTTATTTTTTGAGAAGAGTCTCACTCTGTTGCCCAGGCTGGAGTACAGTGGCACAATCTCAGCTCACTGCAACCTCCGCCTCCCGGGTTCAAGTGATTCTCCTGCCTCAGCTTCTGGAGTAGCTGGGATTACAAGCGCCCGCCACCACGCCCGGCTAATTTTTTAAATTTATAGTAGAGATGGGATTTCACCATATTGACCGGGCTGGTCTCGAACTCCTGACCTCAATTGATCTGCATGCCTTAGCCTCCCAAAGTGCTGGGATTACAGGCATGAGCCACTATGCCCAGCCTAAAATGTATCTTTAGAAATACAGGGATTGACACACTCACTGGGATAAGCACAATTTTAAAAAATAGAAAATAACAAGTGTTGGCCAGGTTGTGGGGAAATTGAAAGCCTTGTTTGTTTTGTTTGTTTGTTTTGTTTACTTTTTTATTATTATTCTTTAAGTTCTAGGGTACATGTGCACAACGTGCAGGTTTGTTACATATGTATACATGTGCCATGTTGGTGTGCTGCACCCATTAACTCATCATCTGCCTTAGGTATATCTCCTAATGCTATCCCTCCCCCCTCCCCCCACCCCACGATAGGCCCCTGTGTGTGATGTTCCCCTTCCTGTGTCCAAGTGTTCTCATTGTTTAATTCCCACCTATGAGTGAGAACATGCGGTGTTTGGTTTTTTGTCCTTGCGATAGTTTGCTGAGAATGATGGTTTCCATCTTCATCCATGTCCCTACAAAGGACATGAACTCATCCTATTTTATGGCTGCATAGTATTCCACGGTGTATATGTGCCACATTTTCTTAATCCAATCTATCATTGATGGACATTTGGGTCGGTTCCAAGTCTTTGCTATTGTGAATAGTGCCGCAATAAACATACGTGTGCATGTACTATTGGTGGGATTGTAAAATGGTAAAGCTGCTGTGAAAAACAACATGATGGTCCCTAAAAAATATAAAAACAGAACTACCCTATGATTCTGCAACAGCACTTCTGGGTAAATATCCAAAATAATTGAAAGCAAGGTCTCCAAGAGATATTTGTTCCCATGTTCATAGCAGCATTATTCATAGCAGTGAAAGGGTGGAAGCAAACTAAGTGTCCATTGTGAATGAATGGATAAACAAAGTATAGCATATACATACAAGGGTTATTATTCAGCCATAGAAGGAAGGAAATCCTAACACAGGCTACAACATGGAGGAACCTTGAGGCCATTATCCTCAGTGAAATAAGCCAGGCACAAAATGACAAATACTGTTTAATTCAACTTTTGTGAGATCGCAAGAGTAGTCAAATTCATAGAGACAGAAAGAAGAATTGTTCCTGGACCAAACTGAGGGTCGGGCTGCTTATTCTTGTGGCCCAGTAATGAGATGCAGATGAACTGGGTAGGAGGAGAGTTTTTATTTCTGTAACCGGTTACAGGGAGAAGGCCTGGAAATTATCGCCAGACCAACTCAAAGTTACAAAGTTTTCCAGAGCTTCTATACCTTCTAATCAATATGTCTACATGTAAGTGTGCATTCATCTAAAGACATAAGTGATGAACTTCTAATCTAGAACTAAGGTCTGAGTCCTGGAGACCTTCCTCTGGAGTCTCAGTAAATTGACTTAATCCAAATGGATCCAGGTGCCTGGGGTGATTACCCTTATCTTGTCTCCCGCTAAATTGTGGAAGTTTGGGGAGTTCCTTTAGACCCAGATAAAGCTTGTTTGTGGAGGTCTGGGGAGTTCCTTCAGACCCTCAGTAAAACTTGTTTAATCCTAAACAGGTCGTGTTAAGAATCCCTTCATTATCTTGTCATGCTTCAAGGCCCAGGAGAGGCCTGGGCAGAACTCTTGGTGGACTTTTGTTACATTCCAGCCTTTGTATAAGGGTGCTGGCTCTTTCAGCTTTTAATATTTAACTTCAACACTCTGTCAGTGCTGAAACAGTTGTTACGGAGGCCTGTGTTTGTGAGACCTGGCCTGCCACAGAATGGTGGTTGCCAGGGGCTGGGGAAGGGAGAAATAGTGAGTGAGTGTTTAATGGGGACAGAGCTTTAGTTTGGGTAGAAGAAACTATTCTGAGGATGAATCGTCATGACGCTGCCACAACATGAATAACATATTTAATATCACTTAACTGTACACTAACAAATGAATGCGATGGTATGTTATGTGTATGTTCTTATCATATACATTTGGAAAAAATTTATAGTACAGACCTTCACAATAACAGGTCATGGAAAGTCAGCCCTAAAATAAATTACTTTGTAAAGTAAATTTTTAAATTAAAATTAATTTTTAATTTAAAATTTTTAATTAAAAAATGAAAGGGCTGAATATATGATACTGAAAACATGTGTTTTCACCAAAGTCTGATTTTGCTCAGCATAAGAATTAAAAGTATAAAAATATATAAGTATCAAAGTATGTAAGTATAAAAGTGTACTTATTATAGTATACTTTGCAATAAGCATATCATCTCTAAAACAGGAGGGTAACCAACCTACTATAAAAACAAAACAAATCCAGAAACAACAGCTACAGCAACAATAGTGTGCAAAATAGAAGAGGCAGAACAAAGATTATAAAGGAATTTCTATTTGTTCAGAAGCAGCTTTGGAAAAAAGATTGCCAATTTTATGGTGGGGGAAATCGGGTTGAAGAATATAAGTGACCACTTGATTTGTGAACATTTGTAGGGACATATATGGGCTGCCAGTTGTTATGAGTGTGTTTATTTATGATCGCTGGTCACCTCGTTTCATCGTATCTTTGTTCATGTTTGCATTTAGAGCTTGGCTTCTCACAGCTCTGTTATGTCTCTATACCTAACACAGGAGAGGCGATGTGATCAGTGCTGTTATGATTCTGTGCCAAGGAGTGCCGTCTGAACAGAGCCTTCCCATGTAGGGATATGACACAAGTCAGTCTAGTTCCACTCCTTTTTCATTGAGAAGAGTTACATTTAATTAGTGGTTGTTTCTTTTTTTTTTTTTTTTTTTTTTTGAGATGGAATTTTGCTCTTGTCACCCAGGCTGGAGTACAATCGTGCGATCTCATCTCACTGCAGCCTCCGCCTCCCGGGTTCAAGCGATTCTCCTGCCTCAGCCTCCCTAGAGGCTGGGATTATAGGCACCTGCCACCATGCCCAGCTAATTTTTTGTATTTTTAGTAGAGACAGGGTTTCATTGTGTTGGCCAGGCTGGTCTCCAACTCCTGACCTCAGGCCATCCACCCGCCTCAGCCTCCCAAAGTGCTGGGATTACAGGCGTGAGCCACCCCGCCTGGCTAGTGGTTGTTTCTATATTGCTCCTAGTTTTTGTTTTTGTTTTCTTTTGGTGATAATCCTTCACACTTAACCTACTGAGAAGAAAGACTTTAAAGTTCTGAAAAGCGATGTCAATGTAGTGCAGCTGGGAGGAGCACAGGCACTGGCCTCCACATTCTGACTCCACTCTAACAATCCTATACTTCTGTGAACTCTATACGGATTAAGCTACATACAGTAATAGTGCCCACTTCCAGCAGAGATCATGGCAATTAAAGGGAAACATGCATGCAAAGTGTGTCCCAAAGAGCCCACCATGAAGGAAGAACACATCCACACCGTAGCTGCTTCACCTTTCTGAACAGGTCATGTGATATTTCATGTAGATGTGCAAACACTTGAATATTTTTTCTCGTACTTTCAAAGTATCTTCAGTTGACAATGAGGTAATTCTAGTGTAACTATGTGTGTGTGTGTGTGTGTGTGTGTGTGTGTCTATATCAGCATTGTAAACACATGGACAACTATTAGTGATAATGCTGCAGATAATTATTTTTCAGTCTTACAAAATATACAGAATATCAACTATCAATTCCACATCTTCTCTACTTTCCAAGCCTTCTTCATCTCATTTCAATCTAATCCCCTCCTAAAGGGCAACCAACAACATAGATTTGGTGTGGATTCTTCCCATTCAGGTATTACGGTTTTATAACAAAGCTGTATATCCCCAAGTGATGCAGACCTTAAAAACTTTATATAAACTATATACTATGGGTATGGGGCGGTTTTGCAACTTTTTACTCAATGTATTTTACATCTATCAGTGTTACTATAGTATATATTGTCCATTATTTCAACTGCTGGATTTTATTGCGTTGCATTGCACATTCTGCTCTGGGTGAAAATTTTGATTGCTTTTACTCTTTATAATATATCAACACAGTTGTCATGAATGAACCTCATCTTATTTATCCACTTGGCACACCATGAGTAAGACTGCCTTTAGGTTACATGCCTAGAACCAAAATTGCAGACTGTTATGATGTATGTTATCCATTTTCAATGTTAGAGGAGGCGTGCATGTTTTAAATAATTTTCACTTCCATTGGCAGGTTGTAAGTGATCCCCTTGATGTTAACAATTTTTGGTGCTATTACCACAGAGGTCATACTTTGTCCTTCTCAGGTCATCTCATTGCTACAATTTTAACCCTTGGTTACTTGATTAAGTTCCTTATTGGGTTTCTTCTCTTTGTTAAGTATACATAATTAGACAGTGTTAATCTCTTCTTTCCACTAAGTACTATAACACTCTGTAAATTGAGATTTATAGAATCATGGGCAAATGTCTCTTCCTTTCATTTCATTTTATAGCAATCATCATTCTTCACAGTAAAAATTGTTGTGATGTATCTCCACGCAGAAATGAGAGAAATGTATTAAGTCTCAGAGCACTTCAAAGATAGGAATGGCTAGTTCTTACCTATAATGTTTTCTGACTTCAGCAAAGTCACCACAACATGAGCAAATGAAAAATGTGAAGAAATTCCACTGAACACTCTGTGACCTTGGTTAGCACATGCTCCTCTTAATTTTGTGCTTTAATTCACTATCCAAACATCTCTATTTGTGATGTTTCTTTCCAATATAGCTGTTAAAAACAAAAGCAAATGCAAAGGTTTTCTTACTTTAATTATTTGTTATATCTGCTCTTTTTTCTGTGCCTTTAGTACATATTATTCCTTTGTTTGATATCTTAAGGTGATATAATTACTATTTTTGTTATTTTTACTTTTAAGGAGAAAATAAAATACTTAATTACATACCCATTTTTTTCCTACTTACAGGACCTTGTCAAAGATTCCTGCTTGAGCAACTGTTTCTTTTTAATGAAGTAATGTGATCTTTATCAAAAACGCTTGAAAACACGTCCACTAAAATTCCTGCTCTTGGTGGACGTTGGAGATGTGTAAAGAGTCCAGTGTTTAGGAACTTAACTCTGACCAGGATAAAGTGAATGTTGGAGAGTGAATACAAATGAGAGTTAGATAGAAGTTTATTTAAAAAAAAATCCTAACAAAATAGAGCATCATTACTAGAATGTATCCAATCTTAAAATATTTACCAGCATAATTAAACGTATGCACTCATTATTATGTGACATATTGTGCAATAGGGAATTGAAGGCTCTGAGTTAGAGTAAGGTCACAAGGAAGCCAGTTTATTTGCAAATGGGAATTTGAGAGTGTGACCCTATAACTAAGGAAGGAATGGGGCTGGTGGAGTGAAGAGCAAAGACAGATGAGCAAATTCAACTTCTTAGAGGCCCTATTTCTGCCCTCCTAGCCTGTCATGCCTTTAAAATAGCATGTCTATTTAGATTTGCCCTTTCCTGTTTTCTACGCCTATTTAATAGAGGAGGTCGGGGAATCTTCTAAACTGCTTATCACCTGGGAATTAGCTCGGATGTCTGATACCTTCAGGCCATGAATATATAATTAAATCAGTGCACTTTTACACTGCTGGTGGGAAAGTAAACTAGTACAGCCACTATGGAAAACAGTGTGGAGATTCCTTAAAGAACTAAAAGGCGAACTACCATTTGATTCAGTAATCCCACTCCTGGGTATCTACCCAGAGGAAAAGAAGGCATTATATGAAAAAGAAACTTGCACATTCATGTTTATAGCAGCACAGTTCACAATAGCAAAAATATAAAAACAGCCCAAATGCCCATCATAGAAAGAAAATTTGGTATGTATATATACATACGCACACACACACATATATATATATAATATATGCCATGGATAAAGAAAATGTAGTGTATATGTATACCATGGAATACTACTCAGCCATAAAAAGGAATGAAATAATGGCATTTGCAGAAACCTGGATGGAACTGGAGACCATTATTCTAAGTGAAGTTACTCAGGAATGGAAAACGAAATACCATATGTTCTCACAAGTGGGAGCTAAGCTATAAGGATGCAAAGACGTAAGAATGACACAATGGGCCAGGCACAGTGGCTTACACCTGTAATCCCACCATTTTGGGAGGCCTCGGCGGGTGGATCACCTCAGGTCAGGAGTTCGAGACCAGCCTGCCCAACATGGTGAAACCCCGTCTTTACTAAAAAGTACAAAAATTAGCTGGGCATGGTGGCAGGTGCCTGCAATCCCAGCTACTCGGGAGGCTGAGGCAGGAGAATCGCTTGAACCCGGTAGGCCGAGGTTGCAGTGAGCTGAGATTGTGCCATTGCACTCCAGCCTGGGTGACAGAGCAAGACTCCGTCTCAAAAAAAAAAAAAAAAAAAAAAAAAAGAAATGACACAGTGAACTCTGGGGACTCGGGGGAAGGGTGGGAGGGGGGTGAGGGATTAAAAAAATACACATTGGGTTCAGTGTACACTGTTCCGTTTACGGGTGCACTGAAACCTCAGAAATCACTACTCAAGAACTTATCCATGTAACCAAACACCACCTGTTTCCCTAAAACTATTGAAATAATAATTAAAAAAAATAGTGCCATTGAACAGGGACAATGCCACGAGGCTGTGAATCATATAATAACCAAGTTTCAGAAATCCATGTGTCTCTCTAATACTCATGCCGTGACTAAATTGGGAGAGAAGAGAGGGAATCATAGACTCCAGAAATAATTGCTTCATTGCCTCTTTAAAGGACTGTACATGGCTGATGCTCAAACAGCTTATTCAATATCTCAAACATCTCTCTAAGTCTGCAACATATCAAGCGTGACTACTTAGCCATACAGTCGGCTCAGAAAACAAATCCCTGCCTTCTTAATCTAAAACCAATTGCAAATAATGGCCCTTCATTTCTGTTCTTCCTTGAAGCTCTTCTCCCTATTAAGTAACCTTAATTGCTCCCTTTTACTCTCGTTATCTGTGCTAAATTGAGGTTTCTATTGCAGAAGTTAGAGACTTTTACTTGCACGGATCTAAGTACAATCACAGGCTGTGAAAATCTTCAAAGCAGGAAACTTGGTTTACTCATTTGTCTTAATTCAGTACAAGCCAAGGATTCTTTCCAGTCATATGAACTCTATTGTTGTTCGAATTAGCATTATTAGCAATTATTTTCAACTAACATATCACTGTTAGAATAGTCCTTAATTGTAAGAAGAAAATGACCCAGTTAGCAGTAACATTTAGAAAAGCACCATTTCAACATAATTCACCTTCTGGGCATTGGTAACTCTACTCTGGCAGACAATCACTCCCATAGCACTCTTCTGTTCTTTTATTTTTGTGGTCAAAGTGACAATAGCATTCATATTATCCCATGTTATTTTTGCACCATAAAAATTTAATTCAGAATTAAAGAGAACATAATCTCTATATGGAATAATATTTTTATGGGCAACTTAGGGGAAAAAAGTCTTATGCATACATGCACATGTACATATATAAATATATGTTCATGTATAGATCCACGTACATGTATATATGCATGTATATATCTATACATAGGAATCACAAAATCACCTTTTAAAAAATATAAACATGAATTGATTCTCTGGAGAAACTCCTGCTTCCAAATCTTTTTCTCTATTCTGCCAATGCAAATAACCAAATACAATCCAAGCTGTCCTCTTCTTTTTATTATTTTTATTTTTATTTCAATAGGTTTTTGGGGAACAGATGGTGTTTGGTTACATAAATAAGTTCTTTAGTGGTGATTTCTGAGATTTTGGTGCCCCCGTCACCTGAGCAGTGTACACTGTACCCGATGTTTATTCTTTTATCCCTCACCCCATCCCACCCTTTCCCCCAAGTCCCTGAAGTCCATTATTTTATTCTTATGCCTTTGCGTTCTCATAGCGTAGCTCCCAATTATGAGTGAGAACATACATGTTTGATTTTCCATTCCTGAGTTACTTCACTAAGAAAAATGGTCCCCAGTTCCATCCAGGTTGCTGCAGATGCCATTATTTCATTCCTTTTTATGGCTGAGTAGTATTCCATGAAATATACATATCACATTTTCTTTATCCACTTGTTGATTGATGGGCATTTGGGCTGGTTCCATATATTTGCAATTACGAATTGTGCTGCTATAAATATGTGTGTGCGAGTATCTTTTCCATATAATGACTTCTTTTCCTTTGGGTAGATACCCAGGAGAGGGATTACTGGATTAAATGGTAGATACCCAGGAGTGGGATTACTGGATTAAATGGTAGATCTACTTTTAGTGATTTAAGGAAACTCCACACTGTTTCCCACAGTGATTGTAGTAGTTGACATTCCTACCAACTATAAAAGTGTTCCCTTTTCACCACGTCCATGCCAACATCTATTATTTTTTGATTTTTTGATTATGGCCATTCTTGCAGGAGTGAGGTAGTATCAGATTGTGGTTTTGGTTTGCATTTCCCTGATCATTAGTGATGTTGCAAGTTCTCCTCTTCTTCATGCAGGGCATATATTTAAATGTCTTCTTTCATTTTCTTTAACACATTTTTACTTTCTTTTTAGCAAGGTTGCATCAAATATAGCCCTCTACTTTTAAGGGGAAAAAATGACCTGCAATTGTGAAAAATCTCAACCTCTATAAAAGCTAAACATTTGAACATATATTTCAAAGTTTTTTTTTTAATCTTGGAACATATGACTAAGACAAACCACATTAACACATTAAATCCAATTCCTCCCTGAATTCCAAAAAGCAATTCTTACATTCTTATATTCTGTATATTCCATCACTTTTTTTTGCTGGAGTGAGATGCAGGAATTCAAGGAGAATCAAATGCAAAGAGGGTGATTCAAAGGGACATGATGAATAAGATGCAGTGATAGCAATCATAGATTTCTGAAACTAGAAGAAACAATCATAGTCATTTTATTTCTCCTTATTCTAATGGATAAGTAGTTTATTTACAAACAGAAGCATTCTGCTTTGATAGTAAAGAGTCATGCCAGGGTTGATGAGAGGCTGAACTGGAAAATGAGAAAAAACAACTTGTGGGTGACTCAAAGCCTTCATAGTTTTAAAAAATCATTGTGTGTAAACTAAACTAAGGATGCGTGCCCAGGAGACAGGTCTACGCCTTTCTCTGGAGATGATTTTGAGGGCTCCATATTTAAAAGGGAAAGGGCGGGTTATTGAGAAGTACACAATTTTCATATATGGCGGGGTAGGGAAAAATAGTCATTCATGCCTTTGGTCTGGTGAATCTACATTTATTTATTTATTTTTTTTTACATAAGATGACATAGACAAATGGAACACAGCAAAAAATGCAAGGAATCTGCATGTTACATAAGATAACATAGACAAAATGTGACAGGGGAGCAATCAGATATGCATTTGTGTCTGGTGGGCCAGGGGTGACTTTACCTGTAAAGATAAGCTATCATTGCCATGGTGAAATCTTCACAGAAACACCTTAGGATAAAGATCTTGCAGCTCACTAGGAATATCCTTGTGGGCAAAATACGGGGGAGGCATGTGGCTTTTCATCCTGTAGCCATCTTATTTAAGAACCAAAAGGGGAGGCAGGTTTGCATGACCCAGTTCCCAGCTTGACTTTTCCCTTTAGCTTAGTGATTTGGGGACCCTAGGATTTATTTTCCTTTCACATTACCTTTCTCAGAAGCCAGATTTCAGATAAAAACATACCTAATCGTCCCTGAATTTAAAATCAGAATATGAAAAGTGTCTATCAAAGTTCAATTTTAGGGGGACAACATGCATTATTCAAACTGGCAGTCGTTCTGCACAAGTATCTGTACCTACATCTATATCTATATCTATAATCTATATCTGGGCCAGAATATTATTAACACATAGGAAATGCAAAACACGGTAGCAGAAGATAGAATTATAACAGTAAACTAAGCTAACCCACCCTCCCATTTTGCCTTTTCCTTAATTATTCCTGGACTCTTGGGCCTAGCTAACTTTGAAAGACATTTAGGCTATAGTTTAAATGATAACAGCCTTG
Source organism: Homo sapiens (assembly GCF_000001405.40). Lineage (NCBI taxonomy): Eukaryota > Metazoa > Chordata > Mammalia > Primates > Hominidae > Homo > Homo sapiens. The sequence goes on from NC_000023.11 coordinate 4,749,493, forward strand.
CCCCGAAATTCAACTGTTTTTGTAAAGCTAATGGGGGGCCATCAGGCTGGGGTGAGGAGAGGCACCCCAGAGTCCGGCTAAGGGACAGACATAAACGACTTATTGCTAGCCAATATTCCAGAGGTTATAAGATATGCAACTTCCCCATTGATACCTGTGATTAACGTCACTATTGTAGAACCTAAGATTGGCCTTTTGAGATATCTTTCCAGGTTTTTTGCATGTCTAACACCCATGACTTCACCTCCACCGCCAACCCCTCTCCTGTGGCCCCATTCAGAAGTGATTCAGCCAGAAGGAGGACAGCTTCAATTCCCTATGATTTCATCTCCTCCCCAACCAATCAGCAGCAAGCACCTGTTGGCTACCCCCACCCCTTCCTCCAAACTGCCTTTGACAAACCCCTAACCTAGGAGCTTCTAAGGAGATGATTTGAGTAGGAACTCCATCTCCCATGTGGCGTGGCTGTCCTTGTGTCTATTAAACTCTTTCTCTTCTAAAAAATAAATAAAATAAATAAAACGTCTACCATCTCATCTCCACATGCATTTCATTCATTAATGGGAGGATATAATTTAAACCCACATTGCAAGTTTCCTTGTGTTGTTTTCTGTCTTTAAAATGATGATTTTAGATATGTCCAATGACTCTTAGCAGGATTTCTGCTCATAGCCCTCCAAAATAATAAAGCAGCTTTGTAACTTAAAATTTTTTTGCTTGAATATGTGTGTGTGTGTGTGTGTGTGTGTGTGTGTGTGTGTGTGTGAGAGAGAGAGAGAGAGAGAGAGAGATTCAATTTTCTGGCAGCATCCCCAAAACAAAGTCTTACCTTTTAAATTTGATGTAATTTTTTTTTTCTGCAGAGAGAAGTAAGAAATCAATAGAAATAAAAGCAAACAATGGTGAAAATGTTATCTTGGTTTCAGGGACACCCACAAACTTTGGTTTCTAAAACTGTGAGAAGTCTAGGCAGACCCAGAGAGATATAGGACTTGAGCACTGATTTCAAGAAGGGCTCTGCATGTTCCCTTAGGGAAATTATCCCCTGTCCTAGGCAGGGCAGTATCCCAGCCAGCATCACCAAGACGTCTAGGGTGATAGAGGAAGGATATTACTCCACATAAGTCACCCAGCCGTCCTTCTTCGTTTCTGCCTCAGCCTCCTCTCCAAGCAAACTTCTGGTGCTGGTGAATTACAAACTAGGAAGACAGCGTCTTTGAAGTGCTGAAATTTTCTGATACGTTAGATGAAACTAACTGAAGGAATGAGCTGATGGATCAGGATAAAGTGAGAATGGCTAACAGGTCCACCTGAGGTTGATCCCTGATCTTTCCATTTACCTGGTGGACTAGACTAGGGCTTGCTCTTTAGCTCTTCTCTAGATGTTTTACTAGAGAGTAGACACGGAAGAGAATCAAAGAATAGAAGAGAAAGAGCAGCCTTCTTTCTCCAGGCCACTCTGTCCACAGCCATGAGTTCCGGCAGCTTCCAGCTTCTTGCAGCACTCCCAGAACTGGGCTCACTCCATACACTTGGACATACAAACAGGTAGCCCAGCAAAGCTATCTGCCCTGAGTTCTGCTGGGGCCCCTCCCTGTCAGATATTCCCAACCTTGTGACGGCAGCATCTTCCTTTGGATATTACCTCGGGCACCCCGGTGATTCTTTTTGGTGCTTTCAGCTCTTGATACTCTAACAATCTCTGCGTGAAATTTCTCTGTTGAAGCACGTAGTGAGATTTTTGGTATCCTGACTGGACTGACCGACACATCTAAAGCTAATTTATCAGAACAAGTGAGCAAAGTGCTTAATGAAATATGGCCGGGGTGGTGGCTCAAGCCTGTAATTCCAGCACTTTGGGAGGCTGAGGCAGGCAGATCACTTGAGGTCAGGAGTTCAAGACCAAACTGGCCAACATGATGAAATGCTGTTTCTACTAAAAACACAAAAATTAGCCGGGGGTGGTGGTGCATATGTGTAATCCAAGCTACTCGGGAGGCTGAGGGAAGAGAATCACTTGAATCCAGTCAGCAGAAGTTGCAGTGAGCCGAGATCCTGCCACTGCACTCCAGCCTGGGCGACGACAAAGTGAGAATGTCTAAAAAAAACAGAAATATTACAGACGTATGTATATATATAGTGTGTGTATATGTGTGTGTATCTATCTATCTCTCACATCTCCTGACATATATTTATAGAACTTTTATATATATATACATATATATGTGTGTGTATATATAATAAAGCCAAAAAAGTTATCTTATGGAAATCTTAGGAATTATATACCTGTCTAATTATATAAACACATACATACACACAATTATATATAGTATATATAACATATTTATATATAACTATATGCACAAGAAGAAACTTTATATATATTTATATATACATATGAAGATGAAGATATATATCTCACATCTCCTGCCATAAACTTATACTAGTTAGATATATATGTGTGTGTGTGTGCATAAAATTAAGAAAGAGAAATAAAGATATACTGAGAAAATATCAGAAATTATATATATAAACATATATAAGCACATATATACACACAATGATATGAAGTTATAAAGTATATAGTATATATACCTTATTTATATGTGTTTATATATAACAAATATGCACAAAATTATATATGTAAATATCAGAAAATAAATATGTAATTATATAGATGTCATATCTCCTGACATACATACATGTATAAGTTTGTGTGTTTGTGTTCATATATATAAAATGAAGCCATGAAAGGCATTAAAAGGTACTGTGGAAATATTAGGAAATAAATAATATGTATATGTAAACATATTTGTACACACATGATTATATAACATATATACTTTATATATAATTTTTATATATAATATACACACAAGAAGAAAATTTATATATTTATATCAACACATATGTGCAATTATATATACATACATGTATATACATATATGTGTGTATATATATTTCATATATCCTGATACACATATATAAAGGGCATCCCATGGAAATAATAGAAAAAAATATATATATATACACACACACATAAATATATATACATACACACAGTTATAGTATATATAATATATTCACGTATAGTAAATATATGCACAATAAGAAAATGTATTTGTACATATTTAAATGTAACTATAGGGGCATATATGCAATTATATATATACATACATATATCCACACTCACACACACAATTGAATACAGAACCAATAAATTGGACAAGCATGAAAAATCTACAAAACCATTTTATTGAGTCACAATTTCAGATTATGGAAATCTCCTAGAAGGTGCTTGCAAGAGATAAAAGTGTAGAAAAATGCAGGCAAAAGTAAGATACTAGACAGTAACAGTTAATTGCAATCTGGACAATAGGAGTAAAGAAAAATAATATACTTAGAAAAAATATTTGAAATATGAATGCATGCACTCAGCAAGCAGGGCCAATGTAAGTGTTCTAAAGTGACGACACTTGACACTAATGTGGAGCTTGGTATGTGGTGGCAAGACTCAGTGCCATGTAGGCATTTCCTCATTTATTCTTCACAGAGCCCTAGGTAGATAATCATAGTGTTACCTGCATATTCCAGACAAAGAGAGTGATGCTTACCAGGTAGTGATCTGTTCAACCTTAATTCTTTCATTGTATTCGCTTTGTTACAACGTTTTGACAATTCCGGTGCTTTCGTGATTATGCAATGTTTCTTTTTTTTCTTGGTATTTTGTTTTGCGCAAAATTTTGATTGCTTTAATACAGTCTCATGTTTAGAATTCTCCATTTACAATGACAGTCTAAATATAACTGTGAACTCTTTGCAATGACCTGAGGAAAGTATTATTAAGCATTGTTCCAAGAATGATTTTTGCTCCCTTTTTCAGAAATAGTCCTCCATCTCTTGACAAGGTTGAGTTACACAAAGGGATCCCTGAGTGGTTTGAACTGGCCTCTGGAACATTCTGTTGCTATCAAATGGGACTGTTTGAGTTTCATTAAAAGATCTCTTATTTATTGAAAGAAAAAATATATACAATAATCGTTAATTTGTGCATACCTTTGGAAGTAAGATGATGCTACACATGTTCTTAGCATCCTCCATACATAATCCAAAATATTTCCGCTATGCATCCTGAGGGACGTTTCCAAGAAATACCATTGTGTGCAAGAAAGAAGATGAAGAAAACAACCAAACAATTAATTTGAGTAATGTAGAAATTGTTAATAGGATGAAATCTAGAAGCTAAGATACAAATGAGCATTTAGCAGCTCAAAGAACAGAAAAACCCACAGGAAAGGATTAGAGATAAAGATAAATGATTAAAGGAAAACTTGAGGAGATGGAAAAAAGGCAATAAGAACTGGGGCAATCGGAGAGCAAGTTGACTTCCTTAAAGTAGTGCAAGCAAGGACCTATTTTTTTTCTCACTAGAGAGGCATAATTCCAAAAAAAAGTTACAAATTTATTTTGAGTTATCAGGATCAGTTATGAAAATATAGGTGAAACATTTTGCAAACTGAGAAGTGGCTTCTCAGTTTTGGTATAATAATAATTATATATATATATATATGGAGAAATAGATAATAGTTTAGACAGATGATAGCTACAGAATATAGATAGATAATATATAAATATATAGGATGATACATAAATGATAGATAAGTAGACAGATAGATGATAGATGATTGATAGATATAGGTAGACGATAGATATATAGATAGATAGGATGATAGAGATATAGATGGTAAATAGGTGATTGATTATATAGATAGATAATAGATCGAGTTTATACATAGATATGATGATAGATACATCAATAGATAATTTATATAGAGATTATAGCTTATATAGATCATAGATATAGGTAGATAATATATAGATAAGATGATTGACAGATAGATAAACAGAGAAGATGATAGATAAATGATTTGAAGTATTTTTAATAACTCAAAATAATTTTTAAAGAGAGAAAGCCTTCTGAAGTAGTGTGCCCTGTGGCAAATTTACACTAAGTTCCTAGAAAACATACTAAGGAAAAAAAAAATCTACCACAACCACAAAATGAAGTGTTTGCTTTATGAAGTTGACTAGCAACAAATGAATTAAGTTGCCTGTGAGGCTGTCTCTTCAGAGATCTTAGAAAATAAAGCAGCATGGTGATTATGAGGTTAACATAAGTGAGGCCTCCTTCAATTCACTAAACATCTCAGTGAAACATTTGTGTTCTTTGTATCCTTGTAAGTAGACTTTTTACTTTCCTGTACACAGAAAAACAGCTATCTGCTGGATGTTATATTGTAAATTGATTTATTTTCATGTCCTACCACAGTAAGTAATGTATGTTCTGCAGTTTGTCACCATCCAAAAATAGCTCATTTTAATTAAAACTATATATTATCTTGTTAACTTCCTGCATGAGAAACCCTTCTTCATCTGCACATTGCGATAATTATATCCCACACTTATTTCTGGTTACTGTTTTTTTTAATGTCATTGGTGATTTGCTACAGAGGAACGAATAAAGTGGACACACCTGGGTTTGAGTTGCAGCTCTACCCTTAGTGATGGTATGAGCTTGAGTGGCAGCTTTGTTTCTCGGTTCTGAAACAGAAAGTGTTTTACGCTTGGGTACAGTTTCAGTGAAGTTCACTGATGGCTTTTCTGTCATTTTTAGCTTTTTTTGCTCGAATTGACTTTGTCCATGGACTTCCCAGCATCTTCTTTTCTTTATTTGTTCATTTTTTCTGCATCTGTCCATCACTCCCTAGAATTATGAACTTTTAAAAAATAAAACCTTATTTTTTAGAGCAGCTTTAAGTTCACAGCAAAATTTAGCAGAAGCTACAGACATTTTCCATGTACCCCCTATCTCCACACATGCACAACCTCTTTCATGTTTGACATTAACCCACCATGGTGATACATTTATTACCATTGATGCACCTACACAACATATCGTTATCAACCTGTAACCAGGCAATTTCAAAATGCATTCTGAAACATTTTTTTTCTCTTTCTCTTAGGTTTCAAGAGGTAAACTGGAGGCAAACCGCAGAGCCTTTTTTCCTTAGCCTTAAAATACACTCCACGTACCACTCTTTTTCACCATATATACTTCCTTCTTTTTTATCTAACTGTATGCTAGTATCTGACTTCGTGTCTTCGTAGATGTTCCGGGGCTGATCTTGAGACAGACACACCAAGCCTAGAGATCCAGCTGCAAAGTTCCAGAGATTACTTCAAGGTGGCTAGCCAACAACCCAGCCATTGTGGAGATGACATCAGCCCAAAGGCCAGGTGGACTGGGACCCAAGACAGCCACCAGCATAAGACACACAGACATTTTGCTCAGCCCGAGGTCCAGGTGGACTGGGTCCCAAGACAGCCACCAGGACAAGACACAAAGGCATTGTACTCAGCCCAATTCTTGCATGCCTTTCTTAACAAGTTTTCCCCTTTTTAAACCCCTTCCTTCCCCCCACCAAATTGAAGTGGTTACTTTGGATAGGCATCCAATCATTTCCCCTTCACTAGTTTTGGTTAATAAAGTCATTTTCTTTCTACCAGACCTCACTCTTGTTACTGGACTCTGTACGCAGTGAGCATCCGGACCTGTGTTCAGTTACAAACCAATGTCCACAGTTTACATTAGGGTTCACTCAGTGCTGTGCATGCTATGGGCTTGAACAAATGTATCATGCCATGCAGCCACCGTTGCAGTATCATCCAAAAAAGCTGTGCTTATTGCTTTCCTAAAAGCATGAGGCTTCTGGAGTTCCGTTCTACAGGAAGAGAGAAGAGAAATGGAATGAACCCTAGGATTCATTGCAGCATTATTCACAATGGCCAAGATGGAAACAACCTCGGTGGCTGTCTACAGATGAATGGAGAAAGAAAAATGATATTAGGCAGCCATAAAAAAGAAAGAAATGCTGCCATCTTCAACAACATGCGTGAACCTAGAGAACACTGGACTAAGTAAAACAAGTCAGACACAGGAGGACATTTGGCATATTTTATTTTAAAAATATACATATCTAGGCCAGGCATGGTGGCTCACGCCTGTAATCCCAGCACTTTGGGAAGTGGAGGTGGATGGATCCAAGGCCAGGAGTTTGAGAACAGCCTGGCCAACCTGGCAAAACCCCATCTCTACTAAAAATACAAAAATTAGCCCAGCATGGTGGCATACACCTGTAGTCCAAGCTACTTGGGAGACTGAGGCAGGAGAATTGCTTGAATCCAGGAGGCGGAAGTTGCAGTGAGCTGAGATTGCAAATTATTTGCCTAACTATATGCCAATAAGAAAAAATTTCTTCCTTCCTTCCTTTTTTCTTTCTTCTTTCTTTTCTTTTCTTTCTTTCTTCTTTTTCTTTTTCTTTCTTTCTTTCTTCTTTCTTCTCTCTTTCTCTCTTTCTTTCTTCTCTCTTTCTCCCTCTTTCTTCTTTCTTTCTTTATTTTTTCTTTTCCTTTCTTTCTTTCTTCTCTTCTCTCTCTTCTCTCTCTCTTTGTTCTCTCTTTCTCCCTCTCTTTCTCTCTCTCTCTTTCTCTCTCTCTTTCTTTTTTCTTTCTTTCTTTCTTCTCTTCTCTCTCTTCTCTCTTTCTCTCTTTATTCTTTCTCCCTCTCTTTCTCTCTCTCTCTTTCTTTCTTTTTTCTTTCTTTCTTTCTTTCCTCTTCCTTTCTTTTCTTTCTTTTTTTTTTGTTTGGAGACAGAGTCTCGCTCTGTCGCCCAGGAAGCTCCACCTCCCGGGTTCACGCCATTCTTCCGCCACAGCCTCCCCAGTAGCTGGGACTACAGGCGCCCGCCACCACACCCGACTAATTTTTTTGTATTTGTAGTAGAGACGGGGTTTCACCCTGTTATCCAGGATGATTTTGATCTCCTGACCTCGTGATCCCCACTCGCCTCGGCCTCCCAAAGTGCTGGGATTACAGGCGTTAGCCACCGCGCCTGGCCATTCTTTCTTTCTTTTCAGAGATAGAGTCGCCCAGGCTGAAGTGCAGTGGCGTTCAAACAGAGCTCACTGCAGCCTAGAAGTACTGAGCCCAACCAATCCTCCCACCTCAGCCTCTGAAGTAGCTGGGACTACAGGCATGTACCACCACACCAGCTAATTTGTTAATGTTTTGGTAAAGACGGGGTGTCTCTTGGTTGCCCAGGCTGGTCTCAGGCTCCTGGGCTAGAGTGATCCACCTGCCTCAGCCTCCTAAAGTGCTGGGATTACAGTCATGAGCTACTGTGTCCAGCCCTGATTTTTTCTTTTAGAATAGAATATAGCTAATTATCTTTATAGTTGAGCTACTGTAATCCTTTTAAAAGTACCATTTGGATTTAAAGATTTTAATCTAGTTTTCAAAGTTACACTGAGAGAAATAATAGAAATTCCCCGAGGAGTTAACTAGTATTTCTCTTTAAATAAAATTAAATTAGAAAACAAAATTCTTGGTAGCAGTTAAATATTTTATACAGATATAATAAAATGTGAATTAGTTAAATCACTGAGCATTCACATCTTTCACTGAATAAATTTACATCTCATATACCTTATTAATTGAAGAGAAAATGTATGCTCATCTCAGATGTAAAAGAGAAAGTATTTGACAAACATCTACCGACGTTCATGGTAAAAGCTCTCAGCAAATTAGCACAATAAGTAACCTTCCTATATATGATAAAGGGACTGTATAATAAAAAAGAACTTAAAATCATACCTCCTGGTGGATTACCTTTATGCATATACACAAGTAGAAAATCAAAATAAAAAATAATTGATTACAAGACTATAAAATTCATAAAATTCTTGGGAATAAATCTAATGAAAATGTGTAAATCTCTATATTAAAAAACTATATAACCTTGATGGAGGATGTCAAAAAACTCAAATAAACACAGATAAGTCACATGTTTATAGACTGGAAGACTCAGTAGTGTGATAATTTCCAATATCTTAAAATTGATATATACTTTCAGCTGAATCAAATGAAAGTCAGGTTATCTTTTAAAAGCAGGCATTTTTGGGGGGAGGGAGGATCTAGAAGAGCTAAGACAAGTTTTGGAAGAGCGAAGTTAGAGGACTTTACCTAATTTTATGACTTACTTTAAAATTAGAGTAAATAAGCTGGGTGTGGTGGCATGTGCCTGTAATTCCAGCTTCTCGGGAGGCTGAGGTGGGAGGAAAACTTGAGCCCAGGAATTGGAGTCCAACCTGGGCAACATAGCAAGACCTCATCTCTAAAATAACAGTAATAAATTAGTGCAAGCAATAAAAGTATGGCAATTGCATAGAAAGTTTAGATATTGACCCACCCGCCTAAGTATGGTCTATTTATTTTCCACAAAGCCTCCAAACCATCACTATTGAAAAACAAGTGATTTTAAACAAGTAATGATCAAAAATGCTACACTTATGAGGAAATATCAATGGTTTGGGGATAGTAAATAGAAAAAGGCAGTAGTTAAATGTATTTGCGAGATACTAAAGTCTAACGATTGTCATGTGGTATGGGAAAATTAGAGAATTTGACTGCTAGTGCAAAAGGTTGCAATGATTAAGGCAAGGAATTACATACCAGTACCTCATGATATGTGAAGCAATTGTCCTTATTACACAATTGGCAGTGTTGAGTATATATCTACAGAGAAAAATATTTATTAAGAAATCCTCATCAACATGAATCAATGCACTTTATTTTTCCCCCATTGAATTACTTGTGTGCACTTGAAAATTACACATTTTCTCTGAGTTTGTGTGTGTGCATAAAATATAGAAGGTAACGCTTGTATCAAAAAGTGTAGGGAATTTTCCAGCCTAAACACAGTTTGCCAAATTTCAACCTCTTTTTGGGCAGGTGGACTTCAGTCTTGCAGAGCCTAGCACTAGAATAATACTTATTAAGCATATCATGCAGGGTGTTTTGACTGCACAAACAAATACGTGCTCCTTCAATGTTTTCCTCGTTTATTAGACGTGTCTTAAGAGGTCATTTTGTGACCTTCCAGGGGCTGTATCTTAACCATGAAGATTCAGAAACGTGAGCTTATGAATGCATGGCAAGTTGATCTGTTGCTCAGAGGCAGAAGATGTAAAATAAACAAATTCCAAGACTGACAATGCTAGCATGCCAGATTGTTAATTTACAATGCACACCTCTCACTGAAGCTACGATTTTAAGAGAAACATAAAACTAGTGCATTTTCTATCCATGTGTAGACCTACGTGGCAAGCAAAATGATAATTTGGGGTTTTCTTGTTTGTTTTTTTCGTGAGCAAAGAGTGGGAAAGGTAAACTAAACTATTTTAATTGATCAGACTGAGATAATTTAATCTGTCCTCCTCCAGAAGAGCAGTGGTTTACTAAGTGGGATTATGGTATCCGTTGTCTCTGTCCAGGTTGTTGCAGAAATGGTGGCTGGTTACTGGGTCTTTGTCTTGTATTCCAATTTACCAGTCAGTGAAGGCGTTCTTTTTTTTTTTTTTTTTTGAGACACAGTTTCCCTCTGTCACCCAGGCTGGAGTGCAGTGGTGCAATCTCAGCTCACTGCAACCTCTGCCTCCCAGATTCAAGCAATTCTCCTGCCTCAGCCTCCTGAGTAGCTGGGATTACAGGAATGTGCCACCATGCCTGGCTAAATTTTTTGTATTTTTAGTACAGAAGGGGTTTTGCCATGTTGGCCAGGCTGGTCTTGTACTCCTGACCTCAAGTGATCTGCCCGCCTTGGCTTCCTAAAGTGCTGGGATTACAGGCATGAGCCACTGTGCCTGGCCTGGTTTTCCTTCTGATAGACACAGAATGTCTTTAGATAGGTTAAGACATTAAATATAGTTACAGATCGAAATGGACCATCCAATACATTTAAGATGACTTCATTTTTTTTCATATTCTCAGTTTATTTTCAAGTCTCAGTTCTGAAGGAATAAGTATGTGTGTGTGTGTGTGTGTGAGAGAGAGAGAGAGAGATTAAATTCTCAGTTTCCTAAGCACTTGGGGGAAACTTCACTCACCCTCCTAGATATGTGGACCACTTCCAGATTATATAATTACCTCATGCCTTTCTCAGTCATTTTTGCTTTCAACTGCTTTTGTTCAGTTCCGGTCCTAAACTGTTGAGTAATTTTGCTGTGCTCTGTGGGACAGCTGACACATTTTAGTTGTATACAAAATGATTCTCATATTCATTTGTAGTTGTGGAGTTGTTAGGCAATTTATGATCCTTTTGTATGTAAGATATAATAAAACTGGAGGTCATTATCATTATGAGAATCATTCTTCCTTTTCTGAATGTCTCATGGTACTCTGATTTTGTAAGCAATGCCTATAACCTTCTCTCTAACCACAAAGTCAACTGTCCATCATCGTGTCTCAGTTCTTCTCACTGTGTGGAACAAATGTCTCTGATATTTACCTTGATAAACAGAATGGAGATCTAGAAGGCGTTATTGTGTTTGCACTATTACACACGTTTAATAGGGCGCAAATATGAAATAGGTACATGTTCAGGAAAAGTTACATTTTTTAAATCAACTGCTCGCCTAGCTATGGGAGAGAAGACAAAATCACCTAACATGGAAAGTTGTCCTTATTTATAATTGAACGACCCCACTAAGTTATACTAATGTAAAGGGGATGAACATCTATTGTCTAGGAGAGAGAAAAAGGGGAATAAGTGTGCTTCTTATGATGCAGCCAAGGTTGCCTTAACCTGAGCTGATAATAAGGGTGGAAGAAATACCTTTGCAAGAAGGCTTACATAGTTTTAGAAGAACAAGGACAAAAATACTTGAAGGACGTTGTCTTCAATCAAGTCCTGCAGTTAGCGGAAGGGAACAGTGGATCCCAAACATAATACCTTATGGAAAGAAAATAGGCCTAGTTTGGTGAGCCTGGTGCAACATGAGAGTCCTTAGAATTGGGGCAAGCTATTTTGAGAAGAGTCTTCGGTTGATGCAGAGGAATTTACATTCAGATCTTAGTATTTAGACATGCCGAATTGGTGTTTGTGCTTCCTGAAATGGTAACTAAGTCATACCCTATTAATCAGTCCAGATCAAGGGTTCAGTGGACTTCATGTGGCACAGAGACAATTGCTCCGTGCATGGATCAAAATCTACTTCTCTTTTTGCAATTTGGAAGGAGACAGACGCTCCTGTTTTTAGAAGCTGTGAAGGGGTCATATAGAGAAGATTTAAGAGAAAAAAAGTATAAAATATCTTGCTAATTGGCCTTGTGAAATTGAGCTATCATTTCAGTGAGAGAGAGAGAGAAGAAGGGAGAAATGGGAGGAAGATGAATGGAGAAATGGACAGGAGAGAGAGAGAGAAAGAGAAAGAGAGAGAAAGGCAGAGAGAGAGAAAGGAGGGGGAGGAGAGAGAGAGAGACTTCTATGTGTTCTAAGAGGGCGAAGAAAGTTATTCAATGATTACAAATATGTAATTACAGAATCGCCTACTTTTTAGGTGGTTGCTCCATCAGTTTTAAGAACCTTAACATAATTTGATTAAAATTACCTAAATTAGTGTCTCTCTTTAATGTGATTATTTGTGCTTAAAATGGCACCACCATGTTAAGTTAAACCTTTCAAAATTATGCAAAGGTCTATTTTTTTCTACTCTCCCATTTTCTCTAACATCAATTGAGTCAACTGCTATACAGTATTTCTTACCTAATAGATAACATACGATATCTAACAGTTATGGGTGGAAGCCTAATTTTTGTGGTTGTCAACTCATGCTTACACTTCTGTCTTTACTTCTGTAATTAGTGATGGGCACTGAGATGAAAATCATCTGTGTGTTAAAATTGCCGCCATCGGCGGATGCCCCAAATACCCACAGAATTTCATCAGTTTAGGAATTTTATCATCCAGAGCTGTAAGGTTCAAAGCTTAATCCAATTATGACCCAGGCATGACTCAGCTCCCAAATGCTAACTCTGACCAATCTCTCCTATCAAATGTCTTTGAAAAAAATCCAACCAGAGGACAAAGTTATATAGAGAGATGAAAATGTCAGAGATTTACTGGAAGCTGTGACTTATACACCATCTCCTCTTGCTTTATTAGACTCTAAATGACTTGGTAAGTATGGAATCAAAGGAGAAAAGAAAATATGCCAGCAAGGTGATGGTTGGATACATCCATCCCCAAGAAAAACAAACTTACCAAGCTAACTTAAATCTCTAGTTCATATAGTTCTAAAACGGAAATTTTCACAGGACTATCTGGTAAAACACTAAAATTGGGCTCTTCATCTTTCATTTTTTGAAAATGTGCAATTTGTGAGGAAGTGCTCCCTTTATTGGTATATGGTACCATCAGATGTAGCTAAGTGTTCTGCTTGCTTTGAAATCTAAAGATTTCTACTACATGTGAATGACTTTACAATTTTCTAATTTATTTCCATTTGTACTGATTGTATAACATATATCTCTGCCTTAAATTTTTTAAAAATATAAATATTTCTTTAAAACTGATTGGAATCTATTGACTCTCCATTGGAAAACCTTCCACTGAGGAATATATGATCTTACAGAATTTATTACCCAACATACAGTTTTTTATTAATCTTAGAGTCTTATCAGTAATCTACACTTTTCCAAATACTTATTGAACTTTCTTTTAAATCTGTGAAGATTCTATATATATAGAATCTCATGTATAGAATACCTATATATTTTATACCTATATATAGAAAATTTCCCTTGCCAAATTGACTTGTAATTTACTGGCAATCATTTCTATAATAGAGAGTTTAATAAGGTAATGGTTCCAAATGTATACTATCTAGATGTATGTTGTTTATATGTAAATATCTTAGATGCTTAACATATTATTATATTAAAATTATGTTATGTTTATATATAAATACAAAACCTATCACAGTTTCTCAGTAAGATTACGCAAAAGTAAAGAAGGTATTTTTTTAACATCTCTTATTCCACATCTTAGTACATTTGAGGATTTTCTTTGCCATAGTAAGCTACTGAATCTCAAATAAATTGTTTAAATGCGCGAAGATTGAAGCTCTGCACAAAGTCACTCCTAATGTGTCACTATTTCTTCATTTTCCATTTGAATCTAGGAGCATTTGTTTAGGTTTATTAACTTTGAAACTGCTACAGCAAAAGAAATGTAATTTGCCATAAGTAACTATTGAACACAGTGATACCTTCAACACCAAGAATTATCTGCTACTCCAAATAGTTTATTAATGAAATTCTGATCATGTCCTTTACACGATCATTACAAACAAATTTTGTTTTAAAATCCAATTCTACAACATTTAGAAATAAACTTTGGAGAGGCTAATCTTTAAAATGAACATAAAAATAACACTTAAGCACTCTAGCAATGGCGGAAAAGGGACAGAAAAGCATGGATTCAGTGTACAGCCTCCTTAAGCAGGTATTTTCTTAGGATTTCCCTCCTGCAGATCCCATAAGCCTAAATTCAGACAAATTCTGTTTATTTAAAGGAGAAAACCGCAAGACATGCTTGCTTAAAATATTTAAAGATGAATTTGAAAAGCCCTTCATTGGCTGGGCTATGGGGCATGCCTGTAATACCAACACTTTGGGAGGCTCAGGCGGCAGATTACTTGAGGTCAGGAGTTCGAGACCAGCCTGACCAACATGGGAAAACCCAGTCTCTACTGAAAATACAAAAATTGGCCAGGCATGGTGGTGTGCACCTGTTATCTTAGCTACTCGGGAGGCTGAGGCTTAGAGCTTGAGCCGCAGAAGTGGAGGTGACAGTGAGCTGAGATTGTACCATTGCACTCCAGCCTGGGCAACAGAGAAAGACTTCTTCTCAAAAATAAAGATAGATATATATATATACAAATTTTTTAAAACCCTTCATTATTTGGTATGCAAAAATAATTTTCCCCTTCATTTGGGACCAAAGTGACTAATAGTGACTGTTTTCTCCTTTCTTTTTTGGAATAAAGATAGAAAGTTAATTTTAGGACACAAGCTGGAAAAATCTCACAGTTGGATTTTTCTATGAAAAAGTTGTCTTGCATAGCAAATCACAAGCATAAATGGCTAAATATTTTCACATATTAATAAGCTGTTAGCTTGTAGAGTGAGAATTTTGTCCATTGACTGATTGGCAATTTTAGTCAAATATTGTTACAGTAAAAGAATCTTCATTCAGCTCCCCTGTATAGAGTCTTTATAATTTATTTGTTAATATTATTTAACCATTTTTGTATGGGGTCCTTTAAGTTTTCTTATTGATTTTTACTTTTTTCATCCTAGGATTTAGATACATAGGATCATTTTTTAGTGTTATGCATTGAACATAATATCTGAGAAATTTTTTTTCACTTCTTTTTGTTTAAGAATTATTTTAGAGCAAAAAAATGTGTAATCCTGATGTTTTGAAATCAATCTATATTCTCCTTTGTGGACTATTTATTTTTTTAATGACTGAAGACATCTCTTCCTAACCTAAAGACATACCTAGCTTGTAATGGATGTTGTACTACAAACCTTACAATTTTACATAAAAAAAAAAGCATGATGAAGAGTACGTGACATGCCAGAGATGGAGTATTGTGTTGGAATGTAAGGAAATGACTCACTGAAGGGATATTTGGGCACAGAAAGTGAAGAGAGAGGACAAGTATATCTGCAGAGAGCATGGTCAAAGCAGGGAAAACATCAAGTACCAAAATCCTAACCACAAGGAAACAAGTATACGAGGTGATGGATATGTTAATCAACTTGATTTAATCATTTGACATTGGATACATATATCAAAACATCTCAGTGCACACCAGAAACATATACCATTTTTATGTGTCAACCAAAAAACAAATATTTTGAAAATTCATCATAGACTAAGGAAAACAAAAACAACGTTCTGAGGCAGGATTATATAGAAGTTCAGTGTGGTTCGAGGGGAGGAGGCAGGAGTAATCTTGATAAAAGGTGTCAGAGAAAAAATAGCGATGAGACCTCATGGGCATTTTATAGGGCCATGGTAAGTGCTTAACTTCTACTCTAAGGAAGGAAACCATTTAGGGGTTGAGAGTTACATTGCGCCCTTATCTCTCTAGGCATGTCCATCTTTTAAAATGTATTTCGGCAATAAAGCGTAAATAAGATTTAGTCACTAATTTTACTTCTCTCCTGATTGTGGGTCTATTGAAGGTTTCTGTTTCTTCTTGAGTAATTTCACTACTTTCCAAGTATCCATTTCATCTATTTTCATATTTATCAGTATAAAATTAGTTATTGCAATATAATTTTTAAAAACTTCATAGTATGTCTTGGTTTTCTCTTCTAATGCGTACATTTTTGCATCATCAGTCCATTTTTCTTCTCTCATATCTAATTCTTCTGAACGAATGGCATTTTTCATGAAATCTCTTTATGTGTGGTGTAGTTGACGTTTTCCATGTATTTTTATTTCACTTTAATTAAATCAGGCTCTCAGGTTTGTTATTCATTTTTGTTTGCTTTTATTTCTTCTCTTTACTTTTCTTAACTTCTTTTTCAGAGATCAACTTCTTAAGTTGTGCATTTACATAATTGATTTTTAGACCTTCTTATCTTTTTTCTATTTTCTTCATGTACATGAAACAAGTTTTAATTTTTAAACTTTCATTTTCATTCCTTATGTGACCCATTTTATTTTGAAATTATAGTTTAAAATTCCAGACAGATATTTATTTAGTTATTATCTCATTCATTCATTTAAATTTATATTTATTTCTAATGCGATGACATTCTATCTTTCAAAACATAATCTGTAATGTACCTGTATCCAGGTGTTGGTTGAGACTTAATTTGTGGCCTAATTTATGTGAATTTTAAAAATTCTGTCTCTCTGCTTGTAAAGGATTCTGATTGTAGTTTTATACTTATCAATTAGATCAAGATTGTTAACTTCGCTGTTCATTTTAAAAAATATTTTCCAATTGTTCTTTCCATAAATGAGAGACCATAATGATTTTGCTTTTGTCTCCGTATTTTGTAGCTATATGCATGTAAACTGGAGACAGGGAGATGTTTAGGTTTTAATTGAACTCTTAGGTCCAGAATAAATTAAAATTGCATGTAAATTTGGATTCCATATACAACACCATTTTATATCATTATACAGTAAGCTTTTTCTCTAAAAGTTATTCATCTGATATTAATGTAGTTACACTACTTTTTCTTTGGTTACTTATTGTTCACCTATTTTTTTTTTTTTTTTTTTTTTTTTTTTGAGACGGAGTCTTGCTCTGTCACCCAGGCTGGAGTGCCGTGGTGCGATCTCCGCTCACTGCAAACTCCGCCTTCCGGGTTCACGCCATTCTCCTGCCTCAGCCTCCGGAGTAGCTGGGACTACAGGCGCCCATCACCACGCCCAGCTAATTATTATTATTATTTTTTGTATTTTTTTTTTAAGAGAGACGGGGATTCACCGTGTTAGCCAGGATGGTCTCGATCTCCTGACCTCGTGCTCCACCTGCCTCGGCCTTCCCAAAGTGCTGGGATTACAGGCATGAGCCACCGCTCCTGGGTAACTTTTTTTTTTTTTTTTTTTTTTTTTTGAGATGGAGTTTCGCTCTTGTTGCCCAGGATAGAGTACAATGGCATGATCTCGGCTCACTGCAACCTTCACCTCGCGGGTTCAAGCGATTCTCCTGCCTCAGCCTCCTGAGTAGCTGGGATTAAAGGCATGTGCCACCACGCCCGGCTAATTTTGTATTTTTAGTAGAAATGAGGTTTCTCCACGATGTTCAGGCTGGTCTTGAACTCCCGACCTCAAATGATCCGCCTGCCTCAGCCTCCCAAAGTGCCGGGATTACAGGTGTGAGCCACTGCACCCGACCCATAACTGCCAGTTTTATACAAACCTTTATATCCTTAAATTTTAGATATGTCTCTTGTTTGTACAAAGTACATAGCAAGATATTTTTGTCTGTTTGTATTTAATTCAAACTTTCTTCTTTGCTGAACTTTTACTCTGCTTCTCTTATTTCTTTTTTATATATTTTGAATAAATATATGACATTTTTCCCAGTCTGGATGGGAATCCTTAAATCCCATCTTCCTGAAACTAAATAATAGCACTTTTGACATTTCTAGTCAAAATGCTGTTAGATATTGCTTTTATTACAATTCTATTTTTCTCCTGAATTTTAATCAGAATTATGTACAATAATTTTTTAATAATGCATTTATATTTTCAGATCTCTACCTCTTCATGCAGAATTTTTTATTTTTCCAAGTCAACTCCTCAGGCCCTCAGAATTCTAGTACTTTTTATAGCTGAGTCTATTCTGTATCGTAACACATCCTTTGAATTTTCTTTTTCATTTCTTTTTTTTTTTTTTTTATATCTTTGAGATAGGGTCTCATTCTGTCTCCTAGGCTGGAGGGCAGTGGCATGATCATGGCTCACTCCAGCTTTGATCTCCTGGACTCAAGCAATCTTCCCATCTCAGCCTTTCGAGTATCTGGGACCACAGGTGCACACCATCATGCCTGGCTGTTTTTTTTTTTAACTTTTATTTTTCGTAGAGATGGGGTCTTGCCCGTCTTGAACTCCTGGGCTCAAGTGATAAACTTTTATTTTTAATATTTTTGTAATAATATAACCATACACAATTGAGAGCTACTATACCTCAACAAACTGCATTATTATGAATACTTGTTAATGTAATTGTATCATCAATGCAACTAAATTAGTAAAACATTTGTTCAAGTTTTTGACTGTGTGCATGTAGTTGTTTATCTGGAAATTGTACCCAGTTTGATTCTCATTACTTTATCAAATAGGAAAGAATGCTTTTTTTAAAAAAAAGAAAAAAATTAATCATTAAAATTGAACATCAAATGGAGTTTATTAATAAATTTGCTTTTTAAATAACAGTTATTGCTCTAGATGAAATACTTTTTCTTCTTTTACTCCAAACTAAACAAATAAGATTGTGATTCCTTTTGTAACTGAGTTGATATGGTTAGGCTTTGTGTCCCCACTCAAGTCTCATCTTGAATAGTAATCCCTGTAGTCCCCAGGTGTTGAGGGAGGAACTAGGTGGAGGTAATTGAATCACGGGGTTTATATAAAACTGGCAGGTATGGGCCAGGTGCGGTGGCTCACACCTGTAATCCCAGCACTTTGGGAGGCCGTAATTGAATCATTTCCCCCATGCTGTTCTCCTGATAATGAGTGAATCTCACGAGATCTTACGGTTTTATAAGCATCTAGCATTTCCCCTGCTTGAACTCACTCTGTCCTGCTGCCCTGTGAAGAATGTACCTGCTTCTCCTTTGCCTTCCACCATGATTGTAAGTTTCCTGAGGCCTCCCCGGCAATGCAGAACTGTAAGTCAATTAAATCTCTATCATTTATAAATTACCCAGTCTCAGGTATTTCTTCATAGCAGTGTGAGAACGGACTAATACACTAGTAGTTAACCATATAAAGTAGAAAAAAATTGAAAACATATCAAACATAAATATTAACTAATATTTAACACATTGTTACAATATATTCATATAAATCAGGTGAAGTTTTTTATTAATAAAGTAAAAATACAAAAATTTATGAAAATACATGAACATACTTGCTCAAAGAAGATACAGGGAACTTCAGGAAGGTTTTGGGTGGACTGCCAGTATCTGGTCACCTGTTACAATTATTAGCTGAAAATTGTCAAAGTCAAATTGATGCTTTGTGTTACCCTTCACAGTGAGATCTGAAATATAATAGAAATTGTCTTTTGTGCATAATGTGAGGTAGACATCAATATTCCTTTTTTTTTTTTACCCTATAGCTAAGGATTCTTTGTATCTCTCTGTGCTGCTGCCTTTGTCATGAATCAAGTGACAATATATGTCTGATCAACACTCCGTTCTTTTCTAATTCATCTTAGTGTCTCTCTTTGTGTTTAAAGCACATTGCTTTAATTGTTGCAGTAATTAGTGACTGGTGTATGTTTTCCAAACTTCTTATCTCTCAAGATTGTCTCACCAAATCTTAGCATTAGTCATTTCCATTACAGTTCATTATCGACATTGATTTTCACAGAAGCCCAGCTTTAATTTTGATTTTTTTATGGTGAATTCATACTTGATAGGTAAATTGGAGGAGATTTGACACCTTTATATAAACATTAAAATATTGATATTCACATGCAGTTGAGTGATAGATTCTTTAATGTACTTCAAGTTATTCAACGCATCAAAGTTTTTAAAAATTGTCATTGAGATTTTAGGTATGGGGACTGGCATAACAAAATACACACACAACTCTGAAAACATTTTAATTCTGAAATCATGATATATTGTTTATAATTTTTGTTCATTTGAGTGTAGTGCAATATTCATGTTTAATGTGCATTGTCAAAACAATATTTTCATTTGTTAAAACAAAAAAAACTTAGTTTATTAATATTTGCAAAAATGAACAATGGAAGAAATTCATCCACTTTTATGTCCTCATTTGAGCTTTATATTTCCCAGTTGGATAATTGAGTTTTCAAAATAAAACTTCTGACAAAAAAAAAAAAAACACTTCAGGGAAAATTTGGATTGGTAGAATCTGCCAATAGAACAAAGATATAAACAGAATAACAATATTTTGAAGAAGAACAAGAATACAAATTTAAGAACACAACCTGGAAAGAAATACAACTTAAAGTAAGAAAAAAAAAAATGCACTCAATGACATAAATTATACCTGAGTGAGGAGACCAACTCATTGAATTAAGATACCAGGTCTATTAATTAAAGAAAGCTATGCTATTATGCTTGTCATCCAAGGCACAGTAAGATGTCTAGCTTTTAATGGAAGTCTTGGGTCCCGAATAAATTAAAATTGATTTTGCTGCTTTTATTTTAAGTTGTACAGTGACAAAAAACGATGAATTCTTAGTCTCACAGAGCCAAACTGGAAAGTCAACATCATGTTTACTGCAAAAAGCAGGTGCACTGCAGGATTTAATTGGGTAGTGAATTTCATTGAAGAAAAAATACTGTTTTTAATAATCATTTGTGTGTTCACTATTACTCTTGTATTTGTTATGGTATTGGTTGCTTTACAGTAATTTCTTTCTTTTTTTTTTCTTTTTTTTTGAGATAGGATCTCACTGTGTTGCACAAGCTGGAGTGCAGTGGTGCAATCACAGCTCACTGCAGCCTCAACCTCCTGGGCTCAAGTGATTCTCTCATCTCAGCCCCCCAGGTAGCTGGGACTACAGGTGTACGCCACCATGCCCGGCTCAGTTTTTGTATTTTTTGTGGAGATAGGGTTTCGACATGTTGCCCAGGCTGATCTTAAATTCCCGGGCTCAAAGGATCCTCCTGTCTTGGCCTCCCAAAGTGCTGGGATTACATGTGTGAGCCACTGCAAACAGCGTACAGTAATTTGTAATGAGAAATGTATTTCTCTATGAATTTCTAACCAATGAGGTGCCATCTGTAGACGTGCTCACTAAATTACTGAGCCATGTAGTGTTCTCTTCCCTTCAAATATTTGGAAGTATTACAGTAAGAACTTCTGACAGATTTGGAGAATTTGGGGGTGTTCTGTGTGGGAAACGTCCAAGGGGAAAAGAAAAGACACACACACAATACCTTTAAGGGTAAACAACATTTATCCTATGTAAATGGTAATACAGATACAATAAGCAAATGATATAATAAGCAAATTGCAATGGGAAGGGGAGAAGGGAAAATACATATGTGTGTGTATATATATGTATGTATATATGTGTATACACACACACACACACACACACACACACACACACACACATATATATTTACACTTACCAGACCATGGAGGAAGCTTCACCAGACCGGGAAGCAACAGCCTGGGCTCCAGAGTCGGCTGCCTGTCCCGCACAGACTAGGAGAGGTCTCATGAAGCTTCAGCATAGTCTGGGACCCTAGCTCTTTTTGTTACAAGTTGTTTGGCATAAGGCCTAGTCACGAGGGCCCTTCATGACTGGGCTCAAGGAACACAAAGAGGTCAACTCATTTTTGCGATCGTCTGTTGTTTTTCAATAACTATTTCAATCTATTGAAATAGAGATTTCCCAGAAACAGCACTGGATGAATGCCTCAAGGGGCTCACACAACCTGTTCTGGGACTTGGTGACCATTGTTTGTGTCTACATTCAATTGAGTTCAAATTTAATATTTAACTTTTCCTCCATATTTGGCCTCAATTTCATACCCAGTTTTAGGAAAATACCCTTGCAGATAAATGGGAAATACATAATTGGTAGAGGTTACAGAATCAGGGTAAGCTGAGGAGAATCAGAAGCACAAGTAACAAGAACCACACCCACCATGGCCAACGCCAATGCCAGTTGGAAAGCCAGTCCACGATGGGGTCCTGACGGCTAGATTCTAGACGTTGTACTCGCGCCCACATACCTTTCGCAAGAAGGGTGACATGGCGGGAATTGTCTGGGATATATACACAGCACTTAGTGTGTACTCCTCCTTGGGCTGCAGTAAGCATGTCAGGTGCCACATGGTTCTGCAGGACAACTGTGCGCAGTTGAGCACGTTGATCTAATAATAACATAAGCCCAGAACTACTATCATTAAGAGCCTTTTCTGTGTGCAAGCTTAAGACTTTGGTTTGCTGCTGGAGTAAGACAGTGCCTGCAGCAGGATAGAGTATTGTGACAGGATACCACCACCATGGGGTTCGACGCACTTGCAACCAGCGATATTTATAAGTTTCTAAATTACTAGGGAGAGAAATGTCATCATGGACCGTAAATGGAATTAATGGCCACCCCCAAGTGCATCTTCCTGTCCAGTGTGGGGGTAGATATCGCCACCCTGAGAGCCCGCATACCCATAGGGCCCCCCAGGGGACGATGAGGACCTGGCTGTAATTATATTGTGGTAATAGTATCTCATTAAAGTGGGAAAGGGTTTGTGTTTCATTGAGGGCAGTGTTGTTGATTTGGAGAATGTGTTTACAATTATCTAATGGGAGAAATCCTAAGGTGGCATTAAGGGAGCCATTTAATGCCTCTAGGCAAAGGGGAGCCTTAGAAAATCCAGCAACTAGCAAAGCTGGTTCCTAATATATACCATTCCATGCATATCGAGCCGGAAGCAAAGACTTTTGGTGCAAGGTGAGGGTGGATTTTGCCCTATGTCGGGCTTGGGCAAAGAGTGCCTGTTTAGTGTGAGTGAGAGAGGTCCATGTTGGATTGCAGGTATTATTGTTGTGACCCCATTGGCAGTGGCATAGCCACTCTGTCGCATTAGCGGGAATGATTTTCCATGGTAGTCCCCTTCTGGCGGCCTCTGTCAATTCAGTGCAAAGCCAACACTGACTACTGTTCACTTCCCCTGCAGATGTGGCCATCCAATTGATGAATTTGTTATCTGCCTCAGAAAGGAGAATTCAGGTGCTGGCCATCAACAGGAGAGTTATTCTCTGTAGTAACAAAAGCGAAGAGGGACATGATATTGTTTTTCATCTTTAGGGCATTGTACTATGCCTTCATTTTCTGCTCCCATAGCTACAAGGTCACCAGCCTTAGGGGTGGGATCTGACAGATGCTGTACCCATATTTTGGCTCCAGGGTTTAAGCTACGTGTACCAGTGAATCCGAATCCCCCGGTTCTGTGTGTAGCCTTTGTTGGGGCAGAGATTTCCTCAGGGGTTAATTGCTGACAAGGTACCACTAACAACTGAGCAACCCGCATCTGCGGTTTTATAACAAAAATATCTGGAGGGGTATTACATAAAATGACCTTTAACTTTCCCCGGTAATCACTGTCAATTATGCCCCCATGTACTGTAATACCCCGCATTGCAAGATGTAATCCACTCATAATGTTTGCACGGTATTATAACTCCTAGGCCGGTGGCTACCACGTATGTACTTTGGGCAGGAATTATTCCAGGCTTGAAACTATATAAGTCCAAACCGGCAGCTTCTACTGTATTTCTCCAAGGTAATATAGCCTCTGGGTGGATTTTCCAGCATTTCAGCGAGAGAGGTCGGACTACACCTGCACACTTAGCAATTTGTAGGTGTGGAGTAAGCATTCGGCTTAACGGGGTCTCAGAAGTTGTTAATGGCTGAGTCTTTAAAACCTGTAGTGCATCAAACAGGTGATCCTTCCATTTTTCTAACTTACCTTGCCCTAACACCTTTAGCTGTTTTTTCAATAACCCATTCTTTCTTTCAATGAAGCCAGCCGCCCGCAGGTGGTAAGGGATACGGAAAACCCATTCAATGCCATGTTGGGTGGCAAAGGTTGTCTGTCTGAATTTGTGTGGGAACACCATAATATAAAATTAAAATATTTAAAGTTTTGATGGTATTGGTTTGATTAGCATTGCCGTAGGCACATGCTACTAGAAATCCTGAATATGTATCCTCGGCAGTGCATAGGTACTGACATCCTTTGGAGTGTGGCAATGGACCAATGTAATCCATTTGCCAAATTTGTCCGGGCATTTTCCCCCTATGAATGTGCCCCATAACCCTTTGAGGAACTGCTTGGTTTTAACTGCTGGCATGCAGTGCATTGGGATAAAATTGTGCAAACCACATCCTGGGGTAATGATATTCCTCTTTGCTCTCCTCAAACCATGGTCCCGTGGACACATAGATGCCCGCACCTGTGATGCACCCATCGCGTGAGTGCAGCCCAGTCCTGTTCTCCCAGGCCCGATTCTGCAGTAATGTGGAAATTTGAGCTTGTTGATCTGCCTGCTGATTAAATAGTCTGCCAAGAGAAAGCAGAGACGCGTAAGCATTTCCACCAACATGGAAAACAGTGATAGTTGTAGTGTGCGCCAGAATCCAGATATCTTCCCAGTATTGTTTTCCCCAAACCTCTTTATTCCCGAGTAACCATTTGTTTCGTTGCCATTGGGTCTTGCAAGTAGTGAAACCATTTGCTATTGACCAAGAGTAGGCATACAGGTGACAAATCCCCCTGGCCTCCTCCTGAATAGCTGGGAGGATGGCTACTAGTTCAGCCAGCTGGCTGCTCCCACCCCTTCCTTCATCAGAAATGCTTATGTTTTTAACAGGATTATAAGCCGCAGCCTTCCAGCATCGGGTTCCACCAATGTATTTGGCAGATCCATCAGTAAACCAAGCGCGTTTCTGATCCTCTGGGCTTAGTTCTTTAAAGGATTTGCCTCATTGGACAGGGGAGATCTCCTTCCCTATCTGTAGGATTTGCTCAGTGGTTTCCTGAGTTAGCATGTTTTGTACATCCTCAGGTAAAAATGATACCCCCTTTGGTCCCGGCTTACCCCTATCTTGTCTATACCATTTCTATTTTATGATGCTACTTTCTTGGGCGTGCCCTATTCGATGGGTTTTAGGGGAGCTTCTGACGCAAGTCATAATAGGAAACTTAGGTCTCATAAAAACATCATGGTTGAAGCAGAGGGGCTCTGTTTCCAGCAAAGCCCAATAGCAAGCTAACAGTTGCTTTTCGAAAGGGGTATAAGCTTTGCCGGCCTCTGGCAGCTTCTGGGTCCAAAACCCCAAAGGCACCCTCTTCCCATCCTGTTCGTGACGCCAAAAAATCTTCTGTGCAGGAAATGCGTGAGGGGAAAAGACACACACACAATACTTTTAAGGGTGAACAACCTTTATCCCATGTAAATGGCAATACAGATATAATAAGCAAATTGCAATGCCAAGGGGAGAAGGGAAAAAAAAAAAAAAATATATATATATATATATATATATTTACACTCACCAGACTATGGAGGAAGCATCACCAGACCGGGAAGCAACAGCCTGGGCTCCAGAGTCTGCCGCCTGTCCGTGCACAGACTAGGAGAGGTCTCATGAAGCTTCCGCACGGTCTGGGACCCTAGCTCTTTTTGTAACAAGTTGTTTGGCATGAGGCCCAGTCACGGGGGCCCTTCATAACTGGGCTCAAGGAATACAAAAAGGTCAACCCGTTTTTGTGATTGTCTGTTGTTTTTCAATAACTAACATACAGGAATAGATTGAAATAGAGATTTCTCCCAAACAGCGCTGGAGGAATGCCTCAAGGGGCTTAGACAACCTGTTCCAGGACTTGGTGACCATTGTTTGTGTCCACGTTCAATTGAGTTCAAATTTAATATTTAACTTTTCCTCCACAGGGGAAAAGTCTTATCTTTTGTTTTAAGTCACCGCCAACTTTCCTGTTTTCTGAACATTGATCTAACAAATGCATATTCCAATTAATAACATAAATAAAATGGAGAAAATACATTGATAGTACATTTTTTTGGTGAAATTTCAGTATTCCATCACAAGGGAGACTATCACATTTAATATATAAATGAGAGAAAGTCATTACTTTGTACTTCATTTATGTGATACTTCACTAGTTAAGTTAGTATCATTACAGACATATTTAATGAATTATTTAGAATCCACAAATATGCATATAAATGAGGATGGCTCTAAATTAAGCAAATATTAAAATTTAAATTATTAAGATATGCAACCTCTTATTGACTTTATAAAAGTTAAATTGTTGACTGCCATTAAATTTTATGGTTATTTTTCTGAAAATATAGCATATGGTACATACACCCAGTGGTGGGAGATTTTCTCCCTCTTGATTTTTTTTTCTTTAACTGTTCTAACAAAATATTATGTGCCGTGGGGTTTCCTTTTTATTCTCAGAACAGCTATATTGTAAGTTTTCCCTTCCTCTGTCTAAATTCTTCTGGGCCAGGCATGTTGACCTTAGTTTCAGTCTGGTATTGAAATGCTCCTGTAAACTGTATCATCACGAGTTTATTAGGTGAGTTCATAGAGCAAGTTGGAAGGATGAGGTTATAAATGAATTAGAGTCCATCACAATAAGTGGATGTGGTAGCTTTCTGGAACCTGTAATGGAATAACACAATGGAAAATAGTTTGCATTTTTTGTGTATGTTTATTTTCCCTAATTATTTTTTAACATACACTGTATTATAGAAGTAATAGATGTTTACTGCAGAAAATTAACAAAATTAAAACAGTCAAAATATTCATTTTTTCTCTCATATTTTTGGGCATGATATATGTAATATTGTAACTAATATAATACACAAGAAATATGTAATTTTATACTTTTCCCGGTTTTGACTACTATAATTAAATTGAAAGAAAATGCTTGCTGTCAAAAATAGTGAACACTGTTCTTAACTCTTTCCTTGACAGAATTATTTAAAACAACACTGAAAGTATTCATCACAAAGAGAAACATGAACACATTTAATTCTGTTAGAATTACAAATTTTTTCAAGCAGAATATATCATGAAAGAAAGGAAGGCAGTTATAAACTGGGGAAAGTATTTTCAAACAGATTGTAACAATTACGTTAGTATTTTACATATAAAGTTTTAAAACTTTAAATACTTAAAAGTCTTGGCCAGGCGCAGTGGCTCACGCCTGTAATCCCAGCACTTTGGGAGGCCAAGGCGGGCGGATCACAGGGTCAAGAGATCGAAACCATCCTGGCCAAAATGATGAAACCCTGCCTCTACTAAAAATACAAACATTAGCTGGGCGTGGTGGCACGCACCTGTAGTCCCAGCTACTCGGAAGGCTGAGGCAGGAGAATTGCTTCAACCTGGGAGGCAGAGGTTGCAGTGAGCTGAGATCATGCCATTGCACTCCAGCCTGGGTGACAGAGCCAGACTCCATCTCAAAATAATAATAATAATAAGAAGAATAATAAATAGATGAATACTTAAAAGTCTAACACTAGTTATTATTAATTTCAGTTTTCCTTATGAAGACCTTTCTAACGTTAAGTAATATATTTAAAAATCCAATTGTTAATTTAACCATTTTAAACCTCATTCATTGGCTCTTCATAATATAAAAAATTGAACATTAGGAATCTAGGTTTTTAAATCTCTGGTGGGAATAAATACATTATTACAAAGATTTTTAGATTTTCGTCCTTTATATGCGGTTCTGTATATATGCGTGTAAGTCTCTTACATTTTGTAAGTTAATTCTAAAAATCAAAGTCAAATGCATCTGTTATGGTTTGATTTATGGGTCTATAAAAACTTGATAGGTTAGAACTCCAAGGAAGAAAATACAATTTTGATAAAGGTACACAATTGAAAAAAATTGTATCCTTCACAACAGATGTGGGCAGTCAACTTTTAGACCTTGTGTCTTTAGTTTGACCTGTCCTTCAGTGAGTGTATATAAAATTCTAAGCTAAAACATATTTTCTGAAATTGTGAAGGTATTGCATGTCTATCTTCTTGCCTACTCTAAATATATCAATCGTTTTCTTGGGAAGTTAGTCTTTCTTTCACACTTGTCTGTAGATCTTTACATGTTCTTTCAGTTTTGGAAGTCCTCTGCATATTTAATATTTGTTAGTATTTGTAAAGGTTTTCTTCCTGTCTACCTCCTTCTTGTTCTCTCTCTCTCTCTCTCTCTCTGTTGCTCTCTCTTGCTCTCTCTCCACCCCCCTGTCTCTTTATCTCTCTCCTCTCTGTTTCTAAAAATTCAACCTAAAACTTTCAATATTTATTTAGGAAATAGAAAGTTTTTTTTTTCTTTTCCCTTTTCTTTTTTCTTTTTTTGTTTTTGAGACAGGATCTCAATCTTGCCCGGGCTGGAGTACAACCTCCATCTCCCGGGCTTAAGCAATCCTCCCGCCTCAGCCTCCTGAGTAGCTGGGATTACAGGCGTGTGCCACCATGCCTGGCTAGTTTTTTGGTATTTTTGGTAGAGATGTGATCTCTCCATGTTGCCCAGGCTGGTCTCTAACTCCTGAGCTCAAGCAATCTGTCCACCTCAGCCTCCCAAAATGCTGGGATTGCAGGCGTGAGTCACCGTGCCTGGTCAGAAAGCTTGTTTTGTTGTTGTTGTTGTTGTTGTTGTTTTGTTTTTTGTTTTTTTTTTCTAATTTCCATTTTTTTCTACTTTTTTCTGGTAAGACGGTTATTTAACTTCCTAGATCTGCTTTCCTTTTCTTTTTTAATCATTTTCCTCACATTTTCTATAACTTGTCTATTTTTGATTAATATATTGCTAAATGTCCTTTATATCATATTTAAAGAGGTACAACTTGTCCTATTTCTTAATTTCTCTATATTTAAAAAAGAAATAGTCTTATTTCAGATTTCTACAATGATTGCTAGTTTTTTTTTTTATTGTTGTGATTTCTAGAAATTTGTCCTTGGCTAACAGTTTCTTAATAGCTTGAAATTGCCTAAGAACATACAAAAATAATTTTTTTATTTAATTTCTTTTTTGTTACTAAGAATATGTGTTATTTTTTAAACTTTAGTCTTCTTTTTTTTTCTTTTTTTTTTTTTTTCTTTTTTGAGCAGAGTCTTTGTGTGTTGCCCAGGCTGGAGGGCAGTGGTGCAATCTTCATTGCAGGCTGGAAATCCTGGACTCAAGCGATCCTCCCACTTCAGCCTCCCAAGTAGCTGGGACTACAGGTGCATTCCATCACATCTGGCTAATTGTCAAATATTTTTTTTGTAGAGTAGGGTCTTCCTCTGTTACCCAGGCTGGTCTCAAACTCCTTGGCTCAAGCAATCTTCTTGCCTCTACTTCCCAACGTGTTGAGACTACAGACATGGGCCATGGCACCCAACCACTTTTGTACTCTTGAGGTTCCTCTTTCCAGTTTTGTTTTCCCTGCCTGATGGGGTCCTATCCATGTTTGAATTCTCAACTCAGACTTCACTATTTGGTGACTTTGCTTGCATACTTTTCTACCTCCTTTCTGTTCTACCCCATAGTATCTTACATATAGTATCTATCCATAGTATCCCACACATGCCCATTAAACAAATGGCAACATTTCATTAAGGGTGCTGTTACATAATATTTTTACCCCAACTACACTGAGTGCCTTGATGTAACATGTCTAATTTCATCTTTAGAGGTTAGTGAACTACGTTGAGTACAACTGTTTTGCTATAAATGCTGTCCCATGCTGTTGACTCCCATGGTCTGCCATATTTAAATGATTGCATTTTCTAAGCAGGTTCATATTCATTTTATTGTATCTATGACTCTCACAAGACCATTTGCTTATTCATTCATATTTCTCACAGAAAGAATAAAATAGTAACCTGTAACCAGAACATTATTTTGCTGACTGCTAAATGTGTCATATTTAGAAGCCTATGGAAGGAAAATTACTTCTGCTGATTCCCGATGCTATATTTATATGTGCATCTCTGAATATGAGCATATATATTTATATATATGTATATTTGCTCATTGCATGTGCTTGATAAATAGCTTTAAATGAATAAATGCAATAATTACTGAAGCCAGTAAAACATTTAAGAAAACAGATTCTTATAAATTTCTTGGAATGAGAAAACCAGAATAGAAATAACCAGTGATTCAAGTAGGAAACACTAAAACTCATTAATCTCTTAGGTTGCTATTCTGTACAATTTTTAATTTTCTTGAAGCTTTGTGTATTTATTTACAGGTGTCTTAAATGATATATGCAGTCAAAGCTGTCTGTTATTATAGCTGCTCGAATGTGTGTGACTAATCACTCATATCATAAATTCATTGATACAGAATACATGTTTACCAATTAACAGGTTTTTAAGCATTTGTACTCCTTTTTGCCAAACCTCATCAGCTTCTCAACTGGAAATCTTCCTGGACACTTCCTAACTTTTCACAAGGCTGTGGATTTCAAGTGAATACACAGTTGAAGCTTGGTGATGCTCGTTATAAATAGCAATCACCAAATTCATGCAGTATATGGACTTGCTTACTGCCAACTGCCTTCTAGAAATGTTTCCTGCCTTGATTAAAGCAAGACTCTCATATTCTTTTTCTAGCTTTCAGATCCTTTCTCCCCTGTTCTAATTCTCTTCTCTGTCTGTCTTTGTGTGTGTGTCTGTATATGTATGTGTATGTGTGTGTGTGTGCACATACAATCACTGAGTTTACTAAAATCAAAACTTACACTACCAGCCACGTATGTAGTAATAGCAGTCTTTAGCAATATGGGTAATTATGGTCATCCTTTAATATATTGTATGACAGAAGCATATCATATTATATTTCTCTCTTCCATGGTCAGGCACTTATCTTTCACAGAAACATACTCATAATGGAAAGGAAAAGAAGAATCCTTCTCCAAAACCAACTCCATCCTTGACTGGCCTCTTCTGTCTGATGGTCAGGGACTGATGAATAAAAAAATAGTTACTCAGTTCTATAGCTGCATATCAGTGTTTTTAAAACTTGAATGTATTTTTATGTGTACTCATTTTACTATATAAAATTTTGGAAGTAATTATTTTAGGACAGTTATGAAGGCAGACTATCACAGGTATCCATGTTTTATAAAATTTTAAGGCAAATATGTCACAGTGACAATCTATGTTTATATCTTTTGCAATTTTAGAGTCCCAAGCAAACATGAACAATAGATAATGCATAACACAAAACCTAACTATCCATTTCTTTATTACTGTAAGCTATTTAGAATGTCATACTTTATTCAAGTCTTCTCTTATAAATACATTATATAACTTCATTTAGTATTTCACTGTCAAAAATATTCTTATTAATGGAGAAACCAAAATCTGATTTTGACATTCTCAAGATAGAATTTTTAAAAATTTTTACTTATTTTTTAAACAATAAAACGGCATACATCAAAGCCATAATACTCAACTTAGTTCCTTAAAATAAGTAGGTAATAAATGAAAAATTTTTTATTTCACATTACTTGAATGTATTCTTTATTTTTGTATATTTATTTTTTCTTCAGAAATACTATTTTAAAATGTATTTATTTTAATCCATGCCCATTTCCCCATAAGAAATTGTATTTCAATATGCAATGAGTGTTTATTGGAAAAGCCACTCTGATAAAACAACTACAATGGTGAAGTTAATAGGATCCCACAAATGACTCTTTCCAAAGATTGGTGACAGGAGAGTCAATTGGTTAATTCAATTTAGATCATATGTAAACCCTAGGGATCTGGATGTCTAGTTCTCAGCAATTAATTAATTAAACCCAACTTTATCTGTTGAAGTAAGCTGCATAAGCAGGATTATTTATTGATT
Organism: Homo sapiens; assembly: GCF_000001405.40. Classification (NCBI taxonomy): domain Eukaryota; kingdom Metazoa; phylum Chordata; class Mammalia; order Primates; family Hominidae; genus Homo; species Homo sapiens. The sequence goes on from NC_000023.11 coordinate 4,781,531, forward strand.
ATATATAATCAAGACAAAAGTAAGCAGCATGAAGACAGAATCATTACGAACCCTTCATTAAACTTATAGTGCATAACTAAAAGCAGGTTATTCGATAATTACCTTTTTATAAACTATATTGGCCTTTGAGATTAAAGAGTGGCTAGAGGTACACACTAAATTTGCACAGGTTCTGCATGCTTGGAATTACTTATGCAATAATATTTTAAAATGTAATCTTAAATATTTTGATATTTAATAGTGTTTTATATTTTAATCATATTTTAACTTTAAATTAAGTTAATAAATATTATATCACTGCATTGAAATAATACTCCTATATGTAAAATTAGAAAATATCCTTTCTCTACCATTTTGGATCAAAGACATAAGGAGGTGAGAAATATCATAATAAATATCCATGACAAATAAATAAGTTCACTTAAAGAGTTTATAGGTTACAGGCTTGGACTTTGCCACCAGACAAATACTGGTGCCACTATTTGCTAAATTTGTGTGAAACTCAGCAAGTTAAGCACATTGGGCTTCAGAATAGTCTTTCATAAAATTAGAAAGATATCACTACATATGGAGTGAGGTTTTATGATTTAATTTATGGTAAACACTAATGTACAAAGAAAATCAATGCTTTATTAAAATAAAAGGTGTTTATCACAAAAATTACATTTAATAATTACATGCCAAGAGTTTTTAAAGTCAATTATGCACACATGCATACATACACATACATATGCACATATAAGTAGACACATAGATAATAGATAAATGAAATAGATAGATGATAGATAGACATAGATAGGATAGATAGGTATAGACAGGTAAATAGATGGATAGATGGATTGATGGATAGATAGATACATGACAGATTGGTGGGTAGATGGATGGATAGATAGGTAGATAGATGATAGATATATAGATGAATAGATGGATGGATGAATAGATAGATTCATCCATCTAGATTCATCCATCTAGATGGATAGATGAATAGATGAATGGATGGAGAGATAGATGGGTGAATGGATGGATAGATGATAGATAGATGGGTGAATGGATGAATGGATGGATAGATAGATGAGTAGATGGATGAATGGATGGGTAGATAGATAGATGGGTAGATGGATGAATGGATGGATAGATAGATGAGTAGATGGATGAATGGATGGGTAGATAGATGGATGGGTAGATGGATGAATGGATGGATGGATGGATAGGTAGATAGATGGATAGATGGTTGAATGGATGGATGGATGGATATATAGATATATAGATCAATAGATGGATGGATGGGATAATGGATAGCTAGATGAATAAGTGGATAGATGGATAAATGGATGGATGGATAGACAGATAAATGGATGAATGGTTGAGTAAATGGATTGAGAGATGGATAGACATGGAGAGATCAATGAATAGATAGATGAGTGGATGGATAGACAGATGGATAGATAATGGATGGATGGATGAATAGATAGATCGATAGATGGATGAATAGATGGATGGATAGATAGATGGGTAGAAGGTTGAATGGATGGATGGATGGATCAATGGATGGATGGCTGAATAAATGGACAGATGGATGGATGGATGGATGGATTGATAGATGGACAGACGGAGAGATAGATACACACATATTAACATACATACATATATGCATACATACATAGGTGCATAGATAGGTAAAGATAGATAGATAGAGATGGGTAGACATAGTTTTGGTTCAGTATGCTCTGTTCAATAAATTTTTTTTATCAATATTCAGTTATTAAAGAGAACACTCCGTAAGTTAATGTTTCTTCTTCCAGATTATCATTTTTATATACTTTGTCAAAATATTGATGGAAGTGTCATGTTTTTTCCACTATTAGACTCTGGCCTTGCAGAACTGTGCTGTCTTGTATTCTGGGTATTTCAGTCTTAAAGAGGAAATTTCCAAATGCCACTTCATTTGACATAAGGGAAAATAAATACATTTTAAAAGTCAAGTGTCAGGAAGAGAGAGGGAGGCAGAGAGAGAGAGAGAGTTAAAAGACATCTGGGTGATGTGTTTTAGCGGTATTCTGACCTGATTTATAATTGTAAACTGAGAAACCTTTCAGCTATTCCGCCCAGAGGATTCTAAGTAAGTTGCAAGGCTATGTGATTGTATCGGATTCTGGCTTCCCTCACTCAATTATTTTCAGAGTCCACTGCATTATGTGGTTTGTTTGAAAAACCATCAGTTTGGTAATTGACAGACACACACATTTAATGATTGCTTTTATTCTCTTGGTTTTAAAGGGACACATATTAGGACATTGTTCTTTGTGTATCAAGGGGTGATTTAGGGGCATGCCATCCTCAAAGAAATTTTAATTTTGAAAAGCACGTTTACCTTGAAAACATGCCCTCTACTCCTTTGCTTTATTTTTCTCCTTAGCACTTAAATCTACACTATATTTTATATATTTTATTTATTTGAAGTATAGCCATGGCCACCGCAGCAATATAAAGTTGATTGTGGCAGAAACATAGTCTGTTTCTTTTCTATTTCACCATCTCTCAGGACGTTAAATATATGCCTTAGCTTGATTTATTCTGGAAAATTTAGCCTTCTCTCTAATAACCGCTCAACTTCCATGCTATGTATGTCTCTTTGATAACCTCAAAATAAGGACATTGGTGCAGAGAAGCTGCATGTCAGATGTTAATGGATTTTGTGTTTTTTTTTTTGAATTTTTTATTTTTAGGGAGAGATCCTCACTCTATCACTCAAGCTGGAGTGCAGTGGTGCAATCACAGCTCATTGCAGCCTCAAAATCCTGGTGTCCAGTGATCCTCTCACCTCAGCGTCCCAAGTAGCTGGGACTACGGTTGCACACCACCACCAAACCCAGCAAAGTTTTCTATCTCTTTAGAAATTGGGTCTTGCTGTGTTGTCCAGGCTGGGGTCTCCAGCCAGCTTCCTGCCTCAGCCTCCCAAAGCACTAGAATTACGGATGTGAGCCACCATGCCCAGCCTTTAATAGATGTTAAGCCACAGTGCTCAGCCTTTAATAGATATTAATAGAAGAAAAGTTCTTCTCCCAATGATACCTTCCCCTTGAGAGGAAATTTATATTTATTGGTGTTTTGCAAGTTTGCCACCAGTTGTATCTTATTTACAGTTGGCTCCAGATAAGATAAAATAAAATATTCATTTATAGCATCTGCCGATTTTCCATACTCTTATTGCCCTATTTATTTTCACCATTTATTATTATAATATTTTAGTGTGGTAAAATACACATAACATAAAATTTATCATTAGTGGCATGTAGTACATTCACAATTTGGACAACCATCATCTCCATCGATTTCGACAATACTTTAATCACCCCAAAAGGAGATCCTGTGCCCATTAGCAGTTATTTTATATTCCATCTATCCCCACACCCCTAGGCAACCACTAATTTTTTTTCTGTTTCTGTGGATTTGCCCAGTCTTGACATTTCGTATCAGTGGAATTGTACAATCCCTTTGTGTGTGTGGCTTTTGTGTGTAGCTTCATTCACTGATCATGATGCTTTTAAGGTTCACCTCTGTTGTAGCACAGGGGTCCCCAGGCCCCATACCGGTCTGTGGCCTGTTAGGAACCGGGCCGCACAGCAGGAGGTGAGCAATTACACGATGGTGAGTTGTAGAATTATTTCATTCTATAGTACAATGTAATAATAATGGAAATAAAGTGCACAATCAATGTAATGTGCTTGAATCACCCCCCCCCCACCCCACCATCACCATCCATGGAAAAATTGTCTTCTACAACACCTGTCACTGCTGCCAAAAAGTTTGGGGACAGTGGATGTTGTATGTGTCAGTGTTCCACTCCTTTCTGCGGCTACAGTGTTGTAGAAAACAATTTGGCGGTACCTCCAAAACTTAAATATAGAATTACTTTAGGACCCAGCAATTCTACTCTTAGGTATATATTTTAAATAATTGAAAACAAGGGTTCGGGCCAGGCACAGTAGCTCATACCTGTAATCCCAGCACTTTGGGAGGTCGAGGTAGGTGGATCATTTGAGGTGAGGGGTTCAAGACCAGCCTGGCCTGTGGGCGGAAGATTACCTAGGTGCCGAGGCAAGAGACTGAAGGCACAGACTGTTTCAGTATATTAAAGAAAATAGTTAGAATAAGAATAGTCATCATACAAATTAGATATAGAGATGATCATGGACAATTATCAATCATTATTATAAATATTATTAATCATCAGCTTTTAATATTACTCTTTGTTGCATTACTAATGTAACCAAGGAATAACCGGCGGGTATAGGGTCAGGTGCAGAAGGGACTTTGTGAGAAATTGTGTGGAAGGCCCCCTGGAGAGGTATACAGCCTTCTACCTTTGCAGATGGGTTTAAAAGCAAAATGGAGCTGGGAGCAGTGGTTCACGCCTGGAATCCCAACACTTTGAGAGGCAGAGGCGGGCGGATCACCTGAGTCCAGGAGTTTGAGACCAGCCTGGCCAACATGGCAAAACCCTGTCTCTACAAAAATACAAAAATTACCTGGGCTGGGTGGCACGCACCTGTAGTCCTGGCTACTCAGGAGGCTGAGGCAGGAGAATCATTTGAACCTGGGAGGCGGAGGTGGCAGTGAGCCAAGATCACACCACTGCACTCCAGCCTGGGTGACAGAGCCAGACTCCGTCTCAAAAAAATAAAAGATAAAGAATAAAATAAAAAGTAATAATAATAATAATAATAATAATGGGAGGCTTTTTTTTTGCATGACTCAGTTTCCAAGCTTAACTTTTCCTTGTGGCATGGTGATTTTGGGGCCCTGAGATTTTATTTTTTATTTTCCTTTCAAATATACAAGAACATTTTTTCCATGTGCTTCATACAAGGAAGATGCCAAGTTTTCTGGAAGCAGGAAGAACAGTTTTCTGGTGACTATTCATCATGTTTTCCTCTTCCGAAGGGGTGTCTCCTTCAGGAGACAGAAAACAAGTCTCTTTGTCATCAATTCTTCCATCCTGATGTCCACGAATGGACACAGACAACACTAAATAGCTAACAGATGGGAGTTTTGTGCACACAGATAAGTGGCTGTAAGTGTGGGTGATGCAGCCAAATCAATTTTTAATATTATTTGTAGATTTCTGCAAACTTCAGAAAAGAAGTGTATTGCACTTCTACAAACATATCTATTGATATATAAATAAATCCAAAGTATGCTTATTTGTCTTACTTATCTGTGAAGGGAAAGTCTTCATAAGGAATGTGAGCAGAAGTTGGGTTCTGTTTGCTACAATCACATAGAGAAATCCCAGTGCAGGTCTAAGCATGTTTCCAAGAGCTATAACACAATTTCAGAATTATTTTCTTTCTTCTGCAAGTATTGCTATATCCATTTACTTAAACTTATTTATTTTGCGTCAAATTTTCTGCAGAATCCAGACAACATCAAATAAGTGCTGTGTCTTAATGGATACATCAGCAGCACAACTTTAGATTGAAACTTTTCTTAGAAAGCACTGAAACACAGGCTCTCACAGGAGACTTTCAGCACAGAAAATGGCATGTCAACATTGCACTGATATCCTTAGATGGGTCGCATACATATTTTATGAATGCACGAAAACAGTCTCACAATAAATTTTAGAGTCATGTTTATTTCATATGCACGTGAACATGGAACCTACGGAAAATTTGCAATTTTCTTTTGATGCCTGACCAGAATAACCAGTAGGTCAAAGAATGTCATTTACTTGAACCTATGGTTTGGGGGCAGAGGTCTGTGGAGCAGAATATGAAAACACCTGATAGCCAGGCGCGGCGGCTCACGCCTGTAATCCCAGCACTTTGGGAGGCCGAGGCGGGCGGATCATGAGGTCAGGAGATCGAGACCATCCTGGCTAACACGGTGAAACCCTGTCTCTACTAAAAATACAAAAAATTAGCCGGGCGTGGTGGCGGGCGCCTGTAGTCCCAGCTACTCGGGAGGCTGAGGCAGGAGAATGGCGTGAACCAGGGAGGCGGAGCTTGCACCACACTCCAGCCTGGGCGACAGAGCAAGACTCCGTCTCAAAAAAAAAAGAAAAAAAAAAAAGAAAAAGAAAAACACCTGAGCATGAGCATCCTATAGCAAGACTTAGGACACCACTAAGCCCTGCAGATAATGCAGGAATCTGTAGCTGGAGGGCACTTATTCGTTAATGTAAAAGACTAAAAGCAACAGGGAAAAAAACATCCAAACATTTGAGGAAAACTGTCCAAAAAATAGAAAATAATTCAGGAGGAAAATGAAGTTATAAACATTCAGAATATGAAAAGATAGTTAGCCTCTTCCGCCCAGTAGCTTTGCAAACCCCCAAAATGGACAATTTCGTTAAAATAGTAAGAGTTGTTGAAACTGTCACTGAATTTACTTAAAATACAATTATTACAATGCTTGTCAAATAAATTCGCAAATCTAGGGACATATCTTTATTTGAATTGTGGAATTATGTTATTTAGATATTATACAGTTTTAAGAACTAAACTACCTTATGTGAATATCTCACGCATACAGATCAATATTTTATTCTTCTAAGTGTTAAATGAAATGTAACCTAAAGCTGCCTCTGTACATATTTTAAGCTCAGCCTCAAGGTGTCTCTGTATACAGTGAAGTGCAGCCTAACTAGGTCTGTAAACAGACTAGAACTCACTCTTGTGCCAATCACTGACTTTTGGCCAGTCAAAGGCTGCCACCTTTCAAACCATGTTCAAATAAAGCAAAATGCTGAGGTTTCATCAATCCAGGTGTTTGTCTACCTCACTTTCATTTTCTCTGTCACTTTCCTTTTTCTGTCCATAACTTTGACCTCTATGCAGCCTCAGTCTCTCTGAATCTGTTCTGGTTTGAGAACTGCCCCATCCATGAATTCTTCTTTGCTAAATTAAACACTTTAAATTTAATTTGTCTAAGGTTTTTCTTTTAACATGAGTATAATATTATGTCAAATAAAAATGCCTTTGCTATACTGTATTTGCTCAAAATAAAACTCCAAAAGGTTATTTAAAATCTGCGTATTCGTTTGTGCACAATTACTTTTCCTGGTGATATATTTTCCTAGGTTGTAGAGGCATGCTTCAATTCCAGACAGTGGCACTCCAGATGACCTCTTGAATTGGAATTACTGGGTTCAAATAGCTATCCTGTTCATTAACAACCTATGAAACTGGGAAAATTACATAGCCTTGTAGGGCTGTACTACCCCAATTTGTAAAATAGAGAAAAGAGTGGTACCTGTTATCCAGGGCAGGTAAAGAAACGAACTGAGACAATTTCGTTTACACAGAACAATATCTTGCACATGACATGTGATTTAAAAGCCAGAATCAATAAGAGAGGTAAAATGTATTTGCTCTTGAAGGATCAGTAAAAGAGACCTTCTGGGGAATGATATGTGAGATCTGCAAATGGTAAGAACAGCTTGGGCAACATAGCGAGACCCTGTCTCTACAAAAAAAAATTTAAATTAGCCAAGTGTGGTGGTGCATGCCTGTAATCCTTTGGGAGGCTGAGGCGGGAGGATTGTTGAGGCCAGGAGTTTAAGACCAGCCTGGGCAACATAATGAGACCTTGTCTCTAAAAAAAAAAAAAATATATATATATATATATATATATATATATATATATATATTAGAAATTAGCTGGGTGCAGTGGCAGGGGCTTATAGTCGCAGCTACTCAGCAGGCTGTGGTGGAGGATTGTCTGAGCCCAGGAGTCCAAGGTTGCAGTGAGCTATGATTGTGCCACTACACTCCAGCCTGGGCAAAAAACATTAAAAAAATTTTAAAAGCCAGGCATGGTGGCTCAGAGCTGTAATCCTAGCACTTTGGGAGTCTGAGGCAGGCAGATTACCTGAACTCAGGAGTTCGAGACCAGCCTGGGCAACATGGTGAAACCCAATCACTACTAACATACAAAAATTACCTGGATGTGGTGGCATGCACCTGTAGTTCCAGCTACTTAGGAGGCTGAGGCACAGAAATTGCTTAAACTCTGGAGGTGGTGCTTGCAGTGAGCTGAGATCACACCACTGCATTCCAGCCTGAGCAACAGAGTGAGACTCTCTGTCTCCCGCCCGCCTCCCCCCGAATAAAATAAATAAATAAATAAAAATAAAAAGGTAATAAGGTTAAAGTAATCAGTGTGTTAGAAGTAAATATAATTAATGAGGCTGGATATAATTTAAAAAACTGTAAGATCAGAATCTGCCATAATGTAACAAACAAACAAACAAAAAACACGTAACTTAGTGAATATATTCATTCTATTTTTTTTAACTTAAGAGCAGCTGAAATGGTGTGTGAAGCTCTTCATAAGAATTTCCTTGTCTTATGTCCCATATTTGAATTCCACTTGAAGATCAGACAGGGTTCTCTTTTGCTCTCATGGCCAGGATGCAAGACAAGACATTAACATTTCAGAGAGTTCTACTCTTATTTTAAAATATGTAAGATGGTGTAGTTGTATGGTGGGACTATGGACTTCATCTGCACATTTAAAAATACATCCCTTACTAAAAAGGAACCCACTATAATTAGCTGTTATAATTCAGATATATAATTGTTTTTTGTCGTATATAAAATTGTATATACTACATGTGTATGTAAGTACGTATTCACAGCTGCCCTCATGTGCTGTTCCTATACCCAGTATTCTTTTCCAGCTGCTCTTTGAATGATCGAATCCTTTTAGTTCTTCAGGTCTCTGGTTTATCAGCATTCATAGGTTTGCTATTTGCACTTTATCGAACTAGAACTCCATGCCAGCCCTGCAGAGCTGTTTGAATTTCCTAATTATTTGTTTGTTAATTTATTTGTCAATGTCTCTTTGTCCTATTAGGGTAGAAGGTGCTTTAGAGAAGAGAATTTGTGTTTGTGAGAGCTGCAGAGTCCACGGCTCTGCCTGAATTGCACATCACTTATTCAGTAAATTATGATTGATTGAATGATTGTGAAAGAGGAATGTTTTCCACTTTAGGGGGAACTGTGTTCTTCTGGGAGTCTCGTTAAGTTTTCCACTCTCTTGATAGAAAAAGCACATTTGCAAGTACCTGTAACAAAACAGTGTTACCTTGCATTTTCAAATGGATACATGCATTCACCGAAATGGTTACCAAGTTGCAACACCTCAGAGGAAGAGTGAATCTCCCCTGGACGGGGTCCCTTTGTGTTCCTGTTGGGGTACATAATGAAAAGCACATTGGGCTTAAACTTCATGTGAAACAACTCAATGTGTTTCATTTATTTCTGCTTTTCATGCTCAACTCTTACTCTTGCCGCTGACAGTTTCAAACATTCTCTGCATTTGCAGCCTCCTATGACTAACAATGGATACAAAGTGGATGAACTAACGTAAATAGATTTCAAAATAATTTCAATAAGAAAATTATTGGCCTCCTTTTCCATCTCTTATTTTTCCTCCTCCTCCTCCTGTTTCTTCTTAACTCGTACTATCTGTGTTAATTTTTTTAAGTGGTAAATGGGAAAGGCAAGCCTTCTAAATCACAGTTCTGTCATATTCACTCAACAATTTTTTTTTTTTTTTTTTTTTTTGAGATGGAGTCTCACTCTGTCTTTCAGGCTGGAGTGCAGTGGCGTGATCTCAGCTCACTGCAACCTCCACTTCGCAGGTTCAAGTGATTCTCATGCCTCAGCCTCACAAGTAGCTGGGGCTACAGGTGCACACCACCGTGCCTCGCTAATTTTTGTATTTTTGGTAGACAGGATTTCACCATATTGGCCAGGCTGGTCTTGAACCCCTGACCTCAGGTGATCCACCTGCCTCAGTCTCCCAAAGAGCTGGGATTACAGGCATGAGCCACGGCACCCGGCCTCACTAAAAAATTTGACCACTTCTCCTTGTAAAGTCTTATTCTTACCTTGGTGTTATCAGAACTAACAAAAACAATTCAGGCGATTATTAGTTTAAGATTCTCAAGAGAGGCATATTTCTTTGAAATTATTTAAATAAAAATGTAGATTAATTGCTGTGGAAATGAGAACACATAATCACTTTAGATATTGGTGAAAAATCCTCGAGGCAACATTAAAGTATTCAGAATTCAGAGACTACATACACTAAATTATGTTTTCTCAATGTCCTTTTTTTTCTGGAAAACCTGTTGACATGAAATTAGATTTAGAAACATATGTCTTTTTTATATAATCACAATTAAATGATTTTTAATATACTTAAATTTCTCTGACATTTTTGCGTATGCTTTTTAAATTTTACTTAACCTAAACTCTTCACTAGATGTATATCTTTTATTTGTGTAATTGTTGATAAAGTATTAACTGGCAATGAAAAAAATGTATTTTGAAGTTCTAAATCCTAAAAATATGTTCTTATTCTTAATGATGGTCAGGACACATATTTTTATTAATAGTAAGCCATACTTAGGCTTAACAAATCTGCTATCTCATGGGAGGATAAACAGAAGTGGAATAAAAGCTCATGTCAAACATACACCACAACAAAACTGCACTTGCTTACATCTTAGCAAAGACAATGGCTGGAGAGAGCTGTACGGCCAAATCAGTACCTGTTGCTGGTGTGTTCTGCCTTGGTGTGGCTTAATTTATTAATTTCCATCCTGTATAATAAATAGCCGAGAGCAAGCCCTGTGACCGTCTGGATAGGTGGTTTCATGAGATGGAGATCTAATCATGAAGAAATTTTGGATCACAGCCATAGGAAGTTAAATAGCAACTTGGTTGGTGATATGGTTTGGCTGTGTCCCCACCCAAATCTCATCTTGAATTGTAGCTCCTTTTGGATCACAGCCATAGGAAGTTAAATAGCAACTTGGTCGGTTGATATGGTTTGGCTGTGCCCCCACCCAAATCTCATCTTGAATTGTAGCTCCCATAATCCCCATGTGTCATGGGAGAGACCTGGTGGGAGGTAATTGAATCATGGGGGTGATTACCCACATGCTGCTGTTCTCAAAATAGTGAGTTCTCGCTAGATCCGTTGGTTTTATAGGGGGCTCTTCCCCTTTTGCTCAGCAGTTCTCCTTTGCTTCCCCTTCCACCACGATTGTAAGTTTCCTGAGGCCCCCAGCCATGCTGAACTGTAAGTCAATTAAGCCTCTTTCCTTTTTAAATTATCCAGTCTCAAGTACGTCTTTATTAGCAGTGTGAGAACAAATTAATATAATTGGCCAATGGGAATCATGTGAATCTTGTCAAAGATTGAGGAGGATTTTTCTTTTTTTCAGATGGAGTATCTCTCTGTCGCCCAGGCTGGAGTGAGTGGCACCATCTCGGCACACTGCAACCTCCACCTCCCAGGTTCCAGCGATTCTCCTGCCTCAGCCTCCCCAGTAGCTGGGACTACAGGTGCGTGCCACCACATCCGACTAATTTTTGTATTTTCAGTGGAGATAGATGGGGTTTCACCATGTTTGCCAGGCTGGTCTTGAACTCCTGACCACAGATGATCTGCCCACCTTGGCCTCCCAAAGTGCTGGGATTACAGGCATGAGCCACTGCACCCAGCCTGAGGCCAGACGGCTAAACTGAAAGAGCACACTGTAACACACGCCCCCTGGGGCTTCTGGCGCTGTAAACACTCAACCCTACAGGCTACTGTGGGGTCAGAGCTCATGCTACCCCACGACCTGCTCATCTGCATACTCCCCGTAGGGGTTTGAGCTGCGGGCACCAAAGAAGCGAGCCACACCCCATCTCATGCCCTGTTAGGGGGATAAGAGAACTTTTGTCATTTCACCAGCATCTGCTTTGGGGGAGGCCTTAGGTAGCTTCCACTCCGCGGTGGAAGGGGAAGGGGAGCTGATGTGTGCAGAGATCACAGGAAGAGAGTGGAAATGAGAGAAAGAGGGGGAAATGCCAGGCTCTTTTTAACAACCAGCTCTAGTGGGAATGAATAGAGAAGAACTCACTCCCCTGTCCTCCAGGAAAGACATTAATCTGTTCATGAGGGACCCACCTTTATGACCCAAATACCTCTCATTATGCTTCATCTTCAACATTGCAATCACATTTCAATGTGAGGTTTGTGGGGTCAAACAGACAAACTACAGCAGAGAGTAATATAAATGCCAGGGAAGCTTTTGTATTTTTTGAAGCAAGCATTTTTTAAGCAAAATAATGTGTAACCATATTAAAATGAATCTACTACATTTATTGTTTAAATCAGTTTTTCTTTTCTCTGAAATTGCTAAATTTCTGTTTAGGCATTATTTACTAAGGAAATTCATACTCAAGGCACTTGAAAATATTTGGTGGTGGTTGTTATTTAATTTTTTTGCAGGGGGTGTTTCTTTGAGAATTGCAAGTGGAGTTAGATTTTTAAACACACACAAAACACACAGGAAGGCACCAAACAACACCATGATTTTACCTGTCTTGTATAATCCTACTATGTTATTCTAATTCTCTTATTCTCCTCCTTTTTATTTTATTTTTAAAAATATTTATTTATTTATTTATTTTTGAGATGGAGTCTTGCTCTGTTGCTCAGGCTGGAGTGCAGTCACAGGATCTCAGCTCACCACAACCTCCGCCTCCTGGGTTCAAGTGATTCTCCTGCCTCAGCCTCCTGAGTAGCTGAGATTACAGGCATGCACCACCATGCCCAGCTAATTTTTTATATTGTTTTGGTAGAGATGGCATTTTGCCATGCCAACCAGGCTGGTCTCGAACTCATTTCCTCAGTTGATCCACCCACCTGTGCCCATTGCTGCTTCCTCTTTCTCTTCTTGGCTGAGGAAAGCAGAAACGCCAGTTAATCATTGTTATAGCACGTAGAAATCTGCAGGAAAAACCTATAGCCTTGGATCACAGCGAAAAGAAAGAAGGCTCTTAAATATGACTGAGGTCAGTCTAAAGGACTTCTCAAACAGGAAGGAGCCCATACTTCAAGCAGGTTTATTTTCATCATGTCCACTAACATCCTGCAGGGAAAAACAAGTTTTGAGGCGACTCTCAACATCAGCAAAGATGACCAAGAGCAACACAATTTGAAACAAGAATAATGACTGCAGTGGATCAAAACAGATTTAAAAGGGTTAATAATGATACACCTATCCTCCCTCAACACCAGAAAAAAAAGATGAAAAAAATTTAAACTTCAGTTTTATTGGGTTCTAGGAATTATTAGAGTTTAGAAATGTTATGTAAGCAGATACTAACTTCTCTCTTCCGAAATCTACACTGATGTTAGTTTGGCCATGAAACTTGCTTGGTCCAATGGAATTGGAAAATATATAATTCAAAAATCTAAACCATTAGAATTTTGATTTTTTATTTTTATTTTTTTTGAGACAGAGTCTTGCTCTGTTGCACAGGCTAGATGGAGTGCAGTGGCATGATCTTGGCTCACTGCAACCTCTGCCTTGAGGGTTCAAGTGATTCTCCTGCCTCAGCCTCCTGAGTAGCTGGGATTATAGGCACTCACCATGACACTTGGCTAATTTTTTGCATTTTTAGTAGACACAGGGTTTCACTATATTGGCCAGGCTGGTCTGGCACTCCTGGCCTCAAGTGATCTGCCTGCCTCGTCCTCCCAAATTGCTGAGATTACAGGCACGAGCCACTGTACCCAGCCTGAAATTTTATTTTATTTTTAGACTTAAAGGCATGTGAGTAGAGGAACTAAATCATGTGACAGGCAGTGTAACTTAGTCAACTGAGACTTTTGCTTCTCTGATTATAGATTAAGCCATCTCTTTAACTGAAATGTTTTGTAAACGATTGTACATTTAAAGGGCTCCAGGGAACCCTCCTTCTCCATTCACTGCAGATCTTCATTATAGATTAACTTTCTTCTTACATTCTTCACACAAAGTCTTCATGGCTATCACACTGTGTGAGATGGAAAATTAAATACATTCTTTTAATTTGGAAAGGAAATAAAAACAAGCTGTAAAGAAAAGAAGCTGTACAGAGAAAAAAAACAAACTGTCGCTAGTTAAATTATTGTAACTCATAAACAAGCTTTGTCTAGAATATGGTATAATCCTACTAAATTTATTTTGTTTTTATGCCTATATAAACAAGATCTTAACTTTTTTTCTTTTTTTTTTTTTTAGATGGAGTCTCACTCTGTCACCCAGGCTGAAGTGCAGTGGTGCAATCTCGGCTCACTGCAACGTCCACCTCCTGGGTTCAAGTGATTTTCCTGCCTCAGCCTCCCAAGTAGCTGGGACTACAGGTGTACGCCACCACACCTGGCTAATTTTTGTATTTTTTTTTAAGTAGAGACGGGGTTTCACCATATTGGCCAGGCTGGTTTTGAACTCCTGACCTCATGATCCACTCGCCTCAGCCTCCCAAAGTGCTGGGATTACAGGTGTGAGCCACCGCTCCCAGCCCAAGTTCTTAACTTTTAACTTCAGAGCGCTGGCCCTGTTTCTCTGGAGTCTGTTTCCTGGGTGGCTATTCCTGATTTGGGCTCTAATACACTCTATTCCTAATCATATTTTCTATATCTTGTTATTTAACATAGACAGGATATTACTGGATGTGACGCAAATAAAGTTGCTTGAAGTGAGCTTTCATAGTAAAACCTGCCCTCCTGTAATTCTGCCATTGCTATAATGAAAAGACATAGTCCACTGCTTCAAGTAGGTAGGAGCTATGTGGGTTTGCCCTGGAAGTAACCTGTTGCTTGGAATCAAGCCCAAGTCTAGGACAGCTAATTCCAGAGCCTATTTCTGGTAGAAACACAGGAAATGAGTGGGAATCAGTATCTTTTTTTGTTGGATGTTGAGATGGCTTATTATACAGCATTGCTATGGGCTCAATGTTTGGGTCCCTCCTAAAATGTATACGGTGAAGTCCTCTGACATGGTTTGGCTGTGTCCTCACCCACATCTCATCTTGAAATGTAGGTACCATAATTCTCACGTGTTGTGGGAGGACCCGGGGCAAGTAGTTGAATAATGGGGTGGGTCTTTCCTGTGCTGTTCTCATGCTAGTGAATAAGTCTCATGACATCTGATGGTTTTATAAATGAGAGTTCCCCTGCACATGCTCTCATGCCTGCTGCTATGTAAGACGTGACTTTGCTCTTCATCCACCTTCAGCCATTATTGTGATGCCTCCCCAGCCATGTGGAACTGTGAGTTCATTAAACCTCTTTTTCTTTATAAATTACCCAGTTCTGAATATGTCTTTATTAGTAGCCTGAGAACAGACTAATACACCCTCATTCCCAATGGAATGGCCTTGGGAGATAGGGCCTTTCAGAGATAATCATGTTTAGATGAGATTATGAAGGTCTTGCCCCCATGATGCAATTAGTGTCCTTATAAGAAGAGGAAGCAGTATCAGAGCTTTCTCTGTGACAAGAAGGCAGCCATCTGCAAGCCAAGAAAGGAGCACTCAATGGGAAACCAAATGGGCAAACACCCTGCTCATGGACTTACCTGCTCCAGAACTGTGAGAAAGTACGTGTCTGTTGTATAAGCCCCCAGGTTCATGGTATTTTGTTCTGGCAGTTCTACCCTTCTAATACCAACATACTGTGTCAGCCATGAACTGGTGCATAAATGGACCTGTTACATTTATAACCTATTACATTGATCATCTTTTAAGATTGCTATATAAAGGTAAAGAATAAGCCAGCTATACCATCTGTTTTGTATGGTTCCAGGACATTTCTCTTTATAGAAATAATCCAGCTAATAGAAAGACCGAAAAGAACTGGAATTTCACCATCTTGAAACCAATTATGAAGTAGTGAAACAGTATATCATGAAAATAAATAATATAATAATGGATTTCTAAGTAATGATCATTGATGGTTGTTCAACAAAAGAGAGGCAATCTCGGTGATGGTATATACCTATAAAGTATTTTTGATAAAAAAATAAAACTTGTATGTGTTCAAGCCTCTACTGCTAAGTACAGAAAATATTTAAAAACAAAAGAAAAAGGTAAGGTTTCCCTGCATATGTAATGAACAAATTTCATACTGGATAAAAACTGCAGGACAAATGGTCTTTAAAAAAAAAAAACTACATTGCCAGAAAAGAAAATAAAGAAAAAGAGATTCTAAATATTTAAAGAGACCTTAAAAGCTATATCAAATAATGCAGTGTGTAGACTTTAATTGGATTCCAACCGAAACAGATTAGTAGTGTACATATATTTGATACTATCCAGGCAATCGAAATACTTGCTAGATTATGGAAATATTAATTGTTTTTAATATTTAATATTTACATATTGTTAACATTTAAAGTAGAATGATAGTGTGGTTATATATTAAAATAGTTCTCATCTTTTTGAGATTAATATCAAAATATTTACAGGTGAAATCATGTGGTAGGTAGAAATTGCTTCAGTAAATAGGGTAGGGCCCAGTGAAGTGGCTCACACCTGTAATTCCAGTGATTTAGGAGGATGAAGAGGGAGGATCATTTGAGCTCACGTCTTTCAGACCAGCCTGGGCAAATTTTAAATTAAAATTTTTTGTAGAGATAGGGTCTCATTCTATCTCTACAAGAAATTTTAATATTAGCGAGGTGTTATGGTATGCACCTGTGTTCCCAGCTACTCAGGAGGCTGAGGCAGGAGGATGGCTTGAGCCGGAGAGGTTGAGGCTGCAGTGAGCCATGATTGCACCACTGCACTCCAGCCTGGGCAAGAGAGTGAAAGACCCTGTGTCCCCAGCCCTGACTAAATAAATACATAAATACATAAATAATATGCATGGGGGTTAGTGGATACATGCGTAGAAAAATGTGCGTTGATAACTGAAGGGTAAAATGAGTTCATTATACAATTTTATCTATTTTTGTGTTAGTTATGTATAACAAAAGGTAAGTTAGTGTGTGTGTGTATCTGTCTGTTTGTGAGTCATTCTCAAATGGGCGCAATTTCTGCCTGTCCCCTAGGCATTTGACAGTATCTGGTGACTTTTGGGGTTGTCCTAATTTGTGGGTGGTAGTTGCTCCTCAGATCTAGTGGGTGGAGACCAGGGATGCTGCTCAACGTCCTACATTGCACAGGACAGTACACCATGTCAAATAATCATCTGGCCCTAAATGTCAATAGTAATGAGACAGGAGAGTTCACTGGCCCTCCTTGCAGGGCATGCAACAGGGGTGCAGCTCTCTCTTTGACTGCTGTGAGCTCAAACACCTACGGGAGGGGGAGCACACAGACAAGCAGGTGCAGGAGCTGGGGCAAGCGCTTTGGGCTCTGGCCCCATGGTAGTGTCTATGGGTGGATGCTTGTGGCCCCAGTGTTGCAATGATCTTTTAGGTGTGCTGTCTGCAGATGGCTTAAGTGTTAACCAGCTCAATGTCCCCTCTGCCTTTCTGCAATGGTGGAGGGCCAGTGTGACAGCTTTTTGTATCCTGATCTCTTGTCTAGCATCCTGGAAGAATTGGGTCACACACAGACTTGAAGGATGAATGCAGGGGTTTTATTGAATGGTGGAAGTGGCTCTCAGTGGGATGGATGGGAGCTGGAAGGGGGATGGAGTGGGAAGATGATCCTCCCCTGGAGTTTGGCTGTCCAGCATCCGAACTCATCTTCAACCACCCCCAGCCGAACTCCTCTCAGCACTCAGACATTCCTTTCCTTCTCTCTTTCTCTGCCATGCCGTTCTGCTATTCATCTGCTTGTCTCCTCATCTCCTCATCTGCCTCTGGATCCTGAGGTTCAGGGTTTATATGGGTACAGGATAGGGGGCATGGCAGGCCAAAAGCAACTTTTTGGGGCAGAAAAACAGAAATACCTGTTCTCATTTAGGGCTGCAGGTATCCAGGCTTGAGGGTGGGGCCTTTGCTGGGGAACTGCCTTCTTCTACTCAGTATTTCCCTGTCTCCTGTCTGTATCAGTAACAAGGTAAAGAAATCCTAACATATTGGTGTATGGAAGGAGCGCATCATACCGGAGATGGGTCTAATTTGAGAGACTCTGCTTTAATACAAACATGACAATAATGAGATTATGTGGATTTTTCATTCGTAAGATTGCAATGCTGAATGCAAAGTTTTGCCCTACCTTTCTCTAGCCATTAATAGGGCAGAATAGCGCACCCCTTGACCCCTTTGCTTGGATTCAAACTATGTTGCCATGTGATTAGTGTGTTTTTCTGACTCTTGAGGTGTTTTTCTAGCCTCTTCTCAGGAATATCTCACTCCAAGGACTTCTTTTCTCATCCTTCTCTTGTATGGGTACCTTAAACATCTGCTCCTCCATGATTCCAATGCTGGGAGAGCCATCCTGTAAAGACAGAATGGAGTCTCTCGATTGTTGATGTGAGCCAGTGACTAAGACATAGAAAACCATTCTCTCCATATGGTAGAGGAAAAGTCAGAGAAAGAAACAGGGAAGCCTTCTTCTTGGACCTAGATGAGGTGGGAGTGAAGATTTTAGAAGAGGAGAGAAGGGAAATTGTTGGCAGCATTCTCCAAACTTCATGAGTGTTCTTTGTTGTTTCATAAATATGCCTTGTATTGTTTGTGACACACACACACAATAAGTATCTATATATATGTATACAAACACACATATGTAGAGTATGTGCATATACATACAAGTGTATATATACACATGCCTATATTTGTGTATTATACACATATGTACATGTTGAAAAATTAATATTGCAATATGTATTTCATAATGTCTTCCATCGAAACATAACCTTTTAGAAAAATAATCATAACCAAAAGAATTTTTAAAATACAATTTCTGGTTACTAAAAAATAAATGCACATTTGTAGAAGCAGCTTCTTTGGTCATTTGATATGTGTAATTCTGGGGTGTTTTTTTTCTGAGAATTTCCTCATATATCTCCTACAAAGTCATCAGAGGAAGAAAAAAGAGTAGCGAAGTCTAGATAACATTTGCATGCATGATTAATTCTTGGATGTTTGGTAGATCAATGGTATGGGAAACTGTCTAGATTTGAATGCTCAACTTGACGCACTGACAAATTGGAAATTATAAATCAGAAACAGAAAGATCATCTTCAAAAAAAGTAATATGCAAACAAGTAGAATGAATCTCCAATTGCATAGGATTAACGCCTTTTTTTGAGAAACCAGGGTCAACAAGTATTAATAGCGTTTAAAAGTTAATTATCTAGAACAGATATTTTTCCTGAATAAAATATTATTTTTAAAACTAGGACATCAAAGTGTATTAAAGCATGTCTCTTTTTTAAATCCCATGACTGTGATTATTTTAGAGCATGAGCCAAATTTACCTCTATGATACAGGGGACTGACAAAAACACAAAACCCATTTAAAGGCTAAGAATACAATTTCATTTGGAAGATCATTAGGAGATGCACAGAATTCAGATTGCCTCCTTACATAGAAAGAGCTTTTAACACACTTGCCTCTGGCTCTCTGCGGGGGATATCCAGAAAAGATTAACCTAACTAGCAATGCAAAGTTGTATTCATATTTGCTCCATAGGAATATTACCAGAAACCCATTACATTTAATCATGCAAATTACTGACACTGTATGAAAACAGCCTTGAAAGCGTAAACTTTTTCACAACCTCAGCAACTCTTTCCTTACAGTCGAATGCAACCAATGTAATAAGTTTTTTTTTTAATTGCATGCAGAATTTGCCTCTTCAATATGTTCAGTTTTCACAACGATTTAAACATCTTTAACAATGAAGGATGTTGGCAGGGCATACATGCTAGCTCATCGTCAGAGAGCTGGAGTTTTTTTTTTTTTTTAATTTGAGAGAAGGTCTCATTTTGTCACCTAGGCTGGAAGGCAGTGGTGTGATCTCAGCTCACTGCAGCCTGCACCTCCCAGGCTCAAGCAATCCTCCCGCCTCAGCCTCCCGAGTAGCTGAGACTACAGGCATGTGTTACCACATCCGGCTTTTTTGTGTGTGTGTGTTTTTGGTAGACAGGTTCTTGCCATGTTGCCCAGGCTGGTCTCCAACTCTTGACCTCCAATGATCCTCCTGCCTTGGCCTCCGAAAGTGCTGAGTTTACAGGCATGAGCCACTGCACCCAACTGGGAGCTGGAGTTTTCAAGGTGTTAGAGTGTCATATTTGGTGTGTTCCTTTCTGAAATAGAAAGTATATTTAAAGAGCATGCATATGTGGATGCTGCAGACAACCCCAGAAATCACTTTACATTCATGATCAGTGTTTGCATTAAAAACTCTGCTTGGTGGAAAGGATTCAAAGAAGATAGAGAGAAAATTGCATCAGTAACATGTTAGTCAATAAACAGAAGAGTAAGAAAATGACCACTTTATATGTCTATGTTTCAGGACTATTAAATTTGCATAGTGATACTTACTTAATCATTCAGTTATAAGAAAAGCATGTGCACACTATTTTGTTTGTTGACAGTTCTTATCAATAGCAGAAGATTTTTGGCATGAGATCCATTTTTTGCTGTTAGGAGGGTAAAGAAACTATGACATCTAAAGGATGCATATTTCTCAGAAGTATGTTTATGATAAGTGAATAATTTCTGGGAACACTGAAGATCTAAAAGGAATACTAGAGGTAGCTGTATATTCTCAAAGCAACACCGAGTTATTTGTGGTTTACAGGACTTCAAATCGAACTAGGTTTTAAAACATAATTGCAGGAGGCCAATGTAACGGTGGCCACCTAAATCCATATCTTTTAACACAACCTCCAAAAAAAATTTATAGGTCAATAGATACAATTAATAGATAAAATAAAACCAAGGAAACTCTATGCCTTCAGTATAACGTATAAGAAAAAAATAACACTGTAAACTTCAAATAATTTGAATGAAGAAACAATTTTAACAAAAATTCTGGAGAAGCCATCTCCTAAGCTTGCACACAGTACCTGCAAAAATCTCTGGCAGAGAACTAGGGGGTTCTATACAATATTCAAAGAGAATGAAGGCCAGATGTGGTGGCTCACACCTATAATCCTAGTGCTTTGGGAAGCCAAGGTGGGAGGATTTGAGCCCTGGATTTTGAGACCAGCCTGGGTAACATAGTGAAACTATATCTCTCCCCTGATCCAAAACAATAATTAGCCTAATGTTGTGGCACATGCCTGTACTTCCAGCCACTCAAGAGGCTGAGGCAGGAGGATTGCTTGAGCCCAAGAGTTTGACCTGCAGTGAGCTATGATTTCACTACTGCACTACAGCCTGGGCAACAGAAAGAGATTCTGTTTCAAAAACAGAACAAAAAATAAGGCAAGGATGGGAAAAGCAGTCTAAAGATTGACCCAATATACTCCTAAAAATAGAAAGTCTACATTAACTGCAAAAATAGTCATAAAGGTATCTTGAATATCAGATCATTGACTACTAAGATGAAACTGGAAGGTTTCAGGGTGCTGCTCACTTTGTCAGAGGTGTTCAAACCAGAGCAACTCCATCTTGAATAGGGGCTAGGTAAAATAAGGCTGAGACCTGCTGGGCTGTATTCCCAGGAGGTTAGGCATTCTAAGTCACAGGATGAAATAGCAGGTTAGTACAGGATACAGGTCACAAAGAACTTGCTGATAAAACAGGTTGCAGTAAAGAAGCCAAAACCTACCAAAACCAAGATGGCAGCAAGAGTGACTGCTGGTCATCCTCGCTGCTACACTCCCACCAGCACTGTGACAGTTCACAAATGCCATGACAACTTCAAGAAGCTATCCTATATGGTCTACAAAGGGGAGGCATGAATAATCCACCCCTTGTTTAGCATACAATCAAGAAATAACCATAAAAATGGGCAACCAGCAGCCCTCAGAGCTGCTCTGCCTGTGTAGTAGCCATTCTTTCATTCCTTTACTTTCTTTTTTTTTTTTTTTTTTTTTTTGAGACGGAGTTTCACACTGTCACCCGGGCTGGAGTGCAATGGCACAATCTCGGCTCACTGCAAGCTCCACCTCCCAGGTTCACATGATTCTCCTGCCTCAGTCTCCTGAGTAGCTGGGATTACGGGCACACACCACCACACCTGGCTAATTTTTTGTATTTTTAGTAGAGACGGGGTTTTACTATGTTGGCCAGATTGGTCTCGAACTCCTGACCTTGTGTTCTGCCCACCTTGGCCTCCCAAAGTGCTGGGATTACAGGCGTGAGCCACCACGCCCGGCCTATTCCTTTACTTTCTTGATAAACTTGCTTTCACTTTATGGACTCACCCCAAATTCTTTCTTGTGCAAGGTCCAAGAACCTTCTCTTAGGTTCTGCATCAGCACCTCCTTTCCAGGAACAACTTGACAAATTTTGGGGAGTCAGTTGTAAAAAAGAATGAAATGCTGTCTTTGGAGATGATGTAGTGAAAAGAAATGGAAAGGAAGAGACATTCAGGACCTTTCACAGAAGAAAAAAATCAAGGATACATGATGCTACTCCCAAATACATTTTCCCCCGACCCACACACACATATGACACCACTCATTGAAGAAGTTTCACTTTTCTGCAGTGACATAAAAGTTTTCGGTTAAATTCTTTGTCATCCACCCTGCGTACAAAGTGCCTAGACCAAAATAGCCATCATGTAAAAACTCATATGCAAAGAAAATGAAAAATGGGAATCAGAACATTTAAGCAAATACAAATCCCAACCCCATTCATGTCCCACCCTTAATCTCGAAGTTAAATGAAATTTCAACCTAACCTGACACTCCCAATTAAATATCCAGAATTCTCCTTCTGGATGCCGATGAAAAGAGTCAAACTGTAAAATATTTGAAGAGATTTATTCTGAGCCAAATATGAGTGACCATGGATTGTGACACAGCCCTCAGGATGTCCTGAGAACATGTGCCCAAAATGGTTCGAGTGCAGCTTGGTTTTATATATTCTGGGGAGATCAAGGTTCTTTTGAATTCTTATAGTGGCTGCCCTTAGAGACAACAGATGACAAGTGTTTCCTATTCAGATCTTTAAAAGGTGCTAGACTCTTAATTAATCTTTTTAGGATTGGGAGGGTCTGGAAGAAAAAGATGTAGCTATGTTAATAGAGATTCTTTACAGATGCAAATTTTCTCCCACAAAAGACAGCTTTGCAGAGCCATTTCAAGGTATGGCAAAGAAACATGTTTTGGGGTAAAATATTTTAACTTTTTCCTTGTCTCATACTGTTATGCCAGAGTCAGACTGGAAAGTAAGTCACAATATATAGGGTTAAATGAAATTCATCTGATGAGGATTTATGGTTTGTAGGGCATGACTCTCCAGACCTCTTAGATAGGAATTTGGGCAAGATAAAAAAATCAGAGCTTAGTTCTCATGGATATGAAAGGTTTACCAGAATGAGAGCACATGAAAAAATTAGAAAAACAAAAAGTATACTAAACAACTTCCTCTGCCTACACAAGTGAGACATTAGGGAGCACAGTAAGGCAGTCTCTGAGAGATTAGAAACAGCTACAGCTAAGCCCTGGGAGAGAGTGCCCCAGGTTAGGGTTGTTTAGGAAATGGTGATACAACCAGAGCACAGAGGTCTCCTTGAGTTCAAGAGACAAAACACAGCGCTTGAGGAGGTCAGGGCAGCTAGATTTTGCAAAGCAGAATAGCACAGAGAAGAAACAACAAAATGCAATTTCTGCTAAGAGATTTCCTTAACTCTTTGCCTGAACACTGTTCTAGGTTCACATGCTTTCAGACAGGTCTTTTGAGGTGGGTGTTGGATTAAATGTGGGCAACATTGGGTATGGTAGCTTGGGCTTGGCTTGCAATGGAAAATTTTTGAAATGAGTCTTGAAGAATGAAGAATTGATATAATAAACAAGAGAGTTTGCTGCTCTACATTATCAATTATCCTCAGAAGTGGGCTGGTTATCCAGTTAAATCATCTGATACTATAATACATAGACTTTTCAGGAAGTTCCTAAATCTAGCTATGAAGTTACTCATTGGTTTACAAGCTTCTAATGCTTTGTATACATTGCCTGGAGCAAGCAGTAATGTCTGGTTGATAGAATCCTGACATTAAGTGTTGCGGGAATCAGGAGGACCAGAGACGCCACAGGGTAAAGCAGAAGTATTTTATTCAGTGCACTCAGACCCAGTGGATTATCATTCAGAGACTGGGCCCAGAACAAAGACAGCACTTGACCTTTATACACACTTCAAAAAGGGGGTTGGCTAGCCTGAAACAAGCTTACAGTGGTGCGAAGCAAAAGCAAGGATACAGAGGCAAAACAAAGGCAGTTAATCAAATTGTGACAGGTGCATTACTCAGGATTACACGTGACATCTTGCTATGTGGCCCAGATGGCTATTATCTAGGCTTGCTCTAGTGCCTTGCCTGGGCTTATCTCATAACCTTCACTATGTCGCCCAGGTGGCTGTAGTCCAGGCCTGCTCAGATAGCTCATGACCTTCACTGTACCGCTTAGATAAAACAGAATGCTTGAAGTTACCAGTTACAGAGAACAGGAATCTATAAACTCATACCATAAGAGAAACGAAAATTGCTTTTCTCCTCCCTATGTTGAGGGAGTGCTGGGAGAGTCTCCAGAGCACATTCCTTTGTGTCCTAACTTCTCAGATAGTGTTTATGGAGGCTCTTCCTGGGTCTGGGCTGTGCCTGTTGCTGCCTCTGGGATAAGTCAGCCTAATACAGGAAAGCCTTTTTTTTCTTTTTATTTTTCTTTCTTTAATTTCCACCTCATAGTTCTAAGCACCAACATTCAGTTTTCTCCTTACAAAGATGTATCATGCACATGCTGTAAAAATGGCTGTGGATATCTAGAACCATAGTTGTCAAACTATGGGCTGTGGGCTGGCCAACTGTTTGTGATAATAAAGTTTTATTGGTGCATAACCACAGTCTTTTTTAATGCGCTTTCTTTGGCTGCATTCTCACTACAACAGCAGTTGACTGGTTGAGATAAAAACCATGTGGCTGACCCAGCATGGTGGTTCACACCCGTTATCCCAGCATTTTGGGAGGCCAAGGCGGGAGGATTGCTTAAGCTTAGGATTATGGAATCAGATTTTAATCTGCCCTCTGCAAGGTGGACCCTCCAGGAAAGCCAGTGGTGTCATTCAGTCTGAGTCCAAAGACCTGAGGACCTAGAGGGACACTGCTGTAAACCCTGGAGTCTGCAATGCCTGAGAAGCAAGGGCTCTGATGACTGAGGGTAGAAGAAGACAGAGGTCCAAGATCAAGCAGAGCTTTGTCGGCTTGTAACTACCCAACAGGTTCAACTTGCCTGCTGCCTAGACAGAGCCAATTTATCAAGACAGGGGAATTACAGTAAAGAAAGAGTAATTCATGCAGAGCCGGTTGTGCAGGAGACTGGAGTTTTATTACTACTCAAATCAGTCTCCCAGAGCATTTGGGCAGCAGAGTTTTTAAGGACAACTTGGTGGGTGGGGGAAGACCAGTGAGTCAAGAGAGCTGATTGGTTGGGTTGGAGATGGAATCATGGGAAGTTGAAGCTGTCCTGTTGTGCTGAGTCCATTCCTGGGTGGGAGCCACAAGATAAGATCAGCTGGTTTATCAATGTGGGTGGTGCCAGCTGATCCATCAAGTGTGGGATCTGCAAAATATTTCAGGCACTATTTGTAGAAGCAGTTTAGGGAGGGTCAGAATCTTGTAGCCTCCAGCTACATGACTCCTAAACCATAATTTCTAATCTTGTAGCTAATTTGTTAGTCCTTCAAAGGCAGTCTATTCCCCAGGCAAGAAGGAGGTTTGTTTTGGGAAAGGGCTGTTATCATCTTTGTTTTAAACTATGAACTATAAACTAAGTTCCTCTCAGTTAGTTCAACCTATGCCAAGGAAGGAACAAGGACAGCTTAAAGTTTAGAAGCAAGATGGAGTTGGTTGGTTAGATCTCTTTCACGGTCTCAGTCATAATTTTGCAAAGGTGCTAACTGCCTTTTGTTCTATGGGGGCCCTCAGCAGATTGGATGATACCCATCCACATGGGTGAGGGAATATCTTCTTTCCTCAGTCTACCAACTCATGTGTTCATCTCTCCTGGAATCACTCTCACAGACACACCCAGAAATGATGTTTTACCAACAATTGGGGTATCCCTTAGCCCAGTCAAGTAGATGCATACAATTAATCATCACATTGCTTTTCTAGAAAACATAATGTGAGCCAATAATTCCACAAATATTTGGGTTTTTCCCAATGACAGCATTTTAATATTTCTTTTTCTGCTTGTTGTTTAATATTTTTCAAGTCAAGATCTGATCCCATCTGTTTGAGGTTGGGTGATGGGTTGCCCAGAGGCAGGTTGGTCAAAAATGGCCTCCGCTAGAACAAGTGAACTCTCCTTCCTATGGTCTCTCATCCTTCAGTAGGCTAGCCTCGGTAGTAGGAGCCTCCAGGAGAAGATGTGGTAACAGAAAAGCACTTTTGAATGTGCCTGCTTATATCATGTGTCTGCTGACATCCTATTGCTTAAAGCAGCAGCCCTCAACCTTTTTGGCACCAGGGACAAGTGTCATGGAAGACTATTGTTCCACAGACCAGGGTTGGGGGGAAAGTTTCAGGATGATTAAGGGCATTACATTTATTGTGCACTTTGTTTCTACTATTATTCCATTGTAATATAGAATGAAATAATTCTACAACTTACCATCATGTAGAATCAGTGGGAGCCCTGAGCTTGTTTTCCTGCAACTAGATGGTCCCATATGGGGGTGACAGGAGACAGTGACAGATCATCAGGCATTAGATTCTCATAAGGAGCACACAACCTAGATCCCTCACATGTGCAGTTCACAATAGGGTTTGCACCTCCTATGGGAATCTAATGCTGCCGCTGATCTGACAGGAGGGGGAGCTCAGGCAGCTCAGGCAAGCGATGGGGAGTGGCTGTAAATACAGATGAAGCTTCACTGGCTGGCCCGCTGTTTGCCTCTTGTTGTGTGACCCAGTTCCTAACAGGCCACAGACCAGAGGGCTGGGGACCCTTGGCTTAAAGTGTGTTACAAAGAATGTTCAAAGAATATAGAGAAATAGATTCCACTTATTGATGGGGGAAAGAAAGGTCATATGCAAATGTCCTAGACAAAAAAAATGAGGATATTAGTGCAACTAATCTACTGTATCAACTTTGCAAAATGTGCAAAAAACTTGGAATGAAATATTTCTTCCAGGAGGGTAACAATCGTTGTGTCTGGTGGTTAGTTTATGGGATATCTTCTTTCTTGTTATCTGGTTTTTATATACCATGAATTTATTTTAGCAAGAACCAAACTTTGAGAGTACTGAAAGGGAATCAATTTGTGTTTTTCTCTCTGAATTGTGGATGCCCTATATAAGATGTGATATAAAATATTCCCTCAAATGCTCAAAGGTTGAACAAATGAAAAAAAAATGAGCAGAAAAGAGACACCAACAGTCCAGAGACTTTATAAAAAGGGCAGTAGATAAATATAGAGGAGATAAAATCAGGATATTGCTGCCCATTTCAAAAGGCAATTTGAAAAGCTAATGTCTGCTGTTGAGCGGAAAATAGGAATATGCCTCTTAGGGGCATGGTTGAGGATACTTTCAGTGAGATTATGCCTTTAATGAACCTTGTTTGGGGCAGAGGCTGCAATTAGCTTAACAGCAGGGACTACCAGTAGCATCCAAAGAAATGCCACCATTTCTAGCTGCCAGGAAACAAAAGTTGCAAAGAAATTAGATTAATATAATGTTGCCGGTGGCAAGAAACTGATTTTCCTGTAAAATTGTACTGTATTTCTTCTGTTTTATTAAAAATGTAGCACTACACCTACTTTGAGAATAACTGCACCTACTTAAGTTATATGTGTTTTAATTGAAACTCAAGTTTCAGGTAAAACTAATAATAAAAGTTATTATTATAATATTGCAATTTGTTCATTAGGCAGTAAACTTAATTGCATGGTGTGAGTCCTGTCTTTGAAGTAAATTAGTTTTTTTTTAAATAATACATTTTCTCTGCATGGGAATGAAAATTTGTGTCCTTTAAAGGCATGAGTTTTATAGTGGCATTTAAAATTATATAGGATTTTTTAGGAGTTTCAGATAAGTATAGAAAAACAGTGACTCAAAATGTACAAAAATATCCATGAAGACCATTTATTCGGGTGTTGCGCTATGCAAGATCAGATTGGAGACGTGTGACTTCCTGAAAATCTCACACGATGCTTTCTTCTTACAAACTAGGCTTGCACTCCTGGTCCCTTTAGAAAAGTGCATATGCCTTATGTTTTATGTGTTATTTTTACCTACATAGGAATCTTAAGGAACACCATGAATAGAATTGATGAACTGATATCAGTTTAAGAAGCTATTTTTATTTTTAGTGTGACAAACGTGAGAAGCAGCTGGCACGGGATCCTCCCCGCCATCCATTTCCTGAACACCAGGGAATGTCCATATGTGTTCAGAAAAAAAAAAAAAAAATTGAAATGCTATAAAAAGAAAAGAGTGGTTACCATTTAAAGCCATGGAACACAGTTCCTTTTATATCAGAAGTCAGCAGAATTTGAAGGCAAATTCCTAACTTTTAACAACAAAATGCAGGGGACATTGGAAAGGATATAGAAAGGACTGTGTTAGTGGAGTTGCTAAAAATGGACTACAAGCAATTTCTAACTCAGGCATTAGAAGGAATGATGGAGAAGGGGAGAGGAAAGGAAGGACATTGAAAACATAGACATTAAGGTTAGGAACATCTTCTCTCTCTTCTGGCTTTTCTACATCTTTTTTTCTGTCAAAAGCCAAATAGTGAATATGTTTAACTTTGTGGGCCACACATCTCTGTCACGATGAGCAACTTTCCCATTGCAGCATGGGTTAAAAGAAAAACTTTAGACAACTTGAATTTAACAGTTTCATTGAGCAAAGAACAATTCATGAATCGACCCCCAGACCAGAATTGGTTCAGAGTGACCCCCGGGCTGCCTCATGGTCACATAATATTTATAGACAGGAAAAGGAAAGCAATCCACAGGAGACAGGAGTGAGGTACAAACACAGCTGGATTGCTTACAGCTCCGTGTTTGCCTTATTTAGCCATGGCTTGAACATTTGGCTGCCTTTGATTGGCTGAAACTCTGTGATTGGTACAAGAGCAGGTGGCTGAGCATGGTGGCTCACACCTGCAATCTCAGCACTTTGGGAGACCAAGGTGGGAGGATTGCTTGAGCCCAAGAGCTCAAGACCAGCCTGGGCAACATAGTGAGACCCCCATGTCTACAAATAATTTTAAAAATTATATCAACTGGGCTTGCTGACACTCCTGTGGTCCCAAGTACTCAGGAAGCTAAGGTGGGAGGATCACCTGAGCCCAGGAGGTGGAGGCTGTGGTGAGCCATGATTGCACCACTGCACTGGGAGACAGAGTGAGATCCTGTCTCCCCCACACCAAAAAAAAAAAAAAAAAAAAAAAAGAGTAGGTTAGAGTCTGTTTGCACAACGACTTGGGTTACCGTTCACTTATGGAAAAACCTTTAGGCTGAACTTAAAGCATGTAAGGAAGCAGCTTTAGGCTGAACTTAAGGTAACATGTGGAAGCAGTCATGGACAATATGTCAGCAAATGGGCACCAAGCTCTGCTGCTTGGCTCTCAGTTATTAAACACATCAAACTCTTCTCACAGGTATTTAAGAAGGATAAAAGGTTAAACATTTTCACTTAGTACTCAGGAAGAGTTGTTTTCATTGAGTCGATTTTTAACTTTAATGTAATTGAATGTTAAGTTTTGTGGTACATATGCAGGATGTGCAGGTTTGTTACACAGGTAAACGTGTACCATGGTGGTTTGCTGCACCTACTGACCCATCACCTAAGTATTAAGCCCAGCATACATTAACTATTTTTCCTAATGCTCTCCCTTCCTCTGCCCCCACAGGCCCCAGTGGGTGTTGTTCCCCTCCCTGTGTCCATATGTTCTCAGTGTTCAGCTCCCACCTATGAGCGAAAACATGTGGTATTTGGTTTTCTGTTCCTGTGTTAGTTTGCTGAGGATAATGGCTTCCAGCTCCATCCATGTCCCTGCAAAGGACATGATCTTGTTCCTTTTTATGGCTGCATAGTATTCCAAGATGTCTATGTACCATATTTTCTTTATCCAGTCATTATTGATGGGCATTTGGGTTGATTCCACATCTTTGCTGTTGTGAATAGTGCTGCAGTGAACATACATATTCATGTATCTTTATAATAGAATGATTTTTGTTCATTTGGGTACATTCCTAGTAATGGTATTGCTGGGTCAAATGGTATTTCTGGTTCTAAGTCTTTGAGAAATTGCCACACCATCTTCCACAATGGTTGAACAATTTTTTTTTTTTTTTTTTTGAGACAGAGTCTCACTCTGTCACCCAGGCTGGAGTGCAGTGATGCTATCTCGGCTCACTGCAAGCTCCGCCTACCGGGTTCACGCCATTCTCCTGCCTCAGCCTCCCGAGTAGCTGGGACTACAGGTGCTCGCCACCATGCCCGGCTAATTTTTAGTATTTTTAGTAGAGACGGGGTTTCACCGTGTTAGCCAAGATGGTCTCGATCTCCTGACCTTGTGATCCGTCCATCTCAGCCCTCTAAAGTGCTGGGACTAGAGACGTGAGCCACCGCGCCCGGCCAGTGGAACTATTTTACATTTCCACCAACAGCGTATAAGAGCTCCTTTTTCACTTCTGAGGACTGCAAGAAGAACCTCAAAGAAGCCTTCTGTTTTCATATGAAATACCAAATAAACCAAAATGTTTGCTCAGAAGATGCAGATTTGAATTTATGTCACTTTTTTCTGTTTTTTTTTTTTCTTATTTTTTGCTACATGAGGAACAATAGCTGTCCCCCTACACCTATAAGAAAATGTAAAAACTAGGACATTTTATTTAGAACAAACATTTATTCTCCCTGTTAACCATCAGTTCTTCAAAAGTGACATGATACCACATGGGGCAAACACAGCCAAGAGAGTCCACTAACTATAAAGCCTTGGGAACAGCTCAGAAGGGAACACACAAGAGAAAAAATTTATAGGTTTTGGCTGTCTGGGTTGCAGGGATTTATTTTAAGCCTGGCCATTTGATGTCGGTATCTGTTTGTATTTGGACAAACCTTCAATGAAATAGCTTGGGGTTGGTTCTGTGGTATTCTTTGAGATTCCTATGTAGGTAAAAATGGCACATGAAATATAAGCACGGAAGAGCTTGGGAATGAGTTTTGAGGAAGATTTGATTTGATAAGCAAGAGAATTTTCTGCTTTGAGGTTCAATTATCCTGAGGAGGATGTTCACCCTGATGAGTTACCTAAAGTTTGAATATTCTGAATCTATGAAATCATTCACTAGCTTACAACTTTACATTCCTTTGCAAGCATTGTTGGGAAGGAATATTAAAGCCAGGCTGATGTAGTCCTGATAATTAAGCTGCGAGTGCTGGCATCCCAGTTTTTGCTTTTGTTTTTGTTTTGAGACAGGGTCTCACTCTGTCACTCAGTTTGGAGTTCAGTGGCTCGATCATGGCTCACAGCAGCCTTGAACTCCTAGGCTCAAGCAATCGTCCCACCTCAGCCTCCTGAGTAGCTGGAACTACAGGTGTGTGCCATGATGTCTGGCAATTTTTTTTCCTTTTTTTTTTCTTTCGTAGAGATGGGATCTCATCATCTTGGCCAGGATGGTCTCAGACTCCTGGGCTAAAGCGATCTTCCGGCCTCAGCCTCCCAAAGTGCTGGGATTACAGGCATGAGCATCTGGCCTGGCATCCCAGATTTTATCATATGCTCTATTACTGACTGTAAACATTTAGAACAGAGGCTGGCAAATTAGGGTCTATGGGTTGTCCAAGCGTTTTTGTAAATAAAGTGTTATTGAAACACAGCCACACCCATTTGTTGATGTGCTTTCTGTAACTTTCGTCACAGTAAACTGTAGAGTTGCGTAGTTGAGACAGACTGCACAGGTCACAAAGTCAATAATATTTCCTCTCTGGCCTTTTATGGAAAAAGTTTGGGCCATCTTAAAATGAGCAAATATTTCCCACAAACACGTAGGTTAATTTTTTTCTTTTAAAATGTTGAATTGGGAGGGCTGAGGGAAGTGATTTTAAACCTGGAATTCTATATGTAGCATCAAATGCAAGATAAAAGAACACATTTTCAGATACAAACAAATAAAACCAATAAAAATAAAAATAAAATAAAATGTTTAATTGGCAAGTAAATATTATATATATATTCAAGGTGTACAATATAATGATTTATGTATATACTGTATTGACTATTATAAATAGATGACTATTACACTATATATAGTGTAATAACTGTAATATATGGTATAATGACTATTACGTATATTGTGTAACAACTATTATGTATAGTGTAATGACTATTATATATAGTATAATGACTATTTTATATAGTACAATGATTATAATATATACATAATAGTGTAATTACTATTATATGTAGTATAATGACTATTATATATATCATGTATTGACTGTTTTATATATATAATGTAATGACTATAATGTATATATAGTGTAATGGCTATAATTTATATAGTGTAATGACTATTTTATATGTATAGTGAAATGACTATTATATATAGTTATTGACTATTATATATGACTATTACACTATATATAGTGTAAGATTATTAATATATAGTGTAATGACTATAATATATAGTATAATGACTATAAAACGTGCATGTATACATAGTGTCAAGACTATTATATATAGTGTAATGACTATTATATATAAAACAGTGTAGTGATATAATATATAGTGTAATGGCTATAATATATAATAGTGTAATGACTATTATATATGTAATAGTGTAATAACTATTTTATATATTTAAAATATAGTGTATTATCATTACACTGTTATATATAATAGTGTATTGACTTAAATTGAAAAGACAGGTAATTTAATAGCATATAATAGTGTGTGTGTATATATATACACTATGTATAAAAAGTGTAGACTGGGCGTGGTGGCTTACGCCTGTAATCCCAGCACTTTGGGAGGCCGAGGCGGGTGGATCACGAGGTCAGGAGACTGAGACCATCCTGGCTAACACGGTGAAAACCCATCCCTACTAAAAATACAACAAAAATTAGCTGGGCGTGGTGGCGGGCACCTGTAGTCCCAGCTACTTGGGAGGCTGAGGCAGGAGAATGGCGTGAACCCGGGAAGCAGAGCTTGCAGTGAGCACAGATGGTGCCACTGCACTCCAGCCTGGGCAACAGAGTGAGACTCTGTCTCAAAATAAAAAAAAGTGTAATGATTATAATACGTATATAGTGTAATGACTATAATATACATATTATAGTGTAAAGACCATAATTATATATAGTGTAATGACTACTACATATATAATAGTATAATGAGTATTATAGATATTGTAATGACTATTATAGTGTAATGACTATAATATATATACAATGTAATCACTATTCTATATATATAGTATAAGGAGTATAATGTATATAATATTGTAATAACTATAATGTACATATATATCACATAATGGCTAACACAATCAAATTATTAAGCCCATCCATCACTACCATACTGTACATTAGATGCCCAGAACTTATACATCTTATAACTGAACGTTCGTATCCTTTGACCAACATCTCCCCATTCCCCCACCCCTCAGCCCCTGGAAACCACATTCTACTCTCTGTTTCCATTAAGTCAACATTTTTAGATTTCATATATAAGTGAGATCATGCAGTACTTGTCTTTCTGTGTATGGCTTATTTCACTCAGCTTACATAGCCTAAGCCTGTCTACAACATTTTGCATTTTTTCCTTGTTTTTGGAAGGCATCATAAACTACTAGTAGTTATTTCAACTGTTTCTATAAGCCTGGTACTGTGGTATCTCCATGTCAGTTTCATATTTTACATATACCAAACAAGTTATCCTTCCATCTTAAGTGCTGCCTATGAAATGAACTATATTGATTTTAATTGAAAGAATATCATATTTATTTGTACTTAAAAATGAGTTATGCTGCTAGCCACATTATACAAAGAAACTTGCTTAAAATGGGAACACTGGTGTAAGAAAGGCCATTTTTAGTTTATTTTAAATTGAAACATGAAATAATCATAACTTGCATGTGCATATTAATTTATAAATTTTAAAGCTTTTTTATATATATAGTATATTTATGTATGTATATTTACACACATATACATACACTACATATAGTGTCCTTTTTTATGGAAATGAGTAGGACAGATAATGTTTTCTTCAATGATCTGTTTACGAAACAAAATTTTAAGGCCAGGTGCGGTGGCTCATGCCTGTAATCCCAGCACTTTGGGAGGCCAAGGCGGGCAGATCATTTGAGGCCAGGAGTTCAAGACCAGCCTGGCCATTATGGTGAAACCCAGTCTCTACCAAAAATACAAAAAATTTAGCCAGGCTTAGAGGCACATGCCTGTAGTCCCAGCTACTTGGGAGGCTGAGGCAGGAGAATCGCTTGAACCCAGGATGTGGAAGTTGCAGTGAGCCGAGGTCACGCCACTCCACTCCACTCTACTCCAGCCTCGGTGACAGAGCAAGACTCTGTCTCAAAAAAAAAAAAGAAAGAAAAGAAAGTTTTAGAATGTTTTGGTAAGACCAAATTTTCAAAAATGATTGAAACATATTTTTAGAGGAAAGATACTTGAGAAAAGGCAGGTAATTTAAGAAAGATTGTGAATGAATGTGAATACAAAGTTAATTTTAAAATGTGAATGAATTCATAGCCATACTTTGACATTTCTTAGTCCAATAGTTTGCTTATACATTCTCTTTAATACTGCCAATTTTTTAAAGCTGGAAATTACATCTATATCTGTAATATCAAAAAAGATAGTAGTTGTTCTAAGAGTTCATAAATCAATCCTTTCTGTCCATTGATATTCTTTTCCTCTAACACAAACATCTCTTTTCTCTCCATTCGACACCAAAAATGTATTCAAAGAATAAATGTTATAATTCTGAAGATTTTAGACATCAAAGAGAGAAGTGCTGTCAACCTTTCAGAAATACTTTTATTAACATGAGCTACATTGCAAGAAAATGAACTATAACATGAATATAAACACTATCTTTCTGGACTAAATTCAGAGTGGAGTTGATTTTATGCATGCCTTAGATGAGTTTCCATCCAATTTAAAGTTGGAGAAAGAAGAAAAAATTATCCTGAGGATCAAGAGAGAGAACCCCTGGGTCTTTTTAAGAGCATCACTGCCATGGATATCAAATGAAAAACAGCATGAAGATTGTTATGCGAACTTTTTTGTCTTATTTGCTGTCTGCTTATACAGTGTGTAAAGGAGCTGCTTAGAGAAACATACACGATCACATATGGTCAACGCTCCTTCAAGTTTCATATAAAGATACACATTTTTCACATTCTAGCCATTTCTTACCGGGCCGTAGAAAAAAAAAAAGAGAGAAACTATATAGCAATCAAGTTGAACAAAAACCTTTTTTCTGGTGAACACATATTTTTTTCAGAGAACAAGCCACTTACTTGTGTATTGAAAGATAATATTTTATCAAAATAAATAATTTCAAAAGATTATGCAAAAGCAATTTTAGAAAATGGGACCTGATTTTTTAAGTCATAAATTATAGAAAAATGCATGATTCTATATAATAAACCTCATTTCAGAAGTTTATGTTTCTTTACACTTTGAGTATGACTCACTCATTTATTATTTATTAATAGAATATTCACCATATGAGTTGGAAAGACACATAAAAATAAAAAGTAATTAAAAAGCTAGTTCATGGCCGGATGTGGTGCCTCAAGGATGTAATGCTAGCACTTTGGGAGGCTGAGATGGGCTGATCGCTTGAGCTCAGGAGTTCGAGACTATCCAGGGCAACATAATGAAACCCCATCTCTACAAAAAAATGCAAACATTAACCCAGCATTGTGGAATGCACCTGTAGTCTCAGCTACTCTGGAGTCTGAGATGGGAGGATTGCTTGAGCCCGGGAGGTTGAGGCTGCAGTGAGCTGTGATCTTGCCATTGCACTCCAGCCTGGGCAACAGAGTGAGATCTCACTCTAAAAAAATTAAAAATAAAAAGCTAATCCATTAGTTAGAATCAAATTTAGATTAATTAAATATTCTGAAGGATTTTTTTTTCTTTAATCTTTCAATTTGCCCTTCATGCCACCATTTTTCTCCATCTTGCTCTCCTTCTCTCCTTCTTCTCTTCTTTTCCTCCTCTTTCTATTTTTCTTTTTCAAAAATATAAAATAAAAATTAATTGAATGTGTTCATTTGAGTGTCTTGAAAAAGCATGAAACCTCAAGAAATCAAGAGACTGTCTTCAAACCTAAGTACAACAACCTGTCTTCTCCTTTTTGCTTCTCCAATGATGTCATTTACAAACTTTAATTAAACTGCATATTATATGATATTTTTCTCATTATCTACGAGATTGTATGGTCTTTGAGTGCAGAGAATAGGCTGTATAGATCATGACATCCTCAACACCACCTATATGGTATGAAAAATGTTAGGTGGTCAGCAATGCTTGAGAAATAATAAATGGATGAATGGTTGAATTAAAGAATTGTTTGAGCCAAACACTCTGATAGTAGCCATGGAGTCTGCAAAGAAGATGCTGTGACCCTTGAATTTGGGATGGGGTGCAGATTAGTTTTTCTGGGATGGAACTGAACATGTGGGTGATTATTAAGGAAGGCCTTCTTGGGCAACATCTGTAGAAAGAAATGGATGCATACAGGAAAGCATATGAATGAGATAGATCAATGTGGGTGAGTGCAAAGATAGATGGTGATGAATCAATAGATGGATGGATGGCTTATAAATAAATAAATGAATGGATGGATGCTGAATCAGTAGATGGATGAGTGGATGGATGAAAAGATGGGCAAGTGGATAATGGGTACATTGATGGGTTGATGTATATATGTATAGATATGTCGGTACATAAATGAGTGGATGGGTAGATAGGTGAATGAATGAATAGATGGGTAGATGCACGGGTAAATGGTTCAATGGATGAATGGATTGGTGGATGGATATGTGAATGAATGAATAGTTTGATGAATGGGCAGATGGACAGGTGAATGAATGGATGGATGGATAGATGGATGGATAAATGGATGGATGGATGAATGGATTGGTGGATGAAAAGGTAAATGAATGAATGGATAGGTAGATGGGGAAAAAGTGGATTGGTGGATGAAAGGGCAGATGGATAGGTAAAGGAATGAATGGATAGGTAGGTGGGGAAAAAGTGGATTGGTGGATGAAAGGGCAGATGGATAGGTAAAGGAATGAATGAACGGGTAGATGAATAGATGGATAGATGAATAGGCAGATGAATAAGTGAATGAATGGATGGATAGGTAGATGAGTGAATGGATGGGCAGATGGATAGGTGAATGAATAGATGGATGTGTATATAGATGAAAGAATGGATTGGTGGATGAATAGGTGAATTAATGAATGAATGGGCAGATGGATAGGTGAATGGATGGATGGGTGGGTGAATTGATGGATGGATGGATGGATGGATAGAAAGACATATGCATATGTAAAAATACATGCATGCAGTATTTTGTGTCAGATGAATTGCCAATATTGACAATACATAACAATTTTTAAAGTTACAAGTATAGTAATTTCATAGGAATTATATGCTTATATATATTATTCATTAATATTTTCAAATGTTTTACTTCTATGGAGAGAGAGAGGGGACAGAAAAAGAAAAAGGAAAAAAGGGAGAAGCAGACAGGCAGAAGTAGTGTCCATAATGAACCAAAGCATTCAAACACAGAAAAATATACGTTTTAGCAACAGGAAAGTCATTAGATAAATAAAATATTAGATATCTAGGGCATTACTTATACACTTATTTTGTGTATCAGAGGAAATTATTATTTTTTTAATTGTAACACTTAATGCATCCCATAGAAAGGGCTCCTGATGCTCTCTGTAAAAGTGACTTACTTGTGCCCATGACAGCCATAATCACATGAGAGGAACAAATGGGTATCATAGATGTTAGGATGAAATAGTTGTGATTTCGAGCAAATAGCCTGGCTTTCTCACCAGGGATAGAAGAGCTTGGCAAGAATGCAGAGGATATCACTAGAACCACCACAAACACACAACGGAGACCTTCTATATACACTGTACTTACAGAAACAGAATTGTTTCTGACCTTCTATATACACTGTACTTCTTCCAGAAATAGAATTGTTTCTGCCCAGTTACATTTGAAGTTCTGATAAACTCCGAATGTAGTATTAGTATGAGCATATCCTAACTGTGGCATGTTACAAAATGCTTATACAGAAAGAGTATGCGGCAGTTTTCTCAAATTTGAATTAAACAGTGTGTTGCTGTAATTTAATTTGCTAAATTTAGTAATCATCTTATGCAGAAAGAGGAGTGGCTCCTATAGAGGTTTAGGACATAGATAAGTCTTAAATAAATAGGATATCTTTAAGTGACACTGAGAGCGGAAATGATCATGATATCCAGAGAAATTTAAGAACTCTGAATAAATTTCAGAATCGTTATTCATACTCTGGGCATTAGTCAACTAGATTTTTTTTGTTTGTGTGAGTGACGTGGGTTTCTGGGAAAAAAACGTTTTGGGAATGCTTGTATATCTCTATTATTTTTCTATCAATTGGGTTCATTTTTTGGTTTGAGTGCCCTCATACTGTAAGTTACATACAAAAAGACCATGAATGCATATTTATTTCAGAACTATTCAGAAGTGGAAAACATTTAGGTTGCATGGCCAATCTTAACCTCCCTTTGTATTCTTCTACCTTAATTCACTTTCAAGAAGTTGTTTGCTGCATAGAAAACATAATCACTGATATTAATTATGATTTGATTGTCTCAAAGGAGGTAACATGCACAATAAATAAGGAAATTATTATTCCAAATATAGTTATGTTTAATTATAGCAGAAGAGCAAAAGGCTTTAGAATCTTCCACACATCCCTGAAAAACGTACTGTCCTAGGATATGATTCTCCAGGGACAAAATGAAATGCAGAGAAAAGGACATTGCAGGTGCGTAAAGAGAAACAATACCAATTAGAAAAGAAATGCATGAATGGCTGACCTTTTTTAGGGAGTTTCTCTCACCTGTTATATGCTACCTCTGCACTTTTATAAATGCCACAAAATGTATGAGCAGCTTCTATAGAAAGTTTGCATCTAACTTTACAGAAATTGTGTGGAACATAAAAAACACAATAAAAACCAGAATTGAACTCTTTCGTGTACATGTGTATCAATGTGTTATTTTACCTTACCTTGAATATTTAAAAATAATAAATATCTAAGCATCTATCTTCATGTATTTATATTTATCTCATCTATTCCATTTATTCCATCTATGTACATATGTATGTATGTATCTATCTATCTGTCTACCTACCTATCCATTCATCTATGTATCTCCATCTATTTATCTATCCTATCGATTTTGTCTATCTACCTATCTCTACTTATCCATTCATCCAGCCACCTACCTATCCTATCTATCTGTCTGTCTGTCTGTCTGCCTGTCTATCTATCTATCTACCTATCCCTCTAGCTATCTAGCTAGCTAAATTAGATAAACGATAGCTAGCTAGGTGGCTATTATTTATCTAATTTATCTACCTTGTAAACTCACATTTAACACTTTCCCCAAAACATATAAACCTCTTGTAGAACAAACTATTAAACACAAGGTAAGATTTTAATATAAATAGATTGTCTCTGTTCTTTTCTATCCACAACAACAATGAAACTACAATGAGTATTTTATTTTTGCATAGTTTTTATCATTTTGATATAATTTACTACTATAATCAGTGTCAATACATTTAAATTTCTAATAGGCATCTATTTGTTTTTATTTTATTTTTAAAAGCGAGTATACACTTACCATGAGTCACCTGTTTAATGAGTAGTTTGATCCTGCAATACCCGTTTTATTACAGAATCAAATATTTTAATGAAATTCTAATTTGACAAATATTTTGATAGTTTAAGATTCTGAATCACATTAAAGAAGGTATTTTTATATTTCAACATGAAAAACTGCTGGGCTACACATATCCAGTGGTTTTGAATTTGTGCAAAAATTTTTTTGCATTATTCAAACTATATGTGCAATTACTATAAACTGAGTAAATGATAGCATTTGAGTTTCAATATATTTTCATGGCAATATTCTATCTCCAGAATCATGTTGCCTCTATTTGATAAGAAAATCAGATTGCAAAGCCTAAGATAATCTGAAGTGACAGCAAAGGATAAAAAGACATCAGGGAAAGAACTCTGAGCACAACTCTGTAGAGCTGGAAGGCCACATTTATTTAAAGATAAATTGTTAAGATGAATGTCCTGAGGTATGGAGAGTGGACCTTTAAATCAATAAACATGGAAAAGGGCCAATGATATGATTCAGAGGGAGAGAGAGAGAAAGAGGAGCGAGAGAGAGTGAGACAAAAGAGGGAGAGAGGGAGAGAGAGAGAGAGAGAGAGAGAGAGAGAGAGAGAGAGAGAGACCTTGTCTTTGGAGCCATTTGTAGCACAATGAACCAGTCCACAGCAAGAGTCAATAGACATAAGAAAAGGCCAAGGTTATGATTCAGAGAGAGAAAGAGAGAGGAGAAAAAGAGAAAGAGAGAGAGAGAGAGAGCTCTTGTCTTTGGAGCCATTTGTAACACAATAAACAAATCCACAGCAAGGCTCAACAGACAGAAGAAAAGGCAAATAAATTGATTTATAGGCCATTTGTAACACAATAAAGCAACCCACAGCAAGGCTATATTTAAATCTCAGGGTACAAAAATATCACCAAAACCAAATAACAACTGAGACATTGGTGTCTCGCAATTATCAAACAAGTGAATTGATACAAATTAATTAGCCCTGATAATGAGCATTTACAGATACCTTCAAATTCAAAAAAGAATAAATGCATGCAAAGCATCTTCAAAATCTTGACAAAATATTGTGGGTTTGATTTTTCTTCACTGTGTTTCTTTCACCTTAGAGTTTGTCTCCTTGTGGTAGCTGTCACATCAACTTGGCAGCAAATGGCAGACATGGAATTTTGGGAGTCTGGGTGGCCCACCTGTGAATCCTCTTCACTTCAACTCCCCACCTCCAGCATGAGAAGTCACACTGAAGATAAGTGCTCAGTCAATAAAACCCTGGATACACTCATTAATGAAAGACCGCGTCATGAGAGAAGCATTTAAGGGCATGAGTAGGTAGACATGCATAAAATCAAATGTGCCACCTCCCCCACGCCATAGTGCAACACTCCCTAAATGCTTTTTAACACACATGGTAGCAAGAAACTTTGGTGAGACCTAACTTTTTTTTGGATGAATAAAAACACAGTGCTTCTGCTCCTCGTGAGCTTTGGTTTGATGAAGAAGGCAGCAATTTAACAAGCATGGTGGATGTTAACACTACTGGGTAATGCTGAGAACTCTGTCAGGAGTCACATGTGAACCCCCAAAATCTGAGACAGGTCTCAATTAATTTAGAAGGTTTATTTTGCTAAGGTTGAGGACACGCGCCCATTACACAACCTCAGGAGGTCCTGATGACATGTGCCCAAGGTGGCCACAGCATAGTTTGGTTTTATACATTTTAGGGAGAAATGAGACCTCAATCGACATGTGTAAGATGAACATTGGTTTGATCTGGAAAGGCTGGACAACTCGAACCGGGGAGGGGGCCTCCAGGTCATAGGTAGACAAGAGACAAATGGTTGCATTCTTTTGAGTTTCTGCTTAGCCTTTCCAAAGAAGGTGATATGGTTTGGCTGTGTCCCCACCCAAATCTCAACTTGAATTGTATCTCCCAGAATTCCCACATGTTGTGGGAGGGACCCAGGAGGAGGTAATTGAATCATGGGGGCGAGTCTTTCTCGTGCTAGTCTCATGATAGTAAATAAGTCTCATGAGATCTGATGGGTTTATCAGGGGTTTCTGCTTTTTCTTCCTCCTCATTTTCTCTTGCTGCTGCCATGTAAGAAGTGCCTTTTGCCTCCCGCCATGATTCTGAGGCCTCAGAATCATAGTTCCAGCCATGTGGAACTATAATTCCAATTAAACCTCTTTTCCTTCCCAGTCTCAGGTGTGTCTTTATCAGCAGTGTGAAAATGGACTAATACAGGAGGCCATCAGATATGCGTTTATCTCAGTGAGCAGAGGGGTGACTTTGAATAGAATGGGAGGCAGATTTGCCCTAAGAAGTTCCCAGCTTGACTTTTCACTTTAGCTTAGGGATTTTGGGTGCCCAAGATATTTTCCTTTCACACACTGTACCTCTGAAACAGCTCTGCTTAACATGTCTCATGAAATCTGCACTTGTAATCCATAGACCACATTCAATACTTACCAATTCTCCACACTGCTCATTTCCACTAGCATTTTCTTCAGCCTTTGATGATTCTAACAATTTGTATTCTTCCTCTTAGTTCCTCATGATCTTCTTCACCCTGTTCTACCAAATCATTAACTCTTAGTATTATTCAGGGTTTTCTCACACAGCACATTTTTTTTTCTGTAAATTGCCCTCATTTGCTCCCAGGGAGTCCACGAGTGTCTATCCTTATTGTAGACTCTTATGATTGTTTGCTTCTTTTTGGCTTAGTCTTCTTTTCTGATATCTACATAAAAATTTTTTACATTGTATAAAAAGTAATTGTGTCATTCATTCCTGATGGTTTCCGTAATAAATTATCACCGAGTGGCTTAAAACAGCAGAAATACATTATCTTACAGTCTTACAGGTCAGAAGTCTTACAAGTCAGAAGTCTTACATGCTAAAATAAGGGCTATGGCTGGTTTGCATTTGCTCCTGGAGGCTGAAGGGGAAAATCTGTTTTCTTGCCTTTTCTGGCTTCTAGATGAAATCGCCCATGTTCCTTAGCTCATACCCTCCTTGGTCATCTTCACGGCCATTAACATCACATCTCTCTCTGACCCTTCTTCTGGCACGAGAGCCAGGAAATGTTCTGCACTTTTATCAACTTTTGTGATGACATTGGGCCCTCCTGGGTAAAGCAGGGTATTCTTGCATGTTGAAATCAGTAGCCCTAATCCCATCCACAAAGTCCTTCTTGCCATGAAAGGTAACATATTCCCAGGGGCTGATTCTTTGGGCTTAGGCATCTTTTTAAAATTTATTTTTATTTTTAATTTTTGTGGGTATATAGTAAGTGTATATATTTATGGAGTACATGAAGTGTTTTAATACAGGCATGTAATGCATCATAGTCATATCTTGGAGAATGAGGTATCCATCCTGTCAAGCATTTATGCTTTGTATTACAAACAATCCAATGATAGTCTTTTAGCTATTTTTAAGTATACAATTAGGTTATTATTGACCATGGACCTAGGCATCTTTGAGAGACCATTATTCTGCATATCGCACTGATATGGTTTGGCTATATCCCCACCCAAAACTCATCTTGAATTCCCCCTTGTTGTGGGAGAGGCCTGGTGGGAGGTAATTGAATCATGGGGGCAGGTCTTTCCTGTGCCATTCTCGTGATAGTGAATAAGTCTCACAAGATCTGATGGTTCTATAAGGGGGAGTTTCCCTGCACAAGCTCTCTTTTTGCCTGCCACCAC
Organism: Homo sapiens; assembly: GCF_000001405.40. Classification (NCBI taxonomy): domain Eukaryota; kingdom Metazoa; phylum Chordata; class Mammalia; order Primates; family Hominidae; genus Homo; species Homo sapiens. Next base: position 4,825,075 of record NC_000023.11, read on the forward strand.
CCATGTAAGATGTAATTTGCTCCTCCTTGCCTTCCGGCATGATTGTGAGGCCTCCCCAATGAAATTGTTATGTTATACTATACAATAGTTCTCCCTTATTTGTGGTTTTGCTTTCTGTAGTTTCAGTTACTCATGGTAAAGTCCGTAATATATGAAAAGAAAGGAAGCACCAATGCATGCATGTTCACATAACTTTCATTAAAGCATATTGTTATAATCATTCTATTTTATTATTAGTTGTTAATTTATAAATTAGACTTTATCATAAGTAAACATGTATAGGAAAAAGCTACATATCTATCTATCTATCTATCTATCTATCTATCTATCTATCTATCTATCGTCTATCTATCTCATTACTATCTGAGGTTTCAGGCATCCACTGGGGGTGGGAGTATTTTTACTATATATCTCCTGTGGATAAGGGAGAACTGCTGTATTAGTATAACAAACACTACTAAACTCAAGTGAAAAATAAATATTCCCTCTAAAATTCTCATGAGGTGGTAAAAATGCAAATGAGATCATTGCTCTCCCCGCTGAAAATAAAGCAATGGCTTCTAATTTATTTTATGATAAAGCAGAAAGCTGAGCCATGGCCTTTAAGTTCCTACACAATCTAGTTCCTCTTTTACCACCTAACTCATCACTTTCCATTGTCTCTGCAGCTCAGAGCTTCAGCCACACTCATTACACTTCTCGTGCTAGAACCTGCCTAGCTCAGCCATTCCTCCCAGCTCATGTGCTGGTTGTGCACTTTTTCAAACACTCTTTCTTCCCTCTCATCACTAAGACAACATAAATCACTCCCCGCCAGGCTACCTTATCATAATTAGACTTCATCCATCCCTCTGACATCTTCTTCTCTCTTTGCTTTGCAATCTTGTCACTTCCTGAAGTCACCTGTTAATGTATTTGGTTATTTTCTTGCATATTTTACACTCAGCGCCCAAAGGAATGCAACTCATGAGAGCACAAGCATTGCCTTTCAGGACACTTGCTATAAACCCAACCCTTGAACAGATAGTGAGTACTAGATGCTGGATATCTGCCTAGCACTTCAATGGAAGCTGCGCTCAGGAAAGTTGAGCCTAACACAAGGCCTTAGCAACTAGGGAAATACCCAGGTAGGAACATGAACAGAAAACTGCCCTATTGATTCTAAAACTTCAGGCATTAGAAGAAATCACAGGTAATTGAAACAAAAACAGAGAAAGAATGAAGAAAGACCAGAAGTTCACTGCCTGACTTTGTTGTTGTTGCCATTGTTATTTTTTGGCAGAAAGTAAGTTATTTCTGATTATTTCCTTCTCCCTGTAATACAACACAATGCAGTGTTTATATCTTTATTATCGTCTCTCATCAATGTTTTGTTGTTTATTTGTTTGCATGTTTTCAAAGTAGCTCAGTGGTCCCCAACCTTTTTGGCCCCAGTGTCCAGTTTCATGGAAGACAATTTTTCCATGGATGAAGGTTGGAGGGATGGTTTGGGGATGATTCAAGGGCATTACATTCATTGTGCATTTGATTTCTATTATTATTACATTGTAATATACAATGAAATAGTTATACAACTCATCCAAATGTAGAATCAGTGGGAGCCTGGAGCTTGTTTTCTTGCAACTAGATGGCCCCGTCTGGGGGTGATGGGACACAGTGACAGATCATCAGACATTCTCATAAGGAGTGCACAACCTAGATCCGTTGCATGCATAGTTCACAATAGGGTTCATGCTTCTATGAGAACATAATGCCTCGGATGATATGACGGGAGGCAGAGCTCAGGTGGTAATGTGAGTGATAGCAGCTGTAAACACAAATGAAGCTTCACTTGCTCACCCACCACTCACCTTTTACTGTGCTGCCCAGTTCCCAACGGGACATGGACAAGTACACCTGACATAGATCTTCCATGTATAAACACATCTCCAAATAGTTCATTTCTTTTGGTGCAAATGGAAGTAATATAATGCTTTCCTCCTCCCTTGTTTGTTTGTTTATTGTTGGCTTGTTTCTTTTGCTTCCCTGTGATGAGATCCTGGCTATGTATTCTCAGCTGGGTTGTGGAACCAGTGCCGTGGACTCCTACTCAGAGTAGCCATTGGCCACTCATTGCTGCTGCTAACTTGGATAACTCAATTGAATCATTGCTGGAGTTCCCCCTTGAATAAATATTGTTTTCCTCCTCAGAAACAAAAGTATCTCTGTAGGGAGGTACATTAAGACCATGCCAATACCCCCTTTCACTGATCATTAGAGAATGCAAATCAAAACCACAATGAGATACCATCTCACACCAGTCAGAAGGGCTATTATCAAAAAGTCAAAAGACAACAGATGCTGGTTAGGTTGGGGAGAAAAAGGACCCCTTTTACACTATTGATGAGAATGTAAATTAGTTGTACCATGGTGGAAGACAGTGTGATGATTTCTCAAAGACCTAAAGACAGAAATACCATTCGACCCAGCAATCCCATTACTGGGTACATACCCTAAGGAATATAAATTATTCTATTATAAAGATACATACATGCATATGTTCATTGCAGCACTATTCACAATAGCAAAGACATGAAATCAACCTAAATGCCTATCAGTGCCAGACTGGATAGAGAAAATGTGGTACATATATACCATGGAATAGTATGCAGTCATAAAAGGAAACAACATCATGTCCTTTGCAGGGACATGAATACAGTTGGAAGCCATTATCCTCAGCAAACTAATGCAGGATCAGAAAACCAAATATCACATGTTATCACTTGTAAATGGGAGCTCAATGACGAGAACACATGGACACATGCAGGGGAACACACACTGGGGCCTGTTGGGGGTGGTTTTGGGGGAGGGAGAGCATCAGGAAGAATAGCTAATGGATGCTGGGATTAATACCTGGGTGATGGGATGATCTGTGCAGCAAACCATCATGGTGCACACTTCCTATGTAACAAGACTGCCCATCCTGCACATGTACCCCTGAAATTTAAAGTTGAAGAAAAAAATTTCCCTCTATATTTAGTAAGATTTGATAGTCTAGATAAAGAAAATGTAGTACATGTACCCCATGGAATACTATGCAGCCCTAAAGAAGAATAAAATCATTTTCTTTGCAGCAACATGGATGGTGCTGAAGGCCGTTATCCTAAGTGAACTAACACAAGAACAGAAAACCAAGTATTGCGTGTCTTACTTTTAAGTGGGAGCCAAACATGGGCTACACATGGACACAAAGAAGGAAATAATAGACACCAGTGCCTACTTGAGGGTGGAGACTGGGAGGAGAGAGGTGATTGAAAAACTACATACCTGGTACTATGCTAATTACATGGGTGGTGAAATAATCTGAACACCAAACACCCGCGACACATAATTTACCCATGTATCAAACCTGCACATGTACCACTGAACCTAAAATAAAAGTTAAAAAAAAAAGATCTGATAGCCAAACTATACCATGGTGGTTACACAATTATGTACATATTTTTTCCAGTTACATCAGCAGTCCCCCAACCTTTATGGCACGAGGGATTGGTTTCATGGAAGACAGTTTTTCCATGGACCAGTCGGGGGTTGGCTGGGGGATGGTTTCAGGCTGATTCAAGCACATTACCTTGATTGTGCACTTTTTTTCTATTATTGTTCCATTGTAATATATAATGAAATAATTATATGACTCACCATCATGCAGAATCAGTGGGAGCCTTGAGCTTGTTTTCTGCAACTAGACAATCCCATCTAGGGGTGATGGGAGACAGTAAAAGATCGTCAGACATCAGATTCTCATGAGAAGTATGAAACCTAGACGCCTTACATGTGCAGCTCACAATAGGGCTCAAGGTCCTGTGGGAATCAAATGCGGCCGCTGATCTGACAGGAGGCAGAGCTCAGGCAGTAATGCAAGTGATGGGGAGTGGTTGTGAATACAGATGAAACTTCACTGGCTTGCCCACCCACCGCTCACCTCCTGCTGTGCCAGGACTGGTCCTTGGTCAGGGGGAGCCCCTGAACAACAGCGTTTGCTCCATATTTAGCAGTCAAGACTGGGCATTTTATTGTAAAGAGTTATTTTTTCACACATACACACACACACACACACACACACACATATATATATATATACACATTTTATGTATATTAATGTATGCATATACACATTGTATATGACTTTATATACATATGCATATATACTTGTATGTACATATGGATACATACAAATACACACCTATTTATATTCAATATGAACAGATGCATTGCTATTTTTTGAAAGGTTTATAGTTTATTATTGTACTTATTTTATTTGGTGCTTAAATTATCCGAGAAATGGGATGTTCTTCATTCTGGCTCCTACGTCTTTCTGACATGCCCTTGTAATATTGTTGAGCACTTTCTTACATTTTGACTATTGGAAGATATTTCAGGCTCTTTTCATATCTACCCAGCCACAAAACTGGAGTTGGTCATACCTATAATGATGCCAGGTAAGAGATAAGTAATCTGGATGCTAGGGTGTGCTCATTGCTAATGGGTGTCTTTGCTTCTTCTTGGATATTTCAGTGAAGTGATACAGGAATTATATGTATTTACACACTAATATACACATGCCTGGGCTTACATACACACACTTACAGATATGCGTATGCACATGTACTGGTAAATACACTTACCTATGCATATTTTAGGAATAATCAATTCACACTCATACCTTCAATTCCAAGCCATTCCTATAAAGATCTTATCTATAGGTTCTTTTATTTGGATATCTTTTATCATTGTGTGAATCATAGCTCCTAACATCAGAAAGTGTTAATTCTTTTTCTTCTGGATTAATTATCATAATTATTAAAAGCGCACTGTTTATCACCTCTATATATGTAGGTGTGTACACACACATATATAATAGTTGCATTCAAAAGTAATGCAACCACTACATTTTTACAATAAATAATTACATTCAAAAATAATGAGTTTATCACTTTGGAATATGCTGCTCAATATAAGAGTGAAGATTTTTTCACTACTTTATGTACAGAGGGATTGAGTCTACTTATTCCTAGAATAAGACATATGTCATGGAAAAATAGCACTGAGAAGATGAGACCATATTTAGCCTCTAATAAGTACAAGATTTGCAAATGTTTTATGAAACATTATTGAAACTACATTTATGAAATAATATTGGCAACTGCATATGTTCAGCAAAATTCACAGTATAGTCCCCATTAATCTAATAAATACATGATAGGAGTAAATACATAAACATGTATAGAAAGCAAAAGACTTGTTCTATAGCATCCAATAACCTTTTGGCAAATGATAATAAAAAAAGGTCCTCTTTCAAGTTATAATTCTCATTAAAAGAGAAGACGGCATCTTAACTCCACTACGTGCTTCTTTTACTAGAAGTTATATGACTCTTGTTTGGCGTACACCTGTGACTTTTGGCCACTTTTTTTCTAAAATAATGTAAAACTGAGCCATAGTTTGAGACAAGAGTGATTGGGAGAATTCACCAACCTCTTTGCGACTCTTGAGAATACTGAAAAATATAAAAGCAGAAAGGGCAGTGATTTGTAGATTAGTGTTATTTTTCTGCATGTTTACTATAGAGCTTCAAAATCTAATTGTAAGATGGATAGATAAGCAAGGTATAGGATTCTGCCATGTGTTTGTCCACGGGATCACATAAGGGGTCACCACTCTTGGTATTTAATTTTCTACAGATAATCTTTTTGTTTTGTTTTTTTACGATGTTCCCCCCAGAGCAATTCCTTCTTTGAAAATAGGCAGAAAAATGCAGGGTTATTAAGTGAAAGTTATCACCACTCCTTCTGTGTAATTCTGCTATCAATCTGAATTCAGAGTATCTTCTCATGGGCCAGAAGTTTTCAGCCCTCACAGAAATAGGAACGAGACTGGGAAAAATGCAAATCCCTAGCTGTGGTCTAGGCTACCTTGATTAAAGAAGCTCAGTCAACAGAAAAGTCTGGACTCATTGTTTGCTGAATAACCTACGATATTATTTGACATTCCAGCGCAATGCGTCATGAACAAGAGGTGCCATTCTCTGAGAGAGAACGAGAAGGCTGAAAAATGTTCTGGTGAAAAAGACCCACAGGCGTCCCAACCTCAGCCACAAGCAAGTTTTTCTGAAAAAACACGGTTTTAGAGGAGTGGCCATTCCCTGCATTTTCTCTGGAAAATGGCCAGTTCATTTTCCCAGAGGGAATAATAAATCTTCTATTTAACATTTCTTGATTTTCTCTGATTTGCTATACTGGCTGCCACCCTATCCTATTCCCATTTGATTATTTTTTGCGTGAAACAAGTGAAGCCCTGTGTCAGGTATTACAACTGTTTTTCATTTCGCTTAGCCATCACCTTTTGGAAGTATCCCTTACCCTCAACTGTTACCATTCAATTGTAAATATATGAAAAAAATATTTCAAACTTAGGAGACATTCAGAAACATTAAAGAATATTTCTTAATGCTGGCAAAGATATGGTCAAAGAGAAACTCTCCTAGAGTGTTGATGGGAATATAAATTTGTACAACCATTATGAAAAACAGTATGGAGGTTCCTCAAAAAACTAAAAACAGAACTACTATATGATCCAGCAATTCCACTATTGGATATCTATCCAACGTAAAGGAAATCAGTACATCAAAGAGATATCTGCAATCCCTTGTTTATTGCAACACTATTTCACAATAGCCAAGATTTGGGAGTAATCTAAGTGTTTATAAATGGATGAATGAATAAAGAAAATGTCATATATACACAAGAGAATATTATTCAGCATAAAAAAGAATGCAATGCTGTCATTTGCAACAACATGGATGGAATTGGGGGACATTATGTTAAGTGAAACAAACCAGCCACAGAAAGACAACTTTCACATGTTCTCATTCATATGTAAATGTTAAAAATGCTAAAAATTGAACCCAGGGAGATAGGGAGTAGAATGGCAGTTACCAGAGGCTGGGAAGGGTAGTAGGGAGAGGGGCAAAGTGTGGATGATTAATGTGTACAAAAATACAGTCAGATAGAATGAATAAGATCTACTGTTCAGTAGTACAATAGGGTGAATATAGTTAACAATAATTTGTTATACATTTTAAAATAACTAAAATAATGGAATTGGAATGTTCCTAACACAAAGAAATGATGAATGCTTGAGGTGATGGGCATTCCAGTTAGCCTGATTTGATCATTACACGTTGTCTGCCTGTATCAAAACAGCACTTGTACCTCATAAACATATACTACTATTATATACCAATAATAATTAAAAAATTTAAAGTTACTCCACATAAAATTACTCCAAATTTTAAAAAGTGACTCCAAAGACAGCCAATCAAGCAAATGAATGAACATTAAATCCATACTCAACATTTCACCAATACTGTATCAAGGATAAGTGGTTGACATGCATAATTTAATTGTTCTACAAGTGGAAGATAGAGAAATAATAACACTAACAAAAAGTAGAAGTGGATTGGGAGAGACTGCCAGGTAGAAGTTGAAATGAATTTCTCTCTCCGTTTTCATAAAGAAAGTAAGAAGATATTTTAAAGATGATACATTAAGGTATAGATTTATGAATATTCTTAAAGAGTATAGAGGAATCACTAGAAAAATTGGAAATAAAATAAGACAGGAATAATTATTGGAAGCTAGAATGATCATTTTTCTCCTTAATATCTGATTTTTTGAGAATAAGAATCAATAATCCATGTTTAATATTCATAATCAAGGAATAATTTTGAATTCATGATTATTAAATTGAACATTCATATAACATATTATATAATGTCCATTTTTTAAGGAAAGTAACACACAGAAGTAGACCCTTTATTTATAATTGTCAGATGGAAAAAACAAATATCGCAAAATGAAAGCCAATTTTCTTGTGGTAGATGACTGTCCATGTTGAATAAGGAGTTATTTTTTCCTCTCTCCTGAGCTGCCTTAACTGTAGGGTTCTCCAAGTTAAATCTCCCACCAAATAAGAGTGGGGGTGAGCATTTCTGAGTGGTGATGTTTTTAATGCCACTCAGAAGATGAGCGTTGAGTGATGAATTAAAGGAGAAACAGATAGAAGTTATGTTTGAAGCTTGCTCTTTGGCAGGTCCAAATGTAAAAAGCCAAAGTGGAATCCCAGGAAATAGTAAAAGCACAGCATAATAATTTAAAAAAGGTAATCATTATAAAGACATTGAAAATAATCAGATAAAAAGAAATAATCAACAGAATAAACAGACAACCCACAGAATGGGAGAAAAGATTTGCGAACTGTGCACTGGACAAAGGACTAGAATCCAGAATCTACAAGGATCTCAAACAAATCACCAAGAGAAAAAAAAAAGCAAATAATTTTATTAAAAAGTGGGCAAAAGATATGAATAGACGTCTCTCAAAAGAAGATATACAGACAGCTAATGAAGATATGAAAAAATGCTCAATATCACTAATAATCAGGGAAATACAAATTAAAGCAACCATGAGATACCACCTTACTCCTATAAGAATGGCCATTATTAAAAAGTCAGAAAAACAATAGATGTTGGCATGGATGTGGGGAAAAGGAAACACTTATGCACTGCTGGTGGGAATGTAAATTAGTACAACCTCTAGGGAAAATAGTATGGAGATTCCTTAAAGAGCTAAAAGTAGATCTACAATCCAATCCAGCAATCCCACTACTGGGTATCTACCCAAATAAAAATAAGTCATGATGTGAAAAAGACACTTGCATATGTATGTTTACAGCAGCACAATTTACAATGGCAAAAATGTGGAACTAACTCATCGGCTAATGAGTAGATAAAGAAAATGTGGTATATATACACCATGGAATACTACTCAGCCATAGAAAGGAATGAAATAATGTCTTTTGCAGCAACTTGGATGGAGCTGGAGGCCACTATTCTAAGTGAAGTAACTCCGGAACGGAAAACCAAACATTGTATGTTCTCACTTATAAGTGAGAGCTAAGCTATGAGGATGCAAAGGCAGACAGAGTGATATAATGGACTTCAGAGACTCAGAAGCGGGAGGGTGGGAGGGGAGTAGGGATAAAAAAGCTACACATTTGGAACAATGTACACTACGCAGGTGATGGGTGCACTAAAATCTCAGTATTCATCACTATATAATTCATCCGTGTGAGAAAAGAACTTGCACATCAAACAATGAATAAAATAAAAAATATATTTTTTAAAAATATTAATTTTAAAAAGCTTAACTGGCCCAGTGTGGAAGAGAAAGTTGGTGTTAGATGAAGAATGCACTCTGTTATCAGTAACATGGTTTCTAATCAACTGGAAAACACCAAGCCTAAGCTAGAAAAAGTTTGTGTTTGGAGAAAAAGGGGGCAATTGACAAAGTAAAAGCAAGTATTCAAGAAATGTATCATTCATACGTATTCTAAACAAAATGTTCATGAAAGGGGCATCATTTGTGCTTCTGTTGTTGCCAACGATGTGGAAACACTGATAATTGTAGAGATGAAAAATTCAATTGCAACAACATCATTGGCTCTGCAGTTTAAAATAACAATAATTGCAGAGATGTACAGATATTATCAGTGATTTTTAAGTTGTAGAGTCGTACCCGTCACTGAAAATGTGATCATTTTTGCAGGCCTAAATAAAACCATTGTCTCAAGAGTATAAAAATATGAATAAATTGATGGGAATTAAAATGCAGAAGTGGGAACAGAAAGGCAGGAGAGAGGTAACAGCGTTAGGAAAGAGAATACACAAGAAAATAGAAAGGAATTCAGCTTCATACTATATAATTTAATTTATTGATGAATGATATACATAAATGTGGAACCCAGACAAAATGACTTTCAAGGGAAATAAAAATCACTCGAATACCGACAGAAGGTATATGAAGTGTTATTATGTAATTATCATAGAATATGTCAACGGGATTCTTAAACATGCTTAAGTGTAAATGTTTGCTCCTATAAATTTTACATAATATAACATAGGCTTTCAGAGATAATGAAGCTGTTTAGAATGTGTACAAAGAAGGAAAACTTTTAAAGCATTAATCTTCCTATTTGATATAACTGAATGCCAACACGTGTAGATTAAAATTATTTATGACGAATTGATGCAAGATTTCTACATCCATAACAAGCAGATATGAGCTCAGAATGTAAATAGTATGTTTTTCATGACCTAATGGGACTAATTCCAATAATGCAAGAATGTTTTCACATTGGAAATGGACATGTGTGTACATGTGCATTTATGAATATAAGTGTAAATTATAACTTTGTTTTCTGGCTAGTAAAATTCAACAGGAGAGGGAAAGGGGAGGTCTTGGATATAGGTGAAACGGTGACTTAGATGATGGCAAGAAAATCTAAGTTGCATAAGGGGATGAGTCAATCCAAGCAGGACCTAGTTGAAAAGGAGAAATTACGAGTTTCAAGAAGCCAGTGGGAGCATGGATGAGGGATACAGGAACGGACGGTTTCAGGTGTGAACACAACAGGGATGTGGGTCACATTTGCAGGAAGGTACTTGTACTTCCTACAAAGATGGAGGCCATTGAGCAGAATCTAGGATGCAGGATGACAATTCCAGAGGACTATTGCCTTTTGTTCTGCCTCCTATGGCTACATCACACATCTGCATGGAAGGCGCCCCTGGGAAAGGTGTGCTGTTTCAATAAATGAGCGACATGAGCCATGCGAGAATATCTCCAGTTCCATATCAGGTCATTAAGACCCTCACCTGAATTTAGTTTGGGTATTTTGACAGAGAATAAAACTGCATATTACTTTTTTCTTTTAAAAATTGTATCTCCACTTGTGTATACAGAATAGATACTACTTGTCTATAACTAGTGGCAAAAAAAGAGACAAATGGAAAACCCTGTAATGTTTTCTCCTTGGAGCACATGGAGTTTCTGAAGCTTAATCTAGGTAGATAGTATTGGATAAACACATTGATATAAATAATGTGTAGTAATGTTTTCCAAAAAAACTCATCATGCTAAGGATTTATGGTAGATGAAAATATACAGTACATGAATATATGGAGAACGCTACCATTCTCCACGGATCATGCTGACATAAAGGATATAATAGGGAATTGATTTTCTCAAATGAAAACAAAATGATGGTGTTATATCCCTGTGTTTGCAGAAAGTTATTGCTATAGAGATTCTGAGATTTGCACACTTCATGAGTGTAAGAGGTAAGGGAGAAAATAAAATAAATGAAGAAAAATAATATATTTAAGGATCTTTTTCAAAAACAAAACAAAAACAAAAACTAAGCATGTATCTTAAAAATCAGCTTTAACAATTCACATTTTATACCACCTACCCATTTAAAGTATACAATTCAATGGTTTTTAGTATATTCAGAGTTTTACATCCATTACCACAATCAATTTTAGAACATTTTTGTTATCGCAAAAAGAAACCTCATACCCATTAGCAGTTACTCCACGTCTCCTCCCCCCAGCTCCTGGCAACCACCAATTTACTTTCCATTTCTATGGATTTGCCTATTCTGGACAGTTTATATAAATGAAATTCTACAATATGTGGCTTTTTATGTCTGGCTTCTTTCACTTTGCAGAAGGTTTTTAATTGTCATACATGTTATAGCATGTATCAGTGACTCATTCCTCTTTATGGCTGAATCATTTTCCAGTGTGTGGATAGACTACTTCTTCATCCATTCATTCATTGATGGAAACCCGAGTTACTTCCACTTTTTAGCTATTATGGAAAATGCTGCTGTGAACACTTGTGCACATGTGTTTATGTGGGCATGTGTTTCTATTTCTCTTGGGTATACACCTTCAAGTGCTATTCTGGATAATAGCAAACAGGCATCTGAAACATTGTCATTCAACTTTATTCCAAAGAAAATAAAAGGTTCTGTGCATGTGTGTGTTTGTGGGAGCATGTGAACAACACAACAAAGCACCGCTTTGTTGCATGTGACTTTTCAATGACTCTATACTACCGGGTACACAAATTCTTCCCAGCTCTGGATGACCTTCATGTGTTGTTTACAATATAGTTGCAGGTTGGATATTCAGAATAACTGGAAAAATATCCTGTTATCTCTAAATATGATTGCACACCTCTGGTCTACAGTCACTTGTATTGTTTCTGCTGGCAGAGTGTCTTTTGAGAAAAGCATTTGTAGGACATTTTGTCACCTTCTGCCCAAAGGTATCTGTTCTTCTCATTACTCCCTTCACAGATTTTAATTTTCTTTGAAATCCTCATAAGAGTATCTTAAAGTAAACATGGGAGAGAAAAAATCAGAACTCTAGAGAAATTGCTTTCAAACTCCCCCTTCAGCAATCTAAGTCTGTCCTCATTATCTTTCTTCTATGCCTCCTAAATTTTTCAGTTTTTTTCAATTTTGGGTTTTTTTCTTAAGAAGTCACCTATTGAAAACATTGGATACTTTCAAATTATATTTTCCCAGTCTGCCAGTTCCTGCAATTAATAAAAATTTTGCAATGGAAATCATTTAAAAGTGGATTAAGTTTTATAGTCCTCTTATGCAAAGGAGGATTTCTAGTTGCTGGGAGCAAGAAAAGGAATGTATACTTTTGGAAGGTAAAGGAGGCTAAGGATTGATAGTGTCTATAGCTTCCTGGGATTTACTCCCATCTGCTAGAACATGCATGGCACCAAGACCTCCAGGTCTGGCTTATTAGCATGATGTCCAGGGGTTAATGGATCAGTGGATTGCTTTATGGCAGAGATTCCCATCCCCTAGTCCATAGACCAGTAAGGACTTGTTAAGAACCAGGCTGCACAGCAGGAGGTAAGTGTCAGGTAAGCAAGGGAAGCTTCATTCGTATTTGCAGCCACTCCCCATTGCTTACATTATCACCTGAGCTCCACCTCCTGTCGATCAGCGGCAGCATTAGATTCCCATAGGAGTGCAAACTCCATCATGAACTGTGCATGCAAAGGATCTAGGTTGCATGGTCCTTATGAGAATCTAGTGCCTGATGATCTGTCACCATCTCCCATCACCCCCAGATGGGACCCACTAGTTGCAGGAAAACAAGCTCAGGGCTCCCACCGATTCTTCATGATGGTGGGTTGTATAATTATTTCATTATATATTACAATGTAATCATCACAGAAATAAAGTGCACAATAAATGTCATGCACTTGAATCATCCCGAAACCATCCCCACTAACCTGGTCCGTGAAAAAATTGTCTTCCCAAAGACCAGTCCCTTGTGCCAAAAAGGTTGGGAACCACTGTTTTATGGGATATGCAGGGAGTCTGTATCTCTTAAGACTATACTCTGACAAAAGGCGGTAAGTTAACATGGATCTGGGGCAAAGTTACATGAAAACTTTTCTCCGTGCCACACAAAAGGTCATTGTTTCTGAGCCTTTCTTCTAAATAGAATACAAAATGAGATATTTTCCAATCTGACAGCTGCAAGAGTCCTACTAACCTACTTCAGCAAAGATACTCCCATCAGACATAGCAGCTGCTCTAGGGGCAATTATTAGTCTCCACTGTCAGCCAACTGCATCCTTCTCTAGAATTGGAGTAAATTTTTATGATTTTAGGTTGACTTGACAACCCTTCTGAATATAAGTTTAACTTTCTCATACCAGAAACAGGGCTTAGTCAATCTTGACAGTTTCTGGTTCTCTATCTCCTCCCAGTTCCTCAAGGTAGTTGATCCAGGTATCTGCCTTAGACAACCACCTCCTGAAGATCACCTCCCTATGGGAAAGCTAGGTACAACCTACTTGATTGTTCTATCTTGTCTAGTCACTATGTATATAAAAAACATTATGTTGTACACACACACACAAACATATATATACATATATACACATATATATATACACATGTGTATATATATACACACTTATACACGTATATATACACATATATATTATATATACACACAAATATATTATATACACGTATATATACATACATACATATATTATATATACACGTATATATATACATATATAATATATACACATATATATACACATATACGTGTATATATATACACATATATACATATATATACGTATATGTGTGTGTATATATATATATATGAACTTCTGCTACATCCCTAATCCTTGTCACACTGCTAATAAAGACATACCTGAGACTGGGTAATTTATACAGAAAAAGAGGTTTAATGGACTCACAGTTCTGCATGGCTCAGAGGCCTCACAATCATGGTGGAAGGCAAAGGAGGAGCAAAGGCACATCTTACATGGTGGCAGGCAAGTAAGTGTGTACAGAGGATCTGCCCTTTATAAAACCACCAGATCTTGTGAGACATATTCACTACTACGAGAGCAGCATGGGAAAAACCCACCCCCATGATTCAATTACCTCCCACTGGGTCCCTCCCATGACATGTGGGGATTGTGGGAGCTACAATTCAAGATGAGATTTAGATGGGTACAGAGGGAAACCATATCACATATACACAGTGAAATAATTACTAGTCAAGCCAGTGAACATATCCATCATCTCACATAGTTATCTATATTATGCATGTGATGAAAACACCAAAATCTGCCTTTTGCCAGTGTCCAGTATACAATATTATTAACTGTAGTCCTCCTTCTGTAGATTAGATTTCTAGATTTACTCATTCTGTATAACTGCAATTTTGTATCCTTTAACTACATCTCTTCCTTTACTTCAAAGCTACCATTCTACTCTCTGTTTCTATGTATCTAACTTTTTTTTAAGATTTCACATACAAGTGAGATAATGCAGTATTTTTCTTTCCGTGCCTAGCTTATTTCTCATAGCATAATGTCCTCCAGTTTCATCCATATCATTGCAAATAAAAGAACCTCCTTTTTAACGGCTGAATAATATTTCATTGTGTATATCTACCACAATATCTTTATTCATGCATCCCTAAATGGACTCTTAGGTTGTTTTCATATATTTGCTATTGTGAATAATACTACAAATGAACATGGGTGTTCACATCCTTCTTTGAGACTTTAATTGTATTGCCTTTGGATATATATTCAGTAGTGAGACTGCTGGATGATACAGTGGCTCTATTTTTAATTTTTGAAGAACTCTCTTCATGCTGTTTTCCATCATGGTTGTAGTAATTTACATTCTCAGCAACAGTTTACTAGAGCTCCCTTTCTTCTGCATCCTCTGTAACATTTGTTATCTCTTGTCTTCCTGATAATGCCATCCTAACATTAGTGAGGTGGTATCTCATTAAAGTTTTGATTTGTAATTGTTTGATTAGTGATGTTGAGCACCTTTTCATATATCTGTTTGCTATTTTTAAGTTTTCTATGGAGAAATGCCTATTCAAGTCCTTTGTCTGTATTTTAATTGGGTTAATTGTCTTTTGTTATTGAGTTGTGTGAGTTCCTTATATACTTTGAATATTAACCCCTTGTCAGATATATGGTTTACACATTTTTCTCCTGTTCTGTAGAGTGACTTTTTCTTTTTCTTTTTTATTTTATTTTATTTTTTTTAGTTCTGCAGAGTTTTTTGTTGGATGTAGTCTCACTTCTCTATTTCTTCTTTTGTTACCTGAGCTTTCGGTGTGATTTGCAAAAGTCATTGTCGAGGCCAGCAAAACACTTTTCCTCTGTTTTGTTCTAGAAGTTTAGTTAAAGGATTTCAGGTTGTAAGTTTGGGTTTTTAATCCATGTTGAATTGACTTCTGTGTATGGTGGAAGATAAGGGTCCAATTTCACTCTTTTGCATGTTGACAGCCAGATATCCAAACACCATTTACCAAAGAGGCTATTCTTTTTTTTCTCCATTGTGTGTTCTTGGTGGCCTTGTCAAGAATGAGTTGATTGTATATGTTTGCCTTTATTTCTGCGTTCTTTATTCTATTCCCTCCGTGTGTCTGTTGTTACACCAGCATCATACTGTTTTGATTTTACTGTAGCTTTGTAGTTATAATTTGAAATCATAAAGTTTGATGCTTCCAGCTTTCTTTTTCTTGCTTAAGGTTGCTATGGCTATTCGGGACCTTTTGTGATTCCATACAAATTTTAGAACTTGTTTTCCTATTTCAGTGAAAAATACCATTGGAATTTTGATAGGGATTGTATTGAATCTGTCTATCTCTTTAGGAAGTATGGGCAGCTTAACAATATTAATTCTTCCAATCCACAGGATCATCCCATGGATGTGAATAAGCACAGCTCTGTGACCACCCCTGCCATCAACAGCCCTGGCCTGTGCAGGAGGCTGACTCAGACCTTCTGAGGGAAGTTCTCTCAACAGCACATTCCTGACTGCCTTAGTGAAGGGTATGTTCTCTGCACGTTTTTTACAGGACAAACCCGGGACTATATCAAAGAATGTTCCCTCCAAACTTGGAAGGAACCCAGAGACCAAAGAATGCCTCAGACAAGTCCAGCTTGCTGAGTAGATGCATTTATTAGGACTTAAATATAAAGTACTCCTGGGCAGCAGCTGGACAGCTCCAGAGATCTGCCCTGCTGCCTGTCTCAAAGCTGCTTTTAAGCTAATATTCTGACTCTTTACCTACTGCATGTGATGAGACTGTTTTTCTTGGTATATATCTAGATATGCTCTGGGATGTTTGAGTTCTCAGAGACACCTGCTCCTAGGCTGGGCATCACAGCCTTGGCTCACTGCCTGGCTTTCAGGGTTCAAGTAGCAGACATACAGTCTTAAATAACCTGGTGTCTTAAGCACTCATGAAAAATTACCAGCTGAAGTATCTCATAGCCATATATATATATATATATATATATATATATATATATATATATATATATATATATCAGCACAGCAGTGGTGACTGCAGAATGGCAGAGCCAGTCACCGCTTTCAGCTTTTCCTCCCTGAGTACTTGAGCAATGCATATCCATGACCAACCCACATTGATACATTTATGTGTATTGTGGCATGCGTATTTTCTTTTCTTTTTTTTCAAGACAGGGTCTGCTTTTTTACAGATGCATTCTGCCATGACTGGCTAATTAAAAAAATATATTTTAGTAGAGATGATGAGATTTTGCTCTGTTGCCCAGCCTGGTCTTGAACTTCAGAAATCCAGAAGTCCAGAATTCCCTTTGGAAAAAAGTGGGGCAGTGAGACATTTGCAGCCCATACTGTCTGAGCTATTATTGTAGAGTTCCTCCTTCTAGGAATCAAGCCATTTCTCAGCCTGTGGGTTCTAGATTAGAAAATTGCTTTATTTATTTATTTATTTATTTTTGAAACAGAGTCTCCCTTTGTCACCCAGGCTGGAGTGCAAGGGTGAGATCATGGCTCACTGTAGTTTCCAACTCCTGGACTCAAACAATCCTTCTAGCTTAGCCCCCTGAGTAGCTGGGACCACAGGTGCACACCATTATGCGTGGATAATTTTTACATTTTTTATACAGGTGAAGTCTTGCCATATTGCCCAGGTTGGTCTTGAACTCCTGGGCTCAAGTGATCCTCCTCCCTTGGCCTCCCAAAGTGCTGGGTTTTTAGGTGTGGGCCATTGTGCTTGGCGGGTATACACATTTTCAAAGCTCATGGAACTATATTCTCAAAATACATTTATTCCATTATATATAAATGATGCCTCAATAAAGTTGATTTCAAAAAAGGGAATTTTCTTAGAGAGGATTTCTCCTCCTGGATACTACTGACATTTGGGACTGGGTAATTCTTTGTGGTGGGGGCTGTCCTATGCATTGTAAGATGTTTAGCAGCACCTCTGGCCTCTGCCCACTAGGGAACATCCCTGACTCTATTCCCTCTTCCGCACTGGGCCATGACAAACAAAAATGTCTACAGACAAATGTTCAATTATCAAATGTTCCCTAGTAGACAAAACATCCACCAGTTGGAAACTGCTTATCTAATGCCACAATACTTGGTTCACTTAAATGACAAAATAAATGAAAGACACTGAAATCAGCAGACAACCCAGAAATGGTCACCAGTAAATAAGAGTTTTTAGTGCATGAGGAAGATAATGCATTTAGTGAGTGTTAGAAACATTAGTCTTGCATGTTTTTTAAATAAATGCAAACTTTGGAAAAAACAAATGTAGGTCTCTATTTTACGCCAAACGTCAAAATTCCAGAGATATGCAGTTAGAGTTAAATTGCCTGATACAATGAGAAAAAGAACATAGAGGTGGGTATGACCTTAAAGCAGAGACAGTCCTTCTAAGTAATTTCAGAGATAGAACTTCAAAGGGGGATGGGATTTTTGTTACTTAAGCTCAATAAGTCAGATAGAATGATTGCACCTCAAAGCAAATTTGTCCATAGCTTCAAATGGAATGGTTGCATCTCAGAGCACGTATCCCCTCCCCATCCAGCACTGAAGCCCAGAATGAAATGTGACCATAAAAATTTGCACTACTAATACTGTAATCAATCAAATAACATTTTTTCCCTACCTGGAAGCCTAAATTATATTGAATTATATACTATAAATTAAATTGATATATTTATTATTTTCAATCCCTCTGTGTGATATGCATGGAGAAAATATATCGCAAGGTTTATGGTTTAACTAATCATTTAAAAAGAAGAATAATACAATTTTCTTGCAGGAAAATGGAGATATAAGCCTTATGCATATATATAAAGTATGCTTTTCTCATATTTAAATTAAGAGAAATATGACTATTTTGACATTACATAATGACATATAAGGACTATAAAGGTTTTTGTTTCCAACAGGGAGACTATGCCACTAAAATTGCATTAAATCAGAAGAATTATCGATGGCAATATAAAACAAAAACAGAAGTCAGAATCACAGAAAAATATTTGAAAATTCATTAAAAATATTACACAATGCATAACTGCAAGTTTTTGTTCCTGACATACTTACGTATAGAAGCAACATATTCTAAAATACAGTGATTTAATGAAGTTCAGTGATAAACAGTTGACATATCTCTCATTTGAAAATATGTTAAAATGATGAATAATTTGGTCAATGATTATTGATGGAGTGCTGATACTAGAAAACCACATGGTTTTGTACATTTCTATTATCAGCCAAGAATGACTTAATTTTTCTTTTCTTAGTGAGGTATATTTGGTTAGTTGGCTACGCAACATCTATATGCCCATTTTTTTCCAGCTATCAGAAATCCTAAAAGTGTGACAGCAATGTGAAATAAATCAAGTGATTAATCAATATTGATCCAATGCAATCATGACATTTCTCTTCCTGCTTACCCAACTTCTCCTGGGCCATGTGACCTGTACAGCCAGTAATGTACATGGTGTATCCACTGGTGAAGGGAGTGGTGTGGCCATCTGTCCTCCATCTCTCTGCCTGATGTGTAGACAGGAAGCAGAAAAACATTCTCATGGAGCCTCTTATCCCCTGCCAGAACCGACAGAATTTCTTTGCTTGACCAAACTGTGGTCATGCTCCTAAACCTTATCTTAGGTCCTTCTGTGCACTTCCTTATAAAATCCAGTTTTAGCAAGAACCCTGCTAAGCCAGTTTAGCAAGAACGCTTCACTCTCCATATCTGTTCAGACTTCTCATCCCCCTCCCTCCCCCAGGTGATGTTTGATTTCACTGGCCTGTCTTCAGCTAAAATCCTGTTAGGTCAGCTTAGCCAGAATCCCTGTCATCCTTGGTGTCTCCTCTTAGTCATTTTCCATCCACTGACCTCCGCCCTGCTCCCCGGCTATAAATCCCCACTTGTCCATGCTATATTGAGAGTTGAGCCCAATTCCTCTCCCCCACTGCAAGACCCCATTGCCATAGTCCCTGTATCTATCCCAATAGCCCAGAATAATGTCTATTTTACCATGCTTTAACAGGCATAATTAATATTTCTTTTATTTAACACGGCATACCATGTTCAGGCTTCTGGTTAGCTGAGAAAATTAGCACCCTGTATGTTTAATCCATCTAGAGTTAGATGATAGTTGCTGTTTTAGGCTGAGCTTTATCCTCTCCAAAATTCACATGTTGAGACATTAATCCCCAGGACCTCAGAGTGTGACTGTGTTTGGAGGTGGGGCCTCTAGACAGGTGATTAACATAAAATGAGGTTGTTACTGTGGACCCTAAGCCAATAGGATGGGGGTCCTTATAAGAAGAGATGAGGACACAGACACGCACAGAGGGACCACCATGTGAAGACACAGGGAGAAGGTGGTGCCTACAAGTCAAGGGGAGAGGCCTCAGGAGGAACCAGCCCCGCCCACGCCTAGATCTTGAACTTCCAGACTCCAGAACTGTGGGACAATCAATGTCTGTTGTTTCTAAGCCACCTAGTCTATGGTATTCTATTATAGCAGCCTGAAATGGACTGAGGACACAGACATGCACAGAGGGACGACCCTGTGAGGGCACAGAGAAAAGACGGCATCTACAAGCCAAGGAGAGAGGAGGAACCAGCCCTGCCCACACCTTGATCTCAGACTTCCAGCCCGTAGGACTATGAGAAAATAAATTCGATTGTTTAAGCAGCCCAGTCTATGACACCTTCACATAGCAGCCCTAACAAATTAACATATTAAATGGTTACCTCCAGCCTAAAGAATCTGGCAGCATCGATATATTAATATATAGTTTTGATTATGAGACTTAACCACAGATTATGTCCTGGAGCCAGATATGGACAAGGTACATTCTGGCGTTTGCCCAGCTACAATGCAATGCTAGTGACCATGAGTAGACAATAGCCATGACTGACAACTCCAATACCTTTAAGATGATGATCATGGTTTCTGGGGAGGAGCCCAGGTGGCTACCATAGAAGGACCCTATTGGATTTGTCAAGCACCAACTGCAAACTCAGTGATTATGCCAGCCATGAAACTCACATTGTTACCTTACAGTCACAGTGAATTAATACCTATGAGAAATGTGAGCTCACACAAAGTTTTAGAATATTTACTGCATTATAACTCAGAATATGACCACACTGTTTAAATATTAGGACACACAGTGGTTTTCAAAAACTGATGCCTACTACAAATCCATCCAATCAACACATACTCATCTAGTAAACACCTTTAGATAGAGCCTGTGCTACCAAGACTACAATGATATCTAGATGACTTTGTTGTCCTCACAAAGCATAAAGTCAAGCAATAGAGAGAAACAGCATCTGTAAGTATATGAAAAGTATAACAAAATGTTAACAAATACCAGCTGCTCTGATTTCTCTGTCTCATCTAAATTGCATAGGAAATATTGAGTTTCTTTATTTTTGCAGGTCAGCTGATGCCCTGACTCAGATAGCCCATCTCAACAAGCTGATGAGACAAACTCAGTTCTTCTCCTTATTCCATGGATATGCCACATATGTGAGGTTGTTCCTGCATTGTGCCTTTTTGCAACCTATAGGGTCTTTCAGGCATTAGCAGTTCATCTGCGTTTGTGGTTTGTACAGAACAGCAGAGTCAATTTGCCATAGGAGAATCATGCAGCTGTTTCAGGTTAAGGAATGATAGCACAAGTACCTTGCTTGCAAATCTAATAGACTACACCTCAGATGACTCTTCCGTGCTTCGCAAAACTTTTTTAAGTTCAAGTAAATTCCCTTTCTCACAATTAGTGCATCCCAGGATTATCACCCTCTGTTTGACACCCAATATAATTCCCTGTAATTAGTTGCTCATTTTGGAAACATAAAAATTAGAAAGATAATGGATTTCTTGAATTATTATTTTTTTTTCAAGGAGAGATTGAAAATTTCTGAGCCTAGGAATCTTAGTGCATAAAACCTTTTTAAATGAGGGAATGGAAACATGATATTTATATCTCACTGCTCTAAAGGAAATAAAAAGTGGGGTTTCTTGAAAATGAAAAAGGGCTAACAAAAGTATTGGAAGAGTAGATATAAAAAGTCCACTAAGGTGAGGGAACATTTGAGAACTAGTGGATGATTGATGTTAGTTGAAGGTAAGAGAGAAATGATTTCTTGCAGTGGGTAAAGCAGTACGCGCTTGCAAGGAGTAATGAAAAATACATGCTTGCACATGGAATCAAAAAAGAGCCCACATTGCCAAGAAAATCCTAAGCAAAAGGAACAAAGCTGGAGGCATCACGCTACCTGACTTCAAACTATACTACAAGTCTACAGTAACCAAAACAGCATGGTACTGGTACCAAAGCAGATATATAGACCAATGGAACAGAACAGAGGTCTCAGAAATAGCACCACACATCTACAACCATCTGATCTTTGAAAAACCTGACGAAAACAAGAAATGGGGAAAGGATTCCCTATTTAATAAATGGTGCTGGGAAAACTGGCTAGCCATATGTAGAAAGCTGAAATTGGATCCCTTCCTTATACCTTATACAAAAATTAATTCAAGATGGATTAAAGACTTAAATGTTACACCTATAACCATAAAAATCCTAGAAGAAAACCTAGGCAGTACTATTCAGGACATAGGCATGGGCAAAGACTTCATGACTAAAACACTAAAAGCAATGGCAACAAAAACCAAAATAGACAAATGGGATTTAATTAAACTAAAGAGCTTTTGCACAGCAACAGAAACTACCATCAGAGTGAACAAGCAACCTACAAAATGGGAGAAAGTTTTTGCAATCTACCCATCTGACAAAGGGCTAATATCCAGAATCTACGAAAAACTAAAACAAATTTACCAGAAAAAAGCAAACAACCCCATCAAAATATGGGCAAAGGATATGAACAGACACTTCTCAAAAGAAGACATCTATGCAGCCAACAGATACATGAAAAAATGCTCATCATCACTGGTCATCAGAGAAATGCAAATCAAAACCACAATGAGATACTACCTCATGCCAGTTAGAATGGCAATCATTAAAAAGTCAGGAAACAACATGCTGGAGAGGATGTGGAGAAATAGGAACACTTTTACACTGTTGGTGGGAGTGTAAATTAGTTCAACCCTTGTGGAAGACAGTGTGGTGATCCCTCAAGTATCTAGAACTAGAATTACCATTTGACCCAGCCATCCCATTACTGGGCATATACCCAAAGGATTATAAATCATGCTACTATAAAGACACATGCACACATATGTGTATTGTGGCACTGTTCACAATAGCAAAGACTTGAACCAATCCAAATGTCCATAAGTGATAGACTGGATTAAGAAAATGTGGCACATATACACTATGCAGCCATAAAAAAAGATGAGTTAATGTCCTTTGCAGGGACATGGATGAAGCTGGAAACCATCATTCTCAGCAAACTATCACAAGGACAGAAAACCAAACACCACATGTTCTCACTCATAGGTGGGAACTGAACAATTAGATCACTTGGACACAGGACGGGGAACATCACACACCGGGGTCTGTTGGGGGGTCGGGGGCTGGGGGAGGGATAGCATTAGGAGAAATACCTAATGTAAATGACAAGTTAATGAGTGCAGCAAACCAACATGGCACATGTATACCTATGTATCAAACCTGCACGTTGTGCACATGTACCCTAGAACTTAAAGTATAATAAAAAAAGAAAAATATGCAAAAAAATACATGCATGAAATTCAATAAAAAGGAAGTTACTGAGAGAGTAGATGGAGTAGAAAAAGAATGGATTATGGAAATAAAAGGCAATAAAACATGAAAGATGGGACTTCCATTGATTAAAGGTGATGATAACTAGCCATAAACTGAGGACTGTCATCAATTCAACTGAAGGCTAGGAGTTTCAAAGTAAAAGAATGTTTTATTTATGGCATATATATATATATGTAAATGAGATACATATATCTCTCATTTACCAATATATTGTCTATCTATCTATATCTGTTATCTATCATCTGTCTAATCTATCTATCTATATCTATGCATCTATCTACCATCTATCATCCATCTTCTATTTATCTAGATGGAAGGATGGATGGATGGATGGATAAATGGATCAAAAATTAGGCAAATAAATGATAGATATATATGTATTGATATTGAGGGTTGTCAGCTCTTTTTATCTGAATACTCTAGTCAAGAGAACTTTAAAAGAATTTTTTTAAATTTGGTATATGTCTTAAGTATACCAAGTGTAATTGTAAGTTAATACAAATTGCTGACATCTACTCGTTGGTTACTCTACATCGGAGTTCAACTATATGGGTAGGAGTATAAATTAATATTATATGTAATACATATTAGATATACTAACTCGTATCTATGTTCTAGCTATCTTTCATTTATATATTCATTACCAATCTGTATCTGTTTATCACCTGTATATATGTATATACATATTATATAGCTGTTGTTTTTCTATTTATCTTCTATTTATGTAGATTGACAGATGGAAGGATGGATGAATAGATGGATGGGTGGATGAAAAGACAGAGGGATAGATGACAGAGATAAACATAACCAATTAATATTGCTAATGTTCACAAACTAAGGGAGATGATAACAAAAATGTGAAGAGTTGCCATGCAGTGTTAACCCCGAGCCATTGATAAAATTGTCCACTTTGCCCAACCCACTCAACTTCAAGAGGTGGGGAGTGACGGATGTTTTCAAATGGGAGATGTTGAACCCAGTTTCCCAGTGGTGGCGTGGAGGTGCAGGGGATGACAGACTCTCACTCAATATCTATTTCAAACCCTTTCAATGTATCCCTCCACATTGCTGAACCTAGAAAAATAAAAAAAAAAGTGCACTCTTCATTTCCTCTACAGATAAAGATTATGCATGCAATTTAGACCTTTTTCCCTTTCTTTGTAAACTTTTTTGATGACATAAAACATGTATTCTGAAAAAGGTCTTAGAAAAATCAACCAGCTTTCCAAATAAGGCAAGACCTATAGACCAACCACCCTATCAAGAAATAGAAAATCATCAGGACCTTGAAGTACCCCACAGGGGTTCTCTGCCTTTCCCCTTGGAGACAGCCTTAGCTCATATTTTACTGC
Organism: Homo sapiens; assembly: GCF_000001405.40. Classification (NCBI taxonomy): domain Eukaryota; kingdom Metazoa; phylum Chordata; class Mammalia; order Primates; family Hominidae; genus Homo; species Homo sapiens. Next base: position 4,849,968 of record NC_000023.11, read on the forward strand.
AATTGCTTCCTCGTGTTTTTTTTCTAAACTTGTATGCATAAGAGTGAAAATTTTGGAATTTCTCATAAATAAGCTTATAGCTTATGTGTTGTTTTGTCTCTGGCTTCTTTCACTGACTATCACATTTTGAGATCCAGCCAGGTGTTGTAAATACCTTGTAGTGGATTTACTGTCTCTGGTGTCTAGTATTTTATTCTATGAATATACCACAGTGTATTGATTCATTCCATTGTTGGCAGATATGGTAATTGATTTCATTTGCAGCTCCTTTAAGCCATGCAGCTGTGAGCATTTTTCATCATATTACTTGGTTCACAGAGAATATAATTATGAGTAAAATTCCGGGTGCTTTATGTGATTTAGTCTTTGCCGACTGGATGCAAGCACCTAAAATTCTGAAGGTGGAAGATAGACTGCCTCTGCTCTTTCTCACTGGAACACTCAAATACACAGTGGAGTTTTATTTTCCCATGTCTCATCACTCCATAGGACAGTTCTTAGCTTTGTGGGCATTACAGGGGATGGTGCCAAGCATTCACTTTTGTTTGTTCAGATCTAGCAGGGCAGTGCAGCGTATGAGACAAGAGGTGCAGTCATGAGCCATGGAACTCAGAGAATTGGATTAGGACATTTAGTTGGGCTCATGGGACTCTAAGTTCGCTGAACTCCCAAATGCAGCCAATCCTCAATTGACCCCCAAAATGCCCTCTCTTTCCATGTGAGGAGCTAATTTTTGCTTGCGTACATATTTTGCCTGATATCACTTGAGGTGTTTGTCTTGCAAAGGAAGGTCCCTTATTATCATACCACCAGTAAAGGCCTTCCCTTTCTCCAGACATATCATTAAAATCAGATTCCATCTTGTCCCAGGAGGACAAGTAGAAAGTCTCATCCAGGAAGAAACAATGTGCATGCTAACGAAATAAGATTTTGCCAAGTCATATTGTTAGAAATGTGAGTAATCTATATGAAGATGGCTGCTAAGGGTGTTAGACACAGAAATAAATAAGCAGAATTAGGAATCAAGCCAAATATATTCATTTGGGTGCACTCGAGAATTTGTATTAAAAGTGATCACTCCATGCATAGGTGAAAATATGCAGTATTTGTTTTTCTGTGTCTGGCTTATTTCACTTTGCACAACATCTTCCAGGTTCATCTTTGCTTTGCAAATGATAGCATTTCCTTCTTTTTAATGAGTGAATAGTATATTCTTGTGTGTGTGTGTGTAATATTTTCTTTATGCATTTATCTGTTGATGGACACTTAGAGAAGAAGGTGAGAGATGCTTCTATTCCAATGAACTCCTCAAATGAAGCTGGGATAAAGGAACCCCTGAGTGGCCAACGCCAGTGGAAAGTGCTTAACCACAAGAGACAACATGACCATGAATATTATAATATGCAGTATGACTAGACTGGCTGTTATAATGGCCAGCCTACATACAGCCCTGACGTTGTATGATGCATCAAGAAGGGTCCATGGTGGAATAAAATGGAAAACCCAAGAGGACTTTACTTGATCTACTTGAAAACAGCAACAAGAAAACTCCAGGTCTGCTCAACAGAATCCTGTCTTGAGTCAACACAATGAACAGTCATAGCCCCTCAGTTAATTATCACACCTTGATTGGTTTAATCTTAGAGATACTTCAGTACTGTTTAAGAGGTTCTCTTGATCAAGAATCCACTAACACTACCATTAGGTGTGGATGACAAATCTTGCTGTTGTTCACAAAATATTACATTTTTGATAGTCATCTGATGATTCACAGAGCTGTCATTCATTTATTTTCACTCTTGCACAGCATTTCTTCATATAAATATTCCGCAATATATTTATTCATCTACTGCGGGTGGGTGTTTATGTTATTGGAAGATTTTAAGAGGCTAGATGTCATATATGTACACCTTTTACATCTATTTTTGTTTGCATATGGCAGGAATTTCTACCTGTATTGGATCATACACATGTTCAGTGTTACTGAGTAATACCATCTATTTTCAAAAGACACTCTACAAATTCACACTTCTGTCAAACATAGATGAAGGTTCCTGTTGCTGCAAATTCTATTTTATTGGTGTTTTATGATGACTATGAAATATTTGCTTTTTGTTGTTAATTTCTAAGTTATATTATCAAAATGTTTGTACATACAGAGACATAGTAGAATAGTGTAATGGACACCCACATATTCATCATCTAGAATTAACAGTTATTAACATTTTGCTATGTATCTGCTTCATCAGTTTATTTCATCGAAATATTTTATTTTATATTTTATTTTATTTTATTTTATTTTAATTTTATTTTATTTGAGGCAAGGTCTTTTTCTGTCACCCAGGCTGCAGTGAAGCAGCATGACCATGGCTTACTGCAGCCTTGACCTCATGGGCTCAATCCATCCTTCCAACTCAGCCTCCCTAGTAGATGGAATGCAGGCACATGCAGCCACGCCCGGCTAACTTTTTCAGGTATTTTTGTAGAGGATGAAGTCTCCCTATGTTGCTCAGGCTGGTCTTGAACCTGGGCTCAAGTGATCCACCCACCTTGGCTTCCCAAAGCACTGGGATTATAGGCTTGAGCCACCATGCCAGACCCATGCTTTTTTATATGTTTGTTTTGAAATTTCCCCTAATGACAAACTAAAGCAATAAATAAAAATGTAACATCGTAAAGGCCTCTTACAGGGAACCACGAACAAGGACAGGAATTCACAACCTATGAGCGATAGGACAATGTCATACTTGGACAGGTGGAAGAAAACTCTTGTGGTTGTCAATCTTGTTGCTGAGGCTTCTTCCAGCAAGTGAGCTATGTAAGTGCTTAGTCACAAAGGCATTTCAAGCAATCGAAACAGAATATAAAATGCATTTCTGATTGAGCATTCAAGAGCTACAGGGGACTCTGTGTTCTATTAGGAGAGCTCACAGCACCCTGACCCTGGAGGCTGTAGTAAGAGCAGTCACTTGTTAGCGGAGAGCAGTTGTCTGAGCCATTGGCCACTGACCATGATTTCAGCTCTAATTACTTGCTCATGGTGCCATATCCTACTGCCATATATGGACCATACGATTGGTACACATCAACCCAGACCAATCCTAGAGCTGCAAGAAATCTCAACACAATAGAGTACAATTCCTGCTGCTGAAATGGATTGGTACATGTGAACTGGTATTCTGAGCAATGTCATTCATGGGAGGTCACTTAAGATCGGAGTTATCTTTTACTACATGTTGTGTGTTCTTGCAATTTTTGCGTGTCTGTACCTTATAGAGGATGGGTTCATAAATGGCTGGGCTAGAAGGGAACATTCCATGTCATTTGGGCCATAATTACAATGTTGCCTAGGAAACTGCACCCTACAGAACAGCAAGGCATATGAACCAAATGTGTAGTTATGACACCCTTACGCCCTACCCTGTCTTGCATGGAAACCTTAACTTGTCCTTAACATGGGTTGCTCCATCTCTACTCTGTGGCCTTTTGAACTCAATAATACCTGCGAGCCATAAAGCAAGAGCCTCATCTGTCCTGATATCCTGCTGCTGTTTTCTGTTAATACTACTAGTCCATCAATACTTCAGAATGCCAATAACAGCTTACTTAATCCGAGGGGCTGGCTTTCATTTAATATTTTTCTACATCCTTTGTAATTTGAAAAGAGATGGTGGCGTCTACATTTACCCTCTTCTGCACGACACAACAGCTGTGTATATTACTCAGTGAATATTTTAAATAGATTTTTTTTATTTGTAATTTATTTTATTTGTAATTAATTGATTGATTTTATTTTATTGAGACAGGGTCTCACTCTGTCACCCATGCTGGAGTGCAGTGGCACAATCTTGGCTCACTGCAGCCTCCATCTCCTGGGATCCTGGGATCGCTTGAGCGATACTCCCGTCTCAGCCTCTCGAGTAGCTGGGACCACAGGTGTGCGACACCATGCCTGGCTAATAGTTTTGTATTTTTTGTAGAGACGGGATTTTGCTATGCTGCCCAGGCTGATCTCAAGCTCCTGGGCTCAAGCAACCCTCCCATCTCAGCCTCCTAAAGTGCTGGGACCACAGGTGTGAGCCACCACACCGGGGCAACTTTATTTTTAGAGCAGTTTTAGGTTCACAGCAAAATTGAGCAGAAAAATGAACCTACATTGACACATCATTATCACCCAAAGTCCATAGTTTACATTAGAGTTTACCCTTGGTTTTGTATATTCAATGGATTTGGACAAATGTACAATAAGATGTATCCATCATTATTGTGTCATACAGAGTAATATCACTGAGAGATATTTATACAGCATAATAATCACTCACTGATATTTAACTAATGAATGAAAAACAGGTGACTATTTAGATGAACTTAAAACTGCAAATTACAGCTCCTAATGGTGAGAAAAATGAAGTACACATCTAAATACTGGGAATATGTAAGCACAATGAAGACAGCCCCATAGTGCCAACAATGTGAAAACTGAAATAACCTTAATACACATTGTATGACAATGGAATATTATTCAGCCATTACAAAGCAGGAAATTCTGTAATTTGTGATGAACCTGCAGGACATTATGTTAAATGAAATAAGCCAGGTAGAGAAAGACAAATACTGCATGATCTCACATATATGTGGAATCTAAAAAAGTTGAATTAACAGAAACAGAGAGTAGAATAGTAGGTATCAGGGGCTGGGGACTGGGGGGAATGTGAGATGTTGATCAAAGAGTACAAAGTTTCAGTTAGGCAGGATGAATACGTTCTGAAGATCTAATGTATAACATGGCGACAATAGTTAATAATACTGTATTCTTTACTTGAGACTGGATAACAGAGTATATGTTAAGTGTCCTCATCACAAATACACACAAAGACACACACACATACACTCACAATAACTATGGGTGACAATAGATGCATTAATTAATTTGATTGTAGTAATCATTACACAATGTATTTGTATATAAAATCCTCATGTTGTACACCAAGCTTGTCCAACCCACGGCCTGCAGGCTGCATGCGGCCCAGGACAGCTTTGAACCCAGCCCAACTGAAATTTGTAAACTTTCTTAAAACATTGTGAGACTGTTTTCTGCAATTTTAATTTTTTTGTTTAGCTCATCAGCTATCGTTAGTGTTAGTGTATTTTATGTGTGGCCCAAGACAATTTCTCTTCTTCCAATGTGGCCCAGGGAAGCCAAAAGATTGGACACCCCTGTTGTACACCTTCAATATATGCAATTTTAATCTGTCAATTAAATTTTTTAAAAAACTTTGTATTTGGGAGATGTTAAACTTTTATGTAACTGAAATTAGATTTCTTTCATGCTTTATGAACTATGGAATACATTTGAAATTGTTTTTAATATTAATTAATTTCAAGATAATTCAAGGTGGAGACACACATACATACACACAAGAATTCAGATTTATGCCGTACTGCAAATAGATGACTTAAATAAACTCACTGTTAACTCTAATCACCCTCCTGTGCAACGGAACACAAGAAATTATTTCTCCTGTCTAATTAGAACTTTGTATCCATTGATCAGTAAGAACATTGGCACACACATTAGTTACATCATTCTTCTGTTCAGATGCATTTTTTTTTTGAGACAGTCTCACTCCTTCGCCCAGGCTGGAGTGCAGTGGCACGATCTTGGCTCGCTGTAACCTCCACCTCCCGGGTACTAGCGATTCTCCTGCCTCAGCCTCCTGAGTAGCCGGGATTACAGGTGCCCATCACCACACCCGGCTAATTTTTGTATTTTTAGTAGAGATGGGGTTTCAACATATTGCCCAGGCTGGTCTCGAACTCCTGACCTCAGGTGATCCACCCACCTCAGCCTCCCAAAGTGCTGGGATTACAGGCGTGAGCCACTGTGCCGGGCCAGTTGCATTTTTAATATGGCCCAAAAGTTCGGGACAAATACTACATGATCTCTCTGGGCAACATGGCAAAACTCTGTCTCAACAAAAAATACAAAAATTAGCCTGGAGTGGTGGCATGGCCCTGAGGCCCCAGCTACACAGGGGGCTGAAATGGGACGATTGTTTAAGCCCCACAGGTAGAAGCGGCAGGGAGCTGAGATCGCACCACTGCACTCCAGTCTGGGTGACAGAGCAAAACCCTGTCTCAAAAATAAGTAAATAAATAATAGATACTTCGGACCTAGAGAAAAATCTTAAACCAAGATGCTTTTTGTACAGATTGAACCCAAAAGGAAAAACCTTCACGGCAAAATGCCAAACTCCTGAACACCAGAATAATGATGGAGAGAGCATCAATCCATACCATAATAGTCACTCATAAAAAGACCATAATAAGTCATGTTGTGGGTATCTGCAAGTCATGTTGTAATATATCACTCACTGATGTGATCAGTCAGTGAGAAAACTACTAATGAATCTTTCCTCATTCCATACATTAATGTTTGGGGAAGTTATTACTTTAGAATCCATCAGATGAATGTGTCAAGTGACATCCATACCCTAAGGAGGCATTGGTCCAGTGGATTTAATCACAAAACCTGACATATCCATTTCACTGCAGGCCACGTGTATGGCTTCATATGCAACTGCATTGAAATTAAAATTGAATGACAATATATGAAGAAATTTGAGGGCATTACCAGTGGCAAATTTTCTTCTTTATGAGTATAGGCTGGAGCTACCATAACATCTATTTTAAAGCTCAGAGCTCAAAAATATAGGATAAAATGCACATAGTAAGCCAATAGGCTAATAGTATTAAGTTCGTGCAAAAGTTATTGCGGTTTGTTCCATTAAACGTAATGGCAAAAAGCACAATTTCTTTTGCACCAACCTAATAGTAAATAGTAGCAGGAATTGTTCCCTTTAGCAGTTTCAAATAGGAATAGAGATGAGGATGTCTTGATCGTTCTGCAACATTCTAAACCCTATACATTTAGAATCATGGGTTTATTTATTTTCTTTCTCCTTATGGCCTGCATGTTACTGTAGCCATAGATGAGTCTTCTTCATTTGGGTTTCAATCATGTTTTAGATTTCTATCAGTTAGGTTTATTTTAGATGTTTCAAGGTGTTCCCAACAAGGACACTTGGAAGGAATAAATACCAGACACCATAGGGACTCCCTGAGGACTTTGATCATCTGAGGCCTGGATCATCTCTGCTGCCTTGGTGGAACAAACCAGTTAGGCCAGTTCACGCATGACTTGCATGGTGGTCCAGTAACTGGAAAAAGCACATACATGTTCTCTTTCTTGGAGGAAGTCCTTAAAGATGATGCCATTTGCCCTATCACTAAATGTTACTTTTTTGTGATTGAATCACATACTAGTGTTAACTTAAAATGTGTTGCTTTTCAAGTGCAGACGAGCTCTGAGCGATGTCAGTAGTGTATGCAAGAAGATATGTGAGATTGTTTTCTGAAAGTGGTACTGGGACCCTAGCCGGCCACTCATGTTCTCTTGAGAGTTTGCCTGCTATGGCCAACCACATGTAGTAAATGGCCTTAGACATGCAGCCAAATTTCTTGAAGCAGAAAAATGGGGTAATAAAGTAGCATTTCATAAGACACTCATATATGCCAAATCCTTTGTCTTTTTTTCTTTTTTTTTTTTTTGAGACGGAGTCTCGCGCTGTCTCCCAGGCTGGAGTGCAATGGCATGGTCTCGGCTCACTGCAACCTCCATCTGGTTCAAGCAATTCCCCTGCCTCAGCCTCCCAAGTAGCTGGTATTACAGGCACCTGCCACCACGTCCGGCTAATTTTTTTGTATTTTTAGTAGAGACGGGGTTTCACCATGTTGGCCAGACTGGTCTCGAACTCCTGATCTTGGGCAATCCGCTCGCCTTGGCCTCCCAAAGTGCTGGGATTACAGGCGTGAACCACCACATCCGGCCAAACCCTTTGTCTTCTAAATTTACTTTTAATTCTTCCAACAATCTTATCAAATATGTTTGTGATGTTGCCATGCCTGAAATACTTGAATATTTCAAGCAAGTGCAGCTAGTATTCACTTTAAAAAGGTTTCTTTTTCTTAAGTTTTACAGGTTTAGGGGGTACAAGTGCAGTTATGGGACATGGAGTGATTGCATAGTGATGAAGTCTGGGCTGTTATTGTAGCCATCACCCGAATAATGTACATTGAAACCATTAAGTAATTTCTCATCCCTCACCTTCCTCTCACTCTTCCACCCTTTTGAGTCTCCAACATCTATTATTCCACTCTCTATGTCCATTGTATACATTTTTTAACTCCCACTTTTGCGTAAGAACACGTGGTATTTGATCTTCTGTTTCTAAATTATTTCAGGTAAGATAATACATATAACATAATATGTAATTATATATAATGGAAATAGCTATAGAGATTCTAGGTGTACTTGAATTATGTAAAAGACAGTAATGCTGGTGTACATCTATATACATCAGGTTTAGGGTGTGATACCTGCATAAAATGCATATATATGTGTGCGTATATGGCCGAAATGGTGAATTTAAAAACCTTGTACCTGGAGAAAAAATCTTAAACCAAGATGTGTTTTGTATAGTTTGTGCCCAAAATGTGTAGGTTGAGCCTATATATAAATATGTATGTGTGTGTATACACACAAACACACAGTATATGTTATATATAAAACGTACATAATGTATATATACACACATACATGTGAATATGTATATGTGTATATATGTATAATACATGTATATGAAATATATATATATGTATATTAATATATTTATATATATTTAATGTATACACACATTATATATTATATATATTTATTACATATATTATATATAATGTATAGATACATTATATATTATATAATATATTAATATATTTATTACATATATTATATATAACGTATATATGCATTAAATATATATATTAAATATATTAATATATTATATATAATGTATATATTTCATATACATGTATGATACATATATACACATATATTATATATACATATTCACATGTATGTGTGATTAATTAAATATATTAATATATTTAATATATTATATATAATGTGTATATATTATACACACATATATACACATATATACACATATATATTCATATATAGGCTCAACCTACACATTTTGGGCTCAAACTATACAAAAAGCATCTTGGTTTAAGATTTTTTCTCCAGGTACAAGGTTTTTAATATATGTATTTAATATTTAATGTATAAATATTATATATACATTATATTATATATAACATATATACACATATACATTATATATAGTGAATATATTATAATATATAATATGAATACATTATATATATAATACGAATATATTATATACATAGTCCAAATATATATATGTTGGACATTAAACAACCTAAACAATAATTGCCATGACAATTGTCAATTTATATTTTATAACACCTTTATGTTCAGCACACCCTTTAATTAATATGCTTTCTCACTTTGATATTTGTTTTCTAAGTATATTTCTAGAAGTAATAAGTTTTAGTGATTTACTGCACAATATGGTGACTATAGGTCTTAAAAATCTATTGCATACAGAGTGAACAGGCAACCTCCAGAATGGGAGAAAATTTTTGTGATCTACCCATCTGACAAAGGTCTGATATCCAGAATTTACAAGAAACTTAAACAAATTTCCAAGAAAAAAACCAAACAACCCCATCAAAAAGTGGGCAAAGTATATGAACAGATACTTCTCAAAAGAAGATATTTATGCAGCCAACAAACATATGAAAAAAAGCTCAGCATTACAGATCTATCTGAGAAATGCAAATCAAAACCACAATGAGATAACATCTCATGCCAGTTAGAATGGCGATTATTAAAAAGTCAGGAAACAATAGATGCTGGTGAGTCTGGAGAAATAGGAACGCTTTTACACCGTTGGTGGGAACGTTAATTAGTTCAACCATTGTGGAAGACAGTATGGTGATTCCTCAAGGAATCACCTAGAACCAGAAATACCATTTGACCCAGAAATCCCATTACTGGGTATATACCAAAAGGAATATAAATCATTCTACTATAAAGACACATGTACACGTATGTTTATTGCAGCACTATTTGCAATGGCAAAGACATGGAACCAATCCAAATGCCCATCAATGATAGACTGGATACAGAAAACGTGATACATATACACCATGGAATAGTATGCGGCCATAAAAAGGAATGAGATCATGTGCTTTGCAGGGACATGCATGAAGCTGGAAACCATCATCCTCAGCAAACTAACACAGGAACAGAAAACCAAACACTGCATGTTCTCACTCATAAGTGGGAGGTGAACATTGAGAACACATGGACACAGGGAGGGGAACACCACACATCAGGACCTGTTGGGGGATGAGGGGCGAGGGGAGGGAACTTAGAAGACCAGTCAATAAGTGCAGCAAACCACCATGGCACACGTATACCTATGTAACTAACCTGCACATTCTGCACATATATCCCATTTTTTATAGAAGAAATTTTAAAAAGTATTGCATATTTCAAAATTGCTGAGAGTACATTTTAAATCTTTTGACCACAAAAATAAGTCTGTGAGAAGTTGGATATGTTAATTTGCTTTATTTATTTATTTATTTATTTATTTATTTATTTATTTATTTATTTTTGAGATAGAGTTTCACTTTGTCACCCAGGTTGGAGTGCAATGGCATGATCTCAGCTCACTGCAACCTCCGCTTCCTGGGTTCAAGTGATTCTCTTGTACCTCCCAAGTAGCTGGGATTACATGGGCACACTACCACACGTGGCTAATTTGTGTGTGTGTGTGTGTGTGTGTGTGTGTGTGTGTATGTGTGTTTAGTAGAGACAAGTCTTCATCATGTTGGCCAGGCTGGTCTCGAACTCGACCTCAAGTGATCTGCTTGCCTCAGCCTTCCAAAATGCTGGGATTACAGGCATGAGCCACTGTGCCCAGCCTAAGTTGCTTTCTTTAATCATTTCACAACATATACAGATATCATTGTACCCCACAAATACTATATATTATTATTATATGCCAATTAAAAATTTTAAAAATGAGTTTACATGTTCCAAGTTAGTAAACTAACCTTATTTCTTACACGTAGTATTGTTTCAGATACTTGTAAGTTATTTACAACAGAGTTTCAGAAAACATTTCTTCATAATCACAATTTGAAATATAATCACAGACATCAATTAGTCTCAACTCACTAAGAGCAGCTCTGAGCGATTTCCTAACCACCATCTCCTCCGTATAACATAATTCTCATACGATTGTTTGTATCCACTTTGTTTTTTGGATATTTTAAAAAATAGTTCACATAGTTTCATCATATTTCATGTTTTACTCATAGAAATGCTCACATGACCTTCAGCTGTGAACTGCTTTAGATTAATGGCCCTGGTATTTCAGTTAAATAAAAAGTTCTTTAATTATGACATGTGTGTTTCTAATAATCTGGCTTAATTTTTGTAAAAAGGCAGTAAGTCGTCTCTCTTTCTGGTGTACGCTTTGCTCTTTTCTTAGAGGAAGGACATAGCAGAATCAGAGAATGCCCTGTAACCCTGATTAAAATGTTATTGCACCAAGCACCAGTTCCCAACTACTGAGAAAGGAGCTTCACCCTGTTCAAAAAATCTTAGAATAGATTTGAGCTTTAATTATGTTATTGGATCACGTGGCATTGTCATTTTTGACCTATAAAAATGGCGATTTCATGAATCAACCTTTTATCATCCTAGTACATATGAATAATATCATCTGTCAGAGAAAATGTATAACTAATCTTAGCTTATTAAAACAAACCATGGGTCCTAATGGCAACAAAATATCCTTTCAATAATATTTTTCCAGCATAAGTTTTACAGGTGCTCCTAACACCCAATCCCATAGTTAATGAACAAAAATCTCTCTAGAATGCAGTTCTTTTTCCTATGCTTTATGAATGGTATGGCATGAAGAGGATGTTCTAAATGGTTCCTTTATAAGCTTTTGTATAAGCACCTTTGCAATCTTTTGTTTTATCCTCCTGCGTGGAATACATGTAAAATTCACCTGCTAACTTGCAAGTTAAATATTTAAACTCTGAGCACACGTGGATCTGTTTGCGTTTTGTTACTTGCTATCATGCAGAACAAGAATGTTTTAGTTATTTATAAACAGCCCCGAGACACTTACAAAATAGCACTCCGATTATGTTGACAATGCGTGCAATATTTAATTTATGGCATGCACTCTGATTATTAAAGTTTATCCATGAATGTCCATAGTTATGCAAAGTATATTCATGCACATTTTTCTTACCTGTATGCAAGGCATCCTTACTAGATGTGATTAGAAATATTATTTTAATACCTTACATTTTGGATATTTAATTAGACTCTGTGGTTACGAGAGTGAACAGCAAGCATAATAGAAATGTATTTTGGTACAAAGTCAATTTAATTATATTCTAAAAATAAAGAAACAATGCTATCTACTACCTCCATAAAAACACATGAAAATATCTGCACCCTCGTCTTCATTGCAACAGTATTCACAATAACCAAGATGTGGAATCAACCTTAGTGTCCATTCATGGATGAATGGATAAAGAACACGTGGTATATACACATCATAGAATTCTATTAAGCTTTTTTTTTTTTAATTTCAAAAAATATTGTCATTTAAGACAACATGAATGGGCCAGGCACAGTGGCTTATGCCTGTAATCCCAGTACTCTGGGAGGCCGAGGCAGGCCTTGAGGTCAGGAGTTCGAGACCAGCCTGACCAACATGGTGAAACCCTGTCTCAACTAAAATACAAAAATTAGCTGGGCTTGGTGGCGTGCGTCTGTAGTCCCAGCTATTCGGGAGGCTGAGACAGGAGAATCACTTGAACCTAGGAAGCGGAAGTTGCAGTGAGCCGAGATCACACCACCGCACTCCAGCCAGGGTGACACAGTGAGACTCCATCTCAAAAAAACAAAACAAAACAAACAAAAAAGACAACATAAATGAACCTGGGCAATGCTATGTTAAGTCAAATAAGGCAGGCACAGAAAGACAAATACCGCACGATCTCACTCATATGGGCAATCTATGAAAAAATCAGATGCATAGAAACAGAATAGAACAGTGCTTACCAGAGCCTGAGGCTGGAGGATGGAGTGGCATTAGGGACATGTCAAAGGATACAAAATTTCTATTAGACAGGAGGAATAATTTCAAGAGATCTGTTGTGCAACATGGTGACTACAGTTAATAACAATGTATCTTATGCTTAAAAATTGCTAACAGTATGGATTCTAAAGTTTCTCCCTACACACCCAAAAAAGGATTAGCATGTTGAGGTGGCAGACATGTCACTTAGCTTGATTTAGCCTTTCCATAACATATACATATATTAAAACATCGTGTTCCACACCATAAATATATGCATTTTTTATTTGTGTATTGGAAAATTAATTATTTAATTATAAAATAGCCTCCTGGCTGCACTGTCTTGGCATTGTGTCTCACTGATAGATTCACCTGGACATCCACGGTTTGCAGGCTTCCAGATATGTATATGTGTGTCTGTGCTTATCTTCGCCCCATGATTCTAAATCACAAACATGAATAAAGCAAAATGAAATCTACTCATGTCGATGAAATATGGAGGAAGACCCCCCATAATAACTTTTTAGAATGCTAAGCCAGAGCTCAATACCACCTTTTGTTTTTTTCTATGTTGGAAGATGTGGTTCTTTGACAGGAATGGCAAGGTTTCTCTTCGCAGAATGAGAAGAAAAATAGGTTTGTCCTTTTGGTTTCAGGACTTGTAAATGAAGCTGAGGTGCAGGAGACAGATGAACAGACTTGATATTTTTGTTTTAATCAAATAACTTCGGATTTTTTTTTGTTTTCATTAAACCAAGTCCCCAAAGATACAGAGTTTTGTCCATATTTCATTAAGACACTGGTTTGATTTATCACATTCTCAGGGGACATGTAGAGTAATTATAGCAGACCGACACTGGAGATTTTGGTATTTAGATTTGCTCCTCAAGGTAATGAGAGATGAGGGTTTCTTAAAGGACTCCTATTTGTAAATGCTGCTCTACTATTTTCATTTCTTAGGACCAGTACTGTGCCTAATATAAAACCAGTGTCTCCTGTGTGTGTGCACATCAGGTGCTTATTTTTTTCTACAGAAGCTAGCTTATTGGTTGTTTTATTTATTTGACTCTTAATATTCCCACGTGGTATTGCCATTCTGTGACCCTGGCCTTTGGTTTCAGTTCTACTTGTATGATAACCAGTGATTTAAGATCATGTTATTCTGTAAATAATTCAGTAATAGTCAAGGGGCAATACTGGTATTATAAAATATAACTGAGACTGTATAACTAAATGTAGCCACTCTGTTACATGCTTTTCTAGGAAGTATTGATTCTCATTTGTATTGAAGCTGTAGACTATATATAGAGAGAGCCTAGAAATATGTATATACACACAGACACTATAGTATTGTACATATATATGCAATAAACATATATAACTACTATAATACATATATGTATGTAAATATATGTATATAATATGTAAAAGTATATATGTCCATATATAAATATATGAATATATAAATTTATATGTTCATATATAAATATATGAACATATAAATTTATATATGTTCATATATAAATATATGAATATATAAATTTATATATGTTCATATATACACACATATGAATATATTTATATATACAAATAGATAAAGCATACATATTTACATATATCATACATAAATATATATACATGTACATATATAAGCATATACATGTATATGAATATATGAATTTATTTATACAAATAGATAAACATATGCATATATAAATATATGAACATAAATATGTGTAAATATATACAAATATACAAATATAAATGTATAATAAACATAAACATATATTAAATATAAATATATAGAATTAAACCTGTACATATATGAACATACATTTATATATGTATGTATGTACAGATATGTTTATTACATATATACTATACTATAGTACATCTATATAGTCTGGGACTATATGTGTATATAGGCTGGGTTATAGATGTAACATATATATAGGTTTATATATATTTATATAAATATAGGTTATATATATTTATATAAATATAGGTTATATATATTTATATATAGATTATGCATATATTTGTATATATAGAACTTTAATGCAAATGAAAATCTATACAACCTAGAAAACAGTGTGACAGAATGGTTATCTCGATTATATATACATTTATAAAATATAGTAATATATGGAATAAACCTGTCTATACATATACATACATATTAGTATATGTCCACATATGTGCATATTCATATATATATTCATCTATATGCATATACAATCATAAGTATATACATAAATTATGCATAATCAAATGATGCACTTTTGCATGTGTGTCTAATGTCTCTGTCTATAAAGATAGTCATGTGCAGTGAGAAGAGAGAGCTCTTTTTAGTGGTGTGTAAGTAATACTTGTTCATCCTTGGAGAAAATGACTTTACAGATCCATAATTTACACTGAGCTCATTTATTAACATGAGTGTGGCTAATGGCTCCAGTTTGTCACTTGGAAGCATTGAATGCCATAAGGTAAAGTATTTTTTCCTGTAGAAAACAGATGCAAGGTAATTTTGATTAATGCCTGAACATCAGAGGCAGTCTTAAAATCCAAATGCAATTGAAGACAAACTTCACATCCTTTTTATTTGTTCTAACTTTGTAAATCAATTAGCATATGTGTAAAATGAAAAACTAAGACAAAAGAATTTCCAAATGGCTAACATATTTCCACATACCATGTTCTGCAGGCAGTGATGCCAGTTCTACAAAGACAGCACCCTGCCTATATCTAGAACTGGCATACTGGTATCTAACTATGTGGCCTTATTTTTGTACTTTTTGGAGCTGCCTTCTCCAAATTTATTTTCTTTCATTTGTGTGTTTCTAATACATGAAATTCTATTATGTGTACAGGAACTCACCTGATGATTTCCAAAAATTTATCCTTAAAAATATGAAAATGAATTTCTTATATCTTTATGCATCTAGTTTTACACATTCCTCTCCATTGAGCTGAATATTTCTGTCATAAAGCTTCATTTTTACACTCTGGTAGTTACATAGGTCATGGGATATTCTCCAGAAATCCATGTGCTATAAATCCATTGTTTCTAAGTATTTACTATAAGCCATCGTCACCAGCCCAGGTATACTTTGCCCATATTATTCCATAGATAAGGGATTTTGCACTAGCAAATGGCATTAGTATGTTTTCCAGAAGCTCTGTCTTTAGTGTGTTTACAAGAAAGAAGGAAAATGGATTGTTGGTTAGCAGGTGGCTCTTCTCACCCACTCTCTTGAGATGCTTTATATTTATCCTATTTATATTTGCCCTATTCCCCTGGCCAGTTGATGAGGTTAAGGTTTGTTTTGTTTTGTTTTGTTTTGAGACAGAGTCTCACTTCATCAACCAGGCTGGAGAGCAATGGCGCGATCTCGGCCCCCTGCAACCTCCGCCTCTTGGGTTTCAGCAATTCTCCTGTCTTAGCCTCCCAAGTAGCGGGGATTGCAGATGTGCACCACCACACCCGGCTAATTTTTTTGTATTTTTTAGCAGAGACAGGGTTTCATCACGTTGGCCAGGCTGGCCTGGAACTCCTGGCCCCAAGTGATCCACCCATCTCGGCCTCTCAAAGTGCTGGGATTACAGGCAGAAGCTACTGTGCCCAGCCTGATAAGGTTAAGTCTTTGAAGTAGCAATTTATTAGACAAATATTTTTTTAAAATAACCAAGTAAAATGATCCATGAAAGAAAAAGAAATAATTGTTATAATTGTTAAGAAAATGAATAGAGAAGCCACAGATTGGGAGAAGACATATGTAAACCACGTTTATGATAAAAGAGACTTATATTCTGAACTCCTCAGAACACCCAAAACTCAAAAAAAAAAAATGAAGACAAACCACCCAATCAATAATAACAAATGGATACATGATTTGAACGACATATAACCATTGAGAATTTACCAATGCATGGCAAAT
Source organism: Homo sapiens (assembly GCF_000001405.40). NCBI lineage: Eukaryota > Metazoa > Chordata > Mammalia > Primates > Hominidae > Homo > Homo sapiens. The sequence continues at coordinate 4,867,012 of NC_000023.11, forward strand.
AAGCACATGAAAAGATGCTGAAAGGCCAGGTGTGGTGGCTCACTCCTGTAATCCCAGCACATTGGGAGGCCAAGGTGGGCAGATTACTGGAGATAAGGAGTCCGAGACCAACCTGGGCAACATGGTGAGACCCCTGTCTTAAAAGAAAAAAAAAATTAGCTGGATGTGGTAGTGCACACTTCTGGTCTCAGCTACTTGAGAGGCTGAGTTGGGAGGATCACTTGAGCCCAGAAAAGGAAGGTTGCAGTGAGCCGAGATCATGCCACTGCACTCCAGCCTGGGTGGCAAGGCAAGACTCTGTCTCAAATATATATATATATATATATGTCAAATATATATATCAAATATATATATGTCAAATATATATATCAAATATATATATATCAAATATATATATCAAATATATATCAAATATATATCATATATATCAAATATATATCAAATATATATCATATATATCAAATATATATCATATATATCAAATATATATATCAAATATATATCATATATATCAAATATATATATCAAATATATACATCAAATATATATATCAAATATGACTGATTTTGAATATATATTCAAAATCATTAGTAACTGAAACATGCAAAATAAAATGAGATACCAGTACACAGATATCCGAATGCTTCAAAGCAACAGCAACAATAAAAAAATCCCTTCAATCTGACTATATTAAGTGCTGGCACAGATGAGAACTGAAGCTCTCATACATGGCTATGAGAATTGGAATAATAACCTGACAGGCTTTTTTAATAAATGTAAAGTTGAGCATATTCTTAGCATTTGAGCTGCCAATCCCAGTCTTAGATGTTTAACTTAAAGAAATAATGGTTTATGCTCAAACAAAAATGATTGTTTACGTGAATACAGGTTTATTCATAACTGCAAAACTGAAAGCAATGTAAATTTTCAACTGGCAAACATACAATTAGGTTGTGGCACAATCATACATTGAGATATTTCTCAACAATTTAAAAACAAACAAAGAAAACACTGACACTTAACTAGTGGTTTACCAGCAGTGCAATAACTAGTGCACGCAGAGACCTAGACAAATCACCAGTGCTTTATTCAGGGTAATGGAAGTCAGACTCCAATGTCTACATATACTTTAATTCCCTCTACATGACTTTCTGGAACAGCCAATGCTGTAGGGATAAAAATTTGTTTCATGTTTGCCAGGGAATGTGGGTTGGGAGAAAGTTTGAGTACAAAGAGGCACAGGGGAACATTTTGGGATGATAAAACTGTTTCCATATCATGACTATGGTAATAGTTACCATCAAAGAGTACAAACCCCAGAAGCATGCACCAAAAAAATAAATGTAACTACATAGAAAATATACGGATATATAAAAATATACAAAACATACACTGATAAACCTAACTTAAAGAAATAAGAATAACCAAAAATAGAGAATTCTGCTTGCAAATTAATCCTTATTTTCCCCAAATGCCTTTTATCAAAATAGCAATTACTTAAGAAATAGCAATGTTTCTAACTTCCCAACAATCTCTGATGATCATGTTTCAGCAAAACAATTTTTGGGGTAATAAATGAGGCATCTAATTATACTATAGATTAAGATTCTATTAATAATAACAGGCGCATTATTCTACCTGTTTACTTTTTCTAAACTGGCTTAAAGAAATCAAGGATCAGAAGCTGTTATGATCCTTATAACAGTGAGGTGGAGGAACTGTTCGAAGTGGGATGGACTACAATGAAATATAGGGCTTAGCAAAAACTTTTCTAAGGTATATTATTAAGTTTTGGTTTTCACACCACATAAACATTCTATATGTTAATAAAATTAAATCAAACAGGTTACAAAACTACACTTATAAACAATACCAACAATAAAAGAAGTCTAACTTTACATCAAATTGATAGCAATATTGAGTATTATGTTAGTAAGAAAATAAGTTGCTAAAGTTAACACAAATAGATATAATGATGTTATTAGAAACTAAGGTTTTTGGTATAAGAAAAAACAGATTCAAATACAAAATAGTAAAATAATTTGATTGTGAGAATCCTTAAACAGTGTATAAATATATCAAATTATATTTTACACCTTGAATATTTCCAATATTTGTCAATCACATATTTTAAAATGAAAAATTTTTAAAATACAATGCTGAAATTTAAGTAACAATATGAATATAAACTCACAATTTCTTAAAGAAAAGGTGTACTATAACTCAGTGCAGTAGTAAGGTCTATAACCTATGACGTCAGTGCCGGAATGAAACAATTCTCAGATCCTGATTTCTAATTATTGGTGTTATTAAAAAGGAATCAAGGCTCCTTGGGAACATAGCTGATTTCATGGGGTTGAGAGACTGTGAGTTGAGCTAAGAATATCCTATTGTGTGCCCCAAAGAAAGGAAGAGCTGAACAATGAATTTAGAATGTGTCAAAAGGACCCAGTAATACATTTGTTTTTCTCCTTCCTTTTTGATGCAAATGTTAACTGCTGTGGTAATAGATCAGTTTCACAACAGATGGTAATGATGCTATGGTGAAAATATATCACTTTCACATATGTATATATATTGAGTATAAGGTGTTTCAACATTTGATACAGTAAGTGATACACGGGGAACTTCCTTCGTGTAACCAACACTATGATCTTGTTAGATACTTTGTATCTGCGCTATTCTGCCATAGGATTATACCTATTATTCATGAGTACAATTCATATTATGGGGAAAGAGGGAAGTCTGAAATGAGAAATGGCCCATTTGTCTAGATGTCTGAGTCTTAGTGGATTTTAATAATTCTTGCACCGCCAACTAGTCTCTCCTTTGCCTTCTCAACTGCCTTCTCAATCAGTATCACTGGGATTCATTTTGCCTTCTGCATAAAGTAAACAAGAGTAACCTGCAAGAATGCATTTGATAAAAGGAAAATTTTATCCACGGTTTGAGTTTCACCTGTAGCACACAATTCAAGTGTGAAAGAAGTGATATTCAGACCCTGAGATCTTTAGTTTTAGTAAAGTTTATTTGTTTTTTAAAGTGGATCTCCTGCTTGGAAAAGTACAGTAGATGTTCAGCAAGATAGTTTTTACTTAAATAAAAATCATAGCAATGTTTTGAAAATATTGTAGAAAATCTTACTTTTTTTTGTTTTGTTTGTTTTGAGACAGAGTCTCACTCTGTTGCCCAGGCCGGAGTGCAGTGGTGCAATCTCGGCTCACTGCAATCTCCACCTCCCAGGTTCAAGGGATTCTCCTGTCTCAGCCTCCCGAGTAGCTGGGATTATGGGGCGTGCCACCACGCCCAGCTAATTTTTTGTATTTTTAGTAAAGACAGGGTTTCAGTGTGTTAGCCAGGATGATCTCAATCTCCTCACCTCATGATCTGCCCGCCTCGGCCACCCACAGTACTGGGATTACAGGTTTGTGCCACTGGGCCCAGCCTACACAGTTTAAATAAGCAATTATATGTTTTTTGTGCTTATAATAATTGTATAATTTAGGTATAATTATAAGGAGTCATTCATTTTCTAATATTTTCTGCTTCAAATTCAGTGTATTAACTTAGGTAAAAAATGTTCAATGATGCATGAACATTTTGGGAAATGTGGCCAAGAAAATGACCATACACTACCATATGATCCAGCAATCTTACTTTTGGCTCTGTATCCGAAGAATATGAAATTGGTATGTCAAATTGTGCAATAACCCCAAATTTAAATATCCTTTCCTGGTTACTACATAACACATTAAAACAATATAATATTAATAATATTTGTAATATAATGTTTCATGTTGAATATTATCACAGTTCCCCAATTTTTATGGTTTATAATTTTACAAAACAACTCAGTTTTCCAATCATTTCTTTTCCATGTGGAAAACTATGTCTAATTAACTATTATCTTTTTAATACCACCTATCACTTACATTTCAGAATTGCATCCACATTTTCAGGCAATGTCTTTGTCTTTGGTAGAGAAGAAGATTGTTTGTCCCCTGTTTGAGTGGCTATGTGAAGTGTTTTGAGGTTAGCAAACCTGTCTTCCCTTAGAACCATTTCACACATTTGAGAAATATCATTATAACATGTCTTCAAAACTGGGAAAGAAAACTCAGCTGTGTTCAACAAATATTTACTTTCTTCTTTCCAAAAATCAGACTGCAGAAATCGTACATAGTATAGGGGATATTTGATCACTTCATCTTGGAGGTCTATCACAAATATAAATGTTTCTATCATAGCATTATTTATGTTTATATAAGAAAAATATTTATTTCTAATTTTTATTTTCTGGTATATAATGCAGAATATGAAATTTGGAAATATAGAAGGGAGGGAACAAAATTTAAATCACGTATATTTTGTTTTATTTCTTTTAGCATTTTTTTATATTTGTGTGTTTTATAAAATTAAGAATAAGATACACAAGCATATGCATTCATATAGTGTATTTCATTCAAGATAATATTGAAATTATTTTTCATTTCATTATTTTTATTGTTTTTTTGAATTAATAGGCCAATATAACAGAATAGAATATTAATCATTTTTAAAGGGTTATTGTATACCTGCCTAGATTCCTTACTGAGAATATTGTATCTTTAATGATGTATCTCATATTGGAAAAGCCATATTTCCTTTTTCCTATTTGACCTTTTCATGTGATAATCTTTGCATACACATCTTTCTAGATAATTTTGATAGTTCTTTACAATAGATTCCAGTAAATGAAATTATTGTGAGAAAATGTAGGATTGTGAGATCGCTGGTTCAGGCTGTTAATTTTTTTCCAAAAAGAAAAAAATGGTAATAATATTGCCACCAGTATTGAATACGAATGTCTTGTTGACCCGTCTTTTAATCATTTTTTTGTTGGTTTTGTTTTGTTGTTGTTGTTGTTTTTGAGAAGGAGTATTGCTCTGTCGCCCAGGCTGGAGTGCAATGGTGCGATATCGGCTCACTGCAACCTCTGCCTCCCTGCTTCAAGCGATTCTCCTGCCTCAGTCTCCCGAGTAGCTGGGATTACAGGCGTCTGCCACCACGCCTGGCTAATTTTTGCATTTTTAGTAGAGACAGGGTTTTGCCACGTTGACCAGGCTGGTCTTGAACTCCTGACCTCAGGTGATCCGCCCATCTCAGCCTCCCAAACTGCTGGGATTACAGGTGTGAGCCACCATGTCCAGCCACCATTTTTTTTTTTTTTTTTTTTAGAAGGAGTCTCACTCTGTCGCCCAGGCAGGAGTGCAGTGATGTGATATTGGCTCACTGCAACCTCCACCTCCCAGGTTCAAGAGATCCTCCCACCTCATCCTCCCAAGTAGCTGGGATTACAGGTGTGTGCCACCATTCCTGGCTAATTTTTGCATTTTTAGTAGAGACGAGCTTCACCATGTTGGCTAGGCTGGTCTTGAACTCCTGATCTCAAGTGATCCACCTGCTTCGGCCTCCTAAAGTGCTGGGATTACTGGCATGAGCCACTGTGCTCGGCCCATTGTGTTGTCTTTAAAAAACAATAATGTTATGATAAAGACTTCTATCTAATTATTAATAGTGCATTTATGACTAGATGTAAAGATAAACATCGTTTTTGGTATGTGTATTTTTAGCCCTGCATAAAATATTTATCTCCATTAAAACAATCAGGACAAGGATTTTGCTCTATATTTAAAATTTAATTTTTGTCATATTTTTATGTTGATAAGTACGTCTCTTTGTTCCACCACGAGCTTCAGCTACATACGAAACCTCTCGTGAATATCCTTGTCAGAACTCTCCCATGCTCTTTAACTTAAGAGTACTGAAAGCCACATTTTTTTCAATGCTGCCTATCTGGGAATATCTAATACTCTAATCTAGGCCGGGCACTTTTTGCATGCCTCAAAATCTCCCTTGAATGGAGTGTAATGAACTGAACAATTTTATATAGCAGTGTTGAGTCAGGCATTGATGAGTGAAGCTGACATCCTCTCTCCCCTAATTTTCAATTCCACATCTTTTGGATATTCTTCACCACGCTCAGGTTTGCTATAGGTGGATGGAGTGATGGTTCAGCCCCGCTTTGTCCCAGTCAAATAGTTCACTGCTGTTGAATGTCCCCAGTGGTTCGAATTTCCTTGTGTATATTTTAGTCGTGTATGGTCAGTACTTAGCTGTGAATTGGTTTACCCAAACCCATCCACCTATTCAGGTCAAAAGCCACACTGCTATAGCTTTTCGGGGAGAACAGGAAAGAAAATCTCATCTGTGGTCATCACCAGCTTTTCACTTTTTTATTTTTTATTTTTTTTGGTACAGAGTTTCGCTCCTGTTGCCCAGGCTGGAGTGCAATGGCATGATCTAGGCTCACTGCAACCTCCACCCCCCAGGTTCAAGCGATTCTCTTGCCTCAGCCTCCCGAGCTGGGATTACAGGCATGCACCACCATGTCTGGCTAATTTTGTATTTTTTAGCAGAGACAGGGATTCTCCATGTTGGCCAGGCTGGTCTCAAACTCCTGATCTCAGGTGATCCACCAGCCTTGGCCTCCAAAGTGCTAGTATTACAGGCATGAAGCTTTTCTACTTTCATGGCACTGCCTGGACCCCAGCCTCCTGCCCCAGAAGCCCTTTCCTATCCTGCATATTATCTCTATTTCTACGCAATCCCCCTCTGCCATCACAAATATTAGATAAGCTATCAGCTCTCTTTGACACTGAGCTAAAATCTTTGAATTTTATCTCAAAGATTTGGAGGTAACATGGAAGAGTTTCAATCAGAGAATGACATGAGGGGGTTTTGGCCTTAGAACATTCATTCTGGCTGCGGAGTGTCAAATAAATTGAAGATGAGCAAAGAGACAAAGAAATCAGTGAGACGTCTACTTAGGAAAACTCTGAAGAAAAAAGAGTTATGAAAATGATGAAGGAAAAAATATGGATAGACTATAATGTGCTGGAGGAGGTATCACTAAAAGGCACTGAGAAGAGATTAGGGAGAGAAGAAGATCGTCTCTGATTACAACCAATTGTGTAGCTGAAGTGGTGGTTGGCGATAAAATTGTTTATTTGCTTACTTATTTATTCAGCTTTCTTGAGAGAGAATTGACAAATTGAACGTGCATGTATTTAGGATGGACAACATGATGTTTTGATATAAGGATACCTTGTATAATGGTTTCCACAATCACACTAATTAACATATGCATCATCCCAAATAGTTACCACTGTATATCTGTGCGTGTGTGTGTGTGTGTGTTTGAACACTTAAGATCTACACTACCATGTGATCCAGCAATCTTACTTCTGGCTCTATATCCAAAGAATATGAAATTGGTATGTCAAAGAGATGCCTGCACTCTCATATGTATTATAGCATTATTCACACTAGCCAAAATATGGAAACAAACTAAATGCCTCTAAATGGATGAATGGATAAAGAAAACGTGGTCTATAAAAACACATTGGCATCACACATCTCGGGGTTTTGCATCCTAACCAACTGCAGATGGAAAATATTTTTAAAAAAAATTAAAAATAAAAATACAACAATTAAAATAATACAAATTAAAAAATATAGTAGAACAAGTATTTCTGTCGAATTTACATTATATTAAGTAGTATAAATAATCCAGAATTGGTATAAAATATACAGGAGGATGTGCGTAGGTTACATACAAATACTACAGTATTTTATTTATATCAGGGACCTGAGCTTCTGCAGATTTTGGTATCCGTGGTGGGTTGTGGTGGGAGGAAGTCCTGCAACCAATCACCTGTGGTTACTAATGGACAACTGTATATGTGTGTGTGTGTGTAACAGAATATTATTTTTAAAAAGAAGGAAATTCTGCCATTTGTGACTGTATGAATGGAGGTGGAGGGCATTATGCTAAGCAAAATAAGCAACATCCAGAAAGAGAAATACCACATGATTTCACTTGTATGTGGAATTTTAATAAGTGAAAGCTATTGCTTTAGAAGAATAGAATGGTCATTACCGTGGGCTGGGGGAAGAGGAAATGGGTGATGTTTGTCAAGGGTACAAACTTTTAGTTACACGAGATGATTACATTCAGATCCAATGTACAGCATGGCGACTACAGTTAATAATACTGCATTATGTACTTGATTTTACTAAGACAGTAGATCTTAAGAGGTGAGGGTATTAATTAAAACAGGGAACACTGGCTGGCTGTAGAACAAATGATGGACCATGTGGATGATAAACTCAGCTTTAGACATATGAGGTTAACGTCTCTTGTGATATACCACAAGATTGTCCTGATGGGTTAGGACAGGAATTGAATTTTATAATCATGGGCTTGGGAGACAGATCTGCCAGTGATATCAGCTGAGGAGCCACCACCAGCATGGAGATGAGAAATGAAAAAAACTCATTGGCAAGAAGACTAAGACAAGACACACTCCAAACTTCCTGATCAAAATAGAAATGTGGATGTGAGTTCCCTCCTTCTGGCATGCTCATTGTGATGGTTAATATTGACTATCAACTTGATTGGATTGAAGGAGGCAAAGCATTCTTCCTGGGTGTGTCTGTGAGGGTGTTGCCAAAGGAGATTAACATTTGAGTCAGTGGACTGGGAAAGGCAGACCCACACTCAAGCTGGGTGGGCCCCATCTAATCAGCTGCTAGCCTGGCTAGGATAAAAACAGACAGAAGAATATGGAAGGATTAGACTGGCTGAGTCTTCCAGCCTCCATCTTTCTCCCTTGCTGGATGCTTCCTGCCCGTGAACATCAGACTTCAAGTTCTTCAGCTGTCAGACTCTCGGACTTACACCAGTGGTTTGCCAGGGGCTCTTGGGCCTTCGGCAATAGACAGAAGGCTGCACTGTCAAATTCCCTACTTTTGAGGTTTTGGGACTCAGACTGGCTTCCTTGCTTCTCAGCTTGCAGACGGCCTATTATGAGACTTCAGCTTGTGATCATGTGAATCAGTACTTCTTAATAAACTCCCCTTCATATATACATCTGTCTGATTAGTTCTGGCCCTCTGGAAAACCCTGACTAATACGTTCATCTTATGTTAACACTGCCGTCACCATTTCTTTTCTATCTCTCCGCTGTCCCCTCTCTTCTCTTGATCAACCCCTTCTCTCCCTCCCCCCTCCTCTATCTCCGACTCTCTCCTCTCTCTACCCTCTCTCTCTCTCCTCTTTCTCCTCTTTTTTCTGTCTCATATATATATATTTTATATATATATATTTTTTATGTACATACACAAATATATATGTGTGTGTATATATATGTGTGTGTATGCCATATTGACACATTCTATTTGTTTTTTTAACAGAAGGAGGGTGTAACTTAGTAGGAACAACAGAGCCTTTAGAGACAAACACATTTGGATCAAAATCTCTGATCAAAACCCAAGACTACACAGGATGTTAAACAACCAGGAACAGTACAAAGTGTCCTCTTCCTTTTCTCAATCATTGAACAAATTCAGTGGAAAGAGGAAGAGGGTGGAGTCAGGGTGTTGTGGATTTGTTTCCCACTGGTACAATTGCTTGCATGACCTTGGGCGTGTCATTCTATTATTTAACAGATTCCCATTTCCTATCTGTAAAAAGGGAAGAATAAGATTTTCAAATGGTATTTACGAAAAATAAATTAGATTACTTACATGAGCAGAAAGGAGAGGACGAATACTGCCTAATGCTTCAACTGATGCTACAACAGGGAGGAGAGGACAGCTCCTTTCAAAGAAAAAAATAATAATTTGATGATATATTTAGATAGTACCATGGACTTGGTCTGCAGTGCAATGGAAAAGGAAAATAGCTAAAATGCAGAGTATAACTTTCCACTCATAGATGTAATCAATATTAATACCCTTGTTGTGTGGATATGTTATATAAAGCCAAGCCCTTCCCAATATCCCCCAAAAAGTCTTGGGTCAACCATATTTATGGCAAGGAAAGACACATGACTTGTTGAAAAGAAACAATTTTGGCAAGTGATAAAATGGTTTAATCAAGACGAGACACAAAGAATTAGATAATATTTATAAATGAGGTAGTAAAAGAGGTAGAAAACAACCCAAAATTCCAAATACATGTCACTTTTTCTGACTAGAGAATCCCTGAGACATTGCAGGACATAGTGGGTATTTGAGACAAATTTAATTAGTGTAATTTTACATCTCAAAGGCAATAGTATTCCAGGCTGGATGAGATGGGCGATCTCTAGTAATTTATACATCTGAGATGATCTGGCATATTCTAGATCCTCAATTAATAACATCACTGCTGTTTTAATAGTGGTAAGACTAGTCATTGATGTTATTGTAAATACTATTAGAATACCATTCACACATAGTCTATAAAGGGGGAACTCTTCAGTTTTTTCAATTTTGCTTTCTTACGTTGTTTTTCTGTTGTATTGTCTGTTTCTGACTTTCTGGCACTTTCAGAAGAATTACCAGCCAATCTCAACTTATAATAAGGATACAGTATATGTGTTCCAGTATATGTGATACAGTTACCTCTGGCCTAAAAAATTTCAATCAGAAACATATGTTATGCATAAAGTAATTGGTGCCATCTGAACACCCTTCTAAGCAAACTTATTTGACTTTTTGTAGTGTTGATGTCTCCTGGTACTTAACCATTTCATTTTGAGATGTTAGTTATAATGGTATTCTATAGAGAGTTCAGCATTGCAATGGTTAATTTTATGCATCAACTTGACTGGACTACGGGTGCCCAGATAGCTGGTTAAATATTATCTCTGGGTGTGCCTGTGAGGGTGAGGGTGTTTCCACAAGGAATCCACATTTAAATTAGTCAACTCAAAAAATATTTTTCCCTCCCCAGTGTCAGTGTGCCTCATTTAATTCCTTAAAGGACTGAATAGAACACAAAGTGGAAGAAGTTTGAATTAACTCTGCCTGACTATTTGAGCTGGAACATTTATCTTCTGTCCTCTGTGCTCCTGGTTCTCAGATCTTCAGAGGAGACTGGAATCTGCACCATCGTCCTCTGTTTCTTTGGTCTTTGGACTACACCACTGGCTTTCCTGGGTCTTTATCCTGGAGACAGGTGGTTATGGCACTTCTCAGCCTCCATAATCAAATGAGCCAATTCTTTATCATAAATATTTTTGAGAGAGAGAGTCTTGCTTTGTCACCCAGGCTGAAGTGCAGTTGTATGATCTTGGCTCACTGTAACCTCTGCCTCCTGGGCTCAGGCGATCCTCCACCTTAGCCCCCCAAGTAGCTGGGACCACAGGCATGCACCACCACACCTGGCTAAGTTTTGTATTTTTAGTAGAGACAGAGTTTCACCATGTTGGCCAGACTGGTCTCGAACTCCTGACCTCAGGTGATCTGCCCGCCTCAGCCTCCCAAAGTGCTGGGATTACAGGTGCGAGCCACTGCTCTTGGCCCCTTATAATATATATGTTAATAGATAGATAAATATAGAGTTTTTTTAGTTATATCTATATGTATAGGTATATATCTGTATCTTATTGGTTCTGTTTCTCTAGAGAACACTCACAAATACAAACATTTATACTGTAACCTTTGAGAAGTTACTTTATGTCTTTCAGCGTCAGTTTCCCAACATGCAGAATGGAAATCACAACTTTGTCAACAACATAAAGTCACTGTAAACCTTAAAGTGATAACAAATGCAAAGCAAGATATTTCTATACGAAGGACGAAGATTCAGGATGATATTTGCATTACAGAAGGAAAAATGTCCTAAACCCTTAGAGATATATTTCAATGACTGCATTTTAAAGTAACACATTTCACGTCCTCCCACCTGCTCCAACTGGATGTGTTAAGTGGGGAATGTTTGAATAATTTTTGCTGATTCAGCAGGTAAAGTAGAACATTGGCTCTTTGACAACTTTGCTTATTATTAAGTAGAAAGGAGGAGTTTAAAATACTTGCCTGTAAAGCCTCTCTCAAGAAATCCCCAGGCCAGACTGATTAACTCAGAATCTCTAAGAATGGACCTGAGATGTCTGTATTTTGTAAAATTCCCTCAAGGGATTCTTATGTACAGGCAGGGTTGAGATTCACTAATTAGAGGTTTGGATATATGAAAATTAAAACCAAACTTAACTCTGGAGTTCGCTGGCATAAATCTGCTGTATAGAAAAAGTATTTGAATCCCTATTATGTACAAGTCAAATTTTCTGACTCAGATCAAACACTAAATTGGTGATGAAGAAAAAAAATGTCCTCAACACTAGAAAATAAAATTCACCCATCGGATGCTGTTGTAAATTCTGAAACTTTAGAATTATTGAACTGTCAAGAGACCCAGGAGGAAAGAAATATGACATATGTTCAGCCCTAGAAGGGAAAAATTTGTGACATTTTCCAGGTTTAGGCCATTAAAAAAAATTGTGAGAGAAGGTTTCTAGAGTATAGTCCAGGTGGCACAGTGGTTGGTGGATTTATTAATGTGGCAGGAAATACTTTTCGAACATCATTACATTCCATAGGGTTGTCAGTGTTTATTAAGAGGAAAAAGTGTCTAGAAGTTCCTTTGACACTATTAATGGTTAAGTTCTTAGCAGCCATAATTAAATTCCAACATAAATCTTATGATTAATCTAAAAAACAGAAGATTTAAGGGGAAAAATCACCTAAAAATAATTTTGATATATCGCACAAAGTGAGATATATTTTAATAACTCACAAAGTGAGTTCCAACATAATATTTTAGGGCTCTAGAGCATGCATTTCCAAATCAGATTTCCATTAAATTAGCATGCTCTTTGTGAAAATACTTCACATGTATCATCTAAAATTGACCAAAGTCTGTTGAAATTACTTTTAGTATTCTGAGTTCATGAAGAGAATGCAGAACTAAGTCAATTCTTTTTTTATCAAGATTATAATGCTGGTCACATCCAACATGAGTTTATATGCTTAGGAAGGGTGGTTGAGGGAGATTTTCTTCCTCAGCCACGGAAAGTAAGTAATTTCATTTAATCCAATTAGATTTTGTAGGTTTTATCATTTTTTCTCAAATCTTAGATCTGGAAAGAAATAAATGCTTTAAGAAATTGATATTCTGCATGGAATTGATAGCAAATGCATATACGCAAGGCAATCCACAGTGTGCACCCCATTCTTGTTCCTGGCTACCTAAGGGTTCAAAGTTCAACAACCAATACCTGGCATACAGTTTTGCTTATTTATGTGTGTCCTGTTTTATTCCAAAAGTGTTGAAAGTAATGGGCTAATATAACAAGTCAAGCATTATCGTAGTGTTGGAAAACAAGTGTAGAAAAAAGTAGATTCTGTCCTTGTCCCAAACTTGATAAAAAATGTACTCCCCATAAAATAGCAAGTAGAAAAGAACTCTACTGAAAGTTGGGGGAATCTGGGAGCCACTCTGACTTAGCTTTTACAGTTTTCATTTCTATTTGGTCTTATTTTAACTAAGCGAAGGGAAGCCTTAACAGCCTTCACTTTTTGCACCTCTAATTAAGAAAATACTTTAGAAGTATAATGAACAAAGTGGGTCTAGCATCAGTAAGTCTTCAGTGTAAATTTCAGATCCACTGTTCAGGATCTGAAAAGAAAAATGAGCATGGCTACGCTTCCTAAGTATGTATGCGTTGTGTATAAAATGGGGGATTTGAGTAATAACTTTTGCTTTAGATTTTATTTCAGGTTTTATGTAGCAGGATAATGTCAAATGTTTACTTTATCTCTAATGCATAGCAGACATTTTTTTAAATGGCTGGTTTAAAAAATCTAACTATACTCCTCTTTTTAAAATTTAGTAGCAGCTGCAATTAGCTAAATAAATATATCTCTAGAAGAAAACTCCAGATATTCCAGAAAAGTATTTTTTATATTGTAATGCATATATGGTCAACTGTCAACACTTTATTAAACTCAGTCCTAATTAACTTATTTCTTAGTTGCATTGCATACATGTCTTTAAAAAGCCACCACGATTTTATTATTATTTTTTTTCAAGACAGGGTCTCACTCTGTTGCCTAGGCTGGAGTGCAGTGGCGCGATCTCTGCTCACTGCAACCTCTACCTTCCAGGCTCAAGCCATCCTCCCACCTCAGCCCCCAAGTAGCTGGGACTACAGGCCCACACCAGCACGCCTGGCTAATTTTTGTATTTTTTTAGTAGAGTCGACGCTTCACCATGTTGCCCAGGCTGGTCTCAAACTCCTGACCTCAAGTGATCCTCCTGCCTTGGCCTCCCAAAGTGCTGGGATTACAGGCGTGCACCACCACATTCGGCCCTCACTAACAATTTAGTGAGCAGTAGAGTTTAAAGCATTTATAAACCAGACTGATTCAAATGTTGCAGAGACAGGTTGTCAACTGCTTTAAATAACCCATGGTGTTACCTAAGAAAAGAGCAGAAGTGTGCACAAAGATATATGGATGCCTAGGAACTGGACACCAAGAAGGAATCTGCTACTTCTGCAAAGATAAATATTTGGGTTGGTAAAGGATTGAGTCCAGCTGGCGTTCTCCAGGCTCCCTTCTCTCCTGCTGTCTGACCCAACTGCTGTCTGAGCCAACTGTGGCTCCTCCAGCATTCACGCTGTTGCTGCTTCTAGTCTGTGTACTGAACAAATTGAAAGATAAATGACATATGAAGAAACCAGGAGCTGCTGAACCACTGGCATCCTTTCAGAGTTCTGGGACCATCCAAGGCTTTGGATAAGACCAGCACAGTTTGATCTTGACTCTTCTCAGTGTGTTTTAGTTGTCTGCCGTAACCTGAGTCAGGATGGAGGACTTCTGGGAGAACAGATAATGTCCTTGACCAATATCTTCGAAGAGAACTGTGGACGCATTTGCAGCACGTATCTTAGAGGGGCAATTTGGCAACACTGAGTCCAGAACAGGTTTGTGCAGGAATCACTGAAATTAGTAATAGGCTCTTAAATATTAACAACCCCTGAAAACAACTCCAGGTGGGAGAAAAGAGAGAGGCACTTCTGAGACCAATTTTCTACTTCGGAAGAGGCCAGGCTTGCAAAATGGAATTCTGGTTTCATAACAGAAGACATCTTATTAAAGTACATGAGGGTGAGTCTGTTGTGGTCTGCAGGTGTTGCCTGGCAGGGTTTCCAATACCTACCGTAGCTGCACATGTTTTGATGAAAAATCAGCCAACATTTTCAGGCAAGTGGCACAGATGTCTCACCTCCGAAAGGTCTAGGAGGAATTGTCAATCACAATCCCCCGTCTTCATTGCGTCTTTCTAATAATAGCTATAAAGAAATCTTCCAAAAAGTCATCTTTGTTAGAAATCTATGGTATGCATTTAAAGAAAAAGGGTCAGATTAAGATATTTAAATATAAATGCATATGGAATTTGCTGAAAGGCAGACTTGTGATTTGTTGCCTCTTTGATGCTCATCTTCAAGGTGGAGACAAGAGTTGGAGGCAGCTCGTTTTTTTTTTTTTTTGTATTATACTTTAAGTTTTAGGGTACATGTGCACAACGTGCAGGTTAGTTACATATGTATACATGTGCCATGTTGGTGAGCTGCACCCATTAACTCGTCGTTTAACTTTTCCTTGATTAAAACCATTAGCACTGCCTCACATGACGGTCTTCACCCTCTCTGAGGCTGACCTGCTCTCACGCTGACAACACCCAGTTCCTTTGCAGATCTGGTGATCAAACCCAGCCTTCCTTCTTGCTTTCAGAGATGAAGGGCACATTTCACTTCTAAAATTTCTCATTATTATTTGGAGATATTAAAAGGCAAGGGGCACATTTGAACAGAGCTTGGATAATGTGATCTTTATCATTTAATCTAGGATGTTTTACAGACTTAACTAGCATCTGAAGCTCAAAATAGACACTCAATGGCAAAAGAAATGGAGTCCAAGAAAGAGATTTGTTGGTGACCTTAAATAATTAAAAATAAATAAATAAATTGGCCTTTGGCTTTGGTTGGAGATGATTTATTCATGAATGATGTTTTTACACCCAGCCTTAAATGCGAACAATACAAATATGAGATGACTTCGATGTCGTTTTGGGGAATTTCCATTTGAAGTTCAGCTGTGGGTCATTGAGAGTTCAGACAACCTCCTCAAAATTGAATTCCAGGCTAATGCAGGGGTCCAAACCCATTTTCCATTTCAGGAGATAAATATTTGATGGATAAATTCCTTCAAAGCTCTTTGGGTCAGGAAAAAAGTGCACGTAGAGCAGAATAAATTGGCAAAGCAGGCCTGGTTCAGATGAAGAAAGCATGTTCCACACTAAGTCTGCCTCTGATTACAACTCAAAGCTTGAACAGAACATACAAGACAATTACAAGTAGATTCCAAGAAGTAGAGTAACCAGCAGATTAGAGAGGAAAATCAGAACTCAAAGAATGACCAAAGAGCAGTGGGCTCTGCATAGAGTGCCCTTGACATAAGTGACTCCATCTTAGAGAAAGGCTCAATCTTACATTTCAAAAGTTGCCTTGCCAACGGGGACCAGATGTCTTGCCTAATCAATAAAGACTGCACCCAACCAGATAAGGACATAACCAAGCACACTCTTCCACTATCAGTCTTCACCAGAGGACTCTGTGGCCATAAAAACAGCAGTACTTCAGCACTGAAGTACTTGAAATGGTTGTCTTAACAGGCACCATCTTGCTGTCACTTGTAATAAGCACCTGACGTCTGCTAGCAAAGGCTCTGGCCATATTAAAATTTCTTCCTTGCAAGACAGATGGACTGAGCAGGCCATACCAGGATCTTCTTTTTGTCTATATTATTCTCCCTGGACTGGTTTGCTTAACTATTTTTCCTATCTCTTTACTCTTGATGTTGAATGTTACATTGTTTGTTGTGGAGTGCTTAATCTATAATATTTTATGTATTGGTTAAGTATGATAATATGTATGGTTTTACAGTATTGACTGACTTGTGGAGTGACTTGAGCCTCTGTGCCTGCAGCTCTGACCACTGAGTGAACAAGAAATACTAAGGAGAATTCCCTCCTTGGAAACTCCATGTGGCTTGTGGCTTTTGCATTGAAATAGCATCAATACATGTGACCTTATAGAAAGACACAAACATGCATGGACTGGGTTATCTCTGACCTTGCATTGCTCATGATAGTCCCTCTCTTTTTTTCCCTCCCGTCTCTCCTGACTCAGACCTGTGGCAAACTTGACCTTTAAAACTCTGCTGCAGACATGGACAGACAAAGAACCAAGAAAAAACCTCTCTATAAACCTCTTTATTGAGTTGGAATTCCAGAAAGTGGGTACCCTGCAGGGAATAGCCTATTGATCTCTCCTATCCTCCTTCCACAGGATGTTTTACATCTATGTGGTGGCTGAATTAATATTAGACAAAATACTTTCAGAATAAAATTACCATGGATGAAAGTGGACATTACATAATGATAAAATGAATAATTTGTAACTTATTTTTTTAATAAAGACAGATGGATTAGATCATATTTCCACAATAAAATGGAACAGAGCCTCATGATATTTCCCTCTATAAACTTAATGTTTTAAAAGATTTTTACAAATATTTTATATTGAAACAACATTTTCCTATTTTACATCTATAAAAGAAAATTGCTTATCAGTTTCTGATCGGCATGAAATAATGATTGTTATAACAGTGAAATGATGTAATTCATAGTCTAAAGAAATTTTCCATTTTATTTGGTCTGCAAATTTGTTTTCCATGTAAAATGTGATTCCTGCTAGACTTTTGTAATTTAATAAGAAACCATGGCTTTCTAATACTAATTTCAGAGACTTTATGAGATGTGTGACCCAAAGGTGCAAAACACTGGGCATTTTTTGTCTTAAGGTTCCTGTATTACAGACTAGCAGATTTCATGTAAGTCAGTCAAATTTTGATAACGATACGAGTGCTAGGTTATTAATAATTATTATTCTAAAATTCATCTCAAATTCTCCACCACCTTTAAAAGGTGGTGGCAGAAGAGACAAGTGATCATCATTTCTTTCAAGCAAATTCTCAAGAATGACCAGACCGGGTCTGTAATGTCTGAAAAACACAGTGAGAACATAAAAATCAATGTTCTCAAAAGAAACTAAATGAGAAACTTACACGTCTATATGGAAATGATAAAAATGAGTTTTCCATTAAGAACTCTTAGCTTACAGTGAACTAAATGCAAATTCAAGAAAACAGGAGTTGCCTTTATTCTAATACTATGTTTTGTTAACAAGGCTATTCTCTCTTGAATTTTAGTAAAAATATTTGCATTATGAAATTCTAACAAAGAAGACCATATGGGCATTTTTTATGTACTGAATAAGGAAAACAGAAGTCTATTTCTTTGTCTTATTTCTGATTTTTAATAATTATACTTTTCTGCATAATCAAAAATTTGAATAAATATTGCCTTAATCACAAATGGAATTCACTAGGTTCAAAGTATCTTTGCTTCTGTAATAAAAACCATTCATATTTTGTCTGCAGAATTGCTTTATATTATAAATGGTCCCTGACTTAATGATGGTTTGACTTATGATGACTTTACGGTGGTGCAAAAGTGATATGCATTTACTAGAAAACCTACTGCCAATTTTGAATTTTGCTCTTTTTTCTGGGCTAATGATACGCAATGCAATGCTCTCTTGTGACACTGTGCAGCAGTGGTGATCTGCAGCTCTCAGTGTGCCATGCGATCGGAGGGTGAACAACCAACACTGTCTCTGCAGTGTTCCATATCCAATAAATTATGTAAGATAGTCAACATCTTCTTGCAAAAAATTCTTTGCATTAGATGATTTCACATAACTGTAGCCCAAAGTAAGTGTTCTGAGCACATTTAAGGTAGGCTAAGCTAAGCTATGATAGATTGGTTGTATTAAATGCATTTTTGAATTATGATATTTTCAAACTACAATGGATTTATTGGGACATAACCCCATTTTAAGTTAAGGAGCATGTGTGATTGAAGATCCTCTCTTGCTCAGAACTCTACATTCCCATAATAACGTTGGTCAAGCCAGGGATGTGTTGTGTGTGTGTGTGTGTGTGTGTGTTTCTGTCTGTATGTTGTTGGTGAAAGATTAATAAATCAAATTTATTTAAATGTATTATACTAGAGGCTTTGTATAAAATTGTGTAATTTAAATATTTAAATATCTCATATATCATTAACTTAAATTTGTATAAAAATATACTCATTTTTAAAATTTGACCTTAATATAACTGAATCTTGTTTTTCTTTTTGACATCTTTCTTAAAATAAACTTGCTATTGATGTAATTTTAGTCTAATAGCGTGATCTCTTAGAAATCAGCCAGGCACAGAACGACAAACACCATATGTTTTCATTTATATATGAGAGTTAAAAAAGTGGATCTCATGAAGATGATGAAGGTAGGTAGTAGTATGGTGGTTACCAGAAGCTGTGAAGAGAAGTTGCGTAAGAGATATGAAAATACAGTTAGAAGAAATAACTTCTTATAATTGACAGTACAGTAGGGAAATTATAGTTAACAATAATTTATTGTAAGTTTCAAAATAACTATGGGGGAAATTATAATGCTTCCAATACAAAGAAAAAAGAAATGCTTAAGGTAATGGATATCCCAATTTCCCTGATTTGATCATTACACCTTGCATATAGGTATCAAAACAACATTTTATGTACCACCACAATATGTACAACTATTGTATACAATACAAAAGCAAAAGTAAAAAATAAGAAAGAAAACATCAGATAAAATTGACAAATGAAATGCATGCTTTTTTCAACTTGAGAATACATTTACAAATGTTTTTATATTTTAAATTATAAAAATTAGTATTATTAATTTATATTTTAAGTAATTAATATGTAATCTCACTTAGAATAAATGTTGGCAGTAGTTCCCTAGCTGGAATGTAGCACTGTGATTTTGGTTGTTTGAGAAGAAACATGAAGCAGATGTGTTAACTTAATTCTGGGTCATGTCTTTGGGTCACACAGCTGCACCATGCTTTAATAAATAAGAAACAAGTGCTCACCTATTAACCTTTCAGCTGAAAGAGATGACTGATAGTGGGCTCATGGAACAGATTTTAGAGACTATAAAAAAATACAAATATCCCTGTGAAAATTATCCTTTCATAGGATCATCTTAGCTGGATTTTACGTAGTAGAAGAGATGTTATAATTTGTGATTTTTATCTCTGGCTCAAATGCATGCCTTCATTCTCAGTAATCCACTGTGGGGGCTTTGGAGAAGGACAGATCTGGGCTTGAAACCAGGCTCAGCCACTTACTAGCTACGTGACTTTGGACAAATGACTTAATTCTGTAAAGCCTCTACAAGATATCTAAAGATTAGAATCTAAAGAATCTACAAGATTCTACAAGATGAGTGCTAAGTTCCTGGTACAAGGTAGCACTGATCACTAATAATAATTAGTTATATTATTTTTATTTTTATTTATTTATTTTTTTTGAGACAAAGTCTCACTTTGCAACCCAGGCTGGGCTGCAGTGGCACGATCTTGGCTCACTGCAACCTCCACCTCCCGGGTCAAGTGATTCTCCTGCCTCAGCCTTCCAAGTAGCTGGGATTACAGGCACATGCAACCACGCCCGGCTAATTTATATGTTTTTAGTAGAGATGGTATTTTTGCCATGCTGGCCAGGCTGATCTCCAACTCTTGACCTCAAGTGATCTGTCTGCCTCAGCCTCCCAAAGTGCTGGGATTACAGGTGTGAGCCACCGGCCCCGGCCATAATTAGTATTCTTGTTGTCATTATTTCACAAACGATATCCAGCTCTTCTTACTCCCTCATCACAAAGCTATGCGGACACATATAAAGGTACTTTGGGACCCCGGGGCATCATCAGAAAATATATTAAAAATAAACCAATTAATCATTCATGCATTGTTTCAATAACAACAAAAATTTTGTAAAACTCCTTCACTATTTTCCCTACTAATGTAAGCTCCATCACTTTGTCTTCTATCCAAATAGTATAACCCATTTCTCTCTCTCAGAAGATCATTTTCCCTTTTGGTAATTTTCTGGCATGGCTTTATATTCATGATAGCAATATCTGCTTTATTTAAACCCCCACTTTCCTTGATTTTATATCATTGGAATGCACTATTCAGCAAAGCCTGAAGAACTTTGACTATCTCTTTCACGTTGCCAGTGGCATACAGACAGTATGTATTTCCAATCACCTTGTTGAATAGGCCCTAAAGTAGGCTCTCTATGCTTGTGTGTAGATCAGCTGGAAATACTAAAAAAGAATTGATGCAAATACAATCTCTTGCATTATACCTCTCCAGGGTGAGTGTAAACATGCAACTCCTACAGATTTCAGTATTAACGAAGGCCACAAAAACACTTAGAAATAGTCATAATGATAGCAGAAATAATGTTGTATGCTTTATTTTTACGCTTTACAAATAGTCTCAAATTTGGTAACCTATTTGATTTCCATCTATTTATTTGAATTAGGATTATTATGACATTTTCTTCTGATGAGAAAGATAAGGCACAGAGTTTGACTATTTGCTAGAGGTAACTCAACAAATAAAGGTAGGATTGGAAATGACAACTTTGTCCTTAACTTCAAAACCCACAAGATGCACTTCACAGCAAGTGGAATCTCAAGCAATTAAAAGCAGGAAGTTAAGAAATAACATGGGTTGTCCTTTTCTTTTAATCACCAATAAGTAGGGCTACATACCCAGCCTAAGAATGATTTTGTTTTCTTCCTCTTTAAGCTGATGAAGCCCTATTACATTTATCAGCAGCAATAGCATCCCAGATCTTACTGCATAAATTCTGCACGACTGTAAAACTGAAGAAATTCACAGTCACCTAGTTAGTTGCTACTTTTGCTTCCTTTCATTGATTAGTTTGCTTTTGAGTTTGCTTCCATGCTTATTAGTTAATGAATTGACTTCTGTGCCACATCATTCACATGTATAGAATACCAATCCTACTGTATAAGGAACTGGGAACCTGCCTCCCACTGGATATTTTAGGCTATGTAATTTTATTTAAAGAAGCAGTTTTTGAAAAATTCTGGGCACCAGCGACGGCTTTACTTCAGAGCACTGACCTACGCTCACTGGCTAATGGATATCACTGGCCTTGAGAACAAGCTTCAGCCTCTAATATGGCTTAACTGAAATTTGGGGCATAAAATAAGAAAAATACAACTTCCAAATGCAGCTGCCTTCGAGATTCAGTTGCTCCCAGGGCCCAGATATCCTGGGCTCAAGCTGTCTCCTATGGGGCTGCCATTTCTTGCAGACTCATCTCAGGCTGAGGCATTGCCAGGTGTGATGGTTAATACGAAGTGTCAACTTGATTGGATTAAAGGATGCAAAGTGTTGTTTCTGGGTGTATCTGGGTGTTTCTGGGTGTTGCCAGAAGAGATTTGAGTCAGATGACCAGGAAAGGAAAACCCACCCTCAGGAAGACCCACCCACAATGTGGGTGGGCACAATCCAGTTGGATACCCGCACGGCTAGAAAAAACAGGCAGAAGGTGGAAGAAGCTGACTTGCTGAATCTTCCAGCCTTCATCTTTCTCCCATCCTGGATGCTTGCTGCCCTTGAATATCAGACTCCAAGTTTGGCTTTTGGACTGTTGGACTTACACCAGTGGTTTGCCAGGGGCTCTCGGGCCTTTGGCCACAGACTGAAGGCTGCACTGTCTATCGGCTTCCCTACTTTGGAGGTTTTGCGACTGGGACGGAGCCACTACTGGCTTCCTTGCTCCTCAGCTTGCAGACTACCTGTTGTGGGACTTGGCCTTGTGATCATGTGAGTCAATTCTCCCTAGTAAACTCCCTTTCATATATACATATATCCCATTAGTTTCTTCCCTCTAGAGAACATTTACTAATACACCAGGTATAGTTATGAGTTGAATTGTGTCTCCCTCAAATTTATACATTGTAGTGGGGGTTAGGACTGAAGAGGAAGACCCACCCTCAGGAAGACCCAGCCACAATGTTCTAATGCCCTTTGGTATCTGTTTCTGTGTTAGTTTGCTAAGGATAACAGCTTCCAACTCCATCCATGTTTCTGCAAAGGACATGATCTCATTCCTTTTTATGGCTGCATAGTATTCCATGGTGTATATGTACCACATTTTCTTTATCCAGTCTATCATTGATGGGCATTTAGGTTGATTCCATGTCTTTGCTATGTGAACTGTGTGTCAATGAACATATGTGTGCATGTATCTTTATAATAGAATGATTTACATATATGTCAAAAGGGGACTTTGCAGATGTGTTTAATTGAATATGTTGAGGTGGAGAGACTATCTTGAATTATCCAGGTAAACTCAATGTAATCATGAAAGCCCTTACAGGAGTCAGAGAGAAATCTGAATTGGCTATGCTGCTGGCTTTAAATGCAAGCAGCCTCTAGAAGTTGAAAAAGAAAATGAATTCCTTCCTAGAGCCTCCAGAAGGAACAAGTCCTACCAAATCTTTGAGTATAGCCCAAAAAGACTGGCTTTAGACTTCTAGCCTCAAGCACTGTAAGATAAAACAATGTTCTTTTGAGCTACCAAATTTATGATTATTTGTTACTTCAGCAACAGGAAACATATTAATTTACATGACAGCAACTGAACTACGTCTTTCCCTCCACAGGGGGAAGAACCTCTTTTCCTTTCCCCATGATATATTTTTCAATGTAAAACAGAAATGAATCAAAGCCACTTCTGTTTATGAAAAATCTACTCTGCTCCTTTCTGCACATTTCACTGGTGATTATTCTGAGAGTTAAAAGTTTGAACCCAAAAGTATCTGAGACAGGACTCAATCAATTTAGAAAGTTTATTTTCCAAGGTTAAGCACGTGCCTGTGACATAGCTTCAGGAGGTCTCGATGACGTGTGCCCAAGGTGATCAGAGTAAACCCTCCATTTATATATTTTATGGAGATATAATATATCTACCAAGACATGTAAGGTGTATGTTGGTTCGATCTGGAAAGGTGGGAGTGCTTGAAGCAGAGGCTTTCAGGTCATAGGTAGATTTAAAGATTTTCTGATTGTCAATTGGTTGCAACAGTTATTATCTAAAGACCTGAAATCAATAGAAAGGAATATCTGAGTTATGATAAGGGGTTGTGGAGCAAGGTTTTACCATGCAGATGAAGCCTCCGGGTAGCAGGCTTCAGAGAGAATACATTGTAAATGTTTCTTATCAGACTTACCATCCGTGTTTAAGTGAATGCTGGTTGGCTTTTCCAGAATTCCAAAAGGAAGGAGGATATAATGAGCCATGTTTGATCCCACTCCCCATAATGACCTGAACTAGTTCTTCAGGTTAATTTTGGAATGCCCTTGCTGAGAGGAGGGGTCTGTTCAGATGACCGAGGGGCTCAGAATTTTATTTTTGCTCTACAATGGATTAATAAATAGTGACTGGTGCATATAAATTCAGAAATGTGCATTAATTATTATTCAGTGGTGATGCAATTATCTCATGTTCATGGGACCACTAAGTGGTGGAATCAGGGGTCAAATTTAGGCATGGGTTCCAGTGTCACATGCTTTCTATTGGCCATATGGCTTCTCTGGTTGGAAGGTTTCAACACTACCATAGTTATCCCTTTCCTACTGTATCCTTCTACTGCCTCAGCCGTCTTTCTCAGTGTCAGGCCTCTGAGCCCAAGCCAAGCCATCGCATCCCCTGTGACTTGCACATATATGCCCAGATGGCCTGAAGTAACTGAAGAATCACAAAAGAAGTGAATATGCCCTGCCCCACCTTAACTGATGACATTCCACCACAAAAGAAGTGTAAATGGCCGGTCCTTGCCTTAACTGATGACATTACCTTGTGAAAGTCCTTTTCCTGGCTCATCCTGGCTCAAAAAGCACCCCCACTGAGCACCTTGCAACCCCCACTCCTGCCCGCCAGGGAACAAACCCCCTTTGACTGTAATTTTCCTTTACCTACCCAAATCCTATAAAACGGCCCCACCCTTATCTTCCTTCGCTGACTCTCTTTTCGGACTCAGCCCGCCTGCACCCAGGTGAAATAAACAGCCATGTTGCTCACACAAAGCCTGTTTGGTGGTCTCTTCACACGGACGCGCATGAAATTTGGTGCCGTAACTCGGATCGGGGAACCTCTCTTGGGAGATCAATCCCCTGTACTCCTGTTCTTTGCTCCATGAGAAAGATCCACCTATGACCTCAGGTCCTCAGACCGACCAGCCCAAGGAACATCTCACCAATTTCAAATCAGGTAAGTGGCCTCTTCTTACTCTCTTCTCCAACCTCTCTGTCCCTCAACCACTTTCTCCTTTCCACTCTTCAATCTCTCCCTTCTCTTAATTTCAATTCCTTTCATTTTCTGGGAGAGACAAAGGAGAAACGTTTTATCCGTGGACCCAAAACTCCGGCGCCGGTCACAGACTGGGAAGGCAGCCTTCCCTTAGTGTTTAATCACTGCAGGAATGCCTCTCTGATTATACACCCACGTTTCAAGGGTGTCAGACCACGCAGGGACGCCTGCCTTGGTCCTTCACCCTTAGTGGCAAGTCCCGCTTTTCTAGGGAAGGGGCAAGTACCTCAAACCCTTCTCTCCTTGTCTCTACCCCTTCTCTGCTTTTCTGGGATAGGGGCAAGTACCCCTCAACCCCTTCTCCTTCACCCTTAGCGGCAAGTCCCGCTTTTCTACGGGACAAGAACCCCCAATCCCTTATTTCCACACCCCAACCTCTTATCTCTGTGCCCCAATCCCTTATTTACGTGCCCCAACCTCTTATCTCTGTGCCCCAATTCCTTATTTCCATGCCCCAACCCTTTCTCTGCTTTTCTGGAGGGCAAGAACCCCCAACCCCTTCTCCGTGTCTCTACTCTTTTCTCTGGCCTTGCCTCCTTCACTATGGGCAAGCTTCCACCTTCCATTCCTCCTTCTTCTCCCTTAGCCTATATTCTTAAGAACTTAAAACCTCTTCAACTCTCACCTGACCTAAAATCTAAGCATCTTATTTTCTTCTGCAATGCCGCTTGAGGCCAATACAAACTCGACAGTAGTTCCAAATAGCCGGAAAATGGCACTTTCAATTTTTCCATCCTACAAGATCTAAATAATTCTTGTCGTAAAATGGGCAAATATGGTCTGAGGTGCCTGACGTCCAGGCATTCTTTTACACATCAGTCCCTTCCTAGTCTCTGTGCCCAGTGCAACTCGTCCCAAATCTTCCTTCTTTCCCTCCCGCCTGTCCCCTCAGTCCCAACCCCAAGCGTCGCTGAGTCTTTCTAATCTTCCTTTTCTACAGACCCATCTGACCTCTCCCCTCCTCGCCAGGCCAAGCTAGGTCCCAATTCTTCCTCAGCCTCCGCTCCTCCACCCTGTAATCTTTTTATCGCCTCCCCTCCTCACACCTGGTCCGGCTTACAGTTTCGTTCAGTGACTAGCCCTCCCCCACCTGCCCAGCAATTTACTCTTAAAAAGGTGGCTGGAGCCAAAGGCATAGTCAAGGTTAATGCTCCTTTTTCTTTATCCCAAATCAGAAGCGTTTAGGTTCTTTTTCATCAAATATAAAAACCCAGCCCAGTTCATGGCTCATTCGGCAGCAACCCTGAGACGCTTTACAGCCCTAGACCCTAAAAGGTCAAAAGGCCATCTTATTCTCAATATACATTTTATTACCCAATCTGCTCCCGACATTAAATAAAACTCCAAAAATTAGAATCTGGCCCTCAAACCCCACAACAGGACTTAATTAACCTCACCTTCAAGGTGTACAATAATAAAAAAAAAAGTTGCAATTCCTTCCCTCCACTGTGAGACAAACCCCAGCCACATCTCCAGCACACAAGAACTTCCAAACGCCTGAACCGCAGCGGCCAGGCGTTCCTCCAGAACCTCCTCCCCCAGGAGCTTGCTACAAGTGCCAGAAATCTGGCCACCAGGCCAAAGAATGCCTGCAGCCCAGGATTCCTCCTAAGCCGTGTCCCATCTGTGCGGGACCCCACTGGAAATCGGACTGTTCAACTCACCTGGCAGCCACTCCCAGAGCCCCTGGAACTCTGGCCCAAGGCTCTCTGACTGACTCCTTCTCGGCTTAGCGGCTGAAGACTGACGCTGCCTGATCGCCTTGGAAGCCCCGTAGACCATCATGGACGCCGAGCTTCAGGTAACTCTCACAGTGGAAGGTAAGTCCGTCCCCTTCTTAATCAATATGGAGGCTACCCACTCCGCATTACCTTCCTTTCAAAGGCCTGTTTCCCTTGCCTCCATAACTGTTGTAGGTATTGACAGCCAGGCTTCTAAACCTCTTAAAACTCCCCCACTCTGGTGCCAACTTAGACAATACTCTTTTACGCACTCCTTTTTAGTTATCCCCACCTGCCCAGTTCCCTTATTAGGCCGAGACACTTTAACTAAATTATCTGCTTCCCTGACTACTCCTGGATTACACCTGCATCTCATTGCTGCCCTTCTTCCCAATCCAGAGCCTCCTTTGCGTCCTCCTCTTGTATCCCCCACCTTAACCCACAAGTATAAGATACCTCTACTCCCTCCTTGGCGACCGATCAAGCACGCCTTACCATCTCATTAAAACCTAATCACCCTTACGCCGCTCAACGCCAATATCTCATCCCACAGCATGCTTTGAAAGGATTAAAGCCTGTTATCACTCGCCTGCTACAGCATGGGCTTTTAAAACCTATAAACTCTCCTTACCATTCCCCCATTTTACCTGTCCTAAAACCAGACAAGCCTTACAAGTTAGTTCAGAATCTGCGCCTTATCAACCAAATGTTTTGCCTATCCACCCCGTGGTGCCAAACCCATATACTCTTCTATCCTCAATACCTCCCTCTACTACCCATTATTCTGTTCTGGATCTCAAACATGCTTTCTTTACTATTCCTTTGCACCCTTCATCCCAGCCTCCCTTTGCTTTCACTTAGACTGACCCTGACACCCATTAGGCTCAGCAAATTACCTGGGCTGTACTGCCGCAAGGCTTCACAGACAGCCCCCATTACTTCAGTCAAGCCCAAATTTCATCCTCATCTGTTACCTATCTGGGCATAATTCTCATAAAAACACAGGTGCTCTCCCTGCTGATCATGTCCGAATAATCTCCCAAACCTCAATCCCTTACAAAACAACAACTCCTTTCCTTCCTAGGCATGGTTAGCGTGGTCGGAATTCTTACACAATAGCCAGGACCACACCGTGTAGCCTTTCTGTCCAAACAACTTGACCTTACTGTTTTAGCCTAGCCCTCATGTCTGCCTGCAGCAGCTGCCACTGCTTTAATATTTTTAGAGGCCCTCAAAATCACAAACTATGCTCAACTCACTCTCTACATTTCTCATAACTTCCAAAATCTATTTTCTTCCTCATACCTGACGCATATACTTTCTGCTTCCCGGCTCCTTCAGCTGTACTCACTCTTTGTTAAGTCCCACAATTACCATTGTTCCTGGCCCGGACTTCAATCCGGCCTCCCACATTATTCCTGATACCACACCTGACCCCCATGACTGTATCTCTCTGATCCACCTGACATTCACCCCATTTCCCCAAATTTCCGTCTTTCCTGTTCCTCACCCTGATCACGCTTGATTTATTGATGGTGGTTCCACCAGGCCTAATCACCACACACCAGCAAAGGCAGGCTATGCTATAGTACAAGCCACTAGCCCGCCTCTTAGAACCTCTCGTTTCCTTTCCATCGTGGAAATCTATCCTCAAGGAAATAACTTCTCAGTGTTCCATCTGCTATTCTACTACTCCTCAGGGATTATTCAGGCCCCGTCCCTTCCCTACACATCAGGCTCGAGGATTTGCCCCCACCCAGGACTGGCAAATTAGCTTTACTCAACATGCCCAGAGTCAGGAAACTAAAATACCTCTTAGTCTAGGTAGACACTTTCACTGGATAGGTACAGGCCTTTCCTACAGGGTCTGAGAAGGCCACCGCAGTCATTTCTTCCCTTCTGTCAGACATAATTCCTCAGTTTAGCCTTCCCACCTCTATACCGTCTGATAACAGACCAGCCTTTATTAGTCAAATCAGCCAAGCAGTTTTTCAGGCTCTTAGTATTCAGTGAAACCTTTATATCCCTTATAGTCCTCCATCTTCAAGAAAAGTAGAACGGACTAAAGGTCTTTTAAAAACACACCTCACCAAGCTCAGCCACCAACTTAAAAAGGACTGGACAATACTTTTACCACTTTCCCTTCTCAGAAATCAGGCCTGTCCTCAGAATGCTACAGGGTACAGCCCATTTGAGCTCCTGTATAGATGCTCCTTTTTATTAGGCCCCAGTCTCATTCCAGACACCAGACCAACTTAGACTGTGCCCCCCACCAAAAAAAAACTTGTCATCCCTACTATCTTCTGTCTAGTCATACTCCTATTCACCGTTCTCAACTACTCATACATGCCCTGCTCTTGTTTACACTGCCGGTTTACACTGTTTCTCCAAGCCATCACAGCTGATATCTCCTGGTGCTATCCCCAAACTGCCACTCTTAACTCTTGAAGTAAATAAATAATCTTTGCTGGCAGGACTATGCCGAATCTCCTTAGGCACTCTCTAATCAGATGTCCTAGGTCCTCCCAATTCTTAGACCTTTTATACCTGTTTTTCTCCTTCTCTTATTCCATTTAGTTTTTCAATTCATACAAAACCGTATCCAGGCCATCACCAATCATTCTATACGACAAATGTTTCTTCTAACATCCCCACAATATCACCCCTTACCACAAGACCTCCCTTCAGCTTAATCTCTCCCACTCTAGGCTCCCACGCCGCCCCTAATCCCACTCGAAGCAGCCCTGAGAAACATCGCCCATTCTCTCTCCATACCACCCCCCAAAAATTTTCACCACCCCAACACTTCAACACTATTTTGTTTTATTTTTCTTATTAAGAAGGCAGGAATGTCAGGCCTCTGAGCCCAAGCCAAGCCATCGCATCCCCTGTGACTTGCACATATATGCCCAGATGGCCTGAAGTAACTGAAGAATCACAAAAGAAGTGAAAATGCCCTGCCCCACCTTAACTGATGACATTCCACCACAAAAGAAGTGTAAATGGCCGGTCCTTGCCTTAACTGATGACATTACCTTGTGAAAGTCCTTTTCCTGGCTCATCTTGGCTCAAAAACACCCCCACTGAGCACCTCGCAACCCCCACTCCTGCCCGCCAGAGAACAAACCCCCTTTGACTGTAATTTTCCTTTACCTACCCAAATCCTATAAAACGGCCCCACCGTTATCTCCCTTCGCTGACTCTCTTTTCGGACTCAGCCCGCCTGCACCCAGGTGAAATAAACAGCCATGTTGCTCACACAAAGCCTGTTTGGTGGTCTCTTCACACGGACGCGCATGTTGGCTCAATCTGGAAAGGTGGGAGTGCTTGAAGCAGAGGCTTTCAGGTCATAGGTAGATTTAAAGATTTTGTGATTGTCAATTGGTTGCAACAGTTATTATCTAAAGACCTGAAATCAATAGAAAGGAATATCTGGGTTATGATAAGGGGTTGTGGAGCAAGGTTTTACCATGCAGATGAAGCCTCCGGGTAGCAGGCTTCAGAGAGAATACATTGTAAATGTTTCTTATCAGACTTACCATCCGTGTTTAAGTGAATGCTGGTTGGCTTTTCCAGAATTCCAAAAGGAAGGAGGATATAATGAGCCATGTTTGATCCCACTCCCCATAATGACCTGAACTAGTTCTTCAGGTTAATTTTGGAATGCCCTTGCTGAGAGGAGGGGTCTGTTCAGATGACCGAGGGGCTCAGAATTTTATTTTTGCTCTACAATGGATTAGTAAGTAGTGACTGGTGCATATAAATTCAGAAATGTGCATTAATTATTATTCAGTGGTGATGCAATTATCTCATGTTCATGGGACCATTAAATGGTGGAATCAGGGGTCAAATTTAGGCATGGGTTCCAGTGTCACATGCTTTCTATTGGCCATATGGCTTCTCTGGTTGGAAGGTTTCAAC
The DNA here is from genome assembly GCF_000001405.40 of Homo sapiens. NCBI lineage: Eukaryota > Metazoa > Chordata > Mammalia > Primates > Hominidae > Homo > Homo sapiens. The sequence continues at coordinate 4,897,954 of NC_000023.11, forward strand.
ACTACCATAGTTATCCCTTTCCTACTGTATCCTTCTACTGCCTCAGCCTTCTTTCTCAGAGTGTGCCCCATAAGTTTCTGAATGAGACTGATTCTCACTACCATTAAGTTAGAAGGGTCTCTCCTACAAACGTGCTTACCCCAAAGAGGGTCCCTTTTCAGCAGAGTAGCTCTAGAGGGAATCATCACAATGCTTGGTTAGCGTGTTCTGCCCTTTGCTTTTTTGCATGGAAAATTTTAAATGTGAGTGATCCTGGAGCTTGCAGTCTTGACTGGTTCACTCGTTAGTATCCGAGAGAGATCAGATACTCTGCCCTCCATTCTAAGGCCTAGGGCTATGTTTGACGAAACCAAAATAATAGTCCAACGTTTCTTGATTGTCAATTTTCTCCCAGTAATAGTGTTTAAAAAGTAGTGACTAAGTAATCCAAATAATGAGGACAAGATTATTAATAGTTGGTATTGTTAATGTAAAATGTTAATGATCTTAGAAGTTCTGCAAATTCTCTTATGGAGATGTGTCAATGTACATTTGAAGATGGTGAAATTCAGTAAGGCCAAGATATCAGAGCTGGGAAATGGAAAGTGTTCATCAAAGGTCTGGGGGTGGCAGTTATTCGCATCCTGTTCTTTATTCTTTCGAGTTAAAATTCAGGCACTGACAATTCCAGGATAAAAATCTATTTCTCCTTACATATAAATCAGCCATGATTATTCTTAACTAGGAACAGCCAGGGTGTGTGCATAATCATTTAAATTGAGAGCTGAATAATGGATCTTGATTAGCAATACATTGAAGCAAATGTGGGGGAGAAATTAGAGTGCTTCTCTGTTTGTTTCATGCCTAGAATATATTAACTTTGGGGAAATGGCCCATTTTTACAGATGAGCTCAGGAAATACTCCATATGATTCAGGATTCTTTTTCCCAAAGTATTATTTCGCAATGCAGACATCAATAGTGGTGTATTAGCTGAGGTTTAGAAAGGACAAAGATAGATTATTGAAATTTTCTTTTTGTAGGTACAGAGTAGGTTTATATATTTATGGACTGCATGAGATATGTTGATACAGGCATGCCATGCATTATAAACACATCATGGAAAATGGAGTATCCATCCCCTCAAGCATGTATCCTTTTTAATTCAGGATACCATTTTCCTAATATTCTGTAATATTTTATTGTTGGGTTATTTTCAAAGGCTTATTAAGATCTTAACTTACACTCCCATCTTTTGTTTAAATTGATGGCTGTATTAGTCGGTTTTCAAACTGCTATAAAGATATATCTGGGACTGGGTAATTTATAAAGGAAAGAGGCTTAATTGAATCACAGCTCTGCATGGCTGGAGAGGCTGCAGGAAACTTACAATCATGGTGCAAGGGGAAGCAAGCACATCTTCCATGGTGGCAGGAGAGAGAGGAGCAACAGTAGGGAAACCTGCCTTATAAAACCATCAGATCTCATGAAAACTCACTCACTGTCACACTACAGCATGGAGGAAACTGGCCCCATGATCCAATCACCTCCCTCCCTTAACACGTGGGGATTACAATTCGAGGTGAGATTTGGGTGGGGACACAGAGCCAAGCCATATCCATGAACGATGGAATAACGTAATTATTTAGAAACAGCAAATTGTGTGGTGTAATGGTATTACTTTGCATTGGTTCATTTGGAAAGAACCATCAATGTATGCACTTCAATGAAGATATTAATTGTTCATATATTAATAGTTTCTGGATGCATTTCGTTCATATAAATCTTTAGTAGAACTCTATTTGTGGATGAATGTATTTTTTATGGAGTTTAAAGTATATTTATTTTTATATTTAAACTTTATTAGCAACATCCCCCAGAAAACAGAATATTTCCTACAAATCTGTCCCAGCAGCAGAAAATATGGAGTGTCTTTGTACACATAGAAAGTATGTAAATGTTATGGTGAGATCTTACTAATGAAGAATGATGTTTTTATGGCATGACAAGGCAAATATGTAAGAAAAGATAAGAAGATGTTATATGTTTTGTGCCAAATGTGTTAATAATCCTGATGTTAGACCACAGAGGAAGAAGATGTCATATGACAGGGTATAGAGAGTTGATAGATATACCTCACTAGAAAAGAAAGGAAGGTTTATTTAGGGGTAGAATAAAGGAAAGTCTAGGATGCTGCAGAATGAAATCAGCTATTGATGGATGTACTTTAAGGATAGTAGATGATTGTATAGGCATGGGGAAAAAGAGGGAATTAATGATGCATTAAAGAAAAGTTAAAAATTTTTAAAAATATGAATTAATTTATAGAGTCCCTACTATGTGCTATAAAGAATATTTTTCATTTAAGAGAAACAAATAAGAAAAATATGAAAAGGAAAATCTATACCCCATGGCTGTAAGAATGCATTAAATTTCACTGATATAGTTCTCCCTTGGGTTTTATGCTGAGAATTCTTAAGGGAAAAAATCTCATTAATACATTTTGAAAATCTTGCATTATCTATAGTAACTCCTTATAGATTAAATGTTCATGTTTTCTCTTCCTTTTTCACTCTTCTCACATCCCAAATTTCTCTCTTTTTTCTGTTAGATGCTATCTCTTCCTGATTGTTGATTTCCGCCTTCATATCCCAAAAGCCCTGCTTCAATCTTCCATTTGAATCTTAATTGAATTCACATAAGACTAAGTGAATCTCACATTCACCTTAAGAAACGTCAAAACACTAAAATGTAAAAATGCTAATTACCATGTGATTGTATGAGTCAGCCCTTCCATGTGTTAAAATGTGGTGTGGAATTTATGTCATAGAAGCATACATGAATAAACCCCAGATGACTTTCTGTAATTTTAAACAGTGGTCTGTTGGTGTGCAGAAAATGATATGCCAAATTCGGCACTTTGGGCCAGGCATGGTGGCTCATGCCTGTAATCCCAGCACTTTGGGAGGCTGAGGCAGGCAGATCATCTGAGGTGAGGAGTTCGAGACCAGCCTGGCCAACATGGTGAAACCCTGTCTCTACAAAAGATACACAAAAATTAGCTCAGCGTGGTGTCGCATGACTGTAATCCCAGCTACTCAAGAGGCTGAAGCAGGAGAATCACTTGAACTTGTGAGGCAGATGTTGCAGTTAGCCAAGATCATGCCACTACACTCCAGCCTGGATAACAGAGAGAGACCCTTTCTCAAAAAAAAGACCAAAGTCTTCCTCTAACTTTCTGCTACCCACCCCCCATCTCTCTGATACTCTTTCTTCCCAAAGCACCGGTGGAAATCTCTAGAAAATATTTGTCCACAAGAAATGCAATTGTCTTAAGACTTCCCCCCCTAGGAATATCATCAAATACCCAGGAAATATTTAATCACTGGAGAAGAGAAAACCTTTCATCTATTCTTCTGAGCACAACCCCAATATATTGCCTGAGAGACTTTATCTGCATGATAAGACAACCTTTGTTCACAGTGAAGTTCTGCCCCTCACCTTCACTCCTCCTCCCAAAGATGAGAGGAACTTCCTCCCAGACCTTTGTTCTTTGGGCTTATCCTTTTCCCCTGAAAATCATTTACTCCTACAGCCCCCATCTCCCCTTCCCATATGTAAAGGGGTATATAAGCACACGGGACTTCTATGATTCCTCTGTGCTTATGCATGCTCAATAAATGTTGTATGTCCTTTCTTCCTGTGAAACTGCCTATTCTCAGTTCATTTTCAGCAACTCTTTATAGGGCAAAGGGGAAGTATTTTCTCTTTGACCCTACAGGCCAAATAATATGTGGAATGAGGAGAAAATACATAAGGTATAATTTTTTAGGCCAGATGCAGTGGTTCATGTCTGTAATCCCAGTCCTTTGGGAGATGAAGGTGGGTGGATCGCTTGAGGTAAGGAGTTTGAGACCAACCTGGCCAACATGGTGAAACCCCATCTCTACTAAAAATACAAAAATTAGCTGGGTCTGGTGGCACATGCCAGTAATCCCAGCTACTCAAGAGGCTGAGGCAGAAGAATCACTTGAACCCAGGAGGCAGATGTTGCAGTGAGCCAAGATTGTGCCACTGCACTCCAGCCTGGGCAACACAGAGGGACTGTCTCAAAAAAAAAAAAAAAAAAAAAGAATTTTTTTAAGCTAACAAAAAGAACAAGGGAGATAAATTGTCAACAAATGAGGATCTCTTCATATGAACTAAATGCAGTAACAAGGCAATTTTCTGTTCCTCATGTTCAAGCAGATGTCTATGACAGGTGGATGTATACACTGACTTTTCTCCTTGCATAGGTGAAATATAGATGAACTATTGCATAGAGCTGGCTCCCTAGGTGTGTTCAACATTACATGGCATTAATAGTGTTAGGATGTACAGATGCCTGTTCTGTGTTGCAATCCTTACATGGGGCTCTGTTTTCTCTTGAAGAAACAACCCTGAGAGCCAGTTAAAAACAGAGCAGCTTTGCCCCAAAAGCAGCCAGGAAAGCTCTTTGATTTGAGAAAGTCCCACATAAGGTGCACACACACACACTCATACACATTCACTAAAGGAAATTCATGCATCTAAACATTCGCTGTCCCAGCTAACACCATTATGGCCCTAAATAAACCTTTTTCCATGTCTCCTTCCCCAGGTCCCTGAAACAAAAGGTGAATGACCCCATATAGTTCCCATATTTAGGGATGTGCTTTGGTCAATATCAGCATAAATCACTGATTAGCAGAGAGGGATTTGCTTAGAACAAAAGATACATATATTAATTTTAGTTATCTTTTTGCTTTGAAACATCCTGAGTCCTCCTAAAAATGCATATATAATGAAACCCCACTTGTCTATTTTTGCTTTTGTTGCCTGTATTTTTGGTGTCGTATCAAAGAAATCATTGCCAAGACCAAGGAGCTTTTTTCCCCATGATTTTGTATAGGAGTTTTATAGTTTCAGGTTTTAACGTTTAAGTCTTTAGTCTATTTTTACTTACTTTTTATGTATGCTGTAAGGTAGGGGTCGAATTCACAATGGCTAAGATATGGAAACTATGCAAATATCCATTTACAGAGAAATGGATAAAGAAAATGTGACACATACATACAATGTAATGTTATTCAGCCTTAAAAAGGAAGGAAATTCTGACACACGCTGCAACATGGATGAAGCTTGAAGACATTGTGCTAAGTGCTAAGTGAAATAAGCCAATCACAAAAGAACTAATACTGTATCATTGCACTTATATGAGGTCCTTAGAGTAGTCAAATTCATAGAGACAATTAGGAAGACATTGTCCTAAGTGTGAATAATGTCTTATAATTACAATTTTGAATTGGTCGTGGAAAATTCACCAGGGACTCAGATCAGTGCTGAAATTCATGGAGTTTTATAGATGAGCCTGGGGAGGCAGTGTCTCATTTACATAAAGCCCAAAACATTGGTTGGACAAGGTGTGCCATTTCCATAGCACACAAGAAGCTGGCTGCCCCACCCTAACCTTTTATTATGCAGATGAGTTATCTACCTGGCTGGTGCCATGTTGGCTATTCCTTTACTGTACATGTGGTTGACAAAGAAAAGGGAAGATAGAGCCTCCATATTGAACATGCCTGGCCCTCAGGTAGCTTTTTCCTATTGGCACAGCTTTGGCATTCACCTATGCAAGCTTCCAGCTTGCTTATCTATGTCTGCAGCTCGATTTTACAGGCTGCTCTTTGTTAGAAAAGAAATGATTTGGGGGTTGCTTTTTGTTAAAAGGGAAGCCTTTATGAGGACTCTCTTACCCTCACTAACTACCTAAATAATTTCTTTTTAGCTCCTGTATCAACTTGATCCCAGTAGTTGGAGTCTGCAGTGAGCTATGATCACACCACTGCACTCCAGCCTGAATAACAGAGCAAGACTCTATCTCAAAAAATAAATAAAATAAGATAAAATATTTTTGGGAGGCACTATTCAGTGCAGCTCACCACCTTTCCTCCTTATTTTGATATTAGAAGGGCAAATCTCACCAGCAACCTAAAACAGGTTCCTTGGAAACAGATGCTGGAATAGCAGTGGGCATACATGAGCTTTATGAAGGAGGGCTTGCAGGAAGGATGCTTAGAACCAAATGCAAGAGGCAGGATTGGGCAGGGCAATAAATGTGATGTAGTTGCATCAGAGGATTCAACTGATACGCACTGAAGTGTGCTCACAAGAAAGGTTTTCACTTCAAGGTGTGACAAGATGAGGCGAGGGGCCAGATCTTTGAACCACAGCATTGAGCAACTGAGCACTCTTTGGGAGTGCAAGGAGGCATGAACTTGTTCAAGGCGTCTCCTGGAGAAGAATGCTGTTGTGAGCCATGAGAACCAACACTCCCAGCAGCTGGAGAACTGGATGCTGTAATTGAAAAGATGCCTGCAAACCACATTGTTTTGAAATTCAGAGACCCCCAGATCAAGTGCTGGAGAAGTCCAAATATTGAGAATGATATTCATCAATAAAACAATAGTGTTCAAAGAAAGTGACATCTTACCTCCAAAATGTAGCCATTGGTAGGAACCACCAAGAGGACATGAAAATTCAGCCAGAAATAGACCATGGGAAGTTACAGCATTTTATGAAAATCTGAATTTTATTTTTCTCTAAAACACTTTTTTGTTTTTTGTTTTTTGACCGAGTCTCACTCGCTGTGTCACCCAGACTGGACTGCAGAGGTGCGATCTTGGCTCACTGCAACCTCTGCCTCCCAGGTTCAACCGATTCTCCTTCCTCAGCCTCCCGAGTAGCTGGGACTACATGCATGTGCCACCACGGCCAGCTAATTTTTACATTTTTAGTAGAGGCAGCGTTTCACCATGTTGGCCAGGCTGGTCTCAAACTCTTGACCTCAAGTGATCCTCCTGCCTCAGCTTCCCAAAGTGCTCAGATTACAGGTGTGAACCACTGCGCCCAGCATCAAAAATAGTTTTAAAATAACATATAAATACCATAAAATACACTCTTAATATAAGAACAGCACTTTCCTAAGGCAGGCAGATATTGTTTTCATCAGAGTCCTGAAACCTGGTTCTTTTCTACCTGAGAATGCAGAGCTCACTCTTGCAGTAGGACTCTGTCAAAATAATTTTGCGAAGGCCAAATTTTCCTCCGTTGTCCCTGAATCTGCACTGTGTAGCCAAGCAGAAAATGACATTCCTCTTAGTTATGAAAATTATTTATCACTATTGCCCAACTCTGGCCCACCAAATTCTTTTCTACTTTAACATTAAGATATGACTTAGGCTCTCTCAAAAATATGTTATTTCTTTCACTCAATTCCTCCTATAACAGAGTTTATAAACCCATCTCTTATTTCTGAGAAAATGACATATTGTTTTGGTAAGGTCTCAATTGTAATGTATTACTCAAAGAAAATCTGGTAACAAAGATACGTTGTAATTTTTAAAAATAAATTTTTGTTATTTACTATTTCCCACCATTAAATATCTAATCATAATTGTGTGTATGTGTGTATAATTGCGTTCATATATAAAATTATGTATACACAATTTTATATATGTGTATATAAACATATATGTATATATATTACATATATACATTTATAAAAAGGTAGTACATAATATACACACAATGATATATGTGGGCATATTTGTTACGTATATAGATAATATGTATATATTTATAATATGTGTGTTTATGATTTGATAGAATGACTAACGTATCAACTAAAATTTAAATCATAAGAGTTTGACAATGTAAATTAAAAGCTATTATATAACTATGTTTAAAGAAAACACTGGAGATGAAATATTACCAAGCAAAACACAAGTTGCATCATCTAAAATTTAGGGGAGGAAATGGAAACCACTTTCAGAGGTTTTAAGTACCACAAAATGTAATGCAAGAAACTTAGTGCTTAGCTGGAGGGATTAGAGGAAGGAGGCATCAGGAAGTTACCACTAAAACCTCTGGGATTTTGGATTGGGATAGATGACCAGCCAATGCGGCTACCTTACCTTAGCTGCCGACCTTCAGCCACCACCGCCGAGCTGGGGACTGGACCCCGACACTCTTAGTCTGGCAGACACAACTGCTTGGAAGTTGTAGATGGGCCATAAACCACAGAAAATGTCTGGAGAAGGTCTCGTTCATATTTCACACTCCAAGTCTCGAAGGAGTGCAAGAAACTGGGTGGACCTATTTTTCACTCAGCACCATATCTGGAAAGAATGCAGGTGGAGGTAATGACTAGCTCTTCAGCCTTCACAGTACAGAAAAGCAGCCCAAATGGAGAGAAGAACAACCAGTCCATGAACTGTGAGAGGCACAAAAAGGGTGTTCACCTTTTCCTTATAAAGGGAGCCGTCATCAACAGTGCTTTGCACCCATCGTAGGTTGAATCTTCCATCTCTCTTCTGAACCCCATTATGATGGATTGTAACTCAAGTATAAGTTGAGAAATGAGTACAACATGCTCTCTATAAAATAAATAAGGCAAGGGACTAACACAGGCACACACACAAAACACCAAATGAGAAAGAACACACGCGCAATGACTCTAGCGCTAACATTTGCAATTGCTTCCCTACACCATGCCACCACTGCTGCCATGGCTCCTGCCCTCAGGGTCTTCCGCTGGTGGTCTGACCTCAGGTGGAATGCCTGAGCAATCACAAGCCCTGGAGGATCTGCTTGCATTGTGTCGTTCTAAGCTTTCATTTGCTTTTTCACTAGGTGTGGCAGCATCAGGGGTTTCTGTAGTAGCAGCTGTGCTTCTTTGGAATAATTAGTGCAGGGTGCTCCTGCCTGTATCGCTCTACCAGTCAGGGTTCTCCAGAGAAAAAGAATCTATAGGATATATCTATGGATATGTCATCTATCTGTATCTATCTCTCCATCTCTATCTATCTATATCTATCTTTCTATCTAATCAATCTATCATCTATCTTATCTATCCATCCATCAATCTATCTATCCATTTATCTATCTCTCTATACGTTTATCTAGGTATCTATGAATCTATGTATCCATCTATTCATCTATCTATCTATCATCTATCTGTCTATCTATCTATCATCTGTCTACTTAACCTATGTATCTGTCCATGTATTCATCCATCCATCCATCCATCCATTGATCTTTCTGTTATTTATCTATCTCTATAAAATTTCATGGAGTACATGATACAACTTCTGTGGCTGGCAAGTCTCAAAGATGCAGGGCAAGCTGCCAGCTCTTGGGCTGGAGCTGCTATTACAGTCTTGGACCAGAATTTCTCCATTCTCAGGGAAACATTAGTGTGTCCTTCTAAGCTGTTTTAACTGACTAGATGAGGCCCACTCACATTACCTAGGATAATTTGCTTGACCTTGACTTAAAGTCAGCTGATTGTGGGTGCAAACCACACACAAAATAACGTCAGTGCAAAACTTATATCAGTGTTTGATGGGATAGTGTGTGTATAAAACCTAGGCAAGTGGACGCAGAAAACTAACCATGCAATGACCCAACGCAGTAACCTTTCTCCCTTTATTACATTTGGCCAATAACGTGAGCAACTTGAAATCATGGAGACTTCCAGTTTAATATGACTGTTTCGGTGCCCATGGTGGAGAAATTTTTTAAGTTCTACATACTTGTTTTTATTTTCAAACCTGCTTCTACTTATTCTATTTTATACCACCAGCATTATAGATACACATTTTCAAACAGAAATTATGTTGTTACAGCTAGGTATGGTTGTATGATATTTTAATTGGTTCACATAAGAATCACCTAGTATAAAAAGAAAATTACTCATTTAAAAAAACTTCATTTTGCCAAATCTTTCACTATGTTAATTCTGAATAAGTAAGATAAGCAAAAGCTTCACTCAAAAAAGAAAAAAAATCTTTAGCAGATTGTCCAGCTGCTAGTTGATGTTTATTGATAAAACATAATCATCAATAATAGCAAAACATTTATTTTAATCTTTAATTTCTTAAAGAGAAAAAAATGACATTCTACAAAATTCTTGCAGGTATAGACATTCTAAAACACTAAAAGATATATTGTGTGTATTTTTATTTGTTCTAGAAAATAGTCAATCATTTTCACATTTTCACCTTTTCCTTTTAAAAAAAATAAGTCCTCATTTCTTTCCATCAAACTGAATCATTTTTTCATGAGACCCAGCTTGAAAATTGTAGGGGAAGGACCCGTTTTAGTGGATTTAGAAGAACATTCTATTGCACTCAAAAAATAATTTATACCTTGCTGAGAAATAGCTGTGGGATGAAAATACTATCCATTAAATTTTTGTACTATTACAAGTCCAAATAAATGGAAAAAATAAATGCTTCACTTGTATTTCATGAAACGTGTGCAAGTACCTTTGCCTAAGTTAGAACATCAGTCTGATACTGGAGGCAGTAAAGTAAAACATTGCCAAACAAAAGTTCAGTTATGTGGCTGGGTGTGGTGGCTCATGTCTGTAATCCCAGCACTTTGGGAGGCCGAGGCAGGTGGATCACCTGAGGTCAGGAGTTCATGTCCAGCCTGGCCAACCTGGTGAAAACCCATCTCTACTAAAAATACAAAAAATTAGCTGGGCACGACGGTGCATGCGTGTAATCCCTGTTACTCTAGAGGCTGAGGCAGGAGAATAGCTTGAACCTGGGAGGCGGAGGTTGCAGTAAGCCGAGATGGCACCACTGCACTCCAGCCTGGGTGACAGAGCCAGACTCTATCTCAAAAAAAAAAAAAAAAAAAAAAGTAGTTATGTGAAAGTACAAAATGTCTATATAAAATTATGAAATACACAATGCCCAATCAATACTGTTACCTCACGAACCCTACTAAACATTAATCATGTTATTTCAGTCATTTTAGCATCAGTAAATAAAATTCTAAAACTGCTTTTATTCATCTACATGTTATCCAGCAAGTTAAAAACAAAGCCTTGAATTATTTATTTAACAATTAGATGAGAAAACTAACATGACATGTTTACAGTCCAGAATAACTAAACAAATCAGCACAATTCTAAAAATATTTTGATTGAAATTTGTGCATTTTATTTCTTTAAAAAGTAAAACTGTTATTTCAAATTGTAAAAAAATTAATTCACTGATTCTCAGCCTGCTTTAAGTTAGCAATACCTATTTCTATGAATATTACATGTTTTTTCCAAATTTACCTAGCTGTTATTTTAAGACCAGTTTCTCCTACGTATAAATATTTTTCTACTCGTCTCTACCAGATGATTCCTCAATTTAAGTTTAGGATTTATACCATTAAAAATATTATAAATAACACAGCAATAGAACATACCAATCTAAGTATTCAGAAATGTTTGTGGAAGTTAAAGGAAAAGTTAGCCAAAAAATACTAAGACTTCCTTCTGGTTTTTTGTTTTGTTTTGTTTTTGTTTTTGTTGTTTGTTTGTTTGTTTGTTTTACCAGCAGTTGTTTCCCCTCGGCTTAATCAAGGTTATATTTGAATTGGTTCTAACCACCGCCACCAGAGCCAGAACAATAACAAGAAACTACTTCCAACTGAACAGAAAGTAAAAGCTCAATTTATTTAGCAAGGCTTTCTCTCTACTTCTCTTTTTGTTCTGCTTCTCTCTCCTTCTTCTTTCTCTTTCTTCCTCTGTGTTTCTGCTTCTCTCTTTAACTATTCCTTCCCTTCTCTAATTTTTGGTCAAATATATTTGTGAACACTTCCCCCTTCAAAATCTTCTCCGATTGAAAACCCTGAAGTGGCTCTCCCATGTTGAAATGGCTGCAAGATACTGGCACATAAAAGGAGAAGTTACGATCTTCCTAAAATAGGTAATGACACTTCGCACTTCATTTGATACATAAACATTGCTGAAACTTGGTATTGTAAACACTGTAGTTAATATATTATAAAATAGAGAGTGTTAAAATGACACTCAAGATCTCCAGTTATTTGAACAAATGACCACAAATGTTGTCCTGGTTTTAATGTAACAGCACATCTCGACTGGTGTAAAATCTGTCCCACAGGGGATGTTTGGCAATGTCTTCAGGCATTTTTGGGTGTCACAATTGGGGAAATTAGGTGCTATTGGCATCTGGTAGGTTGAGTCCAGGGATGCCACAAAACATCCTGCAATACACAAGACAGCCCCCACCACAAAGATGTATCAAATCCCAAATGTCAACAGTGCTAAGATTGGCAAACCTTCATCCAAATAAAGGATTAGAACGAGTTATACCAATCTGTATCACTTAATGTGAACATTTTAACGTGACTTCATAATACCTTTTCATTATCCATCGATTACTTGACATTTATAGGCTTTTAAGCATGTTCATTTTATTTCATTAAATGTTCATTTTCTAGGGCCTCTCCTTCTACAAAGAAGACATTGACACTTCCAAGGAAAGTCTGAAGGTGCCTAAGGGAAGTTTCGATCGTTAATTTTATGTGTCAACATGACTAGGCAAGGGGAGACCCAGGTAGATGGTGAGACATTATTTCTGAGTGTTTCTGTGAGTGAGTTTCAGGAAGCGATTAGCATTGGAATCTGTAGACTGAGTAGAGAAGATCCAATGTCACCAATGTGGGTGGGTATGATTTAATTCATTGAGGTCCAGAATAGAAGAAAAAGCTGGAGAAACAGTGAATTTGCTCTCTCTTCTTGAGCTAGGACATTCATCCTTTCCTGACCATGGACATGTGAGCTCTTGGTTTGCAGGCCTCCAGACTCAGGCTAAATGACATCGATGGCTTCCTTTCAGCTCACAGATGGGAGATTGTGGGACGTCTTGGTCATCATAATAGTGTGAGCCAATTCCCATAGTAAATCTCCTCTTATATGTCTCTACATATCCTGTTACTTCTGTTTCTCTGGAGACATCATGGAATGTAACACAGGGACATAATGAGATTGTCTAACTGGGAAAGCTGGATGAGCAAAATTAGTTTAAGTTCTATTTGTCTTGGCCAGGCATGGTGGCTCACGCATGTAATCTCAACACTTTGGGAAGCTAAGGCGGGCAGATCATTTGAGGTCAAGAGTTCGAGACCACCCTGGCCAACATGGGGAAACCCCGTCTCTACTGAAAATACAAAAGTTAGCTGGGTTTGGTGGCACACACCTGTAGTCCCAGCTACTCCGGACGCTGAGGCCGGAGAATCACTTGAACTCGGGATGCAGAGGTTGCAGTGAGCCAAGATTGCGCCTCTGCACTCCAGCCTGGGTGACAGAGTGAGACTCCATCTCAAAAAAATAAAAATAAAAAAGTTCTATTCATCTTCACTCTGGGTCTTGTTCTTTCTCCCATGTTATAAAACTGTGTAGAAGGGATGTGCTTTAGTATGGTTTGTAATGAGAGGGACCTCCCTCTACAGCTTATCCATATTTCTAACTTTGTTCCAGCCCCCAGGAAAAAATTGACTGGAGTCTCTTCATTCGTCTCCATCTGAAGTGATGAATTTTGTTAAAAACCATGAAACCGAAGAACAACCCAAATCAAATCTAGAACTGCTGGTCTAGGCTTTGCTTGAAGTGTCCAACATTTTCTCATTCTTCTTGGGACCAACTCTCTCATGTGAGAGGCTGCCCAGGATTTTCAAGAGGATGTGTTCATTGACAATCAATGGTTTTTATTTTTTATATGTCCCTAAGAAGTTAATTGGAAAACAATTTCTGACATTTTTGTCCACAGTGAGAGATTCAAGGTTTTAGCCAGTTTTCGTATGTCAAAAAAGGAGTGTTTGTGATTTTTGAGTGTGTTTACACATCTCTTTGTAAAATATAAAACTAAAAAAAACCTACCATTAGCAACAATACAATTACCATTTATAAAGCTGTACACAGTGGCACATTCCTGTATTCCCAGCACTTCAAGAGGCTGAGGTGGGAGGATTGCTTGGGCCCAGGAGTCTGAAACTAGCCTGGGCAACATAGTGAGACTCCATCACTACAGAAATAAAAATAAATTAGCCAGGCATGGTGGCATGTGTCTGTAGTCCCAGCTACTTGGGAGGCTGAAGTGAGAGGATCACTTGAGCTCAGGAGTTTGAGGCTGCGGTGAGCTGAGACTGCACCATTACACTCCAGTCTGGGCAACAGAACAAGACCTTGTCTCAAAAAAAAAAAAAAATCACTATTAGTTTCCTATGACTGCTGTAACAAATTACCACAAATAAGGTAGCCTAAAATGACATAATTCTATTATCTTCCAGTTCTGAAAGTCCAAGTCCAACTTGGGTTTCTCTAGGCTAAAAGCTAGATGCAACAGGGCTGTGTTTTCTTCTGTAGTCTGTAGAAGTCAATCGATTCTCTGACCTTTTCCACAGAGGCCAGTTTCTCTCTGGTCCTTGGACGTAGCCTCCTATTCTCAGAACCAGTGCAGGGACTGATACGGCTTCACTGTGTTGCCACCCAAATCTCATCTTGAATTGTCGTTCCCATAATCCCCATGTGGTGGCAGGAGCCTGGTGGTAGGTAATTGAATCATAGGGGCAATTACCCCCATGCTGCTGTTCTGGAGAAAGTGAGTGAGTTCTCATGAGATCTGATGGCTTTCTAGGGGGCCTTTCCCCCTTTTGCTCAACACTTCTCCTTGCTGCCTCCATGTGAAAAAGGACTTATTTGCTTCCCCTTCCACCATGACTGTAAGTTTCCTGAGGCCTCCCCAGCCATGGGGAACTGTGAGTCAATTAAACCTCTTTCCTTTATAAATTACCCAGTCTCAGGTATGTCTTTATTAGCAGCCTGAGAACAGACTAATACAGGGACATGGAGTTCTTCTTCAAATGCCATCTCACACACTCTTTTCTGCCTCCCTTTTCTGCTTTTAAGAACTCATGTGATTAAGCTGGACTCCTCCGGGTGCAGTGGCTCACACCTGTAATCCCAACATTTTGGGAGGCCAAGGCTGGCATATCACTTGAGGTCGGGAATTCGTGACCAGCCTGGCCAACATGGTGAAACCCCATCTCTACTAAAATTACAAAAATTAGCCAGGTGTGGTGGCGGGCACCTGTAATCTCAGCAATTTGGGAGGCTGAGGCAGGAGAGTCACTTGAGCCTCGGAGGCAGAGGTTGCAGTAAGCTGAGATCATGCCACTGCACTCCAGCTTGAGTGACAGAGCAAGACTCTGTCTAAATAAATACATAAATAAATAAAAAACAAAGTGGGCTCACCCCAATAATTCCACGAAAACCAGTCCACCTCAAAATCCTTAATCTAATTCCATTTGCAAAATCCCTTCTGCCGTGTAAATTTACACATCCATAGGTTCCAGGGATTGGGATGTGCACATGTTTTTTTCTTTCTTTTTTTTTTTTTGTAGAGTGGTTTTATTCTACCTACCACATCACCCAAAATATATTTTATGCTAAACAAGAACATACATATAACACATTGGTTAAAATTAAAGAACACATTGTTTGTTCTGGGGAGGTGAACGCAGGGAGAAAAATTGTAAAATATAATTTTAAAATACTCTTCTATTTATTCAGCAATTTTCTTTTATTATTAACAATGAGCTAGATCATTTTTAGGGTACTTGAGATACAGTAGTGCCTAAAAGAGGCCAGCATTCCTGCCTTGACAGAGATTTTATTCTATTGTGGAAACTGACAGGACATTAAATAAATGAGTAATGTGTGTAGTTCTTTAGATGTGGGAAAATGCAATGGGGAAGTGTGTGGTAGGAGATGGAGCTGCACACAGTGTGTGTGTGTGGTTCACTTTTTAAAAATCATGGGCGACAGATTACTGTCCAGGTGATAATTGCACAAAAATTAGAATAACCAAACCCCCTGGGAAGACAGAGTACCATGAAAATGAAATTGCAAAAGAGAAACCATGCTTGGTAATTTTCTGGAAGAGCAATAAGATCAGTATAACAACAGCTGAATTAAATAAGTGGGAAATTGGTAGGGTCAGCTATTGGATAAGCAAGGGGGATACCAGATCATGGTGGGCTACGTCATTTTCAGCATTTTGACCTTTATTCTGAGTAGGAGGTAGAAACTGGATAATTTCAGCAGAGGAGTCACATGAAGTCACATATTTTATTAGGAATCTTCTGGGTGCTATGTTAGGACTAAAGTGTTGAGAAGTAGAAAGACCAGTTGGAAAGTGGCTTTCAAGTTCCAGGTGAGAAGATATGCTTATTTTGAATTCAAAAGAAGAGATTCACATAATTAATTTCTATTACAGGTAATTATTATTATTATTACTATTCAAAATATAATTAAAGCTCATTTTAAGAACATACTCAAGAAGTCTGAAAATTGTAATTCCAGTATTTGGGGAGGCTGAGGCAGGAGGATAGCTTGAGGCCAGGAGTTTGATAGCAACCTGGGCAAAATAACAAAACCCCATCTCTATAAAAAATACAACAATTAGCCAGGCGTGGTGGTACATGCCTGTAGACCCAGCTATTTGGGAGGCTGAGCTGGAAGGATGGCTTGAGCCCCAGGAGGCTGAGGCTGCAGTGAGCTAGAATTGTACCTCTGCACTCCAGTCTGGGTGACAGAGCAAGATCCCATCTCTTAAGAAACAACAAAAAAAGAAGTCTGCAATTATCTGCTACTCATGAGAAAAAAGAGGACAACATTGAAGTGAAAAGGATTGAAATGGGAGATTCAACTGGACTTGGACAAGAAGATGTAGAAAAGCAACTGTTCTTGATATTTTAAAATATATTGTTTCATGCGCTGATGAAATCATTGGCTCGGCTGTGGATACTCATCAAAATTTCACATAAAAATTTGGGTTGGATTAGCAAGGATGCAGGTTGTAGAGAAAAGGAAACACACACTGTTGGTGGAAATGTTAATTAGTTCAACCCCTACGGAAAACAGTACAGAGATTTCTCAAAGAGCTAAAAACAGAACTGTCAGTCAACCCAGCAATGCCACCACTGGCTATCTAACCAAAGAAAAAGAAATTGAGTCCGGGCGTGGTGGCTCACACCTGTAATCCCAGCACTTGGAGAGGCCAAGGCAGGCCGATCACTTGAGGTCAGGAGTTCAAGACCAGCCTGGCCAACATGGTGAAACCCCATCTCTACAAAAATACAAAAAAACTAGCCAGGTGTGGTAGCACATGCCTATAATCCCTGCTACTCAGGAGGCTGAGGCACAAGAATAGCTTGAACCTGGGAGGTGGAGGTTGAAGTGAGCTGGTGCGCCGAGATTATACCACTGCACACCAGCCTGGGGAAAAGATCAAGACTCTGTCTCAAAAGAATTGTTTTATCAAAATGATACCTGAACTCATGTTTATCACAGCAATATTCACAATAGCAAAGACATGGATTCAATCTGAGTTTCTATCAACAGATGACTGGCTAAAGAAAATGTGGCATAGAGACACTGTGGAATACTACCCAACTATAAAAAAGAATTAAATAATATATTTTGCTGCATCATGGCTGGAACTGGAGGCCATTATCCTAAGTGACATTTCAGAAACAGAAGGTGAAATACTGCATGTTCTCACTGATAAGTGGGAGCTAAAAATTGGGTACCCATGGACCAAAAGTGAGGAATAATAAACACTGGAGTCTCCAAAAGAGGGGATGATGGGAGGTTAGTGAGGGTTGAAAAAGTACCTCTTGGTGGGTGCATGTGGTGGCTCAGCCCTATAATCCCAGCACTTTGAGAGGCCAAGGCCGGCCGATCACTTGAGGTCAGGAGTTCAAGACCAGCCTGGCTAACGTGGTGAAACCCCATCTCTACTAAAAATACAAAAATTAGCTGGGCGTGGTGGCATGTGCCTGTAGTCACAGCTACTCGGGAGGCTGAGGCAGGAGAATCACTTGAACCCGGGAGGCAGAGGTTACAATGAGCCGAGATTGCACCACTGCACTCCAGCCTAGCGACAGAGCGAGGCTCCGTCAAAAAAAAAAAAATTTCTCTCACTGGAGAAGTGGCTGTGGCTTGGGGGCTTGGGTCTAAGGACAAGTAAGGACCAAGCCAAGGTGTAAGGATGAGCAAGGGAGGGCAGGTGGCTTTGAAGGTTCCTAGCCTTACCGAAACTGAGCCTACCGATAGCTTTGCAATGAAGTGAAGAGCGAATGGTGAGATTATATTTAGTACTGTTGGCTAAAAACCAAATTGACATCACTATAAAAGGCACCTGGCCAAGCCTGCCCATGGAAGGTGTCATTTAGCATCTAAATGAAATAACAATAAGCTAAGAGACAGAGAAGCAGGATCTTGGTGTTGGGAGACTGGACATCAAGCATCAAAGGTAAAGGCTGATATCTGCCCTGGATGGGACATGATGACTGAGTTTCTCAGGTGAAGGGTCTCAGAGAATTGTAGAAAGAGCAAAATCATGGGAAATCTATGGAGACAACCAACATTTTAGTGTAACCAGCTTCAAGATTCGTGGCCTAGGGGCAAGCCTCCAAACACATGACTACTAAACTTTTCTCTACCTAGGGATAGGCATGGTCTTAAGTAGTGGAAAACTAAAGTCTACAATAAATGGATAATCAGGCCAGGCACTGTGGCTCATGCCCGTGATACCAGCACTTAGGAAGCTGAGGTGGGTGGATCGCTTGAGCCCAGGAGTTTCAGACCAGCTTGGCCAAAATAGCAAGATTTCGGTTCTACAAAAAATACAAAAGCACATTAGCTGGGTGTGGTAGTGGCATGCCTCTGTTTCCAGATACTCAGGAGGCTGAGGCAGGAGAATCTCTTGAGCCTGGAGGTTGAAGCTGCAGTGAGCTGTGATCGCGCCACTGCACTCCAGGCTGGGCAATGGAGTGAGATGCTGTCTCAAAAACAAAACAAAGCAAACAAACAAAAATATAATCAGCCATAAGGCTGAGGATTTGAATGTCTAAGAAAACAAAAGAAACTTATTTGCACCTTAACTATAGACCAGCGGTCTGCAAACCATAGCTGGTGGGTTATGTCTGTCTCAACGCTTATTTTTGCAGATGGAATTTCATAAAAGCACAATCATACCCATTGGTTTACATTTCTGGCTGCTTTTGTGCTACAACTACAGCCTTAGGTAGCTGTAACAGAGACCTGGAAAGCCTAACATGACTACCTTCTACATTCTGCCCCTACATTACTGACCCCTGATAGAATCTCTTCTCTCACAGTTTCCTTTAAATCTACCTGTGTTCTCTTCACTTCTTTCCCACCCCTTTCAGGGTTACCGCAGGTGAATGCAACTTATTCCTAACCCATAATAAAAAATCACCCCTGCTTTAACATAGGTCTTCTTTCACTCCGTATAAAGAGAACAATGTATTCTATTGTCTCTTGGTATTGCCTCTGTAGTAATTGTATTTTAATGCTGTTCCTATGAAAACTTTCTATGTTTGAGCAACAGTTTATGTTGGACTAAAATGCACAAGCTACAGTTAGTAAAGGAGTCCCTCATTCACACACACACACACACAGACACACACACGCACACTCACACAGACACACACATAGACACACACAAACAGACACACACAGGCACACACACTCACACAGACACACACACAAGACACACAAACACACACAGACACACAGACACACACACAGACACACGCACATTCACACTCACAGAGACACATACACGCACACACACACATACACGCATTATATAAAAAATAAGAAAGAAAAAACTGTATAGCATTTGGTGTCGGTTTCTTAGAATGCATACTGTTTTATATCCCATGAGTTTCAATTAGGAGTAATTTATTACTGCTATTAAAGAAAAATATGTCTATTTTGGTACAAAAGTGCAACCTTTTTAGGGTGTGATTGTACTACTAGTACACCCCTAGGAAGGGATCATCTATTCCTTTTAATGTCTTTAGTACCAACACGATTTAAGTTGAAAAACGCTAGAAACAGCTCTTCCATGTCAGGTTTACCTCAGGCTTTAATAGACTCTCAAACTCAAGACATTTCTGAGCATATTGATGCATTAATTATGGAGAAGGCAATTAATTATATAGATCATAATGAGACCTTCATCGTTGCTTAATTTAACACAAAAATTCAATTTCCTTCACAAGAATCAGATAAATGTGGGCTATCATCAATGTTTTTAATCATGGGGCATTTCTTGATGGCAGTCTTGGAAAACCATGAGCTGAGTCATTTTGTTCCCAGAGGAACTGATACCACTGACCTGAAGCTGGTCCTATCTCTTTCTTTCCATACAGACTATTGCAATTGTAGCAGGTTTAATTCCTGCATTAACATACTTCCCAATTTGAGTTCAATTAAAAGTTCCTCATAAGGAAAAACAATCTCATTTTATTGATATTCATTTCCTATAAAATATTATTGAATGACGACGGGTGTTGCATGTTCTATTTAACAAGAGAAACAGAATAAAATGAAATGGGCTCCTGGGTATACTGTCTTCTTGCAAAAATCAAACACATTGATTACATTTCTTAAATAATTGAAGACAGTTGGAGTATCTTTCCGCAACTAAAGTTTAGCATGAGAAGCTCACACTAGGCCGGGTGCGGTGGCTCACACCTGTAATCCCAGAACTTTGGGAGGCTGAGGCAGGTGGATCACGAGGTCAGGAGATAGAGACCATCCTGGCTAACACGGTGAAACCCCATCTCTACTAAAAATACAAAAAATTAGCCCAGTGTGGTGGTGGGCACCTGTAGTCCCAGCTACTCAGGAGGCTGAGGCAGGAGAATGGTGTGAACCCAGAAGGCGGAGCTTGCAGTGAGCCGAGATTGCGCCACTGCGCTCCAGCCTGGGCGACAGAGCAAGACTCCGTCTCAAAAAAGAAAAAATAAATAAAAAAGAAAGAAAAAAGAAAAAAAGAGAAGCTCACCTAGTGAGACCGACCCTTAGAAGATGTATTTTAACTTTTTTTTTTTTTTATCTTTCAAGTTCATGTAAGGAGATGTATTTTTAGAAAAGATAATTTGGTTTTAAGTAATATATTTTTGAATTATTAACAGAATGTGTTTTCCATCAAACTAAACTGTATTTAAGTATTATCAATTTTAGGTAAGAAATTTTACAAGTGTGTGTCAGTACTAACTTCAAGCTATTGATTTTTCCTTCCCTGGCTCTGTCTCTCTTTCTCTCATAAACCCAATTCTTCAAAAAAATGGCTGAGATTCTTGATTGCATTTAAAATTTGAATGCTAGAATTTTTCTCTTTCTTCCATCAGTTCTGATTTGGCAATTATGCTTAAAATATTCTTGTAAAGTCAGAGACTAACCTTCCGATAACCTTACAAATGTGTATCCTGCCATTAATAGTCATGTTCTCTCAAATTACAAAGTGTTTTTTCTTTATTCTCTTATTTTATACGCCAGTCATCAGAATGCCCATTGCAAGCCAAATGTATACACATTGTGCTGCTGAATTAAGGTACAATGTATTCCTCAAGATATTTAGTAAGACTATGCAAAACACGATCTGAAATGGAGTTAAGCAAAGCACACACACACAAACCGTCAATAAAATTTACAGGCCTCTTCCTTATCTTACATGTTATGACCCAAATAATCAGATACAAACCCTGTGGTGGGCAGGATAATGGCCCTCCCAAAATGCCTGCATCCTCTGCAAACTCTGAATGTGTCACCTTACATGGAAAAAGAAGCTTGGAAGGTGTGATCAACTGTGCAGATTTTGTAATGGGGAGATGATCCTGAATTATTCAAGTGGACCCAATTTCAACTCATGAGAACTTAAAATCAGAGATCATTTTCCAGCTGTGACCATAGGGAGATATAACTATGGAAAAATTCTCAAAAAGAGATGCAGCACTACTGGCATTGAAAATCGTGGATAGGACCATGTACAAATGAATGCAGATCACCTCTAGAAATTGGGAAAAGGTAAGGAAACAGTTTCTCCCCCTGAGGCTGCAGAAACAAATGCAGTCCCACTGACACCTTAATTTTGATCGCCAGCCCTTCTGCAGAACTGTAAGACAAACACTTTCATTGTTTTAGATGCTGAGTTTGTAGCAATTTGTTACAGAAACTGTAGACAACAAATGCAAGCCCTACTTTTGTTGTATGTTAGTTCTCTTGAACTACAGTGGATACCATGCATTTAACTCCAGAATTCTGCCAACAATCACTGGCAGTGTAGATGGAATGGTCTTCCTAAATGATACATTTCAGTACATTCCTTTCTTTTTGAAATGTCAGCAATGCTAGAGCACTCAGTCTTCTGAACATGTTTCGTCAAGCCCTAGTGATGCAGTCTTCTCCTTAGTACCCACACCTCTGAGACCCCTAGGCAGAAACCATGGTGACTTGCTCATAAGAATCCCTTTGTTAATTATTTTCCTCTCTTCTGGATTGATTTCCGTGCCCATCTATGTTGCCATAACACTGTATTTTCTTGGACTATAACTCAGCTGAGTTAAATCAAGTCTTATTATTTAAGTCTCATTAATTGGGTCTTTCCTGATCTTTCTTGTCACCAGTAGAACTGGCTACACCATCATTTGTGAGCCACTTATGAACTCTGCGTGTATTGTACACAACATCATGCATGATGCTTTATTCACTGGTTTTGTTTGCAGGTTTCCCTCCATCATAATTCCCAATAAAAGGACTTATATGAACTCCCATATTTCCCATAATTACAAATAAAAGCAAAACTTGCATGATTATAATCATGCAAGGCTCTGAGAAATAGAGTATATATCAGCACATCAGTCTATGGGATTGGTGGACAACAACCTAGGAGATAAAAGGTGAGTACTATAGACACTCTTTTGCCTTCATGAAGCTTATAATCTAGTAGTGTGGCAAACACTAGTCCATAAATGAATAACATTGCAACTTTTACAGACAATCTGAAGGAAAGATAAGATATTGTGAGTGTGAATGGCGAGATGAAAGGATTGCTCACATAAAGACAGTCAGGAGATGTTCTGCTGAAAATATTATTCATACATCTCTTTTATGACCTGAAAGATGAAAGCAGTCAACTCGGTAGCAATGTGATAAAGAATTCCAGGGAGGTGCTGACATCCATCAGTAGTGGAGGCACCATGGTGCTTTCATAAGAGCTCAAGGATGGCCAGCAAAGACCCAAGATTAAAAAAGAAGACTATGTCAATGCCAAAAGAAGTAACTGTAGAAGTCTGCAGTATGGAAGACAGCATCTGAAAGACAGGTAGAATAGGTGGACTTCAACATAGATAGGGAAACTAAGATCGAGAGACAAAGGAAAATCAGGAAACAGTTGCATCTGTGAAGACAAGGGAAGCAATTCTTTGCAATCACTGGGAATGGGCAATAGTGTGGAAATATTGACCAAAAGGCCAAGAAGGACACAGAAATTTCTATTTGTTTTACAATGTAGAAGTCAAAGGGGACTTGTCCACAATCTATGGTGGTAGAATGAATAGGTATCAGAGAAATGCAATAAAGCAAATAAATAAAACTTTTCCTTAAAGGCAAGGGTTATGTTCTTATATACACAATGCCTGGAAGAGAGTAGGTATGTAAAATTAGTAGTTAACTGAACATGTAAGCTTAAAGATAGTTTTTCTTCCTAATGCCTGGTGTTGATGGTACTCCATGGCAGAATCATGTGTACATTCAAGTCTCTCCTTCTGCATGGGAACAATTGAATAGGGCCAGCAATACTCAGAGGCCTCTCAGCCATATGTGTCAGTCAGTGAGGGATGTTCTCTCCGCCTGGAATTCATTCATCCCGAGCGATGTCTCCAGATTCTAATGTCTGTGCTTCATGACAAGTGCATAGGAGGGTTAAAATAAAATCCTCTCAAGTGCAAAATTAGTGCCTGAAGACTTCTAGATGGGTCTTGAGAACTTCAGATGAGATCTTAGTATGCCTGGGCGAGATATACCTTTTAGTGTTAACTCTATTGCTTGTTGTATCTTTGATCATGACCCCCCCCCAAAAAAAAAGTTAAAAATACACCAGAAAGTGTCTCATATTTAAAAAGCAGGGGCTATAAGAGCACATTTTTCATCCATGGCACATGGACTTAGCGTCTGCCAGGTACATCTGAGAGTTAACAAGATGTGATGGTAAAGAAATTGAACATTAGAAAAATGATTAAGTATTACAAGTTTAGTCCAAATTACACAATGTCTATGTGCATCTCAAATGAATTCCCAATTAGAAAGAACATGTGGGTATTCTTTTCCCCAAAAACTTTATTTAGTAATAAAGACAGAAGCAACTTATATTTCAATCCAGTTATTTTTAATCATGTGATAAATGTAAAAAGTATAGGAACAAAGGAATAACAGATGAATAGAGAAAAATGGGTAATATGTGGTTTTAATTTAATAATTCTTAGAATATACTGAGATTAAATGGTTGTGAAGGTAGTCTAGATTTCTGAAATTAGAAACCTGACATTTTGGCAATAACAAACCAGCAATCCTGAGAGGACCCACAGACGCTCTGAAGGAAGCGGAGTGCTCCTGCAGGACCCGGGAGACCCCCCCAAAAACTGTGAGCCCCAACTGCAGAAGTGGGAAAGGGATGTTGACATGGCTATATGTTGAGAAAGAAACTGTTATTCTAA
Organism: Homo sapiens; assembly: GCF_000001405.40. Taxonomy (NCBI): domain Eukaryota; kingdom Metazoa; phylum Chordata; class Mammalia; order Primates; family Hominidae; genus Homo; species Homo sapiens. The sequence goes on from NC_000023.11 coordinate 4,922,415, forward strand.
GATCAGTTATATTCCTACAGCCAAAGAAATTGTTGTAGAAGTCTTTAATGATTATGGTAGAAACCATGTCATAAACATGAGATTAAAAAAGAAAACTTCCCATAATAAATGCCACTCCTAAACGATGAGCTCCATAGTAGGCCAAATGATGGTTTTCCAAAGCTGTATCCTGGACAAAATTCCCAGAAGCTGCAAATGCATGAGCTTGCATGGTAAGAAGGAATTTGCGGCTATAATTAAGTAAAGGATTGTGACATGGGGAGATGATCTTGGATTGTCCTGGTGGGCCCAATATAATCATGAAGGTACTAATATAGAAAAGGGAGGTAGGAGAATCCGAGTTGGTAGTGGAAGATTTGAATACAGAAGAAATGCAACTGGTTGGAAGAAAGCAAAAAAGCAATTATGAGCCAAGAAATGAGGATAGACTCTATCAGTTGAAAGAGATGAGAACAGATGTCTCCCTAGAGCCTTGAGAAGAAACACAGACCTGTTAAAACCTTGATTTTATACTTTCTGACTCCAAGGCTGTAAGAGTATGAATTTGTATTAAGACACTAAAGGTGTAGTAATTTGTTAAATCTGTATTGAGAAATTAAAGCCAATTAAAATAGTATTTTATGTTAGGTTTCATAAATACATATACGTATGGGTTGCAGTAATTTAAATACATACTATGTATTTAATCATATTAATAGTAATAGTAATCATATTACTATGGTTGCAGTAATTAAATACATACTATGCACTTCTGGATTGATTAGGAATATTTATGTGCACATACTTGCTACAGTTGCTAATATGTTTAAATTATGTAGGGGTGTGTGTGTATATACATATACATGTATATATATACGTGTGCATGTATACACACACATATATATACATATATATATACGAATATGTAGATATTCACATGCATGTGTGTGATACAGGATTAAATGCAAGGTAATATTGCCTACGCTACTTTTTGAATTTTTGTTTTAGATACATGGTCTTGCTCTGTCAATTAGGCTGGAGTGCAGTGGCGTGATCATTACTCCATGTAGCCTTAAACTCCTGGGCTCAAGTGATCCTTCTGTCTCAGCCTCCTGAGCAACTGGGACTACAGGCATGTGCCACCACACCTAGCTAATTTTTTCTTTTCTTTTTCTTTTTTTTTTTTTTTTTTTGTAGGGATGGGCTCCTTCTATTTTGCCAAAGCTGGTCTTGAACTCCTGGGCTCGGGTGATCCTCCTGCCTCAGCCTCCCAAACTGCTAGGATTACACGCCTGGGCCACTGCGTCCAGCCTGAAAAATTTTTTATTAAAGTAAACTTTGGCAGCCAAATGTAAAAATACAAACTGTGTGGGTTGGGAAATTATTACAAAGTGAATATACCTCACTAAAAAAAGGGTATTTAGGGCATGTTAGAAATTGTGCCCTTACAATTACTGCTTCTTCCTCTGTAGACTTCCTTCATTCTCTTATTATGAATCCGTTTTGCTGTATTTCATATTTATATAAGCACATCTGGAGGACACATTATTTAGCATTTGGCTTAGGGCACTCACCAACGTGTTCATGAGATGCATCAATTTTGGGTCACGCAGATATAAGTCACTCCTTCAGTGCTGTGGAGTAACCCAGTGCATTGACAGAATCAAATCCTCATTGACATTTGGGCTGTTTATATTTGGCTATGAAGATAATGATGTTATACATACATGTAGTGCCACCTAGAACACATGTTCATGACTGGCTGTGATGTATAGGTCTTGTCATAGAATGATGGTTCATAAGGAATGGGCAAGTTCAATTTAAGAGGTACTGCCAAGCCAGTTTTCCCAACTTATAGAAATTTACATTTTCCACAGCAATGCATAAGAATTATACTTATGTTACATTCAAATCCACACTCAGAATTGTCTACTTTTTTTTATTTTTCAAAGTGGCTTTGTTGAGTTTATAATGATATTTCACTGGGACATTATTCAATAAATTTATTACCTCCTTTACTAAGTTGATACAATAATATTCTTTATAACAATATATAATGTGATATAATAATTATTATAATATAATACAATAGAATACAATTGTGTAGTATTGAATTAATTACTTTCTATTGTTAATTAATTTATTAATACATTATATATGCTAAATAAACAGGTTGAGGGCCTTCTGTTGAATTTAATGTCCATTTCTATGTTCTCTTTGGAAGATGTTTGTTTCAGTCCTCACCCTTTTATTTAAAAAAAGAAATTATATTTGTAATTGATTGTCTCTCTTCCTCTTATTTGTTTGTACACGTTCTTTATATATACTGCATAGCAGTATATATAAATCTGTTACACGTGCCACAGATTTGTTCTCCCACTCTGTAGCTATAATCACTTTTAATTGGTCACTGCTATTTTGTAAAATTATTTTTCAAATTATGATAAAATAGGCCAGGTGCAGTGGCTCATGCCTGTAATCCAAGCACTTTTGGAGACCAAGGCAGGTGGATCATTTGAGGTCAGGAGTTCAAGACCAGCCTGGCCAACATGGTGAAACCCCATCTCTACTCAAAATACAAAAATTAGCCAGGTGTAGTGACATGCGCCTATAATCCTAGCAACTCGGGAGACTGAGGCATGAGAATCACTTGAACCCAGGAGACAGAGGTTGCAGTGAGCCGAGCAGTCACCGTGGAAAACAGTATGATGCTTATTCAATAAATAAAAAATATAATTACCATATGATCCAGCAATTCCATTTCTATGAATATACTCAAAAGAATTAAAAACAAGGGCATAAAGAAATGCCTGTCCATCCATGCACATAGCCATTTTCAATATTGTCCTGTATGGTCAGTAGCTGTCTCCTGTTTATGTGCCTAATGTTTGAGAACGGCTACTACTTTTTGATATTTGAATATTTTTTCACTGTAAAATTTCCTTTCATTGTAAAACCCCTCCCCACATTTTTTTTTTTTTTTGAGATGGAGTCTTGCTCTGTTGCCCAGGCTGGAGTGCAGTGGTGCAATCTTGGCTCACTGCTACCTCTGCCTCCAGGGTTCAAGCGATTCTCCTGCCTCAGCCTCCCAAGTAGCTGGGATTACAGGTGCACACCTCCACGCCGGGCTACTTTTTCTATTTTTAGTAGAGATGGGGTTTCACTATGTTGGCCAGGCTGGTCTCAAACTCCTGACCTCAGGTGATCTGCCTGCCTCAGCCTCCCAAAGTGCTGGGATTACAGGCGTGAGCCACCATGCCCAGCCCATATTTTTCTTAAAGTCTGCTTTGACAGCTATTCACATGACCAGGACAGCTACATTATTTAGTGCTGAAAATACGTTCTATTTTTCATTCTTTTAATCTGAATTAGTTTGTATTTCAGGAATGCCTCTGGTAAGCAGCATCTGTTAGTTTTTGTTGTTCTTAATCAACAGTCAGTTAGAGATATTATGGCTGTATAACAGATAACTCCAAATGCTCATGGGCTTTGTGGATAAGGACTTCAGACACAGCAGCATGCACTGTGATATAGTAGCCTCAGCTGGGAAGCGTGGTGTCAGAGGTCACTGGATAGTTGGGCTGAAGGCTTGGTCATGAGATGAGTTAAAGATGAGAACGTCCAACCAGAGCTCCTATTTGTGCCCTTTCCATGTGGCATATTTTCCCCACAGCATTAATAGTTATTCTTCCTACAAGTAGGTTCAGGGTCTCAAGTGCAAAATTCCAGTAGACCACATGGAAGTCTTCCTACATGACTCACCCTCAAAAGTAACACAGTCTCACTTCCTCCCTGAAGAACTCGCTGAGATTCATGGGGAAGGAAACTGATTCCGTCTCGTGATCAAGGTGTGAGAAATTCATATTGTAGGAGACACTATGGAATGGAAATATTGTCATGGACCTCTATGGAAAATACAATTATTCACATAGTTTAACATTTGCTTTCTCATATTTAGAGCATTAAATCCATGTATATTAAAACTAATTATTGATATATTGGTTTTTAAATCTATTATCTTATTATTTACATTCCCTTGTCCCCCATCAATTCCAACCTCTTCATTCCTTCATTTCTTGATGCTTTTGAAAAATTGCATTTTATTATTTTTTCCAGCTATCTTCTTGAAAGTTATGCTGTAAAAAATTTAAATGATTATTTTGTGTTCTGCATAGAAAAGAACTTGTATCATAATTTACTACTTCTTCCCACAAAGTGCAAAGATCTGACACCACACCAACAAAATTTGTTGTTTACTCTATTTGTCAATTATATCTACATTTTAAAACCCAAAAGCCAATATTATTATTACATAAACATTTATAAATACATACATATAAGTGTATGCGTTTTATACATATACCAATGTTATACCATAATACATATTAGCTTGCTATATATCAATGACACATTGTGATACATAACAATTATATATCAATTTTGCACACACACACACACACACACCACCACCACCACCATTTGGATTCTCTAAATTTCTCCCACATCTCAAAACTTTTATCTTAGAGAGTTTTCTTTCAGCCCGAATTGTTACCTTGAGTGAAAATCTACTGTTGGTAAAGTTCCTTGAGTTTTGTCTTCCAAAATGTCTTTTCTCATTATTTTTTCCTGAAATGTGTTTAAACTGGGTACAGAATTCTAGGTTGGAAGTTACTTTCTTCTTTCTTTCTTTCCAATTTCTTCTTGGCTCCACTTGTTCTGTTGAAAGGTGATGCATAAGTTTCATAGCTGCTCTTCTAAATATAATCACTACATGGAAGGTAATTCAACAAAAAAATTTCTATTATTTATTGTTATATTTTTGTAGGTTAATTCTCAGTATTTTACTATTATATGCTATATATGTGGAGTTCTACAAATTATTATTTTTTCCTTTTTAATTATTTCTTGTGCCTACTGCGATACGTATTGTCAAAATTGAATAGAGGTTGGCCTAATTGAACATTGCCGATTCCCCATTTTCTTTCTGCTGTGTGTTTATAGGAATCCAGACATACATGTGTTGGACATATTTACTTTATTCTCATGCCCTTTATGTGGTTTTCTGTATGTTCAATCTTATTACCCCTTTATATTTTATTCTGCATATTTTCAATTATTTATCCTTCAGTTTCTTAATTCCCTCTTCAGTGTTTCCTGATTTGTTAATAAGTTCGTGCTTTGCCATCTTTTAAAAAGTAATTTATATAGTATAACCTAATCTACACACAGTGGAATTTACTTGTTCTATAGTTCTATTAATTTTGACAAATATAATACATGCATTTATGTAATCATCCTTACAGATAAAATATAGAACAATTACCTCAACCCAATGCACTCTATCATGTTTCTTTCTAATAAATTCATCCTTCTCCCCAAACCCAGCTGCTGACAACTTATCCTGTCCCTATTTCTGCAATCTATCTTTTCTTATGCCAACATCTGTGTCTACCCTTCCACAAACACTACACTGTCTTATCATTGCAGCTTTATGTAAATTTTCAAAACAGATGAAAGGAGTCCTCCAACTTTGTTATTGCTTGCCAAATTATTTTGGCTTAATTCCTTTCGTTTTCCACATATATTTAATAACTAACTTGTCAATATCCACGAAACAAATTTGGCTGGAATTTTGACCAAGAATGTGTTTATTCATAGTTTTAATTCATTGTCTTGCCTCTGAGCAAATCTATAGAATTTTTCTTGGGATGCAAGGAATTGAAGTGTAAGAAACACTTCACCCATTGTTTCTTTCTTTCTCTCATAGTACCCATCGAGGGCAGGCATTTTGTTCACATATTTATGACTGTTAGGACAAGTGATCCACCATCTTATAGCTTGTAGTAGAATAAATTATATCAATTTATTATAGGATTAATCAAATTAATTCTAGATCAGATGCCTGATAAGTCACTAAAAGCCCATAGAATCACCAAGCACTGTTTAAATTTTTATTTTTTTCTTGCCATTTTGAAATATAAAGTTATCCATTTACAGTATAGTATGGGCAAGACGCGGTCACTGAGGCCTGTAATCCCAGCACTTTGGAAGGCTGAGAGGGGAGGATCACTCGAGTCCAGGTGTTCGAGACCAGCCTGGGTAACATCGTGAGACCCCCCCTCCGCCTCTCCAAAATTAAAAAAAAAAATGCTGGTGTAGTGGTGCACAGCTGTGGTCCCAGATACTTAGGGGGCTGCAGTGGGAGGATTGCTTAAGCCTGGGAAGTCAAGGCTGCAGTGAGCTGTGATCATGCCACTTTACCCCAGCCTGGGAGACAAAGACCCTATTAAAAAAATACACAAATACATAGACACACACACACACACACACACACAATTTAAAAGAAACACAAAAGGTGAAGTAAGAAAGGACAAGTAAGAAGATTTTCAACTTTGCAAAAATCACCCTACGTTTTCTTAAATGTGAGCTTTCTTTGGCCCACTAATTATTTACAGAACATGTTCGAACTGAGGATAGACTGTGTATAAAATTAAATTTAAGAGGGTCTACTGGTTGAAATGGATCATTTACAAATTTATATAAAACAATTGGAAAACAAGAATCATAACTATAAAACTGATTAACTCACAGATTTTAAAACTTCTATTGCTTAAAGAAAGATATATGTTTCTTTAAAGACTTATATATACATATATTTTTACTTAAATTTCTTCCTATCTGAACCCAAGTAAACAAGGGAAAATTCAGCATATTAGAAAAAAGCATTTCACACATCAACAGAATTTTCCTCTACATATGTTAATCTTTCTTTTCCAGGTCAATGAAACTATTAACTTTTCTACAGCATTTTTCTGAACATAAGTGTTTTTCTCATTTTGCTGAAGGTGAAATGGGAATTCTCAAATACTACTGTGAAGAGCAATATTGCAATATGTGCCAAAAACTTGTTAAATGTTCATTTGTCTCACCAAATGATTTCAATTCTTTTGATATATCTCAATGAAGTGGAACAGATTTTGAAAAAAATAATATTAAAAACAGATTCGTAATGCTGTTAGTGGGTGCTGTAGATGTTAGTGATCGAAAAAAAAGAAAAAAAATCTGATGTTGAATTACAAGGGATTTTGTATGTAATTTTGCAATGACTACCTCATGGAAGAATATTTAACCATTAAGCTGATGCATAGTACCATAGAAAAATGTTGTTAACATAAAGTGACTAAAGGTAGGGTATGTACTTATATGGATAAAAGGCATACACACACACACGTGCATATATATATATATATATATATATATATATATATATATATATATATATATATCAACATGACTCATATATTTAAAAAGAAAGCTATGGGCCAGGCGGAGTGGCTCATGCTGGTAATCATAGCACTATGGGAGGCTGAGGTGGGCAGATCATTTGAGGCCAGTTCGACACCAGCCTGGGCAATACTGCAAAACCCCATCTCTACTAAAAATACAAAAATTAGCTGTATGTAGTGGCGCACCTGTAATCCCAGCTGCTCCAGAGGCTGAGGTTGGAAAATCGCTTGAACCTGGCAGGTGGAGGTGGCAGTGAGCCGAGACTGCGCCACTGTACTGCAGCCTGGGCAACAGAGTGAGACTCTGTCTCAAAAAAATACATACATACTAAAAATAAATACTATGTAAAAACAATACCAGATACATTTACAAACATGTTAGTAATGAAATTTTTTGCGGCAGGGCACGGTGGCTCACGCCTGTAATCTCAGCACTTTGGGAGGCCAAGGCGGGCGGATCACAGTCAGGAGATCGAGACCATCCTGGCTAACATGGTGAAACCCCGTCTCTACTAAAAATACAAAAAATTAGCCGGGCGTGGTGGCGGGCGCCTGTAGTCCCAGCTACTGAGGAGGCTGAGGCAGGAGAATGTCGTAAACCCAGGAGGTGGAGCTTGCAGTGAGCTGAGATAGCGCCACTGCACTCCAGCCTGGGCGACAGAGTGAGACTCCGTCTCAAAAAAAAAAAAAAAAAAAAAAAAAAAAGAAGAGGAAAAGAAAGAAATTTTTTGAATGATCCCTGTATGAGTAGTTTTTAAAATGTTTCTGAAATTCTCTCACTGCTTTAAGCTCCTGCCCCACACATATCCTGAATCCTGCCTGTTTCCTCCCTGTGGATGTCTCCATTTCTGTTTTTGAATCCTGTAGTGCGTTCTCCAGAGAGCACACAGAATGATTGTTGAGCCTGTAATCCCAGTCAGACCACTGCCTGGCTTGAACTCAACACAGTTCATTACACTCAGAATGGAATGTATACTTTTTACGGTGGCGTGGGAAGCTGTCCACACCTGGACCCATGCCTGGCTCTCTGATCCTCTTCCGACTCCTCCTGTCTTTGTTCAGTGAGCTCCATCCAGGCGCTTTTAGCTTTTCCTGGAACATAAAAAGCTTGTCCTATCCTTGAAGACGTTATACTTGCTCTTCCTTCTTGTGGAAGAAACCTCTTTCACCCCACACCCCAAAAATTCACATGTATGGAACCTTCTCAATCTTCAGGTGACAGATTGTAGCTTACTTACCTGACTACACCACACAAGACAACACTTACCCTGTCACTCCTCCCACAGCTGGCTCTATTTTATTTTCTCTCTGGCAGTCATTACTGTCTGAAGTTTCACAACTTATTTTTTTCTACTACTGACTTTTTCTGTGTATATGCCCTCTATTATTATAGACGAACATGAGATCAATATTTCATCTGATAGATTCTCCTAGCTTCGCTCCTGATTCCTTACGTAATATATAGTCTTTAACAAATATTAAACAAAGGAATAAATTAATGATGAATATGGCTAGTTTTCTAATAAAAATTGGCATTATTTTAAAAGAAATGTTTCCAACAATTGACCAATGCACATTTTTATAAAAGATGCCTCTAATGTGTGTTTTAAGTCTTTTTCAATGAAAATAAAGATAAGTTTATTAATGAGCACATAGCAATGGAGTAGAAAGTGTAACATGTTAAATTAATTATATGCTTTTAAAAATCAAATTAATTAGAATATAGGTATATTACTAAGAAATTCACCATGCTTGGTGTGATATAATATCATGGGTTAGAAAAATGTTTTCTAGATATCTTTGTCAGTTTACAGCAGGTAGTCAGCACATTTTTTTTTATTGTAGACAGCCTTGTAGTAAATCTTTTTTGGATTTGTAGGCTATATGTTCTCTCTTGAAGCTGCAGTGTTTAATTCTGCCGCTGCATTGAAAATGCAAGGATAGACAGTAAGTAAATAAATGAGCATGGCTGAGTTTTCATGGAATTTTATTTACCAAAACCAGGGACAAGCTGAATTTGGCTGTGGTTTCCCAACCCCTGGCTTAGAATATTTCTCTTATCATTAAGTTTTTTGGGGGGCAACTTTAATGTCTGAAAATAAAATAAAATAAAATGTCTTAGAATGATTATTGTTTTCAAAATATACTACAATACAGACAAAATATTTCCTTCTGCAAATTCAATATACCTGAAAGGTTAAATATTTATGATATTTATATACAGTCAATACATTATGAGGTTACAGCTACTGTATTTTTATCCTTATTATTTTCATTATCTGCTCTAAAACCTTTAGACATGCAGAACATGTCTAAATCTTTCAAGCATAATTTCATATCTTTAGAGTTTTAAACCAGACATGAACCTTAGCTTCCTCATGGAACAGATGACACATCTACCTTTTAATAATGCCATGGAAACATTGTTTCGACAAAGTTACAGAACTAAAACAAAGCTGTAATTCAGAGTCGATGCTAGAGAGATTCCCTGATGAGTTTTTTTCCCCACCAATCAAGCACAAAGCAGACCACCAACAGAAAACAAAAGGAGACAATTAAGATAGGTTGTGTTATAAGTTGAACAACTTGTATCCTTTTATTTCTAACTTGTTGGGCTAAGGAAAAATACTCAAGTGAGATCCGCATGCACATACCCAGAGAGATCTGTGTATTCCCCAGCCTTTAAACAGACTAAGCAAAATGAGTGCATTCAAAGTTACTTTTATAAATGTAACTGAATACGTAATCCACCAGATTGCAATGCTGAGTATCAGACACATCATAGAGTTAAAAAAGTTTTAAATAGTTAATTATTATTATTTTTAAAATAGAGATGGGGCTCTCGCTATGTTGTCCAGGCTGGTCTCAAACTCCTGGCCTCAAGCAAGCTTCCCTCCTTCGCCTCCTAAAGTGCTGGGATTACAGGTGTGAGCCACTGTGGGCATCTGATGGTAGAGCTTTGTAAAGATCAGTTCCCTGAGTACCTCCCCAGACATTTCCCATCCATTTTAGGTCTGTAGTGAGCTGAGGGATGATGGGGTTAAATTACAACTGCTTGAGAAACTCAGCTACAAACATCTTGACAAGAAAAAGACTCCTTTGTGGTTTTAAATTAAGACACTGCCTCTTCTACATGTGAGTTCCATTACATAGTGATTTGTTTTTATTTCCTAGTTGGAATCATAGTTTCTGTTTATATACCACAAATATTAGGAAGACAAGCACCATTCCGATGTGTCATAAATCGCAGTGTTTAGGGGTCGCTCTCTGAGTGATTACATTCTTACAAAACGCTTTAAACAAACAAAACTATTTAAAATATCCTTCAAGACACATATGACGAGGCAAGTGGACATGCTGTTAGTCTTGGTGTTTCTTTTGTTAGCTAACAAAACTTAATGTTTTGCTAATGAATCATGCTATGCCCCAAATGTTGTGAAATTCATTTCCAAAATAACTGATTCTCAGGGCTTAATTTTATTGATGAATTTGTTGCTGGTTTAAGCAGACAGCAACAGAGAACAAAGTGCATATCCACAACAAATACCCAGAGTATGTTTCTGTGTGCTGTGGTGTTGAGAATCAGTGTTCGTGAATGCCCTGGGATGACACGTCATTGTTAGATCCAGAAAATGGGATGATGGGGTGGGAAACTTGACGATCGTTCAGCTGTTCCTCTATAAAAGGCTGCATTATGCGTACACCTCAATTTGGTTTTAAAACAATGTTTATGGTTTCTCATCAATGGTTTATCGGATGTTTTATTGGGGCACCCAACTACGGATATGAAGCACTTAGTAAAGAACTATTCCTAAAAGCTATTAAAGGGCTGTAAACTGAGCAGCTTTACTGCCCCCAGCTCACGCAGTTGACATAAACCATGTCAGTCATTTGTCCATCAGCATCCACCATAGCTTGACCACCACAGTCAAGAACAATTCTTCCATTAGCTGCTGTAGGAAGGCTACCTGGACCTGTGAGCTTTCTCAGGACCTAAACTACAAAATAAATCTGCAATCTCATTCAGAGAAGAATGCATCTAAGCAGAATTAAATGTTCAACTACATGTCTATGAAGTAAATTATGCCATGTTTATAAATAAGTACATTTAGTAGTCATGAAAATATCACTGCACTTAAAAGAATGCAATGGTCCCTATTTTTTCTTAGTTCTTAACCATTTCTAAATAAGCATATTCGCCCTTCAAAACCACATAGGCCAGTTTAAATTAAAGGATTTGTTTACAGGCAGACAGATGATGTTCTTTAAATATTGATTATAATACTATGTTATAATAATATAGAAAGCATGTATAATTAATATTGCATACTATATACTACTTATATATATAATTGTGTTCAAAATATTAAGAGTACATGGGTTTGTTTTATACTGATAAGCATTGAGAATATGTATATGCCTTCTCATATATAAATACATATATATAAATTATCTCCTTAAGTAGACAATTCTCAATGATTTATCTATATAATACAAACATATATTCTCAATGATTATCTAAAACAAACCCATGTACTCTAAATATTTTGAAAGCAAATAAAATATTTATATAAATATTCTGGATTATAGTATAGAATATTTAAATATTCTATATATTTTTCAATAACTAAACAAAATAAATAATATTACAAATATGCATATTGATATATATCTATCTATATCTATATCTTTTCTATACTATAACCACATAGATTTGGGGCTGAAATTATATTGTGATAAAATAGCATTCCAAAATTAGGTTCAGCATTTTTTAACTGAAGGTGGATTTCAAGTTTGCCTTTGGGTAGAGCTATTTGTTCTTTCTATTGAAGAGAATTCCCATTAAAATTTAAATTCTGCAGAAGAACTTATCTTAATCATTGATATCTGCCACCATGAAGAACAGAAGATATCAACTGGACCTACAAATTTAAAATACCCAGTTTATCATGTTTCTGTAGAGCAAAGCTTTAGATTTTCACATTCTATCTCACTTCCCACCATCCCAGAGCTTGTTAACACTTCTTATTCCAAGGTGATTTTGCCAATTATGTCAAGGCAGAACATCCAAAATGGCGCCCAGAAATGTGTTTTTACTGAGTTCCCCAAGAGACTTTCATGGATCTATCCCAAGAACAATCTTTCAGAAATAGCAGCCTAGAATATGAATTTTTAAAGAACAAAAAGGGACAGACAAGCCTTGAAATGACTGTAGAGGGGAAATATGGAAAAATAAGAAGCCAAGGTACCATGAAAAGGTATTATCATGGAGGTCAAGAAACAAGCCAATGTCAAGAAGGTGCTTGGGGGTAATTTTAATGTCTGAAAATAAAATAAAATTTCTTGCAATGATTATATATATATAATCTCTTAGAATTGTATAATACATATAAAAACTCAGCTATATAATATAAAATAGAGATAATAGAATTAACATAGAGTACACAGAATATAAAATATGAATTATTAGTCACATAAAATATGTACAACCCATTAATTAGCAGAGAAATTATTCAAAAGTACACTAAGATCATTTTTTTAACTATCAGTTTTGCAATCTGCTTAAATTTTGACTTAAGTCTCTGTTATAAGCGCTGAAGTGTGTCAGATTATAATGAGCTACAAAATTAGCTACAATTCAATTCCTACCAAGGTCAATTGGTAAATATCTAAGAATATTACAAGTGTACCTATACTTGACCCAGAAATCTTATTGCTATGAAATTATCCTACAGATACATACACACTTTTATGAAAAATAAGCACAAGGTTATTTATAGCTGCACTTTTTAAACAGAGAATTGGTTACACAGATGAATCATTTTCCATATGTATGAAGGAAATTACATAGCTGTAAAAAAAATACGGCATTTCGGAATTACCATGTAGCATTATGACATGATGGTCAGAATACAGTGCTAAGTAAAACAACAAAAGATTAGTAAGCAGAGAACAGAATGAAGCTATATGACATCTCTTGTGTAAAGGAATGTGGAAAATGAACACTGGTGTTTGTAGTTGCTTGCAATTGCACAGAGAATTTTTTGGATGGATTCATAAGACACTAACATATGTAGCTCTACTTGTCTGAGTCAGGGTTTAAGGGGAACAGAGGGCACTCTCATGTAGGGGCAATTGAGGATTGCTAGATAAAGGGACATTGTGCAAATATGTGAGGAAGGTTACAGGAAATGAGGAGGGGTAACCAGGACTAGTTATAGCAGGAAGACCTGGTACCCCGATGGGGCCAATGAAGAGAACAGTTATCAGATTCTGAACATAGGCTGTGGCTGTCAAAAAAAAACTGAAAAGAGGAACTTTAGCATTGCATAAAGGCCCAGGAAACAGCTGCAGGGCATGGATGACTCAATTGCATGCTCTGCCCAATCTTCTGATATCCATTGGCCAAACTTAAGCAGAAATCAGAGGGTTGGGGAAGCTTCTTGAAGTTGGGCCAGGCTCCAGATAGAGAAGAATGAAGAGTCAATGTCCAGGAACCAGGCTGGGCATGGTAGCTCACGCCTGTAATCCCAGCACTTTGGGAGGCCAATGCAGGAGGATCACTTGAGGTCAGGAGGTCGAGACCAGCCTGGCCAACATGGTGAAACCCCATCTCTACTAAAAATACAAGAACTAGCTGGGCGTGGTGGTGTGGTGTGTGCCTGTAGTCCCAACTACTTGGGAGGCTGAGGCAGGAGAATCTCTTGAACCCAGGAGGTGGATTTTGCAGTGAGCAGAGATCACACCGCTGCACTCCAGCCTGGGTGACAGAGAAAGACTCTCTGTCAAAAAACAAAACAAAACAAAACAAAACAAAAAAACAAGAAGTTAATCACCAGCAGACAGTGCAGCCTGGTGCTGGTTCAGGGCACAGGATACAGGATATGGTTTCAGAAGTAGGAGAGAGATTTTATTTTCACTGCAAAGCACTTCAGTATCTCTTCATTTTTTGAAGCACTGGCTGTATCTCTACCTCAGAAATAATTTGTGATGCCTCTTTTATCCAATGTTTACAACAAGTTTTTCTGAAACTTAATAAGATTCTCGTAGAAAATACTTTCCCCTGAAGCCATACTAACATGTTGACAGGTTGGACATTTCTGAAGAGGACTTGTCATTCTCCTAACTTGTGTTGTCCAAGCCAATGCTGTCTTCAAACGGATTTGTTATCTTGAAAATGTGTAAAATGTCCCTCAGGAAAGTACCTTGAAAATCGCTTAAAAAAATGCATTCTTCTTTTCACAAATTCTTATTCAATATGCAATGTTAAAGTTTTATTCTGTTCTACTAGTAGCCAAAGGTGTGGTAAAAATTGTATTTATGCTGCCCAATGCAGTGGCTCACACCTGTAACCCCAGCACCTTGGGAGGCTGAGGCTGAAGGACTGCTTGAGTCCAGGAGTTCGAGACCAGCCTGGACAACACGGTAAAACCCTGTCTCTACAAAAAATACAAACATTAGCCAAGTGTGGTGGTGTGTAATTGTAGTCCCAGCTACTCGGGAGGCTGAGGTGGGGGGATTGCTTGAGCTGAGGAGGCAGAGGCTGCAGTCAGACAAGATTGCACCACTGCACTCCAGCCTGGGTGACAGAGTGAAACCTTGTCTAAAAAAAAAAGTATTTATTACCCACAGCTGTTACAATAGCTGCTATAGTAATAATGATTTTTTAAAATTAAACTTTAGTAGTTCATAACAGACCACAAAATTGTTAATTCCCTGGACCATAAATAAATGTCATCATTCATCTTAAATAATGCTTGGATTTGAGTGGAACACTATCTTGCTAGGTTGACCCTAATGTTGAAACATCAGTAGTAAAGAAGCACTAGAGAACATTTTCTTCCAGGTAAAAATACTACACATGAAGGCTTTTTTAAAAACACTTTTAAGATGGGTATGCTGTGATAAATTAAGCATTCCAAAACCAAGCATTTAATAAAAAGTGGTTTAGTGTAGACAGTCAATATCCAAAGTGCTCCTGCCCCCGGACATATTTCACTCCATCCCATAGAATATTTGACCAATTCAGAACCTGAAATAAATATTAAAGCTTTAGATTCTATTCACTAAGCCAGAGTAGTATATAACATAATTTTGCATGATTTCATTCAACAGTGTTTTACTGGGAATTGGCACATATTGAGGAAGAAAAGACGAATGAGAAAAATGTCCATCTTCTGCTGCTAATATCTAAGTGCAATAGACATAAAAATGTGTGACAGCATGATCTAGAATACTTCCTCTCCTCCATGCTCTAAGTAGATGTTACTATAAATACCTAATTCTACAAAATGGACCCATTTATGATATAGAGCTGAAAGCCAATCTCTTTCTAAAGTGCTTTATTTCCCTTTGTGGAAATCATTCAAATTATTCAATTGTGAGACTTGGCTGGGTCTAAATGTTACCACCTAATACACAATCACGTCGACAAATTGCTTTTCACTCTTTTATGGGCAATGCTCTGAAAATTATAAATATTGATTCCCACCTGAGGTATTTACACAGAGTCACTGAAAGGGAAAAATAAAATGATTCTTGACAAATATTATGCTATGTTTCCTCAATCAGGTTTATTTGAGCACAATGGGTCACGTCTTTGCAATCATGATTCACCACTTGCTATATTTTAAAAAATCAATCAAATACATGTAATTTAATCAGGTATGGGTTTGTAAACAGTTACAAAAAGACAAAAGAGGGAAGCATATAAATCAATGCATTAAAAGCTGTCTTCACACAGTGTATTTCATGACAACTCAGCCTATGAGATCATCTATTTTATCCAGGACAAGTGAAAATTTCTATAAAATGCTCAACAACCAAAGGCCGAGAAAAGCCCAGTGGCTTAATTCCAAAGTTTGTAAGTTTTTCCAAGCAATCACAGTGCTTTGTCTCTTCTATAGCCCTATTCCCCATGTATTCTTTCATAGAAAATGCTCTAGTATTTGGTGTAAAGCATTTTTTTCTACATTAATATCATAAGGACATTATCCAATGTTTCATTCTGAATTTTTGAAGCATTTGCTTTTCACATCAAGGTTTTAAGTTCACCTGGAGTTTAATTAATTTGTGCATCATGGAGATTTCTATTTGTCTTTCCCTCCTGTATTGACAACTGTGACAATATTGCTATTTGCTACCGCAGTATCTATTCTTTTCCATCCGTATATGTTTGCATATAAACAGGTCTGATTTGTTCAGGATGATCGACACTTATAATCTGATATACACTCCTCTGCAAACTCTCTTAACACCTAGGTATAGCTATGAGATGCATTTCCAAAAAACGCAATGAAGGCTCAAGTCAGCTGGAACAAAATTACTTCACTCCTACAAGAAGAATCTTTCAGATGTGTGACCTGCTCCCCTCTTTCGTCCTAGCTGTAGTGCGAATACTATTTATACAGAGCTTCTTGGAGCTATAACCCTGCAATCCTGGGTTTCACAAAAATGAAGAAGAAAACTGCAAAATTTTTGGTACAGAATGACTTTCTTGAGCACTTCATTTTCCATACCTTAACGCTTATTATTATATAACAAAAATAAAGTGCCATTTGTTTAAGCAATTGATATGGATAGCTGTCAAACTATAATAGCCAAGAGCAATTGATAGAAAACTTGCCATTTTATCATTCTTTATTTTGTATGTGAGATGTTCTTGTGACAGCTGCTTATAATGGAAACTTTGTCATATGAGAATTGCCATGTTCCATCTATCTCCATCTAAGCTCTGTAGTTTACAGAGATTTATTTTATTCACCCTGCCTAGATTCCACAGTGACCACTGTATAAATCTTGACATCCAAG
This sequence comes from Homo sapiens, assembly GCF_000001405.40. Taxonomy (NCBI): domain Eukaryota; kingdom Metazoa; phylum Chordata; class Mammalia; order Primates; family Hominidae; genus Homo; species Homo sapiens. The sequence continues at coordinate 4,939,490 of NC_000023.11, forward strand.
GAGAAAAGCCATAACAACTATTCTGCATTGTACTTCAAAATGTTCTTGGACACCCTTGGCTTGGTATATTTCCATACACGTTTTGGGGAGAAGTTTGTCAGTTCAAGAAAATATAGTTAAAATATGTTAGAATTTTAAAACCAATTGAGTGGAAATTTTTCATCTTCTAAACTCATTTGGGAGGAAATTTACATGCTTACACTTTTGATCCTAACCTGTATCAAATACTGACATACCTCAGTTTATTTTGATTTTCTGTTACGTTGCTCTTTAAACTTTTGTTCTTTTGCATATAAAGTTCTTGTTCATTTTTAATCCCATTTTTCACAAAGAACTTACAGGTTTAGTGCAATTGCAGTTGTGATTTCCAAATAAATAATAGTTACATTTGTATTTGATAGTTGCTGGTGTACATTAATGCCACTAATATGTGTGCACTGATCTTACACTGAGCATACTTTATAAAAATTATCATGTTATTTTATTCATGAATATATCTATGTAAAAGTTATATCATCTGCACCATCTGCCAATAATAACTGTTTCTGTCTTTTTCTATTCTGTACCAATAGAACTTCCAATTTAGTATTAAATAAAATTGTCATGGTGGAGACATTTGTCATGTTATGGATTTAAAGGGAATGTTTCTCATATTTCACCATTAATACCAATATTTCCTTTAATATAGTGTTGCATCTGTTTTATCAAGAGAGTTCCTTTATCTTTCAAATTTTATAGGCTCATTGTGTAGCATGATGTCACAATGTATCAACTAATTTCCTATATCTCTTGAAAAAAGTCAGGCCTCTCTATTTTAATCTGTTAAAAGGATACATTGATTCTGCTGATTTTTGCAATGTTGTATCATGTTTGCAAGTTTGTTTCATTGGGGTTATCGCCATTATTACCTGACTTAATTTGCTCAACTTTGCAGCATGTTTGTTTCTATGCCAATAAGGAGAATCAGTCTGCGTGTTTTCCCTCACTGGCACTCGTGTTTTGGATTTGATAGGATGTTGGCTTTATGGATGCAAGGCTCCTGCAAGACCCTGGACTTGGCCATGGCGAGATTAGCAGATGTGATACAACAGAGATGTGAAACGGCTCTGCTCATTTGGGGCTAATTTGCTGGTCTACCTTTGGCTAAGCCATTTGGAAATCCTGGGCAAGACTGATTGAAAATAAAAGATAAGAGAAACAACTGAGTTGCCCCAAGCCTCCCAGCCAAGACTATGGTTGCTGAATGATTGAAAGCTGATTCCCAGATGGGTGAGTGAGCCCAGGCAGGGTGGAGGGCCACCTACAATTAGAACATCTCGCAGTACTGTGGTCTGCCACTGGATGTTCTGGGACTTTAAAACCCCCCAAAATCTAACTGAACCAGGAACTATCCTCTGGTAAATGATATTTTCTACAAGACTGCTTGTTTTATAAAAATTTTCAAATTGATTGTCCCTATCCTAATGTTCTTTACATTTTTATATGTTATATCAATTTGAGGTAAGAGCCTTGTAACATAGTCTCAGAAACACTTATTTGTGTTTTCTGTCTTTATTCTGGGGAAAAAAAAAAAGAATGACTGCAGTGGCTCACACCTGTAATCCCCAGCACTTTGGGAGGCTGAGGCAGGAGGATCGTTTGAGGCCAGGAGTTGGAGATCAGGGGCGGAAAATATAGCAAGACTCTGTCACAATAAAACAAAAAAATATACATTTGTCCTTAAAAGTCACTGAAGAATTTATAACATATTGTTTTGCCTATTTTATATAGTATTATTTAATATAATTTTAATATTATTTATCAATTATTTTATATTTATTATGAATCTTTATGTTGAGAAAAAGAAGAAAAGGAATTTGTCATAAAGGTATCAAAAAATGGATACTGTTTTAAGAAGACTATATTTTAAACAAAGTATAAAAAAAACAACAATAAGTTTAAAATTATTTTTCAAAATGATTACTTTAACAAACTGAAAACCTATTTTGACAAAAATGTTTTGGTTAAAAAATAACTTTAAAAAAACTAGAATTAGAAAAAAAAATTCTCCCTACTCTTCTCTCGACTCTTGTTTATTACTGGAACATGATAAAATTGGTAGCTAACATGCAATACACTCTTTTCGTTTACCAAGAATGAAAAAAGAGAAAAGAAAAATGAAAGGAAGAAATAATAAAGGAAGAAAGATGGAAAGATGAAAAAAAAAGAAAGAATAGAAGTTGAATTACATATAATAAAATTAAAACAAATGTCAGGCCTGCTGACAAAGCGTTCATATTTGCCAGCGGGAAAATCCTTATTTTCACAATGTTTTCAGCAGCATATATCAGCAGAATATACTAGAATTACTCAGATAAATTAAGTTTGAATCTATGGATTTGTGGGACAGTGCTCCCTGGAAAATATCACTTAAGCCACGTAATTCAGACAGCATAGAATAAAGATGTTTGTTTCAGAACCAAAACAGTCAACTTTTTTTTTTAATCATTTCTAGGCATTATATAGTTAAACTCTGGACAAAGTGGGTTCCAAGCAGATAAACAGAGACCTAAGCAGAGATGTTGGTTTTCTAATACACATTGATACTTTCTGTGCATGTACTTGTATCATAGGAATAATCATTAAAATTTTATGCTGGGGAAGATCTCCAATTTTAAGATAGATGATGATAGATAGATAGATAGATAGATAGATAGATAGATAGATAGATAGATAGATAATAGACAGATAGATAGATAGATAGATAGATAGATAGATAGATAGATAGATAGATACATGATAGATAGATAGGCAGGCAGGCAGACAGATAAATAGATGGGATGGATAGATTAGATGGATGGATAGGTAAGTAGGTAGATATACAGACAGACAGATAAGTGATTTCTACTGTGAGTTGTTTAACAAATGAGCTATGTAGAATTTTCCTAATATTTAAACATAAGTGGTTCGTAGATCTTTTTTATTTATATCTAACTCCATCACTTCACCATCATAGGAAATGGCATATTTGACCATTCTTTATGTTTTTGTTTGTTTGCTTGTTTTTTGTTTTTGAGATTTCCTTCAGAATTGGAGTTAATAGATTTAGCAAATAAAAATACAGATGCCTAAGTAAATTTGAATTTCAGTTAAGCAGCAAATAGTTTCTTAGTATAAGTATGCCTAATGCAATATTCTGGCATAGGTTTACTATAATTTGTTTGTTAGTTTAAATTCAAATTAAACTGAGTGTACTGTCTTTTAACTGGCAACTTTATTCAGAACAAACCAAAAAGTTGATTTTGAGAAATGTTCTATGAACGCTTAAGAAAAGCAAGTAATATTCTTATAGCTGAATTCAGGTTTGTAAACAGTTGACAAGACCATAGCTGCACATCGATGACAATAGTTAGCATAATTTATATCTTCTTGGTTTTTACCAATTTTTGTCAACTTTTCCCATTTCTTGAAGACACGGAATAAAGTCTTCATCACAATTGTTAAATTGCCAGGTTGCGATTCAACATTTTTGCTTAATTTAACTTATTAAGTTAGGACAGGCAAGTCCAGAATTGACGTCTTTTCTTGTTGAATCATTTTGTTAAATGTTTTTTCTCTTCCTTGTTTTGTCCATCAAATAAACAACCTCATCTTATTTTTTAATTACCCATGTTCAGAGTGTTAAATTATAAAACATTTTGTGGAGAGAATAGAAATATGCTGTTTATTAGTTGTTGATGTCGGACCTTGCAAGATATTATTCAAAATTTCCAACGAATCCGACCCCTTAGTTCATTCACCTCTTGCTGTTTCTTCAGGCTTTATGTCGCTACCTCTATTTCATTGTTCACATGTCAAAATTTCATGGTCTTTCTATTCAGTTAAGTGTCATGTCCACAATCAATGTACTTTTAAAATATGCATGTAGTTTAAATAAGATGTTGAGCTACTCATATAAAATATAGATGAGACATAATCCCAGATACATGCCTGACACACACAGCATTGCTTTATATCTTCATCATGGAGTTATAGGAATAAAGTGTTCATAACACGTTTACATTTCTTTTTAACATTTCAATAAATTTGGTTCTTGATCAAAATATACATCATCTCCCTTTTTGGTTCCACCTATTTTATGACTCTTGAAATTGTCAGAATGGTAAGCATGTGTTAAATGTTATATAAATCCTCCATTAAGAAACTAAAATTTCTGTAGATATTGTCTCTCTTCACTTTATAATTTGTTATGTGCCCTGTTTGACATTTTCATAACAAGTGTCCTACTCGTACACGTAATCAAGGTTGAGGGAACCTCTCATATCCCACACCATGCCCCCTTTATTTTTGTCTTCAAACTCATAAATCCTGACTACCTGGATACCCATTTTAGTTACATAAAGCTTCACAAAAGTGCTGTATTAACTAGAAATTAAAAAAAAAAAAACATGCAAGCTATTTCAAACTGAGGATTTTAATATAGAGGCTTGGTTTAAAAAATCAATGTTAGGTTGGGCACAGTGGATAAAGCCTGTAATCCCAGCATTTTGGAAGGCTGAGGCAGGAGGATCACTTGAGCCCAGGAGTTTGACACCAGCCTGGGCAACATAGCTAGACCTTGTCTCTACAAACAATAAAAAATTGGTTGGGCATGGTGATTTGTGCCTGTGGTCCCAGCTACTCAGGAGGCTGAGGTGGGAGGATCACTTGAACGTGGGAGGTCAAGTCTGCCATGATCCGTGATCACACCACTGCACTCTAGTCTGGGCAGCAGAGTGAGACTCTGTCTCAAAAAATAAAAATTAAAATTAATGTTAGAAATGCCAGGGAAGGCCAGGCATGGTGGCTTGCGTCTGTAATCCCAGCACTTTTGGATGCCCAGGTGGGTGGTTCACAAGGTCAGGAGTTCGAGAGCAGCCTGGCTAACATGGTGAAACCCCTTCTCTACTAAAAATTCAAGAATTAGCCAGGCATGGTGGCACACGCCTGTAGTCCCAGCTACTCAGGAGGCCGAGGAAGGAGAATTGCTTGAACCCGGGGGATGGAGGTTGCAGCGAGCCGAGTTCATGCAACTCCACTCCAGCCTGGGCAACAGAACAAGACTCCGTCTCGAAAAAAACAAAAACAAAAACAAAACAAAACAAAACAAAACAAAAACCAGGGAAAACAGAGAAGGGAAAGGTTGTGAGGAAGGTGATGATATCTTCCAAATAAGGACGCTTCTATCAACTCTGGGCTGAATTCCCAAGCTCTAGCCTTGCTTCTGCAGTGACAAAAATGTCTGATCAGTGGCTTCTGGAATTGCTAATGAGGTTTTGCAATGAGCAGGCAAGCATTTCCCTGGGCTGCTACAGAGTCCACAATTGCCTGCCCAAATTCACACTACAGCTACTACAAAAGACTGCCAACCACTGGCATGACAGCACTCCCATACAATAATCTCTCTTTCTCCTGTGTTCTGATTTCACTGTCATTGAGACAGATTCTGTCAGGAAGACAGCTCGCAAAGACTCCTGGGAAATGTAGTTTGCTGACTTCTAGCCCCAGTGTTACAGAAGGGAGTTTAGAAAAGTTGGCCTGAGCAGGGACAAAACCAGATAACTGAATAACCAGAACTGGCTATTAGATATATATCTCACGTACACATTAAAAGATGAAAGCATATGTGATGACAATTCATGCTAATTATGTCATTGGAGGATCCTTTGCCATTACACAAAAATAAACAATCACCAGTTCCTGATCCAATTTGGTTCAAGGAAGTCTTCATTTTCTTATACTTGGTTGTGCAAGTAGACTCCTGGAACATCACACTAAATTTTTACTTTCTTCCTGTAACCTTTGTTACTCTTCCAGGGATGATATAGTAGCAATACCTTTGCACTGAAAACTTGGCAATTTCCAAGAAACACATTCATTCAAAAACCGGCAGAATTATTTGCAAAACTAACACATAAGATACTATTGTGTTTTTATCAGTTATTCTTTATCTGTGTTCTATTGTTTTTCAGATTTTTGCATGAAGAGGGGCAGGAGGCTGAGAGGCATAGCCAGGCAAGCTAAGTTTCCACTTTGTTCTCTGAATATTAAAATAACATAATTACCATAGAAAGCCTTGAATGAGAATTTCATAACCTTATGGCTCTTTTCCTTAACTGCAGTTATCTTTTGCTTGTATTTTTTCATGTGACTTTAATGAGCAGAAACTTTGAATTCAAGAGGTAATTCTGAAAAAATCAATACACTTGGCCATCACTCAAAAATTTTAGTGACATAACCTGAATCTGATTATATCTTCATATTAATAAGTTTGCAATTTGTTTTCTAATTAAAAAAATAATAGAACAGAGGAATAAATTTATATTCCTAATAGGAAAGGTCATTGCATGTTTTAGCACAGGTGGAATTATAATTATTTTTGAAATTACTGTAACAATGAATTTTCTCCTCAAAAGTCTAATTACTTTTAAAAAATCAAAATAGCTAATTGGAGTTTCTGTCATGTGGTTTACATTTCCATTTACAGTGACAATTTAGACTTGTTCCTGATGATTTTGGAGAGCTCGGGGAGCAGCATTTCTGGTATGCCTTTTTCCTACATTTACATACATTTTCATTTAGTTTTCAACATATCCAATTGTCTTTTCATTTACGTTTTTATTATGCACTGTAGCAGGTACGTATTAGAATGAAGATGTTAAACTGTGCACACTACAAGAAAATTAAAAGAAAATATATATAAGTAATATTTCCCTTCAATGCATGGATGCAGCTGTTGAGAGCACTCTACTCATTGATCTTGACCATGGCTTTACTGAGTTGAATCCTTATCAATGTTCCCAGGAGGCATGATTCCTACACAGGACAATGTTCTAGTGATAGTATTCTCATTTCTGCAACTCTATGCTCTCATTACTTTACATATCAATTAAACTTTATTTGGACACTTGGCATTTTAGATTTGATCTTGTTGGATGCTCAAGATCATCTGACGAGATGATCTAATATTTTCATGTGTGTATCCCAATAAATAGTCCTGAGCTTTGTTCTGGGGTTCAATTAGGTACGTTGAAAACAGTTTGGTCCTTTTTGAGCAACGCATATTAGGTGGTACCAGAGCAGCACTTAATCTAGGCAAAACCATCCACTACTAAAGACGCCAGACCTTTCTGTGTACTTCACCCAATCCCACTGACTTGTGAACTGTTAAACTAGTCTAGCTGGCGAGGACTGCCAGTATTCTTAGATGTGGCTAAGCACAAACAACTCCCTGCTCTGACTCATTCAGGTGGTTCTTTCCTGCCCTCAGGGAGTTTCCCAATACACTCTTCTGCTGAATAGTAGGGGGGACCCATGGTAGGTCTCTAGATTTCCTTCTCTTCTTCAAGGCTCTCTCCTGCAAAGGATGTCCATATTTTTCTTTGATTCTGAATCTATGATTCTCTGATTCTGAGCTTCGTCTCCCCGATTCATGGAGTTTCACTGGGCTTCTTCTGAAATCCACTTTCATATGCAGTAGCCTGGAAACTCTCTCCTGATTGTGAGCTTGGGGCAACTGTGGGGTTCAACTCCTTGTTTTGCCCATCTTTCTTTTTTATTTTATTTTATTTTATTTTATTTTTTTATTATTATTATACTTTAAGTTTTAGGGTACGTGTGCACAACGTGCAGGTTTGTTACATATGTATACATGTGCCATGTTGGTGTGCTGCACCCATTAACTCGTTCTTTAGCACTAGGTATATCTCCTAATGCTATCCCTCCCCCCTACCCCCACCCCACAACAGTCCCCAGTGTGTGATGTTCCCCTTCCTGTGTCCATGTTTTGCCCATCTTTCATTGCCTTTTGCTCACTGTCTTGACAACTGTTGGGGTTTTTTTTTATATTTTAAACATATGTATATTTATATATATATAAAATAGGTTATTAAACTTTTATTCCAAACCAATCTATTGGGTTTTCCTGTTACTTCTGTCTAGCATGTTCATACCGTAGAAGTAGAATTTGTAAGATACAAGTGGAAAGTAATTTTTGTCATTGCCTTAATCATGTGTTTCAATTCTTCTTCAGCCTTATTCAACAGGCAGTTTTCTCAGGTAATGAAATCTCCTCCCCTTATTGAAATCTCAAGGGCTGTTAATCTGATTTCAAAATAACACAAATGTCCAGGTTCACATAATATTCAACTCTGGGAGTCTATTCATTTTTATGCTAAAGTGGTCATAAAATATAATTTGCAGTATTTGTTTTTAATAGAGGAAGATTCCCCACAGAAGCAAAAGTACCTCCATCCATATAAGTTGTAACATATCTGGTGTCTACCCTTAATCTCTACGCTTCTACCCTTCTTTAAGTATTCTTCACCATGACAATCATTTCTTTTTTCTTCATTTGGTTAATTTTCTTATGCATTGTAATTCTCTTATTAGAGTAAATTGGGAGAAAAGTGCTGTATATTTCTACCGTTTATACTTTGAGTAGAATAAGGGCTGACATCATACCGTGAGTCTTTAAAATATACTTGAGTGAATTGTGTTGGAATGTCTGTGTTGTTCACTAATCAAGATTTAGCCGCACATGTATATACGAGGAGAACACTAGCTACCATGTGAATTTTAAACGGATAATGAGCTCATATAAATTATGCAATTTTATTTTAGTGCACAAAATTATCCTTTATTTTGATTTGATTTAAGATAAATATAGCAAAATTCTATGAAGATGGGGAGACATTTCCCAATTATTTTAGTTAGAAATATTATCATAGCATGATGTTGATTACTAAGTAAAGCATGAGTAAATTCCATTTTACCTGTCTTAAGTATAGCTATGATGAATTAGTAAGTGTTGACACCACTTCTGATAAGTCTATTATAATGTCTGCAATGGAAACATAGTATTTCCCAACATCATATGACTAACTCTAGTCATAATCAAATCAAAACTCTACTCGCAATCGCTCAAATTATTTGATCAATATATCAAAATATCCCACTGATATAACAGTCTTTATTCATGATTGCAAAACAGTCTCACTATTAATTAAAGAGAAGCAATTGACATAATTGATTTATATTTAAAAATCAGAATGATTTATAGCTTGCTCTGAAATTTATATTTGGAGCAGAAATACATTTAACTCCAATTTTAATTTGTGCATTCAAAGTAGTAGAAATAATACTTTTTTTGAAATACATGAGACTAACATGATTCTAGCTCCCAGCGAAATCCTAAATACTACTTATATTTGTGAAGTCGATACAGAATTTTAATAATTTTGATTTTTCTCTAGCAATAATAAATATATCTGGTTGTGATATTTTAATATGTGATTTAGAGACTTTACAAATTAAATACCTATTGTGTTCAGTATAAATACACTTACAACATGCTTCATAGAAATGCATTGTATGCCAATGCTTTATAAATCCCCTTTGCATGGTAATAGGTTTATGACTGGAGCACCTTCTGTCATTTCACTCCAAGCACCTTTAAATAGAACAGCAAATCAGTGAGTTTAATGTTGTGCACCAAAAATAAAGTTCTAAGCTCCCCAACTAATTGAATGGTCCCTGCTCTTGGCCAAGGGCATTCCGAATAAACCTAAAAAATATAGTTCAGACCATGATGGGAATGGGTGGTTGGACATACCTCATTACACACTTCTCCTTTTGGAATTCAGGCACAGCTGGCCAGCATTCACATTAAAACAGAGACCTTAAGACTGATTAAACAGACTCTTTGTAACTTGTAATGTGACTCTGGTCTCTATCCCCAATTTCTAAGCTTCTACTATGCTCCACCATGTGTGATGGTTAATATTGAGTGTCAACTTGATTAGATTGAAGGATGCAAAGTATTATTCCTGGGTGTGTCTGTGAAGGTGTTGTCAAAGGAGATGAACATTTGAGTCAGTGGCCTGGGAAAGGCAGACCCACCCTCAATCTGGTGGGCACCATCTCATCAGGTGCCAGTGTGGCTAGAATAAAAGCAGGCAGAAGAACGTGGAAGGACTAGGCTGGCTGAGTCTTTTGGCCTCCATCTTTCCCCTGTGCTGGATGCTTCCTGACCTTGAACATTGGACTCCAATTTCTTCAGCTTTTGGACTCTTGGACCTACACCAGTGCTTTAGCAGGGTCATCGACCACAGACTGAAGGCTGTACTGTTGGCTTCTGTACTTTTGAGTTTTTGGGACTCGGACTGGCTTCCTTGCTCCTCAGCTTGCAGATGACCTATTGTGGGACTTCACCTTGTGATCGTGTGAGTCAATACTTCTTAATAAGCTCTCTTTCGTGTATATATCTATCGTATTAGTCCTGTCCCTTTAGAAAACCCTGACTAATACACCATAGCAATCATTTTTTTCTTCACTTGGCTAATTTACAGGTGATGTAGTAAGATACATCACATGACAGATAGTGGACACTAAAGTAAAAGTATTTTACCCCAAAATATTTTTTATGTATTTTAAAATGGCCCTGCAAAGCTGTCTCTTGTGGAGAAAATTTACATTCTGTGGAGAATGCCTTTCCCTTTCCAGGTGTCTTCCTGATCCAGGAGAGTTTAACTAAGTGTATGCCACCTTTCAAAGTCCGATAAGAAATAGTTACCATCTATTCTCTCTGAAGCCTGCTACCAGGAGGCTTCATCTGCATAATAAGAACCTTGATCTCCACAACTCCTTATCTTAACCCAGACACTCCTTTCTATTGATTCCAGGTCTTTAGATAATAAATCTTTCAACCAATTGAGAATCAGAAAATTTTGAAATCTCCCTATGATGTGGAGACCTCCCATCACCAATTTGAGATGAAACCAATATACATCTTACAGGTATGGATTGATGTCTGTCTGTAACTTCTATCCCCTTAAAATGTATGGAATTAAGCTGTAACCCAACCACCCTGGGCACATGTGCTCAGGACCTCCTGAGGCTCTGACCTGGGCATGTCCTTTACTTTGGCAAAATAAATTCCTAAATTGATTGGGACTTGTCTCAGGTACTTTTCGGTTTTACAATGTGAAGGTGATACTGCCTTGTGTGGCTTACTAAGAGTACCTTGCTGAGGCAATATGTACATTTTTAAAAAGTTAGCAGATCTGCAAATCACTATGTCCTTACGAGAGATTACATGTTAGAAACTGCAAATTATGTTCAATTCAGCTTTTCATAAAAAATACCATTAACTGATAGCAGGGGGCATCTTTTACAGCTATCGGGTGTAGGTGCCAAATCTCTCCTGGCAGTTTCCAATTTTCAGGGAATTTACAGCTGTTCAGCTGACATCCTCTGCAGTTCATTAAAGTCTCATGATGTCTGGTTTACCTCATTCTAATGTCTCTGCTATGCAGAATTTATTAAGAAGAAATATAACACAGATTTTTTTTTTTTTTTTTTTTTTTTGGAGAAAGGGTCTCACTCTGCTGCCCAGGCTGGAGTGCGGTGGTGCAATCATGGCTCAGTGTAGCCTCGACATCCTGGGATCAAGCAATCCTCCAGCCTCAGCCTCTCAAGTAGGCATGTACCGCCACACCCAGCTAATTTTAATATTTTTTGTAGAGATGGGGTTTTGCCATGTTGCCCAGACTGGTCTCAAACTCCTGGGCTCAAGTAATCTGCCGGCCTCAGCCTCCTAAAGTGTTGGGATTACAGGGATGAGCCACCATACCCAGCCAAACAGTATTTTAAAATAGAACCCCTTCAACATATTCATCAATGTCTGAATCATGGTATGTAGTGTTTTTTTATTCTATCCTTTGGATAAACTTTGATGTTCTTGAATAAACTCTGATGTCCTACTCACTTCTTCTACTTCCTATTTCAAACCACAGGCTTGGGCATTTATAAGTATTTAAATATGTCTAAGTTTTAAAAATACGGATCAACAAAATACCAACTCTTGAAACAAACGGTTAAATGTTTACAAGAAATATAAAATGAATAACTATACTATGGCTTATATGAAATTATCTTAGTGCTGTAACATGAAGTTTGATTCTAAAAACACTAATTTTTCTGGAACAAACACAAACTCTAAAAAAAAGAGGGTTTATTTTTTGCCTAAGATTAAGAGTTATATTTGGTTCTTTCCCTGGTTTTGAACAGAAGCCAATTTTGAAGTAAGCGAAAGGAAAAGGTAAGTAGGTTTGTAATACAACAAACATGCATATGAACAAATAAAAAGGAAAACTGTTCCTAGTTATTTTACATCTATAGAATATGTGTGAAAGAAGTTTGTATGAAAGATTATAAAATTATTAAATGCAAATATGATATATTTATTAAGCTTAAATTATCATACTAGAATATAACAATAAAAGACCGTCAAGGTCTTCACTGCTTACAAATTAAGCAACATTTTCCTAAATATTCATTGGATCAAAGTGCTTACAATAAACTCCTCTGAGTGTTAGAATACAAAGTTGCATAATTCACACTGAATGCTAAAATACACGGTCACATCTACACTAAAATGAGATTATGCATATGCAAATGTTATGAACGATATTTTATTAAAGACAATTTTTGAACATGAGGAATGATATAGTCACTTTAAAAATTATAAAATAAGGTTGTGGGAAAGCAGTATTGGTTCAGGTAACAATGACAAAACATTGTACAGAAAATAAGAAATAGTAGCAATTATGTATAAGTACAAATGCTGGTTCTTCGAAAAAAAATCAGGGAAATCACATCAATACAGACTCAGGAATAAGGAGAAAGTGGACAAAGTAGTAAGGTGTTAGAAATAAAAAGAAAAAAGAAGCACAAATAAAGAAGAGTTTTGACACAATGTAGAAGGAGGATTATAACTACCAATTAACACAAACGATTTTCAATATTTTTTATTGATTTTCATTGCAAAGTGTTTCACAACTAGAGTATCAAAGCTAAATTATACATGATTCCTTTACTCTACAAGTACACAAAACCAGATAATATTAATTCTATTTAAAGGAGAGTTCCCTGATCCATTTAATTAAATCATTATAAATTACTACCAAACCCCAATCAAGATAACAATAAAAGAACTACAGATCAGTAACTAATATATATTCCTGAATACATTTTAATAAATCACCATCAACAATATGCTGATAAAGCAATACGATATTGTCCAAATAGAGGGTATTACTGGAAATCATGTGCTTCATTTAAATACACGATTCTATCAACACAATTGTGAAGAACAACACATGACTATCATGTTAGAAACTGGCTGGGCACAGTGGCTCATACCTGTAATCTGAATACTTTGGCGGTTCGAGGTAGACCAATCACTTAAGCCCAGGAGTTTGAGACAAGCCTGGACAATGTAGGGAAATTCTGTCTCTGCCCAAAATACAAAAAATTAGCTGGGCATGGTGGCATGCACCTGTAGTACCAAGTAGTCCTATAGTCCCAGTAGCTGGCTTAGCTACTCTGGAGGAGAGGCAAGAGGATCACTGGCATCCATCAGGTCGAAGCTGCAGTGAGCCATGATTGTGCCAATACACTCCAGCCTGGGTGACAGAGCCACATTCTGTCAAAAAAAAAAAAAAAAAAAAAAAAAAAAACACTAATAAAGCAACTGATAAAATTAAAGATGAAATGTTAAAACTCTGTAAAGTTGAAAACCCTCCCAGGTTCAAGCGATTCTCCTGCCTCAGCCTCCTGCATAGCTGGGATTACAGGCATGCACCAGCACACCTGGCTAATTTTTGTATTTTTAGTGGAGACGGGGTTTCACAATGCTGGCCAGGCTTGTCTTGAACTCCTATCCCCCTTGATCCACCCATCTTGGCCTCTCAAAGTTCTGGGATTACAGGCATGTGCCATCATGCCAGGCCACTCAGGCCAGGTCTTTATGGGATGGGAATGAATTATTCAACCAGATCCAGTTAGAGGTGTGGCCAGAGAAAAGCTAATTCATCTATGCACCTGTAACATTCAGGCTTCTCATAAACTGGCCAATTTATCTGTGTCTACATATTATGTTCCTTAAAAAATTGTTTCTCTTTTAGGTACAAATAGAGTTACTGAAGCTCAATAATTTGGATTCATGGCAATTATAAAATGTCGTGTGTTTAGGCACAGAGCTTCTTTCACATTCGACCAATGGCAAAACTAAGCACAATTTGGAATGCTTGTTGAACACAAAAGGCTTAATGAAGTATCCAAGCCATTTACTTCCTTAAAGGGACTCCCTTTCCAGGATTCCAAAATATCAGATGTAGTTGCAACCCAGTGTGGCACTCTTCAATATTTAAATTGGACTAATGAGTATACACATTTAACTTTTCTGTACATGCACATGAATGAAAGCCTATCTAGATTTTTATGGTATGTGGTCGAAAGAGATAAATTTATTACACAGTAATAGATGTTGCATTACTTTTGAAATCTTTGCTTACAAAAACAAGCAATAGGGAAAACACTCCTTATTCAATAAGTGGTGCTGGCATAACTGGCTAGCCATATGCAGAAGATTGAAGCTGGACCCCTTCGTTACACCGTACACAAAAATCAACTCAAGATGGATTAAACACTTAAATGTAAAACCCAAAACTACAAAAACCCTGGAAGAAACAACAGACACTGGGATCTACCTGAAGGGGGTGGGTAGGAGGAGGGAGAGGAGCAGAAAAGATAACTATTGGGTACTGAGTTTAATACCCGGGTGATGTAATAATCTGTACAACAAACCCCCATGACATGTGTATATCTATGTAACAAACCTTCACGTATACCCCCAAACCTAAAATAAAATTTTTTTAAAGAGATTTTGAATGTATCCCTGGATCCTTCCATACAGAACATCTGCCAATGGTTGTGCATGTAACTAACATGACACACCTTATTGTTAAATGTTTTAGAATTTCAATATAATGGAAATAAAGAGAAACTCTCTAAATTGTAAAATGGGTGGGTATTTATTTTTTGTTAATGAGGTCACATGGTTATCAGAGGAAAGATTCTAAGAATGTGATTTAACTGTATCATAGACCCGATGAGAACTCCAAAATTGTTTTTGGTTTCTTAAGCTTCAGATAAGAAACAACTGAAGGCAGCACAGATGCATAAAGATGTATATTATTGGCTTAGAGTTTTCCTGAACAAGCCAGTTTGTGATTTTCTTCAGTAGTGCAGTCAGATATTCAATCACCATCATCTTAAGGAAAAAATGGTTGGCGTCTTTGTGCTTCATTTTGGATGATGAATTAAATCACCTTGTCATGAACTCCTGGGTCTTCATCTGTTATTACCAGTGTTTACAGGAAATGAGCGTTTGAACCTCATGTCTTTTCTGGGTTAAGGGCCATTTTGTTTGAGAGAATTACTGAAAGAAAGAGAAGCAGGACATCCACATAGAGAACACTTAAATCCATCAATGTCCTCTCTAAGTCTCTTGAGTCATTGTGAGGGTTCCTAGATCTGCTCAAGATGCCTCATGAAAAGATCCTTTATGCTGGCCATGAGAAAAGGGATGAGACATGCAAGTGTAAAAACTCGAATGTTCCTAATCTGTGAATGCTATAGCCTCCTACTTCCAGGTAAGACAAAGGCTCTTCGACTTTTGCCAGCCATTCATCAGAATCACCTGGAAAACTCATGGGAAAACCCATTCCTGGATCCCATGTCTAGCTTATCCATGAGATACAAGGACTTATGAAAATGTTTCGATGTTTTCTAAAATCAGAGGAAAATTTTTTTAATTTAAAATTTAAAAAAATCAGAGAATAAAATTGAACTTTTAAGTCAAAGAAATGTTTGAATATAGGATAGTAACTTATCTTTTTACCAACTCAGTCATAAAATATAGTATAAGTTTTCTTTTTACAATGGAGGAAGAAGCCCATATTTTCCTCCCACTGAGAGAAAAACAAGCAAACAACAAAACAACAAAAAATCTCACTCACCACAATGTTGGTTTTCATGAGTCAACATAGTAATCTCCATGCTATGGTGTCATGAAGCCCAAATTCTGCTCACCTCTGCTCATGCATTGCCAACTTGAAATTTTTCAATGTTGCTATCTCTATCTCTGATTTTCCAGACGTGACGGCCACAAGCAGCGTGCTTGGATGTCTTCAGCACTCAGCATTAGCAGATCTAAGCGTCAGACAAAAGAAAACGTACTCACAGAAATCCAGAAATGCTGTTTCAGTATATTCCAGTCAAGAAATAATCAACTTTGTATGAATAAATCTTATTTAGTGTAATATCAGTAAGGCAACAGCATACATTACCAAGCCTCCAGGACGTTAATTAGCACGTAAAATGCTGATAAATCGTATGTGTTGATTTTGAAGCAAGCCAAGGTTGATTTGTGAAAGAAGCAGTTAAATTTCAAAACAATCTTGAAATCTGAAATCCTAAAGTTTTATTGAATTTTCATATACCGTATATAAAGGCATACCTTTCTCTAGTTAACTATTATTTTTAAACATTAACAGGCACATTCAGCACTTTGCAGCCTGAATTAACAGAGTAACACCACAGACACATCAGAATGAAACAATAAAAACGACTACGATTGTTGCTAAATTATCTGTGTGTTTAGTATTCATTTTAGAATGTGAAGTATTTTTCAAAAGAAAATACTTCAGCAATATGAGGACAATTTAATGCTGATATTAAAATTATACAGTTTTTAAAATGTCAGCATAATAAAGTTGGTAACATAAATAATTCCTGCATGCATTGCTAAAGATTATCATTATTAAATTAAAACCTTATTGCTGTAAATTAAAACCAGCTCAGAATCCACTGATTTAGAGACTCTATAAAATATCATGAGACACTTAAATCTCATCTGAAAGCTCCCATTATAATCACAAATTACAATGAATACTGAAACCTGGTTTTCTAATTTATCAACTCATAACTTGTTTCTTGCCTTCCTGTTAAATTATCCTGCTTGATTCCAATGGAAACTTAAATTAATAGCTTTTAAATCTATATTTAAGAGTTTTTTTTAAAAAAGCTGAATTATAACGTAGGATAAAGAAAATTATATTTTAAAGTGAATATTCATAACTCCAGAGAAAATTCTAAAAATACCTTATTAATATGTAATATTAACATATATTAAATTTTCAATATCATTTTAGAAAAAGTAAAGGCATTTTTGGGTTTTTTTGTTTGTTTGTCTGTTTGTTTTGACAGAGTCTCACTCTGTAGTCCAGGCTAGAGTGCAGTGTCTCGATCTCAGCTCACTACAACCTCCGCTTCCCGGGTCCCCGTTCAAGCAGTTCTCCTGCCTCAGTCTCCCAAGTAGCTGGGATTACAGGAACGCGCCACCATGCCCAGCTAATTTTTGTATTTTTGGTAGAGATGGGGTTTCACTATGTTGGCCAGGCTAGTCTTGAACTCCTGACCTTGTGATCCACCGCCCTCAGCCTCCCAAAGTGTTGGGATTACAGGCACAAGCCACTGTACCAGCCTAAAAATAGAGATTTATAATGTAGTTATGTCAAAATCTGAAATCCCAAAGTTTTATTTAATTTTCATATATAGTATATAAATTTTTTTAAATATAATAAAAATCTTTAAAACCAGATTCTTATGTAAAAATAATGTGACAACTGATTAAGTTTGAATCTCTTTAATTTGCTGCATAAATTCAGTAGAAACAGTATATCTGTGGAATAGCAACCCTTCCTCCTGTAAGAACACTGATACCAATTCTTTCATTTCATTACATAATCATTTCCCCCAAAGAAAATGTAACCTCTACAAGAGCAAGGTATGCCTGGTACATAGTGAGTTCTCAATAAATATATGCTCAGTGAAGGCATGAATGAATAAACCATAATTTATTGATAAATTACTAGTGAGGTTGAAAGATGAATCAAGTATGTTCATTGAATCTGATCATTATTTTGCAATGCGAAATATTGGACTTTCCTCTTGGAGATGGCATACTAGAATATAGTAAGTTGGATTTAAACGGTGATTAAATTTCCTAAGCTTGTCTGTATCATAATACATTTAGGTAAGTTGTCCAATATTTACAACTAAATTTACAATAAAAACAAAAATTGAGCTTTGAGCTTTGCTAGATTTCTATACCAACATCGCTAACCTAAAATGCTATTTACCCAAAGGATTGTAAATCATGCTGCTATAAAGACACATGCACACATATGTTTATTGTGGCACTACTCACAATAGCAAAGACTTGGAACCAACCCAGATGTCCAACAATGATAGACTGGATTAAGAAAATGTGGCACATATACACCATGGAATACTATGCAGCCATAAAAAATGATGAGTTCATGTCCTTTGTAGGCACATGGATGCACATGGAAACCATCATTCTCAGCAAACTATCACAAGGACAAAAAACCAAACACCACATATTCTCACTCATAGGTGGGAACTGAACAATGAGAACATTTGGACACAGGAAAGGGAACATCACACACCGGGGCCTGTTGTGGGGTGAGGGGAGGGGGGAGGGATAGCATTAGGAAATATACCTAATGTAAATGACGAGTTAATGGGTGCAGCACACCAATATGGCACATGTATACAGATGTAACAAACCTGCACATTGTGCACATGTACCCTAGAACTTAAAGTGTAATAAAATATATATATATATAGTCAGTGACCTTGGGGAAAAAAAAACTATTTAGAGAAGGTTTTCACAAATCAATGATTTACATTAAAAAAAATTTCTTTCTTTCTTTCATCTTTCTTTCTCTTTCTGTCTCTCTTCCCCCTCATTTCCTCCTCCCTACCTCTCTTCCTTTCTTTTCTTTTCTTTTTTGTTTTTAACTTGATGGCCTGTATATATATAAATGATCCTACTTGAATAAGAAGCTGTGTTTCCAAAGGGCTTTTATGACAAATAGTAACAAAATATTCCAAACTCTTTCTGGTCTATTTATGAAACCAATAGTCAATTTATGAAACCAGTCTGCTATGTGACAATTACATAAATTACTGCCACCATGCATACACCGGTCCCATTTGTCATAGGAGAGCAAACAGCTGGTGGAATTCTTTTCCATCTTTTGGAAACAATCTTTATAACACAATTTGATGTGAATACATGTACGCAGTTAATTAAAACTCCCTTAATTTTACTTTTCTGCATAACTGTAAAACACTGCAAAGTATTATTACATTACCCATTTCTTCCCTCATTAATAAAATATAAAAAGAATTAAACTAATATAATGCATACAGAAAATTATAAAGCTATAATTTTACTGTTACTTGATAGAGGTATTTATTGCTAAGTGGGAGAGAAAATATAAAAATCTCATGTTCATCTTTAGTATTTAAGTATAGCCTGTTTTAGCAACTAGAGAAGACCAAAACTTTTCCAAAAATAATTAATTAAAGATGTATTCAAAACCAAATATTAAGCCACGGGCATAGAAGTGACTTAGAAATAAATTAATTTCTCCCTCTGATATTTTAATCATCTGACTTCTATAATTTTAGGGACTCAAATTTTATAGCCACGCAGAAAGAGGACATGTTTAAACAAAACAGAACTCTTTGTAGAGTTTGTCATCTCTAAATGCTTAGATTTTAGTGTGAAATGAATGAAGTCATTCTACATTTTTTATTTAAATAAAATAGCTTAGAATTTAGCAACGAGTGCATGCTTATTATTCAAAAGCGACATAGAAAAGATAAAAAGATATAAACAATTAAAATGTTTTAAAAGAAATGTTTAACGGGCCAGGCATCGTGGCTTATGCCTATACTCCCAGCACTTTGGGAGGCCGAGGCAGGCAGATCACTGGAGGTTGGGAGTTCAAGACCAGCCTGGCCAACATGGTGAAACCCCATCTCTACTGAAAATACAAAAATTAGCTGATGTGGTGGCACACACCTATAATCCCAACTACTTGGGAGGCTGAAGCAGGAGAATCACTTGAACCCAGAAGGCAGAGGTTGCAGTGAGAGGAGATCGCATCACTGCACTCCAGCCTGGGTGACAGAGCGAGACTCCATCTCAAAAAAAAGAGAAATGTTTAATGGGATGCTTACTTATCCAAATGCAGAGAAGAAAATACAGAGTGATGAAATAAAACAAAAAGTAGTTTAACTCCATGACTTGGTCTGGGTTCGCCTATGATGTTGGTTTTTGAATTTTCTATTGGGCTGTTTTGAACTAGACTTAACACCTTCAAGAATGCCAGGGACATTGGAGTTTATCTCAACTCAGATGACAGGAATAATGTACTAATGGTACAACTGTTCGTATAAGAAAATAAGACACAATTCTGTGACTTGTTGATTTGGAAGAATCCGTAATCTTGAGAAAAGCACTGAGTAGTAGTTCAAAAATCAAGTACTTGTTAGGCAGGCAATGTGTTCCATTCTGGCGCCAATGCGTACAATGATCAATGTTGTTCAGTTTCTTTAATGCTAAGAACACCAATTTCCTCATAGGCAACATGAGCTAGTGATAAGGGCTATATGTGAAAGATTTAGCTCAGTGCTTGGCACAAATAGGTTAACAAAAGCAGCTCTAGTGATAGCTAAGAAAATTGCCCACATAACAGTGGGTAGTAAACTTGATTTGGGAGCATTTGGTAAGTTTGCCTTTAAAAGCAACTAAATAAAGCACAGAAAAATTGTGCAAGTACAAACTGAGGACATGAGAGGGGCATTTGTTTAATTCCTTTCACTTTTATGTGATGGTTAATATCATTATTTAAATGTGACACGAGAGTCATGGTTAAAAAAAGATCCATATATTTGCTTTTGAGAGGAAATAAGATAAAAAGATGGATTTATATATCTTTCTTGAGAATGCTGTATCTCAGTTTTTCTTTTCATATTCAAACTGAAGCTGCGAACGTTTGCGACTGAGATGGGGACTCTGTAAAGAAAAATAACTTCAATTTCATGAAACTTATTGTAGCTGATCATCTCTATGGAGTGCGGGATTTAAATCCCTTTGGTAGTTTTAATTACTCAAGTTCCCAGGAGACCAAGCCCTCTCTGGAGTAGTGACAGAAGAATCTGAGCTGATTCTGTGCTGGTTCACAGGAGTCAATTAAAGAAACCAATTACAGTTCCAAATGGTGTGAACACAGATTGACCTAATTTGATCTCTGTTAAACAGGTACGCACACAACCCCATTTCCAGAACAAACTTAAACTTAGGAAAGAAACATGAAATGAATCCTCTCAACTAAGTTCAACCAACAAAAAAAAAAAAAAAAAAAAAAAAGGAAAAAAACCCCAGTAGGCATTATTTAAAATTGTACTGATGATATACAAAATGTGTACTCAATCCATAAATCACAATTTCTACTCTTTGTTCCTACTTTTATTTTCCATGGGTAGATCCTTTTATTATTATTATTGTTAATCTAATTATTGTGTCTTCAAATTAATTAATGGCATTGCCTTAATTAATCTGCAATCCCATATGTTAAGTAGAGTGCCTCTTTATGAACAAGGAAAGGGAAACAGGCTGGGTGCGATGGCTCACACCTGTAATCCCAGCATTTGGGGAAGACAAGGTGGGCAGATTGCTTGAGCTCAGGAGTTCCGCACAGCCTGAGCAACATGGCAAAACCATGTCTCTACAAAATATACAAAAAAAATGACCACCAGATGTGATGGTGCACCTGTAGTCCCAGCTACTCGGGAGACTGAGGTGGGAGAATCCCTTGAGCCTGGGAGATCAAGGCTGCAGTGAGCAGAGATCGCACCACTGCACTCCAGCCTAGGTGACAGAGCCAGACCCTGTGTCAAAAAGCAAAGCAAAACAAACAAACAAACAACAAAACAAAACAAAACAAAAATACATTTAAAAAACATCTCTGAATAAGGGGCCAGAACTACACATGTATCAACAGCAACTATTTTAAACGGCAAACATTAAAGGAAATTTTAATAAAAGGAACAAAGAAGAGAATACTTACTTTCAACATTATTTAACATGACCTTTCAGATTTTAGCAAACAGAAAAAGAACAAGTTAACAGCATGAACCGTATAAATGAAAAGATATAGTTATTTCTGTTGATATAATCATATACAAGACAAACTGAGTAACAAGAAAAAGTAGAAACTAGCATTAATATTAGCATTTGGAAAACTAGCTGGCCACAATTAATTACCTTTAAAACATAATATATTTTTCTAGTCCAGTAATTAAGGGGAAAACAGAAACACAGTAATGATTTACAGTAAGAAAATAATATAGTCATCAAGAGCCATGAATAGTATCTAAGTATATGAAAAGTTAGCTTTTGATGAAAAACTATAACTAAAATTGTTCATGTGTATGAATGCGTGTATGTGTCATTCCATCCAATTCCAATGTAATGATTTTATTTCTAACTTGGGCAAAATAATCTTAAAATGCACTGAGAAAACAAATCACACAAATAGCCAAAATGCGGAAAAATATAATGGCTACAGAGTGTGCAGGGTAAAAGAACTTGTCTTGACAGGTACAAAAATGTACATCATGGCCGGGCGTTGCACCTCAGGCCTGTAATCCCAGCACTTGGAGAGGCTGAGGCAGGTGGATCACTTGCGGTCAGGAGTTCGAGAACAGCCTGGCCAATGTGGTGAAACCCGGTATCTCCTAAAAATACGAAAATTAGCCAGGCGTGGTAGTGAGCACCTGTAATCCCAGCTACTCAGGAGGCTGAGGCAGGAGAATCATTGAACCCAGGAGGCGAAGGTTGCAGTGAGCTGAGATTGCACCACTGCACTTCAGCCTGGGAGACAGAGTAAGACTCCATCTCAAAAAAAAAAAGTACATCCTGATCACCATCACAAGCTCCATATATATCCATACAGGGTTGCAGAGAAAATTTGAGTGAACAAACTAGAAGATTAGAATTAGACGTCAGGGTGAATCTTTTCATCCTTTTGCTCTCAATATAAACAGCATTGTTTCTGTCTCTCCTTTCACATTTTCTCCTTTGTAGAGCCTCAGCAGCACACCCTGCACACAGCTAGCTCCCCTTAGCCAACGCAGTGCATAGTGCTTATTAGGAACAGCGCACCTCACTCGGGACAGACACAACCATGCACCAGGGCAGAGCTTGTAGAGTTGACCTTGATTTCAATCTTCCTTTGTCCCTGTCTGATGTGTTTTGCAGCAGCTGTAAACCCACACAACTGTATCTGTGGGCTTTTCCTTCAAAGCACCAATCCTCTGTGTGACCAAAAATTGAACACAACTCCGCCCATAAACACCAGTTATACTTATCCTTCAAAGCATTAATTATAACTGTAATTCTACTTTAATGTCTTTTTAAAAAATGTATTTCCATAGGTTTTTGGGGGAAAGGTGGTATTTGGTTACATGAGGAGTGTACACTAAACCTAAGATGTAGTGGTGCGCACAAATCACCACTACCCTGAGTCCACAAAGTCTATTGTATCATTCTTATGCCTTTGCATCCTCATAACTTAGCTCCCACTTATGAATAAGAACATATTTTAATGTCTTAAAATAATTTTCCTTACTAGAATATAAGCTCCATGAGGAACAGGAATGCAACTATCTTGTTCATTTTGGATTCCCAGTGGCTGAAACTATGATGGTGCGACATTGATTTTTTAAGTACGTAAGATAAAAAGATGAATTAATCACAAAGTTATGTCTCTAATGGTAGAAATTTCAGACACATCTGTGGATCTTTGTTCTCTGTGGCCTTCCAATCGAAACCGTCTGCCTAGTTTATGAATTTCTCCAGGTCTGAGCTGACTCACAATGCAGAAGTCAGATGGTGTCCTAACTCCCTTGCATGTCAGGTGTACACCAGATGACCCAATTTCTAGTGATACTGGACAGCCTACAGGGAGATTTGGTTCCAGAAGTGAATGACTTGCTGGCCGGGTCACTGGGCTCCTGGCTTCTCCTGGGAAGATGTTAGGCTGAATAGCAGCAACAGAAATGGCATTTCTGCTTTCCAACGGCAAGAGTCAAAGGTGGCAAGCAACCTGCTATTTGTACTATAAAAGCTCCCAAAATGTGGATGAATTTCTTTTTCAGGCTGCATAAGCTTTAAAACCTAACTTTCTGATACCCCAGGATATTCTCTGAATTTTGCACTCTTGGATAAGAAAATCTTTTGCTGCCTAAGGTAGTAAGTGTGAATTCTATTTATTGCACCAAAAAAAAAAAAAAAAAAAGACTGCATGTGTTTGTTAGAACTGCCATGTCAGCATATCACCATTTGATTGGCTTACTCAACAGAAATTTATTGCCGTACAGTTCTGGAGGCCAGAAGTGTGAGATCAGGAGGGTGCTCTCGCTGAAGGTGTGAGGTCAAGATCTGTTCCAGCCTTTTTTCTTAGTTTCTGGTAGTTTCTTAGTGGAATAAATCCACTCTCTGCTTCTGTCTTACTTGACCTTCTCCCTGTGAGTCTTTATGTCCAAATGTTTCCTTTTCATAAAGAGACACTGGTCATGTTGGATTAAGGATCCATGTTATTCTGATATGACCTAATCTTAACTTAACTACATCTGCAATAACCTTACTACAAAATATGGTTATATTCTAAGGTATTGGGAGGTAGGGTGTGGGAAGGGCTTTGTCATATACATTTTTGAGGGTACATAAGTCAAATCATAATAAAGGCTGATGGACACAGATGCCATGCAGGCTTGTGTGAAAAATCATGGAGATGATAGTTGCTAGTGGCATATCCAGGGACCCCCTCCACTTAGATGATAACGTTTCCCTTCTTTACACAAGATTGTTAAATATGGTTTTCTATTCTGTTATGTTCTAACTGTCCACTCCCACCATGAGCAATTTGGTCTGTCCTAGGTGGTTGTTACAGGCATACTTGATGTCATGATATCTTTCAAGGGCATTCTGCTAGCACAAAAGTGTTGCTGTCAGGGAGTCACTGTGAAGCTGTCCAGATTCATGGCAAATATGATGAACGACAATGTCACATGTGTGCTGGAGCCCTTACAAGTGCTTGTAAATCATTGAGTCCTTATTATAATGTGGATTTTCAAGAGCATTTTCCAGAGATGACTTTTCGAGGTTGAATGTTCCAACCTGTGTCTATTGTTGTTGTTTTTTTTTTTTTTTTTGGAGTTTATAGACTGGTACCATGCAAACTAGGGTATTCATGGAGTGGCTAAATATATGAGTTTCATGGTGCCCTAGATTCTGATTGTGTGTATTCCTGCAGGTGAATCTCCAGTTTTCTAGGTCTAAGCACTCATTGTACATTCCAAAAATAATGCTGTATTAAATGAGCTACCTAGCTGCCCTGCTGATAAATAAGCAAAGCAGCAAAATATGCTCCATTTCAATTATATTACCTATGGCTCCAATGGTCATGATCAACGCCTACGTTTCCCAAACTGCCATGTGTATTTCAAACACTAACCCAAATTAACTTTGTGCCACATTTGTGGATGGCACTGAGCCTTGTCTGAGCCAACACCAGTGTTCCCAGAGTAACTAATCTGCTTCATTAATTTCTGTACAGTGAGAGGGCATAAAAGAGGCACACAAGATTTGTTAAAAGTCTCTATACAAAGCTGAACAAGAGACAGAGAATGGGGAAAATGAAGTGATTATGTGGAGATTCTTTGAATTTCTATTGCCAGGAGCTAAAGGTGGCTGCGAATGCATTAAGGAGGGAGGCTATAAATGAGTCCTTCAGGATTTCTCAAGCATGGACCAATAAAAAGTTTATAGCAGCCCTACAACATCGTTCTGTCTTCTTCTTTATTTACTTCATCCAATTTGCCATTTTTATTAAGTTGGCCTCTTTTAGCTCCCTTTAAGGGTCTTAATTACACGTATACAGAAATGTCACAGGCAGGGGTTTAAGAAGAGAATGCTATTAAAATGGGATCGCATCATGATTTGGCATTTGCATGCTGGCCACAGGAGTGGAAGTGTTGGAAAGAGCTCTCAGGACCTGTGGACATTTATACACACTGTTTTTACCGTGTGTGGTGTTAATCTCTGAGCTAACAGCTGGCTGAGGTGATGGTGATATGGAGCATGCTTGCAAATATCAGAAGTCTAGGCATTTTTTGAAATGGAATGGTCTAACTTGAATTTTCAAGTGTAGCTGCTTTATCTTCATGAAAACCATGTGCAGTCTCTGAATCATTTTCCTAATTATATAATAGGGGTTTGCCCCTCATCACGAATATTCTGGTCATGTTATTAATATTGTGGCCACAAATATTTTGAATCCTAAAACTATGGTCAACTTATGGATTTTTGTTTAATATGTTTTGGTGATTCCTTTAGAGCAGGGGATCCCCAACCCCCTGGCCATGGACTGGTACCAGTCTGTGGCCTGTTGAGAAGTAGACCACGGCCAGGTGCAGTGACTCACACCTGTAATCTCAGCATTTTGGGAGGCCAAGGCAGGCAAATCACTTGAGGTCAGGAGTTCAAGACCAGCCTGGCCAACATTGCAAGACCCCATCTCTACTAAAAATACAAAAATTAGCCAGGTGTGCTGGCAGGTGCTTGTAATCTCAGCAACTTGGGAGCCTGAGGTAGGAGAATTCCTTGAACCCAGGAGGTAGAGGTTGCAGTGAGCCAAGATCACGCCACTGCACTCCAACCTGGGCAACAGAGTGAGACTCTGTGTCAAAACAAACAAAACAAAACAAAACAAAACAAAAAAAACCAGGCAGCACAGCAGGAGGTGAAAGGCGGACCAGCAAACAAGGCTTCATCTGTATTTCCAGCCACTCCCATTGCTCTCATTACCAACTAACTTCCGCCTCCTGCAAGATCAGCAGAGGCATTTGATTCTCATAGGAGTGCAAACCCTATTGTGCAGTGTGCTCCTTATAAGAATCTAATGCCTAATGATCTGTCACCATCTCCCATCACCCCGAGATGGGACTGTTTAGTTGGCAGAAAACAAACGCAAGGCTCCCATGGATTCTACATTCTGGAGAGTTGTGTAATTATTTCATTGTGTCACAATAGAATAATAATAAAAATAAAGTACAGAATAAATGTAATGCCCTTGAATCATCCCAAAAACATCTCTCCCAACTCCCAGTCCATGGAAGAATAGCCTTCCAAGAAACTGGACCCTGGTGCCAAAAAGGTTGGGGACCACTTTTTTAGAGGATTGACTTTTCTCAACCAACTTATACACATGATATCTAGAAATGCTTTCATAGACTTCTTAGGAGGATTTTATGAGCCCTATATGCATTTTCCTCTCACTGCTACAACATGCAGCTGGTTACATCCCAACACTAATGATTTGTGTTTAGGATTTTGACAATATCTGAAAAGACAGAATCATTAATGCCATCGTATTTCTAAAGACAGTACACTACACAAAATGTTTATAAAATGAACATAAATATATTATCCACCATCAAGTCAAAATATCCTAAAAGAAGAACCATAATATGTGTTTAACATTAGAAATAAGCACCATATCAAAAATCTGCTGATCTAAGTTTAGTCATGACTTTCTAGCTTATGTAGTTGTTTTTAAAATTAGATAGATAAGAGATACACACACATAGATGATAAATAGATATAGATGGATATATAGAGAGATAGATAGAGATAAATGCATAGATGAATGAATGAATAGATAAATACATTCATAGATAAATAGAGATGGATAGGTGGATAGATAGATAGATATGGATGGAGAAATAGAAAGATAGAGATGGATGGATAGATAAAATGAATAAGTACATGCAAGATAAATGGAGATGGTGGATAGATATAGATAGATAGATAGATAGATAGATAGATAGATAGATAGACAGATATGGATGAAAAGATAGAAAAATAAGAGATGGATGGTTGATAGAAGACAGATAGATTGATGATAGTTGGATAGATAGATAGATGATTAGATAGGTAGGTGATAAACACAATAACTGAGTAACTAATGTGGTGAATAGACTCCAGTGTGGCCTCCATGACCCTACCTCCTGGTATTCACACTCTTGTGTAATCCCCTTACAGTGTGAGTGGGACTTTTTTCTTGCTCTAACCCATACACTGCCAAATATAATTTGATTAAAATTACCTTCTATGGCAATTCTTTGATTAGATTATCTTTTATGGCAATTATGATGGTGCTGTCCATGAAATATTTGTGTCCCCTCAAAATTCATATGTTGAGACCTTAACCCCCAAGGTAATGATATTTTGAGTTGGGGCCTTCAGGAGGTGATTAAGCTCCCATGATGGGATTTGTTTCCTTAGAAGAAGAAGAAGTGACACCAGAGGTTATTCTCCCTGTCTTTGTCTTCCATGGGAGGATGCAGGAAGAAGGTGGACATAAGAGGAAGAGGGAGGCCTCATCAGGAACTGAATCCTTGATCTTGATCTTGGACTTCCAGCCTCTAGAACTATGAGAAATATGTTTGTTGTTTAAGCCTCTCAGTCTATGCTGTTTGTTACAACAGCCCAAGTTGCTTAAGACAGATGAAATAAGACTTCATTGTATTAGTTGACTGACTCTAGAATTTGCCTTTTTTTCTCTTGCTAACTTTGAAGAAGAAAGACACCATGTTGTGGATAGACATATGGGGAGCTTATGTGGCCTCTGTTCGCTCACAGTGGCCTTCAGCCCACAGCCAGCTCACAGCCAGCTAGAAGCCACTGCAGGATTTCTTCAGTCCTACAGCTATGAGGAAATAAATTGTGTCATCAACCTCAGTGTGCTTGCAAATGATTCTATCCACAGTCAAGCTTTCAGATGAGAATGCACCCCTGGCTAATACTTTATCTGCAACCTTGCAGAAGACCTAGTGACCATGCACCCAGCCTTTGACCCGCAAAAACAGTGAACTGATAAATGGAGGTTATTTTAAGATGCTGAATATGTGATGATTTATTATGTAAATTAGACCCATGTTTTGAGTGCAATGTGTTCTCAGTGAACACATTATGTTACCAGAGGATAAAAAGTCACATGTTCATAGTTGACCCTGTATTTTCTGTATTTATGAATTTTATGAATTTAACCTCATCTTATTTTTTTAAAAATATTCCTAAATCATTCTATTATAAAGATACGTGCATGTGTATGTTGACTGCAATATTCACAATAGCAAAGACATGGAATCAACCCAAATCTCAATCAATGATAGACTGGATTAAAAAAATGTGGTACATATACACCATGGAATACTATGCCATAAAAAGGAAAGAGATTATGTCCTTGGCAGGAACATGGTTGGAGCTGGAAGCCATTATCCTCAGCAAACTAATGCAGGAACAGAAAACCAAACACTGCATGTTCTCACTTAAAGTGGGAGCTGAACAATGGGACCATATGGACACATGAAGGGGAACAACACACACTGGGACCTGTCAGTCAGGGAGAGAGGAAAGAGACTATCAGGAAGAACAGTTAGTGGGTGCTGGGCTTAATATCTAGGTGATGGGATGATCTGTGCAGCAAACCACCATGGCACACGTTTACCTATATAACAAATCTGCACATCCCACACATGTACCCCAGAACTTAAAAAAAAGTTGATATTAAAAAAAGACATGATTTGTGAGGCCGAGACGGGCAGATCACAAGGTCAGGAGATCGAGACTATCCTGGCTAACACAGTGAAACCCTGTCTCTGCTAAAAATACAAAAAATTAGCCAGGCGTGGTGGCCTGTAGTCCCAGCTACTCGGGAGGCTGAGGCAGGAGAATGGGGTGAACCCAGGAAGTGGAGCTTGCAGTGAGCCAAGATCATGCCACTGCACTCCAGCCTGGGCGACAGAGTGAGACTCCGTCTCAAAAAAAAAAAAAAAAAAAAAAAAAAAAAGACATATTTTAACTTAAAAATTTTTTATTCCTTTAAAAATTTTCTTCTCTTTTCCTTTTTTTGCTAACATGGCAATAAAATATGTGTTTGAAGATGATGTCAACACTTTTTTCAGAATCAAACTGATGTTGTTTCTTTATTTCTTGCCAACACCACATTACTCAAATTTCTATATATTTTGCTGTTTGAAAGTTCCATTTTCGTGTATTCATTCTTTAATTTCATATTGTCCTCGGGTGCTATTACCTCATAATGTTTCCTCAAAATTTTAGGATATCTTGTCAATTTCTACAAAATAATAAACATTTTCTTTGGGATTG
The DNA here is from genome assembly GCF_000001405.40 of Homo sapiens. Classification (NCBI taxonomy): domain Eukaryota; kingdom Metazoa; phylum Chordata; class Mammalia; order Primates; family Hominidae; genus Homo; species Homo sapiens. The sequence continues at coordinate 4,969,530 of NC_000023.11, forward strand.
CATTGCTTTTGATATAAGATGATGTGTCATTTTTACACTATTGAGTTTTCCTATCTACATATATTCATACTTCTCCATTTATTTCTATTTTCTGCTACTTTTCAACAATATTGGGAGCTTTCTCTTTAAAAGTCTTGTACATTCTTGTTATAATCTTAGCTGATTAAGAAAATATTTTAAACATTAAATGTGCAGACACTAAGAGCTAATTTTGCTTCTAATCATTTTTTAAAAGATATAACTCCCCCCAAAATTCCCACTCCTCGCTTCCACCACATATTACTACTTTCCTAATTATTCTCTTTTTTTTAATATTTTTTAAAAATTTAAAATTATTTATGTATCCTAAAGAAAACATATCTGATTGATTTCAATTCTGGCATATGAAACATATTATCTTCTCCATTTATGCACATATGTTTCTGCTGATTGCTTCTTTAGCTCAAATATATGCCTCTGAGATTTGGTCTTGGTAAATATAAACCTATTTGCTCCAATAACTCTGTATAATATTCCACTATATGAATAAATAAGAGATATTTTTCTCCATTCCTCCACTGATGTACATTTAAGGTTTTTCCAGTTTTTCCCTATTTAAAAGCTGATTGAAATGAGCAACTTTGCTCTGCATGAGAAAGGGTTGAGTTGAAAATGGAATTGCTAGTTGAACAACACAGTGAGACAATTCAAAGCATGTGTGTGTTGCTGCCTTGTAAGGAAGAGGACAATATATAGCTTCCTGGAAATATATCTTCCTACATCTTCCACGAAAGAAATGTAGCTTTCCACATGGACACATATGATCACACGAGAACAAATGACTGCATCTTCCTACTATGGATTCAGTGCCAACTCCACACTGTTTTCCAGTTTTTATAATAAATATATTTGGAAAAGGGCTCATAAATGTTAATTTAAAGGATTTTTCCACTGGAGATCTTATTAATATTCACTAAAAGTCAAATATTCTATTTGGCCAAACTTCTCTACAAATTCCTTAAGGCTAGGCATATTCACTTCATTTTTTTTTTCTTTAGAGACAGGGTCTTGCTGTGTTGTGCAGCCCTGAGTCAACTGGTGAGATTATAGCCCACTGCAGCCTCGACTTCTTGGCTTCAAGTGATCCCCCTGCTTCAGCCTCCAGAGTAGCTGGGATCCAAGGTGCGCACTACCATGCTCAGCTATTTTTTATTTTTTGTAGAGTTAGGGGTCTTGCTATGTTGCCCGACTATTCTTCAACTCCTGGGCTCAAGTGATCCTTCTGCTTCGGCCTCCCCAAAGTGCTGGGGTTACAGGCATGAGCCACTGCACATGTCCTCACTTTCATTTTATGGCAATGATTAGTAAAGTGCATTTCACATGAAATGTGCCATCCAAATTGGGTATTAATATGAATAGTTTATTTTTTCTATGGAAATCATATTTGGCAAAAAAAGATGTTTTCCATTTTACAAATTATTACATTTTTCTTCATTGTGCCTTTCTGTAAATAGCTAAAAAGGGAATCAACTACAACTTTTGCTATAGCTATCATGTTTAGCACAATCAGTGGTTTTCTTTACCAGTTTATATGAGTTATAAAATTTATCTACATGGGTCTCTGTTTTATAATTTCCCTCTTAGTAAAAGAGAAAAATCAGATATTTCTCTGATGACAATGGAAATTCTAAAGATGATGTTTTTAGTGTGTCTTCTATTCTTTCTCAAGCATCATGCTGGACATTCAACAAAATGAATCATTTTGATATTTCAGAAAAAAAGATTCGACGTAACCTACTAAGAAGCTGCCAAATGGATCAAGCACAGTTATTTTCAGGACTAGCCTTCTGCAAAGAAAATTTTGGTAATAAATGAATAGCACAACTGCATTTCAAATCATTAATCTCAATGTCAGCTTTCAAGAAATGCAAGATATATGAACAGTAGCTATGTTGTCATGGGATTTATGCTGTCCACACCACACTGGAGTTTGCAGCCTCTCATCTTCTGTTAACACTACCCACCCCACCATCGTTCACTGTCAGAATATCCCTGTAGCAGCCACCACAGCCCCAGATGCTTGCCCAAGAAACAATCTTTTTAAGAGGGAGAAAAAGTGGGTGGTGAGTAACTTTTAATTTCTGCATAAAGATGAAAAGATATATTTTACATCAAAAAGCAAAAAAATTGTCATGACTTTAAGCCAACAATCCTTATATGTGGTTGTGTGTTTATTTATTAGGGCTGCTGTTCTCTGAATATTGGAACAAGCTATGTTGCCTTGGATGGATAGCAGAAACTTCAGTAAGAATTCATCTGCATCATGGAACGAAAACATTCTGCTGCCAATAGTCAAGGAGAAATTAGACAGGCATAGTAAACACAGAATTGGCTCAGCTCTTTCCTTTCTTCTAATCTGATTTTGTATTTTTCTCCTGGAACATCAAGCCATAAACTCTTCTCTAATTCTCTTGGGTCAGTTGCTTCAGGGAATGTGGCTTAACGATGCTTTAAGATTAGAAAGAACTTTGAACTTGGATTATATTTAAAAGTATAAGTGGGAGCTAGAAGAGGAGAACTCATGGACACAAAGAGTGGAACAACAGACACTGGGGTCTACTTGACAGTGGAGGGTAGGGGGAAGGAGAGAAGCAGAAAAAATAACTAGTGAGTTCTAGGCTTAGTGCCTGAGTGACAAAATAATCTGTACAACAAACCCCGTGACACATAACAAACCTGCACATGCACCCCTGAACCTAAAAGTTTAAAAAACTGCAATTTTATTAATCACAAATTATTTATCTTCAATTTTATGAATAGTAACATGCCTTCAACAGCTTGCTTTCTTTTAATGACACAGCCTTTGAAAGTTATATTTCTATCAGGATGCTGTCCTATTACTCTACATTGAGCAAGTCTTCTTGATTAGACTTCAATGAAAAGCTCCTTTGTTTTCCCTGAACAGCTCATAAAATATTTCAGGAAAACATACATTGAAGTTGAAGATGTAGTCATTCAGACAAACAGAATTAGTATTTGTGAATATGTATGCACAATTATATAAAAAATATAAAAATAAATAATACTACATATATGTGTGTGCATCTATACTCTTAAATATAGGGTCAATTCTGCGACAAGAATAAAAAATGAAAACACAAGTAAGTTTTACTTTATTTTTCCTTATTCAAGGTGGCCCTAGATTTATTTTCTCCACAACTGAAATGAAATATTTGTTGATATAGATGTTTCTAAATAGAGGCAAATCCCTAGTTACAAATAGACAATGTTAAAGAATTTTTTTAAAAAAAAGGCTAACTAGATTGTGGGTGTAACCTTCATAAATTCACGGTTTAAAATTAGTAACCTTCCAACACTACAAATTACACAAATGCTATCACATAAAAGATGATGTTTTGTGTGAAAGGTTGAGGATCTGCTGTGGTTTAAATGTTTATGTCTTCCCAGATATTCATACGTTAAAGTCTTAACCTCCAAGATGACGATATTAAAACGAGGGGTCTTTGGGAGCTGATGACGTCAGGAGGGTGGAGACTTGCGAATAGGATGAGTGCCCTTATAAAAGCGGCCCCTGAGAGTTCCCTTGTCCTTCCACCGTGTGAGGATACAGTGAGAAGCCTCCATCTCTGTGAATCAGGAAGTGAGTCCAGCAGACACTGAATCAGCCATGCCTTGATCTTGGACTTCCAGCCTCCAGAACTGTGAGCAATAAACATCTGTTGTTTATAAGTCATGCAGTCTCTATGGTATTGTGCTATAGTAGCCTGAATAGGCTGAGACAGGATCTTTCATGGAAGGTATGTATAGGGAGGTCATTTCTAATTCAAGGGAAAGAAGAACCATTAAACTGAGGAGGTCAGGCATGCTCCAATCAGCTTGAGATGACACATTCCCGTCCTCAGCCACAGGTTACTCAGGTGCAATTGATCACTTCCTGTGTTGAAGGGTCCTGGGGCATTCAATGATTAGAAATATTCAAGCTCTCCTGGGTTCCTCCAGTGCAGATAGTCAGTGGTGAGGGAAGGATCTGCCTAGCGTGACAAGCCTTCCTCATGCTCAATGCCAGCCTATGACTTGCAGCCTTGCTCTTGGCTTTATTCCTTACATTGAAAATGTCCTTGCCTTCTGTGGCAAGACAAACTTCCAAATATTTTAGCAAATCAGAAAAAGGAAAAAATGAAATGAATAACTGATGATTTAACATTAGCAAATGGATCCATGTGTAATATGGTTTAGCTGTGTCCCTACCCAAATATCCTCTTGAACTGTGGCTCCCATAATTACCATATTTCATGGGAGACACCCGGTGAGATCTAACTGAATCATGAGGGAGGGTCTTTCCCATGCTGTTCTCGTGATAGTGAATAAGTCTCATGAGATGTGATGATTTCATAAAGGGGAGCTCCCCTGCACACGCTCTCTTGCCTGCCACCATGTAAGACATGACTTTGCTCTTCATTTGCCCTCTGCTATAATTGTGAGGCCTCCCCAGCCATGTGCAACTGTGAGTCCATTAAACCTCTTTCCTTTATAAATTACCCAGTCTCGGGTATGTCTTTATTAGCAGCATGAGAATGAACTAATACAATGTGCCACTTCAAATTTGTATCTGGATCATGAATTTTCACCAGATTCCTCCTCTGTCCCCCCAAAATTTTGCATCTAACCTAATTTTTCATTTCCATACATTTTAGCTTGCATGAATGCTTTTGTAAATTCCATGTCAATGAATTCTTCTGTTTTAAAAATTTATATGAATAAAGTTAGGTGAATATGTTTTTCCGCACAAAGACTTCCTGTTCAAATATTCCTTTTTTAAAAAAATTGGTCCATGTTGATGTGTATAGTGGGTTCTTTCTTTTTCACAGTTGTATGATATCCCATTAAAATAATAATCATGATTTTTTTTGTCTTTTTTGTGTCCTCATGATTTAGTTTTCCTTTTTGTAAAGTGAAAAGCTGGATTTTAAAAATGTTTAGTTCTGCTCAACAGTCTTTATCTTTAACTAGAAAGCATTCACACTGCTTTCATTTACATTGAGTATTATTCTTAAAAAGTTGGAATTTTTTGTCCTCTTATGCTGTGAATTTCTAAATATCTTAATTTTTCTGTTTCTGTTTTTTTTTTAATTTGAATTGTTTGAAGTTTACTTGTTTTATTATTTCACTGAATTTCCTTGCCCTGACATTCTCATGCTGGAAGTTGTATTATACACCACCCACCACATACACTTCCCTTATAATGCATCAATTTCTATTATACCCATTCACATGTGTAGGTCAATATTACCTAGAAATTTTACTGTATAATATTTTAATTAAATAAATAATCATAATATATCAGGTTAATGATTTTATAATTACATTTTACTCTATCCACAGATGTACCACTGTCAATTACAACTAATGACAAGATGTGATTTTTGTAAAATGTTTTCTATTCTCACTATATTTATTGTGCTTAAGACTTTGCTAGACAAACCATGGATATTTTGTTTTATTTTATTTTATTTTGTTTGAGACAGGGTCTTACTCTGTCACCCAGGTTGGAGTGCAAGCATGATCATGGCTCACTGCAGCCTCGACCTCCCAGGCTCAAGTGATCCTCCCACCTCAGCTTCCCAAGTATCTAGGACTACAGGTGTACACCATCATGCCTTGATAATTTTTTTAAATTTTTTATTTTAGTAGAGATGACGTCTTGCTATGTTGCCCAGGCTGGTCTCAAACTCCTAGGCTCAAGTAATCTCCCGCTTCATTCCCCAAAATGCTGGGATTACAAGCATGAGCAACTGTGTCCAGCCTGTTTTATTTTTTATAATGACTATTTCAAATGTTTTAATAATGAGTGGTAGTATATTAAAAAATCTTAGTATGTATAAAGAAGATATATCAGTTATTAGAAAGTTTGAACTTATGATATTTAAAAATGTGGTGACATATATCACAAAATCTTGCCATTTCAAGAACGTTATATAAATGGAGTGATATTGTATGTGACATTTTGAGAGTGGTGTTACTTATTCAGCCAAATGCCCTCAGGGTCCATCCAGTTGTTGTGTGAACTAGTCATTCATTTATTTTTATTTTTGAATAATATTCCACTGCATGGATGTATTCCAGTTTGTTTAACCACTCATTCAGTGTCATTTTGGTTGTTTCCAATTTTATGCTAGTATCAAAAGCAATTTTTAAAAGATACATTATTGATATGTAAGTGCTTAATTGATTTTATTTTGTTTTCTTTTCAGTTTGTTCCTCTGTTCTTCATTTCCCTGTTTTTTTTTCCTAATTGCCTTCCTCTGGGTTACTTACAGTTATTTTCTAATTAAACATTAGTTTATTTACAGTGCTTATATGCATATGGCTCATCACCACCTGCTAGTCTCAGCATCTTACTTGTTTGAGAGAAGGGTAGAAATTTTCCTTTCCTTTATCTCTCTTTACCTTTCCCTATCTATAATACAATTATCTTAATTATATATTCAACATGCATTCACAACCACATAATACAATGCTATACTTTTTTTGCTTCAACTATTAAACATAATTTAGAAAAATCAAGGAAAGAAGAAGAGGCCATTGTATTAACTGAAATGTTTTCTCTTTCTGTTATTTTGTCTTCCTTCCTGGTATTCCAATTTTCTTTCTTTATTGTTTACTTTATGTTTTAAAACTTTAAGTAGTTCTTCAAGGGTAGGCTTGTTGGAGACAACATCTCTTAGTTTTCCTTCACCTATGTCTAGGGTTCTACATTAATTCATAAACAAATGTGTTAGCTAGATATATAATCATGTGTTGACAGTGATTTGTATTCAACACATAAAAATCCTGTGTTGGTGTTTGTTGGACTTCATGGTTTTTAATGAAAAATACACTGTTAGACAATGCGTTTTGTCCTACATAGATGATGCATCATTTCTCTCCAACGCTTTCAAGATTTATTTCTTTGCCTTTAAGTTTCTGTAATTAAACCAGGTTGCATCCTGGTGTGAATGTCTTTAAGTTTATTCTGTTTGAGTTCACAGTTTCTTCAATTTGTACATTTATTACTTTTGCTAAATTAGGAAACATTTTCAGTTATGTATTTTTTTCAGCACAAATTATTTCCCCTTTCCTTCTGGGATTCCAATCATATAAAGTTAGGTCCCTGAAAATCTATACATAATTTTCTATTTTTTCTGCTATTTAAATTGGGTTAAAACAATTTCTATTCTATCTTCAAACTCACTTATCTTTCCTTTGTTTTCTCCATTCTTCTGTTAAGCCTGTCTGGTAATCTTTTATTCAGTTACTATATTTGTTAGTCCTAAAATTTTCGTTTTGTTATTCTCTATGTCTTCTATTTCTTCTCTGAAACTTTCTACGTTTTCATCTGTCTCAAGAGTTTTTAATTGCTCATTGAAGGAATGTTATGTTTTAGTATGGACAGTGATTCTCAGTTATATCCTGGACATTTAGGATTATGTTTGAGGTTTTGCACATTGTTTAATTATTTTGTTGTAGGAGACCTCTTCTGAGATCATGCCTATGGGAGAAGTGGAGTATCACCTCACTACAGGAAGGAGGGGTGGAAGTCCATATTTTCCCTGTAATCTCTGTGATCCATGTTGATAAGGCCACTGTGGGATTGTGAGAAGGGTAAAGAGATGTCTCATAATGACTGCAATGACACCACAATGGGAAACAGGCAAACTTCTCACCCTGACTCTCCACTGGGTTTCTTCTGACACCACCCCAGTGGGGACAGAGAGAGAGTTTGAATTAGGGTTCTCTGAGAAAGACTTTATAGAAGATAGACAGATACATAGATAGATTCAAAGAGATTTATTAAGAGAAAGTGGTTCACAAAATGGAAAATTAGAGGTCCTAAAATCTGTAGGCAGCAAGTTGGAAATTCAGAAGAGTTGGTAGTCTGTGTTCTAGTCCGAGACTAAAGGCCTGAGATCCAGGACAGCTCATGGGGTGAGTTTCAATCTGAGTCTGAAGGCCTGAGACCCGGGAGAGCCAATGGTGTGAGTTCAAGTCTGAGTCTGAAGGCCTGAGACCCAGGAGAGCTGAGGGTATGAGTTCTAGTCTGAGTCTGAAGGACTGAGTTAAGACCCAGGAGAGTTGATGGTGTGAGTTACAGTCTGAACCTGAAGGCCTGAGACCTGGGAGAACTGAGGGTGTGAGGTCCAGTCTGAGCTTGAAGGCCTGAGACCCAAGAGAGTTGATGGTGTGAGTTCCAGCCTTAGCCTGAAGACCTGAGACCCAGGAGAGCTGAGGGTGTGAATTTCAATCTGAGTCTGAAATTCCAAGACCTAGGAGAGCTGGTGGTGTGGGGTCCAGACTGAAAACCCAAGACCCAGGAGAACCAATGGTGTAGGTGCCAGTTTAGAGACAGGAGAATCCTATGTTTAGCTGAATCAGGCAGGGAGGTGAGGTTCCCTCTTACTCAGTCTCTGTGTTCTATTCCGGTCTTCAATAGATTGGAGAGGACCCACCAACAGCAGGGGGGCAATCCACTGTATTAAGTGTATGAATTCAAATGGGAATCTCATCCAAGTACCCACCTCACAGACACATTCAAAATAATGATTTCCCAAATATCTGGGCACCCTGTGACCCAGTCAACTTGATACAAAAAATTAACCATTATAGTTGCCTTGCTTCTGCCTGGTAGGAGTGACAGTCCAGACCAGTTAGTCTTGTCTGATATCCACCTGGTTGTTGGAGAGTTATAATTTGTTACAGATGGGCAAAGGTGGGAGTTTATGCTTCAAGATCGGTCTTTGCTGATGGGGTGGGTGGGAAACCACAGTGTGTCTGAGGTATATGTTGGACACACAGAAAATCCAGAGAACTCATTCCCATGTTTTTCCCCACGTACTCAGGTCTTTAGTTGGTCTTCTTTCTTCTTCTCTTCATCTGTCAGGGACTTCTTATACTTGCTTTATGTATAATGTCCAGGTTTTATGGCTGTATTTAGTGGTGGAAACCAGGAGAAGTGCATCTACTCCATCTTGTACCAGAATCACAAATTTGAAGTATTGCATCTTTTTCAGTATGACTGAAAAATATCTGCAAACTCATTTACAAATTTGCAAGTGGTGCACAAAGTAAATCCCCTTACATATTTCTGTTTGACCACATAATTGTTTGAATCAAGTGAAATTGCATAAATAAAATCCATGTAGTTACAAACCAAATGGACTATCTATCCACAGGCTATAATTTGTAACAGTCAAATATACCTGTTTCTAATCTAACAAAGGCTTCAGAGAGACTTTCTAAGAATAAGTTTCAGTTTGAATACTCAGAAACTCTGGGGATTTTGAGCACAGTAGGTTAATACTAGAGAGGATTCAATAAATTGTAGACCTTCAAAATTGTTTTCCTTAGAACTTCAAATCTTCCTACACTTTTAAAATTGTTTTTTCTGCATTAAACAATGTTATATATCGTTTAAAAAAGTGTCTTATGTTAATATTCAGCACAATTTATTTGCATGTTCTACTTTGTGTTCTAGTGAAAGTTAAATATTTGATAGCTTGAATAATTCTTTCATCTTTGATCTGAAGCTGCATTTTGAAAATATTGACTGAGAACACAATGAAGTACATAATCATTTTCCAGATGGTAGCAATGACTGGAATGGGTGAGGCATGTCTCAGTAGCAACATTTCACTTCCTTCAAGATCTGACTTTCTATAAATTATTCCTAATGCAACGCAGCTAAGAACCAAGACAAGAATGTAATTGAAGTAGCCTCTGAGTAATTAATAATTTACTTTCTCTATGTGGCCACCCTCAGGACCTAAGTCAAATAAAGAGTCTACAAAAACACCTTAAGAGGAAAAAAATTTTTTTAAAGCTTATAATGGATATGCATCAATTGATCCATGTGGAAAAAGACAGAAAAGCCATTTTAGAAACAACAATCTGAGGTTATTTAATATAAGGTTATAGAACTCTATACACTTGAATATCTACCAAGTTCATTCTGTATGATCCAGTAGAAGAACAATGATAACTCTTTGTGGGTACTGCACTGCTTAGATGTTATTTTTGAAAACCGCTCTAGACTTTTAATACCTTCCCTCACTGAGTTTTGAGTTATTAATGCAACCATTTTACAGATGAAGGCAGATAAAACACAAATTTTAAAGCCTTGTGTGAAGCCATATGGTTGACGGGAGTGAGAATCCCTTATGTGAAGACATTTTAATAGTCTACTCTGAATCATTGACCAGTAACAGTTTATGTGACTCTAGAGTTTAATGATCACATTACTTTGGGAATATAGAGTTTTGTGATCTGGGAAGACATATAAATGTGTTTCTGTGATCTACTCACATGCATATGAGAGTTATATTTCATGTAAATTTTAGCCCAGAGAAAGGGGTTAATCTCTTTAGCCTGTGGATGTATATCAGACTTTTAAGGAATTCTCCTGAGATTTTTTTCTCTGCGATACTTTTCAGACAATTTCAAGTTTATTCTGCTTCACCTGTCATACTGGCAACCTGCACTAAGAGTTTGTCACCAAACTGCCATTGTTAAGTTTGGAACGTCTTTAAGTCTAAATGGTTATGCAACTTGGGAATGACCAGATCATTTTCCAAGAGGGTATGATACATCCTGTTGGTGAAGGCAGCACATTCTGGCTGGCCAGATGGATGAATCTGTGACTTCTCCCGCCATGACAGGGTTTGAATGAGACTCCAAGCCAATGGGTATAGTTTTCAGCTCCCTAAGTGATCACCAATGAGGCTGGATGGTGTAATCCACGAATGTGCCACTAGCTTGTGGTGGAGTGAATCAGTGTTGTTGTGTATTTTCTTTAGTCTTTGTTTCTCAGTGCTCATATGGATGTGCCTATCTGCTATAAAACCAAGTCATTAAAAATATTTAAATCTGATATAATTACACAGACTTACATGGATAAGATACATAGGGTATTATCTTTACTCTTTCAAATGTATAAACTGTTTGCTTCTAGTTAGTTCACACCAGAGGGCAGACTCATTCTTTCCTTTAACTTAAAGAATCAAATTGTTGGTAAATTATAAACTTCTAGATAATGTGCTCTTGAGTTTATAGCACTTGAAATTGATTCATTGAAGTGTATATTTGTGGATATACATATGTATATATATGATATATATATCATTGATTCACATATTTTTATATATATACATATATTTTATTTGTAATTACTATTATTTTTCAAGTGCCTGTGTGTATTTTAAAATTATTGTCTACTTAGTATTCTGGGGAAAAAAAATTAGGAAACTAACGCTCTTATATGCTATTTTACAGGGGTTATGTCCAAAGTCATAAAACAAGAAAGAGGTGAACCAGGATGTAAATGAAAAATTGACATATTAATAAAATGTGACAATTTCACCCAATGTATGTAGCCAGAAGTCAGACACAGTCAAGAAGTTGGGAGTTAAAAGATACAAATTATTAAGAACAAAAGAAGAGAACTATTTCATGGGGTTCGCATTGTGAGTTGATGAATTAATGTAGAAAATGGTAATTTGGTCTCCTTCATTCCCATGGTAAATGTCTTCATTGATCATGGAAAAGAACATATTATTGGAGATGTGTGTCAAGATGTTCCTTTGGCTGAATCTCTAATCATCATGCTTGTCACTACCCATGAATGATCCAAAAAAGTTCCACTTTATGATTGACCAGGTACCTAACACACACTGTAACTTTTGCTAGGATATGCAATTTTGACTTAAGATGGAAATTTGGCTTCTCCTCTCATACTGGCTGAATCTAAGTAGCAGCTGGACATTGATTCCAAAGAGATGAACCCTACTGAATGCGTTTGTGAAAAGATGGTAGGGTAAAGATACATGCAGCAATATAGAACCTCCAGGCTGGGTGCTGTGGCTCATGCCTGTAATCCTAGTGGTTTGGAAAGCTGAAGAGTGGGAGGATAACTTGAGCTCAGATGTTTGACACCAGCCTGGGCAGCATAGTGAGACTCTGCCTCTACAAAGAAATTTTAAAACTTAGCTGGGCGTGGAGGTGGACACCTGTAGTCCCAGCTACTTAGGTAGCTGAGGTGGTGTTAGCCCAGGAAGTCAAAGCTGCAGTAAGCTGTGACTGCACCACTGTACTCCAGCCTGGGTGACAGAATGAGACTCTGTCTCAAACAAACAAACAAAAACAACATAGAACTTCCTGAAGTTTCTAGATCATTATACCAACCCTCGATTTCAGTGGATAAGGGGGTTCGAAGAGAGGCTTGCAGGTAGATAGAGTGCCTTATAATTTCTAGTGCCTTCTTGTTAATACTCTGTAATCTGGTCATTCATCTTATTTTTGCTCATTTTTCAGGGGTCAGGAGGTAGAGGCTTTCTTTAAATTATAGATTAGAGAATTAGTTCATAAATGATTACAAAATGTATGATTATTATTGTTTTCCATTTTATGTATTTATCTTTAAATAACCTGTTTCAATATCCAAGATAGTGTACTACATGTAAATCCCACATTCTATAGTGATATAAACTTAGATTTTCATATAACACTATAGTTTACAATGTCCTTTCACTTGCTTTATTTGCTCATTGGGAATTTGTGCTTTATTGAATTAAAAATCAAATGAGGGAGATAAAGTTTTATGGTTTCTCATGCATGCAACAGGACCAAGAATTTTACCAGGGTTTCCTGGTTAAAAATCCAAATGGCTACTTATTCATGTAAGTGTGTCCCGTGTGGTAAAGTACAGTTGCACTGTGAAAAAAAAGCCAATGATACTATATATAGTACACATGACAAACGTGTACACCCAGGAACAAAGCTTCTTAGATCAGTGGTGAATTGGAAATTCCAACCAAGGAAAAAGCAAAAAAGCAACATGAGGACCTTTCTTGACATTTCTTTTTCACATCTTTTCTGGAAACCAGATCTGTGTTTTCAAAAGGAAAGGAAATGAGAACAGGTGAAATTTGAAAGAGATAGTTTAAAATCATTTTTATGACATCCATGAACATATATATTCTATGACATAAAGTATTATGGTAAATCAAAGTAAGTTTATTTGCAAACATTATTTCAAAGTAAGTTAAAATATTATATTGACAATTAAAATTAGCATGCTAAATATATATTAATTTATATATATTTATATATATGTATGTTGTGTTGTTGGTGTATGTAATCAAGCTAAACAAAGGCGAAAACCTATTTTTACAGCAATCTCCAGCTGCTCAAAAGTAGGCTGCTCTAAGTAACCTATTCTAGTGAGTCAGTACTTAAGACCAAGAAGCACTATAATACCAGTACATAACTGTTCTTACAAAATTGTCAGAAAAGTCTCATTAACATCTATTTTAAGATTGTATTACCTTAACTTTTAAAAGTGTGATATTGATGAAAACATATAATTGTCAAAACTACTAGGTAATAATTATAATAGATTGTATTTTAAATAATAAAAATAATATTTATACTTTTGTTTATATTTTTAAACACAATGGTAGGGTTTATTTTCCAGATTACATTTTCTACTTAAATTTCAAAAATTAATTAGTGTCTACATAAAATATTGGAAATTAAAGTAATTTAATGTTCAATTTCAAAACAATTTCTAATGTTTGTAATTACATAAAATTTGACTAGTCTAATTATACTGTGTATGATATGCTCAAACAGAAAACACGAAGAAGTTTGGTTTTAGTTCTATAATGTCTGTTAACAACTTGATATTGTCGCTGTTACATTGAACAAGAATCCTAAATGTAGTAAAGGAAAATGTTGGCATTCAATTGAATCCAATTCTTTGGGCTAGAAAGCTTTCCCTGACTTGGTTCCGTGATTCAACTATTCTGTTGACTCCCAGAACACATGAAAAACAAATAAGAATTCTGTGGTTTCCTTCTAATTATAAAAGACAATTTGATTTTATTTTAAAATATCAGACTACTGTAATACTCAAAACTGCTGTTTCGTGTACAGCATATGCTGTTGGCTGGGTAGGTGTCTAAAGGTGTTTTGTTTTTTTATGCAACACTCACACAGGTTCTTTGGGGATGGTAGCATTCCCCGTTTCTCTTCTGCCTTTGATGCCTGGAAATATTACACTTGTATCTCCTTTCTCCATAGAACCTCTTCTTGCTAGATTATATTACCTTTTCAATCATCTGCAAGGTATGAGCTGTCTTCAGGTTAGATTTCTCTTTTGTAGGATCCACAGGAAAGACTGCATCATGGACTCTCTATGAGCTTAAGATAGTCCATATATCCTTTGCTTTCTTAGCTAAGAATCTTGTCATCTGCTGTTCAGATGTCTTAGGTATAAGTCAGATCTTAGCCCATTGAGCCCCCTTAACTATAGGGAATGGCTATTGAGACCTCTGAGAGGTTTCACTTCACCTCCCTTCCTGCTGTGTTGCATTTCTCAGCTCTCTGAAGCATAAAAGTATTTCACATTCTTACAACATGTATCAATCGGCTGACTTGCATCTTTGAGCACCACTTATATTTTTGGCTAATCAATTAAAAAAATCAGAACACACTCCCTTCCCTTGAGCATGTATAGTAATTTATTTCACCTTCAAATTTTGATAATGTAAACAATACTGAAAATATAGGTATAAGTTTGAAACAGATAATCGATCAAATAACCATTATAAAAACTACTATGTCTAAAAATCTTAGCTTAGTTAGTTTAGTGTTGTCTTGCTTTTGTGATCTGCCTGTATCCTATGCTGAAACTACTTTTATGATGATATAATTTGACTTTTTTACCTATTTTGACTTGCATCCTTACCAGTAAAATACATTTTCCATATAAGAAAATATTATAGCAAGTTAAGCAATAGGTGTTGAAGAATATAAAACACACTTTGATTAAATTAGTTACTTTTCTTTCCCAATTGACAATATTCAATTGCAAAATCAATTGCTCGTTCTCAAATATTCAAAAAAGAATAGTCCAGACTTGACAATGATGACCACAGTATTCTGTTAATTATAAATTAGACACAATCTCTCTTTACGAACACATTTACTTGCTCAAAATCATAGCATAAAATGTCCTTCTTGAAAGATGATGTTAAAATAGAACTAATCTAGTCTTGGCTTCTGCTGAGATCTCAAGAAAAAATAACACAAGTACTCCTCCATTATAAAATGAAAGTTATAAGATCTTCATACAGTAGTTGCAAAAATCAGCCTTGTGATTCTTAGCTCATCCCATATGTTGAGAAAATAAGAGAGTTAGGAGTAAAAATTAGTGAAATGTTATTTTCAAGTCTTTGGGCTTTACTCCTATCTGGTACATAGGGAGAGGTTGTGAGGAATAGGCTCACTTCTTGCCTTAATTCTGGGCATGGAAAATGAAATAGAACCTCCCAGAAGGCTTAATATCTATTCCCTGGAGTTTAGGGAACTCATTGGGCTAGAGTTTGCCTCATTCCCAAGACATTTAAAAGGCAACCAATTACATAAAAAGCAGTGGCCCAATAGGTGTGAAACTTTGAACAACTCTACGCAACTCTTTATATCTGGGAGAGTCAGTTCTCCTTTTCCCATTAACATTATATTGAATTTTTTCAGCTCTTTGAAATACACAAATGACTTTTACGTAGAAAATGCTGGTCATATATCTATCCCCATTCACCTTAATTTTCTCAAAGAATTACCTGTAAGACATAAGAAAAGTGTAAGAGAGTGAAAACAAGATAAGTAAGCAAACATTATTGATTGCATAACGGAAAAGACGCAAATAAAAGGGTCGTAGAATGCCCACTAGTCGAAAATATGAAGTCTAACACTCATGGAATTGAGTACAGAGTGTGAAACCCTTGGTGAATGTTTTGGTAAGTGAGCAAATGTAGGCAACTGATTATTAATAAGTATGCACCTGGTATTGCTTGTGAGCGGCCCTAAAGTTCATTCCTGAAGTCTGGAGGCAAAGAGGAGAGAGGTGGCTGACATAAAAGTTCATTCCCCAGGATTAGCTCCGGATGGCCTCATGGGAATCGAGGAGATCTCTCTAACATGGAAATTATCTCCTGCTTTTGATCACAAGAAGCTGAAAAATCAAAGTGAATAGGATTGATGAAAAATAGGAACGGGGATTGAGTGATCTTTATATGCTGGAAAATAAGAGAATAATTGTGTTTTAAAAACAAAACTATCATGCTTGTAATTACAAAAACTATGGAGATGAAGGGTGACAAAAGGATCCATTAAGAAGACTACACAAATTGGGTTTCATAATTAGTGCATTATAGAATCATAACATAAACACCAGACTATAAGAAATTATGTCAAATACATACCATAATACAGAAATACCATAATACAGAAATACAGAATACATACCATAATACAGAAATAAAACATACCATAATACAGAAACATGTACAGAAATACAGATAGATAGATAGCTAGATAGATAGATAGATGATAGATTTCACTAATATGCTAATATGCAAAGATGTTTCTACAATAGAAAAGTAACTAGAATGACAAAAGATCAATGAACTTATCTTTAAAAATACATTCAAGTTCTCAGGTTTACTGGAAGTCAAAAAATGTAAATAAAAATAGTAATACAGGCTTTTAATCTATGATATTGGAAAGAAGTTTTCTGTGACGCAATGTCATGAAGAAGAAAAAGTAGAAGTTTTTTTCTCTCTTCCTTCCTTCTTCCCTCCCCCCCTCTTTTCCTTCTTTCCTTATCTCTCTCCCTCCCTTGCTTCCTTCCTGCCTCTTCCTTCCTTCCTTTATTTTCTTCCTTCCTTATTTCCTTCCTTTCCTCCCTCCCTTCCTTCTCACCCTTCTCATTTATTGCTGGAAAGACTGTAAATTGAGGCAAATTTCATAGAAAATAATTTGGTGATATGTATTATATTAAGAATTGTCAAATAGATCACCACTGATATACTTTATATAAATTTTATAAAAATAATTACATGTGTGCATTAAAAGGTGTATAGCAGGAACATTTCATAGTAAGAAACTCTACAGTTGATTGTTACTAGGCCACCATTAAGCCAATAATAAAATAGTAGGAATGCATGTGTTTGTGTGTTTGTGTGTGTGTGTGTGTGTCCATTGGTTATACGCATTTTAAAAAGCACATCGAAGTTGCACATCAGGTTATTAATAATGGGTACTATTGGTGGGGCATTTTTTTTTTTTTTTTTTTTTTTGAGACGGAGTCTCGCTCTGTCGCCCAGGCTGGAGTGCAGTGGCGGGATCTCGGCTCACTGCAAGCTCCGCCTCCCGGGTTCACGCCATTCTCCTGCCTCAGCCTCCCAAGTAGCTGGGACTACAGGCGCCCGCCACTACGCCCGGCTAATTTTTTGTATTTTTAGTAGAGACGGGGTTTCACCGTTTTAGCCGGGATGGTCTCGATCTCCTGACCTCGTGATCCGCCCGCCTCGGCCTCCCAAAGTGCTGGGATTACAGGCGTGAGCCACCGCGCCCGGCCTTGGTGGGGCATTTTTAAGGGAGTTCATTGACATCAAACTTTGTGTATTTTTTAGAAAATGGTAAGGTTATGGAATACATTTTTCTCACTAAAAATGATGTTTTAGTGAATAATCCATTTTCAATCTAGTTTTTAAAAATGATGACAGTATTGTAGAATTCCAAATAAAAACATAAGCTACATCAGAGGTGTTGTAAATAGAGCTAAAGAGAGTTATTTCAATTATCAGCAAATGTAGAATCTGCAATTGATTGTTATTATACAAAAGGCATAAAAGGAGGCGGGAACTAAGCTATGGGTATACAGAGGCCTACAGAATTGTATAATGGACATTGGAGACTCAGAAGCAGGAAGGGTGGGATGGGGATGAGGGATGAAAACCTGCCTATTGGGTACAATGTACACTACTCGGGTGGCAGATGCACTGAAATCCCAGACTTCACCACTGTGCATCCACCCATGCACACAAAAACCACTTGGACCCCTGAAGCTATTGAAAATAAAAAATGTATATTTACAAAAGGAATTGAAGATGAATTTGTTTTCTTTCTTATTTAGCCGAGTGAAGGCTGATGACCTTAACGAAGATGGAACATACAAGAATAAAAAATGCTTTTAAGGAAGAACAAAACGGCTGTGCTTTAGAATTTTTCATTTCACTTTCCCGTGGTACATTCAGGAGGAAATTATTTGAGGCAATTAGGCAGAGAAATTTTAACTAAAAATGTCTTTTGAAAATACAGCAGTTTGGTTTCTTCTGCAAATGTCCTCCAGCTATAGCAAGTAAGAAAACAAACATCATTTTTTATTTGATTATAGGATTTTATTAAAACGTAGAATCTGCCCTTAAGAATACCTTGAGCATTCATATAATTCTTATAAGAAAATGACCTTTGCTTCAGTATTACTGAAACAAAAACAATAGATCTTAGAAAACACGATGGGATCGACATTAATAAGTAATTCCCTAGGAAATTATTGTATATTTCAGAAAGTATTTTATGAATATATCATTTTGGCAAATGAACAGACTCAGTTTTAACAACGAACCATGTGAGGGGTTATTTTAAGTTTCTTCTATGGTTGAAATAGGTGCTTTATCTCATTTGCTCTTTTTATTATCATTATTTATAATAATTCTGTGGCGTTAACCTTATGTCTTCCTAGGGCTGAGGAATATTTAAAAGAGTTGTTTAATTATTTGTTGCTCATTTAAGGGCTTTTATAATGAATGAATATGAAAATACCACTTGGAAATGTCCGTATCTGCAATAACATGTGAACTTTATTCCTCAACATCCCGGCTATCCCACCAGACAAAAATTGCATTGGCTGGCCTGGCGCGGTGGCTGATGCCTGTAATCCCAGCACTGTGGGAGGCTGAGGCTGGTGGATCACTAGGTCAGGAGATAGAGACCATCCTGGCTAACCCGGTGAAACCCCGTCTCTACTAAAGATACAAAAAATTAGCTGGGCGTGGTGGCGGCAGCCTGTAGTCCGAGCTACTCGGGAGGCTGAGGCAGGAGAATGGCGTGAACCCGGGAGGCGGAGCTTGCAGTGAGCCGAGATTAGCGCGACTGCACTCCAGCCTGGGCGACAGAGTGAGACTCCATCTCAAAAAAAAAAAAAAAAAAAAAAGAATTGCATTGGCAATTGACAACCTATTCATACATCCTCAGCAGATCACTTTAGATTTATACACAACAATTTCAAAAATACCTGATCCGTATGTTATCCATTTTTAATGAAATTTTCTTTCTCTTTCCCCTGTTCAGTAACCTAGCAGGTGTCAATATTTTATTGGAACACCAGACTACACCAGACACTGAGCCGCTTCCTAATTGGATGGCTTCCCCCTTAACTAGAGGCCTCTAGGGTTCTACCCTTGGGAAGATATCGAAGGCATAGATTTAAAAGGGAACAGGAACCCTCTTGGTGAAAACGTCAGTTCCTTCCTTCCTGCCTGCCTTCCTGCCTAGCTGCCATCCTGCCTTCCTGCCTGCCTTCCTTTTCTTCTTTCCACTTTCTTCTTCCCTTTCACTTTTTCTTCTTTTCATATGTCCCTCCCTTCCTCTCTCCTCCCCCTTCCCTTTCTTCCTTCCTTATTTCATTCCTTTCCTCCTTCCCTCCTTCCCTCCCTCTGCCTTCCTTATTTCCTTCCTTTTCTCTTTCCTTCCTTTCTCCCTCCCTCCTTCCCTTCCTATCCTCTATGCTTCTCTCCCTGTCTCCTTCCTTCCTGCCTGCCTTCCTCCCTACCTCCCCTCCCTCCGTCTCTTCCTTCCCTCCTTCCTTCCCTCCTTATTTCCTTTTCTCTTTCCTTCCTTTCTCCCTCCCTTCTTCCCTTCCTATCTTCTATGCCTCTCTCCCTGTCTCCTTCCTTCCTCCCTACCTCCCCTCCCTCCTTCTGTCTCTTCCTTCCCTCCTTCCTTCCCTCCTTCCTTTCTTTCTTTCTCTCTCTTTCTTTCCTTCTTTCTTTTTCTTTCTTTCTTTCCTTCTTTTTCTTTCTTTCTTTTTCTTTCTTCCCTCCCTCCTTTCTTTCCTTCCTTCTCTCCCTCCCTACTTCTTTTTTCTTCTCCCTCCTCCTTCCTTCCTTGCTTCTTTCCTTCTTTTCTTCCTTCCCTTTGCTCCTATCCTCCTTTTCTTTCTTCCCATCCTACTCCTCCACATAAACCATATTTTCAAGTGCACCACACAGTGTGAATGGTGCATTAGGTTCTCTCTGCACTATTCAATGTTCCTGCAATCACTTTAGGAAGCACCTCATCATGCCTGTTGAACTTTATGACAGGTGTCGCAAGGGGAAAACCCTTGTTTCTAGTACAGCATCTCTAAGGAGTGCAGTCCTGGGATCTTGAGCATGAAGAGAGATGGATTGAAATGTGCAAAGATTTTGGTTTTGCTATTTTTGCTCGTTTGCTTTCCTGCACCCTTCAGGGTTCTATCCTGGGTCCTCAAGGTCACACAGTGAGGGTAGCTTTCATTCCCTTCCACAGGTGGGATGATTTGGTCTCAATTACTAAGAAGACCCAGCCTTGTGGCTGCCTTTGCTGGCTTTTAGTCAAAGACTCCCCAGCTTCTCACGAGGCAGCCCAGTGAGACCCCGTTTTGCACATGGAAAATTTCTATTGGCATTGAACTCAGCTATACCTTTATTTCTTATTGACGTATTTTATCTGCCAGTACTCCAATGTTTGGAATATGAAACTGATTTATTGTTTAATGAAACACCAGAGAAAATGATTTTTGAGACAAATGTGTATTTTCTTCACCAGATAATAAAAATTCCTACAGGTAAATTCTTCCAAGGCAAGAAGTGAATTTTCAAAAGTGAAAAAATAAATAACTACAAAGTAAAAATAAATAAAAAATAAAAAATTCCTACCGGGTTCAATTTCTACTGTAGCTGCAAGAAACACAAAATTTTGTATTCAATAACATGAATTATTCCAGTAAGAAACTATTCTGTATTCTGGACTTGCTTTATTCTGACTTTTAGTTAATCCCTTTCACTATGGCTAATTGTATAAACCAGAAAACCACAATCCCTTTTGAAATCCCTGTACATAAAATATATGATATTATATATGTTTTATATAAGTAATATATATGATTACTTATATAGGATTATATAACAGTTACTTATGTATTTTTATAAATATATCATTTCCATATTTATATCTATTAAATATAATATGTATAATTATTTTTATATTATTTTAATCTTATGTCTCTAAGACAATCTTATGCAATATTATAAATTTTAAATTATAATATTGCATAAATAAAATTATATATAATTATATAATTATACATAAAGATAAATAAATACACATGTGCATATATTAATAAATAGGTACATATGTGTGTGTATTCATATATTTATACAGTTAAAACAGACAAGTATACATGTCACAGATGTATATATTCATATACATGTATATCATTGATAGAGCCTTTGCAAGTCATATATATGACAAATATACATGTATACATGTCTTTGACATAATTAGTGCATCTTGTTAGTATCAGCCCATTCACTACATGTTGATTCCTTTCATTTTCATCTTGTCTATTGCATTCATAGTTATCCTCAACCAAACTCTAAAATAGATTATGAATTCCCAGAACTGAATGATCACATTCCTCTATTTTTTGGAAACAACTAGCATTGTCCTATATGTGATTTCTTCACAGAATACAAGGTACTTAGAATGATAATTCCATCTCCTTGCATATTTTTAGGGCAAACAAAGAAAATAACACAGAAAGATTTACTTGACTTTACCTGGTGTACCATTTGAGGCTCACAGAGAGGACTCTAACAAGATGATTTGTGCGTATTAATATATTTTCTTTTTCCCCATAGTATTCATTGAATGTGTTTGCCCATTAGGTGTTTTGTTTAAGTCTTTTTTCCATATTTTCAGTACAATGTATTATAAAGTAACAGTCAGTTTTCTTCAAAGAAAAAGAAAACTGAGTGACTTTAAAAATCACAAAAAGAAAATTCCATTAAAAAAGCATTATATTTCATTGCATTACTATGACTATAATACTACCCCATAGGACAGTTTACAACATAACAAGTCAGTGTTAATTCTGTGACAGCCATAAACACTTCAAAGAAACTCCATCATGTGATAAAGATACAATATTTTAATAGTGATGCTTTTGTAACTGCAAGAGATGCTAAGTAGTACAATTGCATCAATTTTTGTTATTGTTTCATTGTAAAATTATAGAGTTATTTATCACAATAGAGTACCAGTTATTTCTTTCAAATCAAAGACTCTATGTATTTATAATCCTCTGTCATATTCAAGGATATTGCTGATGGGTTTGTTATTTTTATGTAAATGATCAGTGTGTATCAGGAAGCTGCCTTTGCTACCCAGAAACAGCTGCTAAGTAAAGTAAATTTTGAAGCCTAACTCTTCTATTCCTCATTCCTCTACCTCTTCTATAGGAGCAAGATATCAATCCCATTTCTCCTTGCCCATTAAAAAAAATTTCCCTCTGTGCACTCCTTCCCCAACTTTTTTTGAGACAGGGTCTCCTTCTGTTGCCCAGGCTGGAGTGCAGTGATGTGATATTGGCTCACTGCAGCCTTGACTTCCTGGGCTCAAGCAATACTCTCACTCAGCCTCCCAAGTAGCTGAGACTACAGGTACATGCCACCACACCCAGCTAAGTTTTGTCATGCACCATTTTGATAGACTCTACAAGAAACTCTGCACTACAGATCTCAAGCACGAGACTCAATCCTCCATATTCCTATTGCCATCTTCCCATGGATTTATCACACCCAGCCTGGAACAGGAGTATGTAGTTTCCTTGGTGGTCTAGCCTCTGATTACTGACTTTTTAACCCATCCCTCCTTAGCCTAAATTCCATAAAGTCCCTGGTAACTCGGCTTACCTCCCAGTTTAAGCTTATGTTGACATGAGCTTTTCAAACTTTGGGTGCCTGGCTGAGGCAAATCTCAACTCCCTCTAGAGAAACTTCCAAAACAATATTGCCCTTTCATCTGTATTTTACAAGCCCTTACATCTTCCTAGTACTCTGTTTTCCCTTGCTGGGTTTAGAGAAATAATTTTCATCCCCAGTCTACTTGACTGGAGTCCTGAAGTTCCAAATCTTCAAAAGGTAGGGCCTGCCTCCCAAGAGTCAACATGATTTTCTACCACCTTCCCCTTTTTGGGAGCTGATTCTAGACACAAGGAGGCCATGCAGAACTTTGGACATTGCTTTCCAACTCTACCCATGACCCTTTAAGGTTTATGTCTCTCGAAACTTGGCATGTATATCTTGCTTCTTAAACATGCAGGGCCACGTGAATCATTCTGCAGTATTTCTGGTCCAGCAAGTTTAAAAAGAAGCTAATGAAGTGGATATTTAAAAGCCTTCAGGTGAATCTAATGGAAGTAGTAATCAATAAACCACACCTTGAAAATGGCTAGTTGAAAATGCCACCATTCTCCTTTCACTCCATTGCTTTGAAAATAAACACTGACCAACATATATACAAAAATTAGCATATTGCATCACCTTGATGACTGCCCCACTTTTTAGGAAGCTGCAATTCACTTTTTATAATTAAGATATTGGCTGGGTGCAGTGGCTCACACTTGTAATCCTAGCACTGTGGGATGCCAAGATGAAAGGATCACTTGAGTCCAGGAGTTCCAGACCAGCCTGGGCAACATAGTGAGACCGTGTATCCACAAGAAAAATATTTTATACATTAGCCAAGTGTGCCTAACTTTTAAATATTTTTAAAAATTAGTCTGTAGTCCCAGCTACTGGAGAGGCTGAGGTGGGAGAATCACTTGAGCCCAGGAACAAGAGGCTGCAATGAGCTATGATCACACCTCTGCACTCCAGCCTGGGCAACAGAGTGAGAAAGAAAGAAAGAAAGAAAAAAAGATATCTCCAAGTTATGGACTGTTTTCCATTTTCTGCTTCACCGTTACTTACGTGAAAATAGTTTTCGTTACCTTCCGTTTCTCAGTAAAGTTGCTGTATATTTGTTTTCATCATACAGGATGGTCTTCCTAGGAAGCGCAGACATAATTACTGAATGCCACAGCACTGCATAACCCAACAGAACCTCACTGGTGCCTTCTCAGTCTAACAGGCAGCATTGAAGAGGATGCTACCTTCAGTCTCTTCCAGAAGAGGATATGTACCTGTGGGTAAAATGAAATGATAAAATAATGCTTAATTCATTAATATTATCAGATTTCCACCCTCCACTTTGGGGCAAATGCTAGAGAGTGAGGGAAACAGAGAGAACATCTACTCCCTTATGCACAGTTTACAGATAAAAACAAACAAACAAAAAATATCAAATTCAAGGATACATGCATAACCACGTGCTCCATCCATGGTGGTGTGTGGGCAGCTGATTTCCAGTTCATGGTGCACCCATTCCACTGGGGGACATTACACCTGCATCCAGGTGATTGAATTTGGACCAGACTCAAGTTCTGCAGGAACATGGATGTGTCTCATCTTCACTCAAGCTGATAAGTTTGAGCTGATACAGACATCACATCCATCTTCTTGAAGAAGTTCCACGGCAAAACACATGAGTGTTATTTATCAATTTGTGGCAGAATGGAATAACCAACCCTTCCCTCTTGAGAACACTGTCAGTGCAGCAGCACATAAATAAATCTTGCTGCACCGCAGCACCCTGATGAGGCAGTGATCGCTGTGCAAAGATTCATGGCACTTTACTTGAATACTTTCATGGAAATATTTATTAAAACTCCCCCAAAATATCAAAAGTTGAGCAAATAAAAAATTACAGGCCAACAAATGTTTTCATATCTGATGTTCAAATCTAAAAACCACAGTGAAGCTAAAATCTTCACTGTTTCCTCAATAATTATGAACCGTTGATATTCTGTCTATTAAATGTGTGATATTTGCGATTTCACCAGAAAGCTAGCAGTCCATTTCCCAAGGCAGCACAAATAGTACATAGACTCTTTGCTAATCGTGTTTTAAAATTATGCATCATTGCAAAGCAGAGAGAAGTTAGGTTGTTATGTGGTATGAATCTGTTCTATTGAGTCTAATTCAGGCCGATGGAGTGCTGAAGATCATGTTTCCTTTTTAATAATGAGACCGTTTAAACTCTGATATTAATTTTTATTGCTCATCTGAAGAATAATTAAACAAAACAATTGACAAATAATTGACAAAACCATAAGCAAAAATAATGGACAAAACAATTACAACATAAACAAGATGTTTCTTTTAACCGAGAGTGAGGCTGTTCTATTTTAACAAACCACTTTTATTTCACTTGATATATAGCCGGAAAGGCCAAATAATAACATTTTAGTAAAATCACATTTTCTCTGTGACCCAGGTTCCAAGAAGACAGTGTCTTTGAATAATGTCTAGAATTTTTGATTTGAAAGAAACACATTTCTGGTCTATAGCTTAAAACAACTACATCCTCTGAAAAACCCAATAGTTCTTTAAGGAACACAATTCTGCTAATAATTACCTCTGACATTAGCTACCTTGATGGCAAACATCTTGAAAACCAGAGTAAAAAAAATCTGCTGAGTCATTAATGTGGTTTATCTCTGTGTCCACACCCAAATCTCATGCTGAATTGTAATTCCCAGTGTTGGAGGCGGGGCCTGGTGGGGCCTGGTGGGGGGAGATTGGATCATGGGTGTGATTTCTAATGGTTTGGCACCATCCCCCTAGTGCTGTCTCATGACAGAGTTCTCAGGAGAATACCCCAGCTTAAAATAATGTGAACAGTGAAAGGAGTTTATTGATTCATGTAAATAAAAATAGGTCAACACTAGTTTCAGGAATGGCTTGATCAGGGCGCTGACTCCATTGCTCTGCAGTTCTCTTGATTTTGCTTTCCTTCACATGATGGTTTACTTTTTAGGCTCACTTTTATCATGGTGACAAAATGTCTGGAACAGTTCTGTACACCACATCTTCCTGAAGAAAAGTGTCTTTATCTCAACTACCAAACAAAATCCTAGGTTTCCCTCTAAATGAGCAAACAGGTCACATGCCCATCTCTGAATCAGTTACCATAGCCGAGGGAAGTGCTGTACTCTGATTGGCTTAGGATGAGATTTTTGCCCATCTCTGAAACGATCCCGGGCAAGAGTAGGATGTTCTGATTGGTTTTAGTCAATTGGAGAGGGATTTACCTCTGGAACTGTGAACGGAGTCACTGTCCCCTAAATTATTATACATGACTTCTATGCATTGCGAATACAGTCAATACTCTCAAAATTACATGACCCCATGCCTTTGGGGAGCAGATGAATAGATGCTGCTAAAAAAGCCATCAGTGTCTTTCTGAATTGCAATTTTCCTTTGGGATGCAAAAAGTGTCTTTCATTCTGGCCTTTGATTCTTCAACACAAAAAGTGTGTGGCACCTTCCCCTTTCTCTCTCTCTCTCCTGCCACCTTGTGAAGAAGGTGCTTGCTTCTCCTTAATCTTCTACCATGATTGTAAGTTTCCTGAGACCTGCTCCCAGCCATGCTTCTGTGCAGCCTGCAGAACTGTGAGTCAATTAAACCTCTTTTCTCCACAAAGTACCCAGTCTCTGGTAGTTCTTTATAGCAATGTGAGAACAGACTAATACAGTCATTTTTATGTCTCTAAATAGTTTTACATAATGTATTTCTCTAATGTATTTATATGAATGTATGTGTGTCTATTCACTGATACCTACCTTTTAATAGCAATATACTAGCTTAATTATTTCTATTGATTATTATAGATGCCATTAAATAATCAGGTGATATATTAGTACAAGATAATGTCACTCTAGGAAACTTCTCCCCGAATTTCTTTCTGCTTGCAATTCATGTTAGCGTATAACCATCTCTTTTCCTTAATTCATAATGACATTTCAAAAAACATTTGTTTTTTAAACAGTTCTGTAATCTCACGTGCCTCTACTGTTTATCTAAATACTTCTAGATTAGTAAATAATCATTGCTTCTAAACAGTTTTTAAATATATACATGGTTATAGTCTACTTAATAAAATACTGTCAGTATATTTAAAAGTGGAGATGAGAAATACTGCTGTACAGCTTTGTTGAATGATTTGGAAGTTTTCTCCCAGAAGACTTTACTCCTCACTTAACTTCTTAGTTTCATTTCTATTATTATTTCAAAAGTAACAATGAGAATACCTCATGTGAAGTCACAATGCCAAAATTACATAAAGCAAAAATACAATGTTTGCTTTTTATTAGACAGTAAAAGGTAGTGATACTGACTACCTAATATAACAATGTCAAAGTAAATAAAAATAAAATGAATATCTAGCTCTGAAAGTTATATGTGTAAAGACAACCATCTGTAAAGTCAAGAACAATAAAGTTAAATTGCTAAAGCAATTGTAATTTTATTTTAAAAGGGGGATTCCAGACTTTGAAGGGAAATCTTTTTCTAGATTATGTGAATCCAGAGGAACTCAACAATGGCCATGAGAATCTTTATTTAAGGGGAAAACCTTAAACTAAGTCATCAGATTGATAACTGTTCAATTCATGCACATCTGCATTGAGAACAATACTCA
Organism: Homo sapiens; assembly: GCF_000001405.40. Classification (NCBI taxonomy): domain Eukaryota; kingdom Metazoa; phylum Chordata; class Mammalia; order Primates; family Hominidae; genus Homo; species Homo sapiens. The sequence goes on from NC_000023.11 coordinate 4,997,071, forward strand.
TTAAATTACTTGATCAGAAATGCATGGATTGAACAGGGATCCATGAGAACTTTCAGAAAAAAAGATTACGTGTTGAGTTATAATCATGAATTGACTTAAAATGATGAAACACTTTTTACCCCAAATGGCTTAGAGAAGTCACAAAAGAATTCTGCTTGGCTGATACATCACTTACTGTTCTATTAGGATTCATGTCTCTGTGCACTGAAATCCCCTGGATTTCAAGGATCAAGGCTGATTCACAAAGACTCGATCCCTTATTAACACTGATGATAACCAATGTTTGGTGTTGGGGTTGGGGTGGGTGTTTTGAGGGTATAGGACCCAGCCTGCCATGACCCCCCAGGCTCAGTACATCCTGTCATGTTCAGAACAAATCTCTCCACCTCATGATTCCATTGTCTGATCTCTGAATGCCCAGCTGTGCCCCTCCTGGTGAGATCTGGGGACCTCAGATCAGTCTGCCTTCTTTTGCTGCATGCTAATGTCATGAGTTTGCCTCTTCATAGTATAAACCTTATCTTTTTGCCATGGCCACTGAGTATGACACAATTCATGATTATGGCCTCATATGCATGGCCTTGGTCAAAATCCACAGAAGTTCTGCTTAGCCTCACTCCTATAATGGTGAACAAGCAAAAGCTTTCGTTATTGTTTTCTGCCTTGTTTAGTCTGTGGTTCCACAAAGTCAAGTTGACCTTTCAAATCTCTTCTAGGTTTGATACCTTTCTCTGTATCATCAAACCCTGACACTTTTCTATCCTCTCACATGTTAATTTCCTCATTAGCTCCATACTTTTCTCCCCATATATGTTCCCATTTAGGGTCATTCCATAATGATTGGGCCATCCATATGTATTGGGCAACATAGTGAGACCCCATCACTACAAAAATAAAAAATAAAAAATTAGCCAGGGATAGTGGCACACACCTTAGTCCCAGCTACTTGGGAGGTTGAGGAGGGAGGATTGCTTGAACCCAGGAGTTTGAGGCTGCAATGAGCTGTGATCATGCCACTGCATTCCAGGTTGGGTGACAGAGCAAGACCTTGTCTTAAAAAGAAAGAGAGAGAGAGAGAAAGCTGTCAATGTTGGTTTCCACTGTGAAATATGCATTTAAATGGCCACTAAATTCATAAGTCTTTACCCTAATTGCCATATTTAAAATGGGGTTTGGATTGAACTTTTGGAGGCTTGATAGTAAAATGATGGTATTACTTTATATCTATTGTTGTCCATATGACGTAAAGCAAATAAATTAATTATTATTTTCCCAACCACTTTCCATTAAGTTAACCATTTTTAAAACCTAGTAGATTGGCTTAATCATATATTGATTTCAAGTAGATAATATAACACTATGATAAAATAGATGGCAACAGCATAGTAAAATCATAGAGACATAGGCTTGCAAAGAACCTAGTAACTTCCATGTGTCACAAATTTGAAGAGACCTTACATAGCCATATCTTATGGTAACATCTTTTAAGTAATATATTCTTAAACTTGGATGACACAGAGATGTGAAAGAGAAACCAGCAGGTCTGTACAATGGAGACAATTTCTTAGCTTTAGATTGTACATCTTAGATTCTTCTTAGATGAGGCATGAAGAGTTCCCAGGAAACTTATACGACAAATGATAGAAAAGGACTCATTTGTAGAAAGCCTGGAGGTGAGAGTATAGTGAATTTAAGGAGGGAAAAGCCCAGGTTGAGATAAACAACATGTAGCAATTGATGATGTCTCTCTCATTATATGTTTGCACATATATGTATTATTATTATAAAATGCCTGTATGTTCTGAGAAAAATGTAAGTTAGAGAAGAGTTCTGTCAACGTGAATGCAAGTTAAGAATTTGAAACCTGCACGTTGTGCACATGTGCCCTAGAACTCAAAGTATAATAAATAAATAAATAAATAAATAAATAAATAAATAAATAAATAAATAAAAGTGTTTGCTGTAGGTCAGGTGGCTAGAATTATAGGGGCAGAAATTTGTTGCACAGTGAAGGAGAGTAAAGAAACCTAAGTTCAAGACGGTTGAGAGCTCTAAAAGTTGTGTGTATGTGTGTGAGAGAGAGAGGAAGCAGAAAAAGAAAAAGGAAAAGAGGGAGAGAGAGACAAAGAAAGAGCGAGGGAGAGAGAGACAGAGACAGAGAAGGAGGAAAAGGCAGAGATGGAAAGAGAAAAAGAGAGGGAGAGAAGAACAGAGACAGAGAAAAGGAGAGAGAAAGACAGAGACAGATAGAGAAAAGGAGAGAGAAAGACAGAGACAGATAGAGAAAAAGAAGAGACAGAAACAGAGAAAGAAAAATCAAAGGGGGAGACAGAGACAAGAGAAAAAGTGAAGGAGAGACAGAGAGAGAAAAAGAGAGACAGAGACAGAGAGATAAAGAGAGAGGGAGAGACAGACAGAGACAGAGAGACAGAGACAGAGGGATATAAAGAGATGTGGATTATTTTGAAATGTATAATCTTTCACTAACAAATATTTTATAATGAATCAAAACAATGTATCAAAACATTATGACAAATATTGAATATTTTATTCCCATACCATATATCCAAAATAATGAAACTCAGTAGACTAAGAGTCTGCTTTAAAAAAAAAAAGGCTAACTCTTTTCTCCCTGGTGAGAAAACTGCAGTAGATGTTTTTCTTTCCACCCTAAATCCAATGGGATTCTTTGCATGTATAGAAATGGAATAATTTGGCATGGGGTTCAACGTTGTTAATGATTTTGGTGGTGAAGTATGTTCCATTCATTTTTTTGTTTGTTTCTTCTCTAACAAAACATCATAGATAGGGTGGCTTTTAAACAACAGACGTTTATTGCTCACAGATCTAGAGTCCGGAAAGTCCAAGATCAAGTAATGGTAGATTCTGTGTCTGGTGGGAACCTGCTTCCTGGTACATAGATAGAGCCTTCTCACTGTGTCCTCACCTGGCAGAAGGGGCGAGGAAGCTCTCTGTAGTGCCTTTTATAAGGGCAGTAGTCCTATCTGTGAAGCTCACCCTCATGACCTCATCACTTCCCAAAGGCCACACCTCCTAACACCATCGCCTTGGGGGTGAGGATTTTAACACAGGAATTTTTGGGGGACATTGATATTCAGACAGTAGCACTATGTAATGACATAAATAGTGGCCCAGATCAAAGAGCCCTGGGGAGCCAGGAGAGTATGAAGCACATGCCACATTAAGGATTAAGTGGGCCAGGCAGGGTGGCTCAGGCCTGTAATCCCAGTACATTGGGAGGCCAAGGCAGGCGGATCCCTTTAGCCCAGGAGTTTGAGAATGCATTGGCAACATAGCAAAACGCTGTCTCTACAAAAAATGCAAAAATGAGTCAGTCATGGTGGCGAACGTCTTTGGTTCCAGTTACATGGGAGCCTGAGGTAGGAGGATTGCTTGAGCCAGGGAGGTTGAGGCTAATAATATGTATGCATATATTAATATATAAATGGTGATACAAGATATGGATGGTAATGTAATAGTTGGATAATATTAGAAACATGGCTTTACAACCAAAGTTCCAAAGGTGTATTTGAAATATAAAATTAATATTGCTCATATATATTCACTCAATAATGTGTGAAATGTTTAGGTGATTATGCAGAGAAGTAAAAATAATATTTAAATGATATTTGTTTATAGCAAACATATTTTTAAAATTTTATTTCTACGTGCTTCCTTTTTACACAGTTTCAATAATTTTTAAATTATATGTTTGCTGTCAAGTAATAAGATACATTCAAGAGCATATCAATATGTGTGCTGTATAGTGTATAATATTCATTTGGCTTGAATGATATATTCTTGATTTAAGGAGAGACTGCTAAGTCTTCCCTGGCCTTAGAAAGGATTTCCTAAAGCACCTGAGACATGGTGCTTTTTGAATCGAGAGTACCTGGGATGTATTCTCTGCATTCATCTGATACTCCACAGCAACATTGATAGCTCATTCAGATACAACTAGAATCAGACCCAGATCACTTCAGGGAAAGCACCTATCATTGACATCTGATTGCAAAGATGAACAAAGCAGAAAAACAAATAATCCACATGAAAACACGTTCTTTTTATATCAGGCCTTCAGGGGAAATCCGCATAAAACAATGATGCCCCTGAAGAACACATGCAAAGGGAATGTTAGACTATTGTGGTTGCATGTCTCTTTACCCTGCCTGAGTGTACAATGAAGCTAATAGACAATGCCCACTAGTGCTGCAAACATGTTAGAACAATAGAGAAACACATAAACACAACAACGTTCCTTGATCCACTGCTAGGATCCATTGATGAACAGCAGCTCATTTTAAAAAACATATTAAACATTGATATCTCACTTATGTGTGTGTAAAACCCACTTTTGGAAGGAAGAGCAGAGTTTGAACCTCAGTTCCAGATGCAAAAAATTAACGATTGCCTATGTAAACCAGATGTACGCAAAGTGGTTGTTTTAGTAAACTCTCTTGACATGGTCCTTTTCTTCAGGGCCTTCTCAAATAGCTTCAATGAGTATATCCAGGCCGGCCTTAGGAAATGGGGCAGGGTACATATAGTTTGGATATTTGTTCCTGCCAAATCTTATGTTGAAATTTGATCCCCATTGTTGGAGGCAGGGCTTGGTAGGAGGTGTTTGGGTCATGGGGATGGATCCCACATACATGGCTTGGTGCTGTCATTGCAATAACAAGTGAGTTCTCACTCTATTAATTCCTATGAGATCTGATGGTTTAAAAAAAGTCTGTGCTGGGCTCAGTGGGTCACACTTATATTCCCAGCCCTTTAGGAGGCCAAGGCGGGAGGATCACTTAGACCAGGAGTTTGAAGCCAACTTGGACAACATAGTGAGATCTTATCTCTAGAAAAAAAAAAAAAGTTACCCAGGCATGATGGTGCACACCAGTGGACCCAGCTACTCAGGAGGCTGAGGTGGGAGGATTGCTTGAGCCCAGGAGGTTGAGGCTGCAGTGAGCCATGATTACACCACTGCCCTCCAGCCTGGGCAACCGAGTGAGACTCTGCCTCAAAAAGTGAAAAAACCATCGAGAAACTTCCCCCTGTCTTCTTCCATGTGCTACTCCCAACTCCCCTTCATCTTCCATCATGAGTGAAACTTCCTGAGGTCCCCCTGGAAGCAGATGCTGGCACCATGCTTCTTGCACAGCCTGCAGAACTATGAGCCAAATAAACCTCTTTTGTTAATAAATTACTCAGCCTCAGGAATTCCTTTATAGCAACACAAAGCAGACTAAGACAGAGCAGTTCAACATCTTTAAGTATTGAAGAAAAAACTCTGGAACCCAATATATGGACATTCCCAGCTAGTGGAAATGTGGGACAAGAAGGACCCTAAGCATACAAGCTAATGAATACAGGGCTGTTCTCCAGCACATCCTAAGACTCAGTGCATGAATTACCTGCACCTCAAACTTCTATAGAATCCTAATACAGGCCCACCTCCCTGATAGAGACCCTGTCCTTAACCATAACAGTAGCCTGACAGCTTCATTCCCAGAAATGTCAGGTGTTCTGAGATTTCATTTCTACTACTGTTCTTCCAAGGTTTCTCAGCCTCAGCACTGTTGACATTATGAGCAAGGTAATAGTAAATCTTTGCATTGTATTGACTTTCATCCACTCTATGCCAGTGGGTAAAAGTCAATTTCCTCCCTGTTGTGACAACCAAAATTATTTGGACACAATTGCCACTTATGGTTCTCACACTGTTTCTGATTCATTGGAGTCTCATCACCAAACCTTCGAAATGACCTGTCCTTTGTAATCCCTGGCTCTGGACTTGATCCCTTGCCCAGTAAATCAAACTCTTTGCAGAATCAAAGTCCAGGAAATTGGGCTCCTTGAAACACTACTATACAGACCCTCCAAAAACACAGACCCTACCAAAACTCTCTATTAATGGGAATCAAGTTGCCATTTCTTTATCTCCTCATCAATGAATCTTTCAGAAATTCAGGGAAGAGAGAGTCAAAAATTGACAACATCAGAGACCCAGGTGGGGGAGGCTGACCTACCATCTACCCAACCAAGCTCAAGACCCAGGTCTGCAAAATGAGATAGTGGAGGAACTCTGAAAGTGAGCCTTGGTGCAGGAATATCCAGGGAGTTGGAGATGTAGGGTTGGGGACACACACCTGCAACAATCAGGAGGTCTAGGACTTTGGGGGCATATATTTTAGGTCTACCACAAGCACATACACATTGTTGAAGTTCTTGCTGCTGCAGGACATGTTGTGGAGAATTCTGCTTATCTCTAGATTATAAATCACAATACTGACGGTATTCGCTTTCCATGATTTAAAAAGAAATGTTCGTGGTGTTGTAAACACTACTTCAGTATTTTACAGATTATAGACTGATCCAACCCAGTGGGAATTCTTAAGCATTTCTTAAAACGCGAACGGATATATAATTCTCTTTTAACCTCTCCACGTGTTTGTTAGAGATATTTTGTTGAAGAGTCTTGAGAAAGCACACTCTGTCCTCTCAAGCACTCCTGAATACTTGGCAGGAAATAAATCTCCTCATTCTCATTCTAGAGGAGTAGACCTGCTTTGATTTGAAGGCTTGCAGTGTCTCAGAAGCCACTGGGGAAGATGAGAACCACAGGGGCTGCTATGAAGTCAGCGTGCCTAATAAAAATGAGAAAGACGAGAGGGAGTTTGTCGGATGCAGATGCACCTTTAATAATCATAAAGCATATTTGCAGGGTTTTTTAAAATGTTGAGAGTCAAATTACCTTCCTCTGAATTTATGTTGGCTGGGCTTAATCATGAATTCTGAAGAAAATTTAACTTATTAGGAAAGGTTGCTGCAGAAAAATGTAGTAAGACTACTTTATTTTTGGCCGAAAACATTATTAAAAGGACAAAATCATTGTGTGTGCATGTTTGTATACAAGAATAAAATAACTTTTTTAAACTACAACCTCTAGTCCAAAGGATAAAATAAAATTATCTATATCATTTTTTGTTTACACATATATATGCATACTGTATGTAATACTATAATATATAATATATTATCATTTTAATATGTAATATCTTACCTATACACTTTTGCACTTGTATTATCTATATACCTATATTACATGTATATATTATATCTAATATATTATATAGTATTGTACCCATGCATATTATATATAATATATATATCAATATATGTATACCCTGTTGTAATATAAATACAATATGCTATATTGTATACTTTGTATATAGTATTGTAAATATATGCATATACACTTATAATACACAGTGTACAGATAGTAATTGTGTACCTATGTTTTTATTTATATAATCTTTAGAAGAGTTTATTTTGTGGGGCAATTGTATTGTAGTTTTTGTCAAGTTTAGCCTAAGGGACAGAGGAATTTGTCTTTCTTGTAGATGCAAGAATGTTTGGTTTTCAAGGTTTTTCATCAATTTTATATCTAATCAACTTTGAATATTGTAACTATAGTCTTTCACACCAAATTTCTCGTTGTGAATGTCTTGATGCCAAGACAGCCTCTCCCTTCCATTCATAAAGCCACAGCGGACGTTCCCTCACAGGTAGTCCTAGAGAAATCAACGTTATTGGTTTTCAAAGCATGAGCAGATGATCTCATAAATTATCTAACATAGTACCTGGGAAGCTGCGACCCCTCAAAATGGGTTTGTGGAAGGAAAGAAGGAATTATACAAATAAATGAATGCAAACTTGATATCACAGAACACTAATGTAGCAGTTGTAGGAGCTAAGTAAGCTTGGATACAAAAGTGAAGCCTACTCACAGTTGGTTTTCAAAGCCAGTCCAAAGGTCTTAGCAAAGAGAGTTTAAGGTAGGGGCAGAAGAACGTGCTATAAAAAGGATTTTCTTTGTTTTTTGGTAGGATAGTCTATTAGTCCCTTCTCACACTGCTATAAAGAAGTACCTGAGACTGGGTAGTTTATAAAGAAAAGAGGTTTAATTGGCTCATGGCTCTGCAGGCTGTTCAGGAAGCATGGTTGGGGAGGTCTCAGGAAACTTACAATCATGGCAGAAGGCAAAGGGGAAGCAAGCACGTATTCACATGCCCAGGAAAGAGAGAGCGCAGCAGGAGGTGCCACACACTTTTAAACAACAAGATCTTATGAGAACTCACTCACCATCATGAGAACAGCAAGGGGAATATCCGTCCACATGATCCAATCACCTCCCAGCAGGTCCCTCTCCCAACTTTGCAGATTACAATTTGACATAAGATTTGGGTGGGGACACAGAGCCAAACCATATCAGGTGGTTTATAAGTAATCCAGGAACAAAAGAGCAAATACTGCATGATTCCAAGTATATGTGTGATATGGTTTGGCTGTGTCCCTACCCAAATCTCATCTTGAATTGTAGTTCTCATAATCCCCACATATTGTGGGAGGGACCTAGTGGGAGACAATTTAATCATGGGGAAGTTACCCTCATGCTGTTCTCATAATGAGTGAGTTCTCACAAGATCTGATGGTTTTATAAGGGGCTTTTCCCCCTTTTGTTTGGCACTCCTTGCTGCCACTATGTGAAGGAGGATGTGTTTGCTTCCCCTTTTGCCATGATTGTAAGTTTCTGAGGCCTCCCCAGCCATGCTGAACTGTGAGTCAATTAAACCTCTTTCCTTTATAAATTACCCAGTCTTGAGTATGTCTTCATTAGCAGTGTGATAACAGACTAATACTATGTGGAATTTAAAATAATCAAACTCATAGAAACAGAGAGTAGAATGGTGGTTATCAGGGGCTGGACCCTGGAGAGAATAGGGAGCTATTTGCCAAAGGGTACAAAGTTTTGGTTATGCAGGATGAGTAAGTTCTGAAGACCTAATGCACAGCGTAGAGACCATTTGAACCAATACTGTACTGTATACTTGAAAGTCACTAAGAGGATAGACTGTAAGTGTCTCACTACTAAAGAAGAAAGAGGAAGAGGAAGAAGTAGAGGAGGGGAAGAAAATGTCAGATGATGGATCTGTTAATTAGCTTGATTGTGGTGATTGTTTCACAATGTATGCATATATCAAAACATCAAGTAGAACACTTTAAATATATACAATTTTTATTTGTCAACTATATCTCAATAAAACCGAAAGATACAAAAATATAAGCTGGAAGCAAACCCCTCACCTATAGAACTAGAATTTGGATTTTAACAAGTTGCTCTAGGGACTTACTTGAATATTAATAGATAACTAGGGCAGATTTAAAATAAACATCCTTCATTTTTTCTTCTTCTCATTTTTAACCCATGTCCAGGTGCTCAACACATACTAGTGGGACATGCTTCTATTAGTCTGTTCTCATGCTGCTGATAAAGACATACCTGAGACTGAGACTGAGTAATTTACAAAGGAAAAGAGTTTTAATGGACTCACAGTTCCACATGGCTGGGGAGGCCTCACAATCATGGCAGAAGGTGAAAGGCATGTCTTTACATGGTGGCAGGCAAGAGAAAATGAGAGCCAAGTGAAAGGCGTTTCCCCTTATAAAACCAGCAGATCTTGTGAGATTAATTCTGTACCATGAGAATAGTATGGAGGAAACTGCCCCCGTGATTCAATTGTCTCCCACAGGGTCCCTCCCACAGCATGTGGGAATTATGGGAGCTATAATTCAAGATGAGATTTGGATGGGGACACAGCCCAACCTTATCAGTCTTTAACAGAACCGGTCACCTCATGTTCTTACAAATCATGCCGTCTTATGGAAGGTGATAAAACGTTTTTCTTGCAGATTGTATGCTGAAAAATTGCTTGAATATTTTAATAAATCTTTGATATAGTCTATAAGGGAACAAATTAAGAATAATTGAGCTTATTGAAAAAAATAGATTGAGATACTACATTTTAAGCAGTGATACTTTTAGCCTGCCTTTGGTATTAATATTTCACCTTTGTTAATAGATGTATTCCATAACTAGGAAGATGTTTCTGTTTTCATCAGAATTGACAGAATTGTTTTCACTTATTATTTTCTGATTTCATGTAGCATACTAGCTCATGCTTCTGCCTGGATTGTAAACACTTTGTATTTGTGTTGATTTCTAAACTACAGAGTGTTTTCAGCTTGGATGTCTGAAGAGATTTTAAGGTCAATCCCTTAAACATAACCTTTCTACATCACCTCTACCAAGGCCAGCATCTGTATTTCTGCTTCTGTCCTCAGTGCATCACATACCAAAGAAGTCTACTTAATGTATGAGCTTTAGAAAATATAGATTTTATAAAAATAGGATTTCCACAAGCGTCTTTTGTTTACAGAGGAGAAAGCCATTATGGCTTTTGGATTGTACACAGAGACAATATGTAAGCCTGTAAGAGATTTTCTTGCAGGAATTTTCTGCATTATTCAAAAGTCCTTTCCTCTGTGGCTGAGTTTTGTCTCTTTGTATTGTAATTATGCCATATTCCCACAGACTTGTCTACCTTCTCTGTAATGTGCATTAATCACGTTATGGACATTCTTGACTCAGTCCCTTGCAGGAAAAATGTGTTAGATAGTAATCAGGAAAACAAAAAAGAAGTAGAAGGAATAATACACTTGTTTCTTCTAGGTTTTAATACAAATTTATAATTTTCTCCCCAAAGTACAATACGCCATGCAAATATTTTACTAGATTAATTTCCATGCATGGTGTACATTGTTATTGTAAATGATTTTCACTTTTTTATTAAAAAAAAACAACATTCTATATCTTTCTTCTGTCCAGTGGGAAAGTATTTGGGTTTCTTTTTTGTGTGATCGTAAGGTCTTATATCAAGTGATGCCTAAACTATTAATTTTACAATGTATCTGTTTATTTTTATCATTTGTACTTCAGTTTATCTACGAAAATTATTTTCATGTTTTCCTCTTCACAACTTCGATGTTTTATCCTAAGCTGACTAGGATCTTACATGCAATATTGAACATGTACAAGATAATATATGTGCTTGCTTTCTTCTTGATTTTGAAGGAAGAGGTTGCATGTTCCATCATCAAGTATAAACATAAGGTGAGGGTTTTTTTCTTCTAAAGTCCTAATTATTTTTCTTATTTTAAAATATAGAAATAGCATCCAATTTTTATCAAGGAGTATTGCATTTTTTGAGATGAGCATTTTGGTTTTGCTTACTGTGTTAATATTAGAAAACATTCATTCATCATTTGGATATATCCATTTTAATCATCAAAATATGCAACACATATACAGATGTCATACATTATCAGGTATACAACTATTTTTAAATTATACAATTTTAAAATAGTACAATTTAAAAATAGTTGTGTACTTGATTATCAGAGTTAAGAACACTTTTCATTAGAAGGACCAAGTAGTCAAAGTGAATAGACGTTTTTTGGCCCTCCCACCTCACCCCTAACATACACACATATTTTATGTCAGAGTTCTCAACAAAAATAAATAACAAAATAAGAAATTCTAATGAATACATATATTTGAGGCTTATTTTTCACAATACTTTTTTCAGTGCTGTTATAATAACAAAATATAAACTGCATGGCTTTGTTCTTTAACATGTTCAAGTTTAGGTGTATATTGAATTATGAAATAACATAATTATAGCAAATTGAATCACAGAAAAATTATTGAGAGTTCACAAACATCCTTAGACAGTAATATAATGTGAATTATACAATAATTCATTTCAGGTTTTGAATAAAATTGCATTATTAAATTAGATGACAAGCAAACATATCTCCTTTTATAATAGAAATCTGTGAAAACAAAATATATATAGTACTCTTCACAAAATGTTGAATGTTACACGATAAAATTGCAAGGAAGCCAGGTCTCAAAATACTTCCTTTTTGAAATCTAATAGAAAATTAAATAAATAAGAAAATGATATTTTGAAAACACACTGGCTGGGAAACTATTTGCAAACCTCATACCTGACAAAAAACTAGTACCTAGTGCATATAAAGAATTCTTTAAACTCAGTGGTAGAATGAGCCACACAATCCAGTTAGAAGATGGATAAGCAGGCTTGGCATGGTGGCTCACGCCTGTAATCCCAGCACTTTGGGAGGCTGAGGCGGCTGGTTCACCCGAGGTAAGGAGTTCAAGACCAGCCTGGCCAAGGTGGTGAAACCCCATCTCTACTAAAAATACAAAAAATTAGCCGGGTATAGTGGCAGGTGCCTGTAATCCCAGCTATTCAGGAGGCTGAGACAGGAGAATCGCTTGAACCTGGGAGGCAGAGGTTTCAGTGAGCCAAGATCGCGCCATTGCACTCCAGCCCAGGCAACAAGAGCAAAACTCCAACTCAAAAAAAAAAAAAAAAAAAGAAAGAAAAAAGAAAATGGATAAGCAAAAATTGGAATTTTCACCGAAGAGGTTTTACAGATGGCAAATAAACAGATGAAAACACGTTTAATGTTATCAGGTACTACAGAAATGCAAGTTAAAATTACAGTGAAATATCACTACACACTTATGAGACTGACCAAAAAAAAAAAAATTGTGACAACATTAAATGCTGAATGCTGGCAAAAATGTGGAAACTCAATCACCCATATATTTCTATAGGAATGCAAAGTGAAACAGCCACTCTAGAACACAGTTGAGCAATTTCTGCAAATAAATACATAAGCAACCACTATTGAACCCAGCACTTTTGGACATTGATTCCAGAAAAAGTGGAAACTTATATCCACACAAAATCCCATACATAAATATTCCTAGCAGCTTTATTCATATAGTACCAAACTGAAAACTGCCAACTTGTCCTTCAGCAAATGAATTGTTAAGCAAATAATGGTGTATCCATACCATAAGATATCAGTTGGCAATTAAAAAGAAACAAACTATTGATATATGCGTCAGCTTGGATGAATCTCAAGGGAATTCTACTAAAAGAATAAAGCCAATCCCAAAAAGTTATATATTGCTTGTTCCCAGTTATACTACATTTTTGAAATAAAAACGAAGTTTTATCAATTAGGAACCGATGAGTGGTGGCTTGGGATAATGGAGAGGTTGAGAAAGGAAGGAAAGTACCAGTGGCTATGAAACGTTAAAAGCAGGGATTTTTGTCATGGTCAATATCTGACTGTATCCACGGTCTGTATCTTGGAGGTGATACTGTATTATAAATATGAAGATGCTATAACTGAAGGAAACTTGGTAAAAATGTAATTAGATCTCTGTCTATTATCTCCTACATCACATGAGCATCTACAATTATCTCAGAATAAAAAAGAAACTTTAATTAAAAATTGAACACATGAGCAAACGAACAACATATAGCCACGCAACTGGCCATCTTCAGATAAGGAAACAAAACTTCAGAGCAACCTACATGAGAGACAGCCATCCACAAAAATACGGAAGGGTTTCCTAAATGGACAAGCAGAGTCCTTTTCTTCCTCTTTGGGATCCATGAAGGAGGAGCCATGAAGGAGGAGCAGAAGGGACCAAACCCTCAAAAGATGTCATTAATGCCTTCAATTTGGTGAAAGAAAATTAGCCTTGGAATTATAGTAGCCTTGGATGCCAGAAGGATTTTCCTTTAGAGAAAATTCTCTGTTATAAATAAGACTAGGGTTTCTAATGAGTCTCTGAAATAATTTCTATGTTAAACTATACATTCTTTCTCTCTTAATCAGTCATCATAATGAATATCACTACACATATTACTCATGATTACCTACTTAATAGTTTACTTGGGCTGCCATAACAGAGGATCACAGGCTAGGTAGCTTAAACAACAGATGTTATTCTCTCACAATCCTGGAGGCTGGAAGTCCAAGATCAAGGTGTCCACAGAGCTGGTTCCTACTGCGGACTCTTTCCTTGGTTTGTAGATGTCATCTTTTCCCTGCGTCCTCATGTGGTTATCCCTTTGAGTGTGTCTGTGTCCGGATCTCCTCATCTCATAAGGACCCTAGTCCTATTGGATTAGGCCCATCAAAATGACTTCATTTTACCTCAATTATCTCATAAAGACCCCGTTACCAAATACAGTCACATTCTGAGATAATGGAAGTTAGGACTTCAAGATATAAATTTGGGGTAAAATGAAATCCAACTCATAACATTCCCTAATGTCTTTCATGACTGATATTCTTTTCTTTCTTTCTTTCTTTTTTCTTTCTTTCTTTCTTTCTTTCTTTCTTCTTTTTTTTTATGTTACATTTAAGGCAGGGGCTTTCTTAGACTTCAAAGAAAACATTGCCACAGTCATTTCCCAAAGACACAAACGAACAAACAAACAAAAGGGACTGTGTTGAACATAAGGTGTTAGTTTTATCATGGCTATACATATGACACAAAAATATGAGAATTTTGAAGTTAATAATATATTTCAACATAAATGTGAATTATTACTTACTCTATGTTTTCCGCTATTTATTGCCAGACAGCTGGAAGTTTGTGTTCCAAAAACTAGTGTGGGAGCTAAGATCATAATGAATGAGGAAAAGCTGAAAGACTTTTCTGTAAGAACTGGAGCAGGACAAGAATTCCCACTTTCATCACTCATATTTAACGTAGTCCTGGAAGTCCTAACCAGAACAATCAAGCAAGAGAAAGAAAGAAAGGGGATTCAAATTGAGAAAAGAAAAGTCAAATTGCCCCTCTTTAAATGATATAATGTTATATGATTAAAAAAAAAAATAAAAATTCCACAGAAAAAAACCCAGCTCTTGAAACTGATAGGCTGGGCACAAAACCCCATCTCTACTAAAAATACAAAAGTTAGCCAGGCATGGTGGCGGGCGCCTCTAATGCCAGCTACTCGAGAGGCTACAGCAGGAGAATCGCTTGATCCCGGGAGATGAAGGTTGCAGTGAGCCGAGATAGTGCCGCTGCACTCTAGCCTGGGTGACAGAGTGAGACTCCGTCTCAAAAAACAACGAAACAAACCAAAAAACTGATAAATTCAGTAAGATGCAGGATAGAAATCCAACATCCAACATACAAAAATTAGTAGTGTTTCTATATACAAATAACAAATGAGCTAAAAAAGAAATCAGAAATCACTTCCAATAGCTACAAAATAAAATAACTAGAAATTAACTTAATCAAAAAGTGAAAGATCTCTACGATGAAAATTAGAAAACACCTATGAAAGAAATTTCAAAGGACACACAAACGGGAAAGTCATCCCATGCTAATTCATTGGAAGATTTAACACTGTTAAAATGACCATATTACACAATGCAAACACAGATTCAATGTGATCCCTATCAAAATACAAATGATATTCTGCAAAGAAATAAAAAAAATGGACAGCCCTAAAATGTTTATGGAACCAGAAAATATTCTGAATAGCCAAAGAAATACTGAGCAAAATGAACAAAGCTGGAGACATCACACTACCTGACTTCAAAATGTACTACAAAGCTATAGCAACCAAAACAGCACAGTATTGGTATATACACAGACACGTAGACCAATGGAACAGAAAACAGAAGGCAGAGATAAATTCACATACTTACAGCCAACTACTTTTTGACAAAGGCACCAAGAACATACATTGGGGAAAGGACACTCTTTTCAATAAATCGTGTCGGGAAAACTGGACATCCCTATGCAGAAGAATAAAATTAGGCCACTATCTCTCATCATACACTAAACCAATTCAAAATGTCTGAAAGATTTAAACATAAGACCTGAAAATATAAAACTCCTGGAGGAAAATGCAGGGGAAATACTTCAAGACATTGATCCAAGCAAAAGTTTTATGGGTATGACTTCAAAAACAAGGGCAATAAAAACAAAATAGACAAATAAGAATATATCAAACAAAAAGGCTGCTGCATAGCAAAGGAATCATCAACAAAGTAAAGAAAGAAACAGTAGAATGGGGGAAAAAATTTGCAAACTATTTATTCCACAAGGAACTAATATCTGTAATGCACAAGGAATTCAAACAACTTCACAGCAAAAACTAATAATTTGATTTAAAAATGGGCAAAGAATTGGAACAGACTTTTCTCAAAAAAAAAACATACAAATATTCGACAAATATATGAAAAAAATGCTTAACATCACTTATCAGGGAAATGCAAACAAAACCACAATTAGATATGATATACTCCCAGTTAGAATGGCTGTTATCAAAAAGACAAAAAGTAACAAATGCTAAGTAGGATGAGGGGAAAAAGAGACTTTTTAGCACTGTTGGCAGAAATGTAAATTATTACAATGGAAAATAATATGAAGTTTTCTCAAAATACTAAAAATAGAGCTACCATATGATCCAGCAGTCCCACTACCTGGTATCCAAAGGAAAGGAATGCAATATGTCAGAAAGACCTTTGTACCCCCATGTTTATTGCAGCACTATTCACAACAGCCAAGATATGGAATCAACTTAAATGCCCAATAACAGATGAATAGGTAAAGAAAATGTCATATAGATACACAATAAAATATTCTTCAGCCACAAAGAATAAAATCCTGCCATTCACAGCAACATGGATGAGCCTGGAGGATATTATGCTAAGTGAAATAAGCCAGGCACAGAAAGATAAATATCACATGTTCACATTCATCTATAGAATCTGAAAAAAGAAATGCCTCATGTTAGTAGAGAGTAGAATTGTGGATATTAGTGGCTGGAAAGGGTAGGAGTGAGGAAGGATGGGGAGAGGTTGGTTAATGGATACAAAATTATAGCAAGATAGGAATATGTTCTAATGCTTGATAGCGCAGTAGAGTGAATATAGTTAAAATAATGTATTGTATATTTTCAAAAATTTAGAAGAGAGGATTTTGAATGTTCCTAACACAAAGAAATGATAAATATTTGAGGTATTGGATATGCTAATTGCCTTGATTTGATCCTGACACATTGTATTCATGTATTGAACTATCACTCAGTATCCCATAAATTGTGTAATTATTACATGTCAACTTAAAGCAAAAGGAAAAAAAAAAAAAACCTTGTTGTTACTAAAGGCACTGAATAGGCATTTACTACAATTTATTTCATGTATGTATTCTTGGGGAATTGCGGTAGATAGAAGAATTTTTAACGTTGGAATTTTTCATCTCTTTCTCTAGAAAATCAAATGCAAAGATGATATTCTGGTCAGGTGGAGGGTTTTGGTTTGTTTGTTTAACATTTATATTATTGCCTTTTGGACTTGGTTCCACTTAATGCTGCTCAACTAAATTGCTGTTTATGGGGAAAGCATGACTCTGAATATTAATGAAAGAACTTCATCTTTAAGAAAGAAAGTATCTAGTTGAACCAGGAAGATGCACAAGAAAACATGACCTCTGGATAAAATGCTTGATTATTAAGTTGAAGAAATAGATTTATCAGTTATCTATTTTCAGGAATACCGTAACAGTCAGTTTGAAATGTTGATACAAGTGTAATAAAATTGGACATATGTGTCTTATTTAAACTTGTGAATGTTGTCAGAATAAAAGTGGGGTGATTTGTGTTAAAGATCCTGGGAAACGGAGCTGAGGCAGGCCATGAAGAGGGGGAAGGGTGACACACAATTCCCTAATAACAAGAACTATCATAAGACTGCAAAATCCACAAGCTTGCACGAAGACCCCTACAAACTTAAAGTACTTCTGCAAGGACATCTGCCCAGCAACTGCCTGTGCAACTCCAATTGACATTATACTTGTTATTGATCCTTATAGACAAAGATAATTATGTCAACAATTATGCATCCTCCTCAACTTTTCCTTCAAAAATCTTTGTCTTTCTTTACCTTCCTGAATATGCGCATACTTTACTGTGGTGTTCATATGCCCATTGCAATGTCCATTCCCAAATAAATATCGTTTTCTTGCAGTGAGTCGCTCTGTCTGCTATTTCTATTGACAAACTTTTACCTTACTATGATGCAAATATAAAAATACTATCGTTGTATTTTAGAATCATTTATTCTAAATTCCAAAGTGATGTAAAAACAGGCATATGATGCCAGGAAGGACAAGAACGCCCTCCTAACTTTACTTGGAATAGACACCCAAGATCTATTCTTCAGCAATTGTGTGTATGTATATATATATATATATATATATGTATATATATATATATATACACACACATATATACATATATATACATATATATGTGTGTGTGTATATATATACACATGTGTATATATATATATATATATATATATATATATATATATATATAAAATATCAGTGCTTATTAAGGACTTGGTGGTTATAGCCAGATACATAGGCTTTGATTTGTGTCTTTAAGGTACAAATTTTAGCTATTTTAGCATTTCAGGTGCCTTCAGCAGTGCTATGGGTTGAATTGTGCCACCCTCAAATTAACGGGTTGAAGCCTAATTGCCAACAGGATGGTATATAGCGATGGCACATTTGGGAGGTAATTTAGTTTAGGTAAATTCACGAGGGTAGAGTCCTCTTGATGGAATTCATGGCCTTATACGAAGAAGAGACACCAGAGCTATCATTCTCTTTTTCTCTGTGCCACATAAAGACACAGTGAGACGGTGGCTATCTGCCAGCCAGGAAGAGAGCCCTCACTAGAAATCAAATCTGCCAGCACCTTCATCCCAGACTTCCAGCCTGCAGAACTCTGATAAGGTACATTTCTGTGGTTCAGCCACACAATCCATAGTATTTTGTGATATCAGCCCCAGCAGACTAATACAATAGAGCCTCAAGACCCTGATTTGTGGTAAAGCTCAGGGGAGATTGTTTTGGTAGCAAGAAGGTTATCAGTCCATGATGTCAATATGGAAGAAACAAAGGGAAGAAACACTAATACATGACCAGATATTAATGCATGTATCCATAACTAGTTGCCTTTGCCTTGAATGATATCACCAGTTTTGTTTGGGACAAAACAAAAACAAAAAATGTTTCAATGCAAGACCACCTCTTCTTTGAACCTCTCTAGTGTCTCCAGGTCTTAGGTTCATGGGCTCTATATTCTATTGCATGTTGTTCACCCTTCTCCTAAGTATGAAATATAGATGATGCATATCAATTATGTATTTGTTCAACTACAAGAATTTGAAATATCTGACCACAATGATTACATTTTTCAATTACATTTTCCTGGCATCTACCACAATCTTTACACATAGCAGAATGGCAATGATATTTGTGAAATAAATGATAGAGTGAACAAAATATCAGGATACAACAAGGGATGCCAGCCCAGCGACCATGATAAAGAGAATAAAATATGTCCATAAAAATGGTAAATGATATTATTTAAAAGTATTATTATTTTAAAAAGAAGCATAAGGTAAAGCAAGCACAGGGGACAGTTTGAAATAATCTAAGTAAGAATGTGAATAAGAATGCATGTCCTGCTTTCAGTATTCCTCTCTTGCAAGTACACGCTCCATGCCTCATTTTGTAGCACGTTGGCTCCCTTCTGTATCAAAGATGGTAAAATTTACAACTGCCTAATTGTCCTTGAAATCATACCATCTTTTTCTCCTCAGAAAGAGGACATGAGTTTTCATAGAAAAAGCAAGTGTATGAGAAAAATCATATTAGATTTCTCATCAATTTAATTTACTTTCGAAAGTTATCTTTGCCTTTTAATTTCTAATTAGATTGCTTTTCCTCCACCACAGGCATTATGTAAATAAAATGTTTTCTTTTGCATTTGGCTTCAGGATTAATTGTGACTGGATACATTTCACATTTCATGGGCAAAGACACAAAGTACAATGACCACTGACAGCTTGAATCAATAGCTAATTACTAGCAGAGTATTAGAGACATTTAGCAAAGGCAAAATTCTTGAATGCTGCTTTCCAAGGAAATTCCGAGTTTAGTCTCAGTATCACCTTCAGCATTCATCTTGTCAGTCATTTACATTATACCATTTATAGAAAACTTCCCCCTGAAAATAAATTACCTATTTTCCTACTGGTCAGCAATTTGAAAATGACCACTTACCATGTTTTGCATTAGGATTTAATTTATCAACAGTACCCGGCAGTGGAATAATGAGTAAAAACATTGAAAAGGAGTTTAGTGACTGACTGATTATGAGAAAGGAGGGGAGGATAGAAAATGACTTTACACCTGGCCTTTGGTGTTACACTTTTGCCAAGAAGTCATCTTTTAAGATATGGTCATTTCCGTCTAGTCTTCAAAAATACGGCTGTGCTGGCCAGTGCAGTGTGTTATTTTCTGGCCACTTTAGATTAAACTTATCCCCTACCATTTTCCGTATGCTCTCAACACATGGGTCCATTCCGAAGCTCTTATGCCATGCTGATCCAATCTGACGTGATTATGAATCCCTCTGCCTAGATACAGCATATTCTATTATTTTATTGCCAAAAGAAATGCTTCTCCAGGAAACTCTAAGATCTTGGAATATTCCACTATTTGTATCTGGGAATGAGGGCAGAAAGAATTGATCTGCTTCAGAGGGCCAACAGCAAGACCCCTACCCAGTGAAATCAGCATTTCCGCTTCCTTTCCAGACTGTTCTAATTCACCTTTCCTCACGCAATCCTTGGAATCTTTACTCTGTGCACAGTGGAAAAGCATTCTTTTTAAAAAAAAAAAAAAAAGAAGTTTTAAGTTCAAGAGTACATGTGCAAGTTTGTTTATAGGTAAATTTATGTCATGGGGGTTTGTTGTACAGATTATTTCATCACCCAGGTACTAAGCCTAGTATTCATTAATTATTTTTCCTAATCCTCTCCCTCCTCCACCCTCCACCATCAAGTAGGCCTCAGTGTGTGTTGTTCCCCTCTATGTGTCCATGTGTTCTCATCATTTAGCTCCCACATATAAGTGAGAACATGCCGTATTTCGTTTTATGTTCCTGCATTAGTTTGCTAAGGATAATGGCCTCTAGCTCCATCCATGTCCCTGCAAAGGATATGATCTCATTATTTTTAACAGCTGCATAGTATTTCATGGTGTATATATACCACATTTTCTTTCTCCAGTCTATCACTGATGGACATTTAGGTTGGTTGTGTTTCTTTGCCATTGTGAATAGCGCTGCGGTGAATATGTGCCTATGTGTGTCTTTATGGTAGAATGATGTATACCATCTCACCCCAGTCAGCATTCATTTTATGACCTGTATTCTTTCAATTCATTCAGCTGTTCTGGGAGGCTGAAACTCAATAGCCATTAATTGACTTCTTTGTACTTTGTATTCTGTGGATTGCCCCTCCTTAAATTCTGAGAATATGCATGGACTTAGGGGACTGATTGGAGAAGGACAAATCACATCAGGAAATGCACCTGAAAAAATAAAAGAAGAAATCGCCATGGTCATTTCTTGAAAATTATATTTTGTCCCATCAGACTTTCTCTAAAAGGCACTTTGATGAATCCTACCTTCATTTGCATGGTTTTCAGAGCAGACAGATTCTTCTTTATTATCTTTCTTTTACTCTCCTTGAAGTCCATTTCAAGTCATATCATCTCCAAAAGGTTTATCTGAAGAATTTCATTGTTTTCTGAGTACTCCACATTTTGAATTAATCCAATTTTATAATCTGCACTCATTGTATCACCACTACTGTACGGACATCAACCTCATGTCATCCAAACAGACTTATGTGAACCCCTGCTCCTTGCCCCCCAACCCACATGGTTATTCCAGTAACTGCTTTGTTATTACAGCCTTAGAGTCCCTCTGGCCATTCCTGTTAGCCCCAGGATGGGCACTTAATTTGAGTTGCATTTTTCTGTCCCTTTGATCTGAGTCATGAGCTAATTGGTTTCTCCTCTTCTGTAAATTAGAAGCAGTTCTGGACATGATTTCTTTTCTTCAGCAGTGTGAGAGTGAGAGAAATAGAGTGTCCTTTCTTGGGTGCTCTCTCTTAGATCAAGTATTTTCAAGAGAGACCAGATATAGGGAAAGCCTTTTCCTAAATCTTTACATTCTCCCCAGCCTTCTGGTCAACTTTATTAATCAATATGTTTTAGAAATCCTTAAATCTTTGAATCACAATGGTAAGCACTATAGATCTTTATCGATCTACTTAGGTGTCAGTGGCATTTTTAAAATAGTATAAATAGGTCTTCTAATTACAATTCCTTGACTAACAATTTGAATTAGAAGTCTATCAAATAGTAGTTTGCAATAATTATCTGATGTGGACATTTCTTGGGCATATAAATCTGAGCCAATTGGATCTGTCATCTCTGACAGATGATTTTTCTCAAATTTGCTAAAATGCTAAAAATAATGTATGTCGTCTGTAATATCCTATTGTGAATGCACACATATGTAACTTAAAGATGTATATTCACATGAATGAGTTATTAGCAATGTGGTGAATATTAAGGAATCAATATTCTTAACCATGCCCTTCATGGTTAAAAATTAACTTGGTTACCAAGTTAACTCTAAAAATAAAATAATCTCTTTGGAAAGGATCATCCAAAAAATATTAATACTCTAGTCTATGTATATGCTAGTGTCTGAGTAAAAGGACAATGAATCACTAACATTTGAAATATAATCTCAGTATCTGTGATGTTGTAGTTGCAATCATTTTACAGAAATAAAAAGTTTAAATGTTTTTACTTACCTATAGTACAATTTATATTTTGTCTTCTTATATCCAGCAGTTTTAATTTTTAAAAATCTTCTCAAACATCAGTTTTCCAAACTTCTAATACAATATAAATCAGTTATAAAT
This sequence comes from Homo sapiens, assembly GCF_000001405.40. Taxonomy (NCBI): domain Eukaryota; kingdom Metazoa; phylum Chordata; class Mammalia; order Primates; family Hominidae; genus Homo; species Homo sapiens. The sequence goes on from NC_000023.11 coordinate 5,019,706, forward strand.
ATTTCATAAAATAGATTTATATTTATATAGCATTTTGAATTTTGAAAAGAAACATAAATGTCAGCCATGAGTGAGAAATTCCTTAAGAATGCAGGGGATCTTAAATCAGTTTTTAAAAAGAATTCGAAGTCATATTTTGATACGAAATCAGCTCTTCTAGATAAAGAGAAACGACATTATGTCCAAAGAAAACATGGTCACGATAACGTAATTTTTTTCTTTTTGTCACTAAGGTTTGTTCAAAGCCTCATTTGATACACTAATTATTAAGTATACATTTTTTACTGCTGTTTAACAAATCACTACAAATCCAGGCCCTTAAAACAATACTCAGTCATTAGCTCACAATCCTGCAGGTCCGAAATTTGGACAATGCATATCAGGGTCCTCTGCCCAAGGTCTTACACAGCTGAAATTAAGGCATTGCCCCATCTTTTTCTTGAGTTCAGTGGTGGTGGCGGAATCTAGTTCCTACGGTTGTAGAACTGAGGTCTCCATTTCCTTTATGTCTTTTAACAAGGGGCGGGGCTCGTCTCCTTGGTGTCTGCTCCTTGTCAAATACAGATGTCCATTTTCAAAGCCAGCAGCAAAGACTCTCTCTCCTGTAAAATCTTTTTCATGCTTTGAATCTGTCTTTCGAGGAATAAAGCTGTACTTTTGAAAGTCTAACATGACTAGATCAAGCCCACTGAGGGTAATCTTTCTCTCTTAAGGTCAACTGTGCCTTGTAGCATAAACTAATCACTGGGCTAGTTATTTTGCTTTCATCATCTCATTGTCAGGCCCATCCTACACTGAAGGGGAGGGAATTATACAAAGATGTAGGGCACTGGGGATTGCCTTGCAGCTCTTTGTACCATAAGATACCAATTTTCCTGATCATATAGTATCAATCAATAAATCTAATGAGAATTAAACCTTGAGTTGAAATAGCACAGTCGTGGGGAAGACAGAGCAGTTAAAATAAGACCATACTCTCGAGAACACAAAGAGGTATGGTAAGTCCATGCTCTTTGCCTCAGTTGAAGGAGCCAGAATATGCATCCCAACTATAGGCAAGGCCACTGAGATGCATATTCTGGCTCCTTCAACTGAGGCAATAAGCATGGACTTAATATCATATTGCTTCCTTTAAACAAGCATCTGTGGATGAAGAAACTCAACGGTCAAATTTTCCTGCATGTGTTTTGCCATTTAGAATTCAGTGATGCTAGTTCATGCTTATGCAGACAGAGCACCCAGCCTTGAGAATACACTATTCAGATATTCTGGGTAGGTGATGAGACTAAGAGAAAGTTGGTGCAAGCACTTCATTCAACTTTATTTTTGCCCTTTCCTTTTAGAAAACACATGTCGTTTCCTTTTGTAAAACCACAGTATTCTGGATTTCAATTTGATTGCTCAATGTGGTATATTAAGAAAAGCACATTTGGAGACAATCTGAAAACATCAACAAAGAAAGGTGTTGGTGGGATTTACTATCTAATGTATTACCCAAAGTGTGACTTCGGGCCATGATAGCCAGGGCTCTGAGAAGCCACTGCATTCTATATCATGCCCCATCTAGCAGCATTTGGCAGAAGTGAAGTAAGTATTAACAAAAGAAGTCGCTTCACCATGGACAGGTAAGTTGCAGACATTACTAGTATTAAACAATTTCCCTTGGATATCTGGACACATGTGTTGGAATGAAACATGCTTATGCATATAGAATTTACCCAGCTTCTTTTTCCTTGTTTGTCTTTTAGTAACTCAAGTGCAATGAACTGGAATAATGACAGTTCACTAGCATCATTTGTTCATGTTTGCTTTTCTTTTATCCATTCATTCATCTGTCCATTTATTTACCTACCTCATAAAGACATCCATCCATCCATCCATCCATCCATCCATCCATCCATTAACCCACCCAAACATCCATTCATCTATACACGCATCCATAAGACCATCCACGCATCCGTGCATCAACTCATCCATCCATCTGCCAATCTATCCACTCATCTATTCATGCATCCATTAGCTCATCCACACATCCATTCATACACTCATCCATTCATCCATCCATCTGTGCATCCATCCATCCATCCATCCATCTGTCCATCCATCCATCCATCTATCATTCATCTATCCATCCATCCATCCATTAGCTCATCCACACATTCATCCATCTATCCATCTATGCATCCATTCATCCATCCTTCCATACATCCATCTTCCATCCATTCATCCATCCATCCATCTATCCATTCATCTGTCCATCCATTAGCCCATCCACATATTCATCTATCCATTTCCCCAATTATTTTTTCATTCATTTTAAAAAGCACTTATGAACTCATAAGCCAACCCAAGAATAAGAACATTAGCAATAAATTTGATCAGCCGATGTGCTATTTCCTTTAACTATCTGCCTACCTCTGCAATCGAGGTGATCAATATTTCAAATTTTAACTTAAAAAATCATTTTAAAAATAAACTGTTATAATATTATATAATGCCATATATACCATTGTTGGTATTACTTGGTGATATGGTTTAGATGTTGTGTCCCGTCCAAATCTCATGTTGAACTGTAATCCGCAGTGTTGGAGGAGAGGTTTGGTGGGAAGTGTATGGGTCTTAGAGGCGGATCCCTCATGGATGGCTTGGTGCCTCCTCGAGGTAATGAGTTCTTGCTCTGAATTCATGTGAGATCTGGTTGTTTAAAAGCGTCTGGCACCTCCCTCCTCTCTGTGTCTCCCCCTCTCAGCATGTGACATGCCTGCTCCCACTTCACCATCTGCCATGAGTAAAAGCTTTCTGAGGTCCTCTCCAGAAGCTGGGCAGATGCCAGTGTCACACTTCCTGTATAGCCTGCAGAACCATGAGCCAATTAAATCTCTTTTCTCTATAAATCACACAGTCTCAGATATCCCTTTATAGCAATGCAAAATGGTTTAATACACTTGGCATTGTTCGTGCTAAACATTTAAAACAATGGCATCATGGGTTAGAGAGGCTTCTGAGGCTTCTTTCTAAACTAGATAAGATGTTATTGAGCTCCATCCATGCGGCTATGTGTAGCTATAGTTGATTCACTTTTCTACTGTATCATATTAAATATTTTATTATTTCCATATCACTATATATGCAATTTAACAGGAATTTAATTATATTTCATTGTATGCAAAGTACAACAAATTCTTGCTACTGTGTGTGTAGTACTATTTTTACCAAATGTTTGAATCTCCACACGCTACCTGAGAAATCAGCTTTTTTCTCTGAGGGTAATGAAGATTTGATCTATCTAATACTGTTAGGATAGCTGCTGTTGAGTTGTGGTGATTCATAGGAGGCTGAATCCAAAGAAGACCAATAAGCCAGTAAAATAACACCATTACAACAGGTTTAAAAAAATCCCTAAAGTCTGAAAATGCAGTGGTAATTCCAGGCAACATTATATTAACTGAAATCAAAAAAGTTCTTAAAGACAGTTATCCATGATTGATGATTCTCTATTTTATATTTGGTTAGTGTGGGGAGAAAATATACACATATTACAGAATCAAGTTTTTGTTCTTTATAATGTTAACAATAATTCCCCAAACATATTTTCCTTGTACTTAACAAAATTATTGACATTATGGACTTTCATTATGCCTCTTGGCACAATACAAATCACCATAATACTAAGAATGGATTTTTCCCTGAAAAATGTTTTCTTGTTATTTTTCTAGAAAAGAAAAATTTATACATGTTTCAGCTTAAAATATCAATGTCCAAATACATTAAATATTCTTCTAAAGAAAAACATGGTCTAATTTTCATGCTATGGTTAATTTTGAGATATAAATAGTCTGCAATGTATCCATCTACCCACCATCCATCCATCCATTCATCTATCCATCCATTAGCCAATCCACACATCCACACATCCATGCATCCATCGATCCATATATCCATCCATCCATTCATCTATCCATCCATCCATCTGTCTATCCATCCATCCATCCATTGATCCATCCATCCATTCATCTATCCATCCATCCATTAGCTCATCCACATATCTATCCATCTATCTATTAGCCCAGCCACACATCCATCCATCAATCCCCTGATCCATCCACCCATCCATTCATCTATCCATCCATCCATTAGCTTATCCATACATCCATAACCTCACTTCTTTTCTTTTTTTCCATTCACAATGATAACTCTATGGGAGATTGAATGATACAACCATTTACATACAAATAATATAATTTTCAAAACATGTTTAACAATCAAAAAACAAAGTTGGAAGAGGTCAAAGATCAAGCATTTGGATACCTCACCATCTTCTGAGCATAAGGAACATGGAACCTATTTTACAAGCCTAGAAATTCATCCACAGGTGCCACTCAGCAGTGCACCTTAGTAATGTAGTTCCAGATAGCATCACAGGAAACGACCTATCGATTTGAGGTCTCCTCCCCCACATTAAAGCGGAGATATTCTGCCTGTCTTCTTACTTCAGAGTGGGGGTATTTGGCAAAAACCAAGAAACACTGAGGACTCTTTTCAAAGAGACAAGGTTAACTTGAAAGAGACTAGGATGTTCTCTGTTTACAGGTATGGCGCTGTTCGTTCATAATGCCCATGTTAATAGAATTTCTGGAGTTAATATGTAAAGGTATAGAATCTGAAGGCCTCAGTGACAATTTTGGATCTCACATCCGTTGCCCTATTGTATTAGGGAAGTATTAGAGTATCAGTGTTTCACGTTCCTACACATTAAATTGTAAGAAGAAATTTTTCAAAATCTTAATGAGGTTGATGTGTAGAGTAAGCCATACAATCCATAAAAAATGCATATTGAGATCAGCCCAATATTCTCTGAATCTGTTCCGTTTGTGGTAATTGATGACATAAGCCAGTCATGTCGGAGAACTGGTAGCAAAAAGGGTAAAACATAAGAAGAAATTTGGGAAGTCAGGGGCCTAGGAAGACAAAACTGGGGTTCAGATACCAGCAAAAATAATGATCAGCCTTCCTCCTTGAAATAAAATTCCAGTTAGGACACAGGTAGGGTTATCCTATATGAGTAAAGCAAACCTAAAATGACTTAAAAACAACTTTGAAACAATTTAAGTTCAGACAGGATTAAGGTGATCTTCCCCTACTCTAGTTCCCCTACTCTAGTTGACTGACAGAAAAAAAAGTTCTACAGAGGAATTACTTCAGAATTTCATCCATAACTATATATCTATCCCTAATTTTATCTATCTATCTATCTATCTATCTATCTATCTATCTATCTATCCCTCTGAGAGGTGTCAGAGAACTAGGTGGGTAGATAGATATAAATCACACAAGTATACACCCACATATATGTTTGTAATAAATATTAACATCAATATACTATGTAATATAGATACGATTTTTTCATACAGTGTGTGCAGAATTTATTTAGAAACTACCAAATGTACAAGAAAGCATGAACACGTGGTTGAAATATAAGATAAATAATAGTAAATAAAAATAGACCAATAGATAGTTAAGTTCTTAAAAGAGACTTTCAAATGTTTTTACTAATTTATTCCAGGAAATCCATGACACAGGAAGATTGCTTCTAGATCATCGGAATCTATAACAAGGATTCAATTCACAGTACTAGATGTGAAAAATACAACTACTGAAACTAGGAAGCAAAAGATAATTTAAGAAACAAGTTGATTTTATTAAAATTAAGGAGTCATGAATGGGAATGTGGGTAAAATATGAAGATAGGAGTATAGAGGGAATACATAGCTGCAACTAAAATAACATATATGAGGCTGGGCATGGTGGCTCACACCTGTAATTGCCACACTTTGGGAGGCAGAAGCAGGTGGATTGCTTGAGCCCAGGAGTTTGAGACCAGACTGGACAACATGGTGAAACCCCATCTCTACAAAAAATACAAAAATTAGCTGGGCATAGTTAGGCATAATTGTAGTCCCAGCTACTTGGGAGGCTGAAGTGGGAGATCCTTTGAGCTGGGGAGGTCGAGGCTCCAGTGAACTGTAATTACACAACTGCACTCCAGCCTGGGTGACAGAGTGAGACCCTGTCTTAAAAAAAAAATATATATATATATATATATGTATATATGTTTATATATTATATATACTTACATATAATATCTATGTTTATATATTATATATTTATATATTACATATGTTTATATATTATATATTTATATACATGATGTGGTAAACATATTTGTTATACTTATGTCTTGTAGTTCAGGACAGAGAAATAGGTAGATGATAAATGAACATTAGAGAATATATTGACCAGAATTATCCAAATTGTGGGAAGACATCCAGAAATAGATTCAAGAAGTTATAAAAACCCAAAAATTAGATAAATACAACAAAACATTCATGCACATTGCGGTAGGCAGAATACTGCCTCCTACCAAAACAAAACAAAACAAAGCAAAACCAAAAATGTCCACATCTGATAGGGTTTGTCTGTGTCCCTACCCAAATCTCATCTTGAATTGTAGTTCCCCTAATCCCCATATGTTGTGGGAGGGACTCGATGGGAAGTGATTGGATCATGGGGGCAGTTTCCTGCATGTTGTTCTTGTGACAATGAGTGAGTGTCAAGAGATTTGATGGTTTTATAAGCGTCTGGCATTTCCCGTGCTTGCACTGTCTCTCCCCTGCTGCCCTGTGAAGAAGTACCTTCTTCCATGAATGTAAGTTTCCTGAGGCCTCCCCAGCCATGTGGAACTATGAGTCAATTAAACCTCTTTTCTTTATAAATTACCCAGTCTCGGGTATTTCTTCATAGCAGTGTGAGAACAGACTAACACACCATCTGAATTCCTGGAACCTGTGACTATGTTACCTAACATGGCAAAAGGGGATTTGCATATGCAAATAAGTTAAGGATCTTGAGATGAGGATATGATTCTGGATTATCTTGGTGGGCCCAATGTCATCTCAAGGGTCTTTGTGAGGAAGAGAGAGAGGCAGAGAGAATTACAGAGGCAGATATGATGTCACTAGGAGACCTCAGAGTGATGTCGGAAAGGGGGCCAAGAGCCAGAAGTACAGGCAGACAACAGAAGCTGCAAAAGATAAGGACATGAACACTTTCATGGAGTCTCCAGTATGAGACATCCCTGCCAACACCTTGACTGTGGCCCAGTGAGATGCATTTTGGACTTTTGATCTCCCAAACTGTAAGATAATATATTTGCATTGTGTTAAGCCACCAAATCTTTTGGTAGTTTGTTACAGCAGCAATAGGAAGCTAATACATACATCACGTAGGAACTGTTAAAGAAAATTCTTAAAATCTGCCCTGGGCGAGAACTCTTAGGAAAATACTAAGGTGTTTATATTCATTGAGAAATTAAAATTAAATTAATTGAGAATACTAACAGTAAAATATACTGTTTTGAATAGAAATGACTTGATTTAAAAAATGAAAATAAAAACACAATAGAGAAAAGCATGAATTACTGATAAAAGAAATGGGCAACAACAACAACAAAAGTTGCATTACAACAAATTCCACAGGCATTAAGAAATGAATAAGAGCAAGTATTCATAATAGCTACAAAATTGAAGTATTGTGAATGTCTAGTAACAATAAGCTAGAAATACATGTTGAGGTATATTCATCCAATCAGCTGCTATTCCCAAGTATAGATTGTGCAGCTTTCTTAAAACCAAAGGGATTAGCCGGGTGCGGTGGCTCATGCCTGTAATCCCAACACTTTAGGAGGTTGAGGCAGGCAGGTCATTTGAGGTCAGGAGTTTGAGATCAGCCTGGCCAACATAGCAAAACCCCATCTCTACTAAAAATACAGAAATTAGCTGCTGGTGGTGGTGCATGCCTGTAATCCCAGCTACTCAGGAGGCTGTGATGTAGGAGAATCTCTTGAACCTGGGAGGCGGAGGTGGCAGCGAGCTGAGATCGCACCACGACACTCCGGCCTGGGCGACAGAGCAAGACTCTGTCTCAAAAATAAATTAAAAAAAAAGAGAGATGTATCACATAAGACCAACATTTAGCAAATGAAGCCAGAGACAATGTTGCTTAACTACAATTCCTTTCATATGAAGTTCTAGATAAGCAAAACCAACTACGATCTTAGAAATCAGGATAATGACCACCTCGGCAGAGGGGTGGTATAGGAGTGGCAGCACATGAAACAGGGTCATGAGGATGGTAATCTTTATTTGGCTGGTGGGTGTATAGATTTTATGAAAGTTCACTGATCTACGCAATTCTAATACCTAGGTTTTCATTTTGTTGACTTTAAATAAAGAATTGCTCAAATTTAAAAACAGCGAGGCAGGTCTATATGTATTGAAGAGAATTTATTTCAAAATTTATTATTAACTAAAAGGTGAGTTTCACATAGGTAGCTATGTTAGATAGATAGATATAGATAGATAGATAAAAGGATTGGCAGATGGGTGGATAGATGGCTCATAGATGGATGGGTGGGTGGATAATAGATAACTAGATGGATAGATGGTTAAACAGACAGTTGAATGAATAGATAGATAAATGGATGGGTTCTAGATAGATAAATGAATAAATGGATAGGTGATGGAAATAGGCAGCTAGTTAGCTAGATGATAGATAAATATTATAGACAGACTGATAAAATATTATAGACAGACTGATAAAAACATGTGTATGTGCATACCCCATGCATTATGTTTTATATGTAGCATGTAACATGTAATCTCTAGAAAACTTTTCCAAAAATGTACAATATTGTTGCTAAAGTCTAGATTTAGTTTTTTGGTACTTTTGAATGTTGTACCTTTGATTGCATTTAAGAATTCATATTCAAATAGCATGAATGAGTGAAATACAAAATAACAATCCCAGGATTCGAATAGTGGCATTTACTTGCTGAGTCCTGTTGGGGCTCGGGACGTATCACCCCAGAATATGATTACAGGAGACCAAAATATACCTATTTGGCATATTGACTATTTGGAGCTGATTGCTTTGAGAGACTGCAGATACAGGAGTAGCTCTCAAAAGTTGCTGTTTTGTAAAGCAAATTACATTTACAAAACAAATTTTCAGGGATAAAGATATCTGATCCAGGAATAGTGTTGCTCCGAGAAGACATTGATCTCCTGAGATAATTTTATCTGCATAACAAGCCAACCTTTACTCACCACACAGCTCCTCCCTCACCCTCCAGTAACTTGTCTCCATCACCTGCCAGAAGTCACAGGCCCCTATTTCTTTCTGTAGCCCAGGATGCTATGTAAACTTCATAGGTCTGGTTGATTCTTGAGTTTCGTGTTTTTGTGGAACTCCTGTGCATAGGAACGTAATTAAAGTTGTTTGTCTCCTGTTAATCTGTCTTATTTTAACTTAAAGTGTAAACCAGCCAAAGAACATAGAAGGGTATAGGAGAAAGCAAAGTTTTTTTTCTCCTCCGCAGTTATGCTTAGGAATGTCATCGTTTTATTTATAAATATATATATTTCTTGTGTGTTGTTTGTTTTGAGACAGGGTCTCACTTTGATACCCAGGATGCAGTGCAGTGGCACAATCTGGCGCTCACTGCAGCCTCAACCTCCTGGGCTCGAGTGATCCTCTTGCCTCAGCCTCTCAAATAGCTGGGACCACAGGTGGGTGCCACTGCCCCGAACTAATTTTTTGTTTATTTTCTGTTGAGATGAGGTCTCACTGTACTGCCCAGGCTGGTCTCAAAGTCCTGAGCTCAACCAGTCCTCCTGCCTCAGCCTCCCAAAGTGCTTGCATTACAGGTGTGAGCCACCACACACAGCCTTCACCATTTTCAACCCAGTGCTTATTGTTCAGAGGAATAGTAATAGGAACTGTGTTACAGAATTGTGAGAATTAAGAAGGGAGAAAGCGAATGCACTCCTGATGTGGTTAGCACAGCACCTGACCCACGTTACACACTCTATAATGTCATCATTATTGGCTACACCATTACGCCACTGATTACACATGAAAATAGAGTGATTAATTTACATCACAATATAATAATTTAACAAGACAACAAGCTGCACTTTGTTTTAATTTGGCTGTTTATTCCATTTATTGCTATATCTACACATAATTATGTGTTATTTTCTGTCCAGTCACACATAATCATTCTACAGAACCTGGCTCTGCCTAATCCTAAATACTGTTTCTAAGGATTGAGAATAGTATCATGGGGACACCCCTCTGGTTAGGGACAGGCATATGCTATAATTCCTCAATTTAGGTAAAATGTGTATAGAAATGATACTGACTTTGGAAGGAAAACACCTGGATTCTCTCTCTGTCTGCCATGCTAACTAATTTCTTACTATCAGATGCATCTAGAATACTTGCATGCAATGTGCACTTTGGTTGCCTAGCCTCCCTTTCATTTTGGCTTTTTATTGTATAATATTTTAATTATAATTTTAAAATTATAATTTTGTAAATATGAAAATATTTGGTTATAGACACTTGATTATAAATTTAAATAATAATTTTGGAAATACTAAAAATATTGATTGGAAAATAATATCAGAACATTAACACACAGATATCCTAAAGTCATCATTCAGTTTTACCATCAGAAAATACCAATTGTTTGGACAGTGAGTGGGCTGGCATGACATGACTTTAGTGGTCTGTGCTTTCCTGAATTATAAAGTTTATTTATTTTTTAACTAGCATAGTATTATCACTGAGGTCCCTCTTTTTAATCAGCGCTGTGCCCATTTCTCTTCTTTCTAACATCTATTTTATTTATATTGACTATTTACATATAATGCTCCTCTAGATAGCAAAAATCTATTGGGAATTGGAAAAGGTAATTTCCTTGGAGCTAATAGCTATTCATGCTGATTTTCACTTGCCAATTTCTTCACTATGAATATTGACTCAGCCAGAAAAGCATACTGGCTTAAAAGATGCAAAGTTAACTGCCTGCCTTATATTTAGTCAACTGTTTGGCAGGTAAACTTCTATTTTCAATAATCTTCTCATCTTTCTGAGAACTAAGCAGAAAGGAAGTCAAATTTCACATTAAATTAGAAAAGCTCCAACCAACTGCACAAGGAGTTATGGGTGGTCAAAAAAAGCCTTATGCAAGAATAATTTAGATACATCTTATAATAGGTGAAAATTTTGACAGGGAAACTAAATGAAGCAAGGATAAATTATAGGGCTTCATCCAGAATATTTTAATATCTCTACTTCAATATGTGCATCCACTATATCGTCATGTCTCTTCTGTGAAGAACAAATTTTACTATTGTCTTTTTTAGAGCCCCAGTTGAAAGGAATTTGGATAAATTTTGATACTTCTGAGCACGAAAATAGATATAAGTTTAATAGATCTGTATATATGTGCTTAATAATTCAGTATTTCAAAAAATAAAAGTTTTTCATGATTGGCCTTAATTGAAGTTTTTTTCATGTTCTTCAAATTTGATATATAATTCACGAAGTTATACTTAATAATCTCTTCATCTGTTAATAACCACTTTGTATGCTAATCAGGAAATGTTTACCTTTCAAAAAATATTTTATGGAATGAAGGAACTATTTACAAGCTAAATGGATATGTTTTGATAAACCAATTCTTAGTAACATTTCTATGCACTAAAGTGAGAAAAAAACAGTATGCTGATGTGCTATTAACTACAAATAAATGAAAGAACTACTGATATGTCAATTTCATGTTTAAGCAGGTACTGTAACGTTTGAGAGACGGGTAGGCTTGGGGTCTTCTTCTTTTTTACATTTCTTTCTTTCTTTCTTTCTTTCTTTCTTTTTGAGATGGAGTTTTGCTCTTGTTGCCCAGGCTGGAGTGCAATGGTGCGATCTCAGCTCACTGCAACCTCCCCTTCCCAGGTTCAAGCGATTCTCCTGCCTCAGCCTCCCAAGTAGCTGGGATTACAGGTGGCTGCCACCACACCCCTTTTTTACATTTCTTGGAACAAAAGGAAAAGCAAAGTGGACTGCACTGTCTCACACGCATTGAAAAATTACATTTACTTAGGGATTGGGTCTGACCATGCATGTTTTATATGTACGAAATACATTAAATCAAATAGTGAGCTCTTATTAAAAATGACCTTTAAACACTGTATGGCTGTATCATCATCATGAACAGCATCAGCATCATCATCATCATCGCCATTATAATCATCAATACTACCACACCATCATCATCATCATCACCGTCACCATCATCACATCACCATCATAACCACCATCATCACCACTGCCATCATGATCATCACCATCACCGTCACTACCATCATGATCATCATCACAAACACCATCATCACCATCATCACCATCATGATCATCATCACAAACACCATCATCACCATCATTACCATCATGATTACCATCATCACCATCATTATTATCATTATCATCACATTGTCGCCTTCATCGTCATCATAACCACCACCACCATCATCACAAATGCCAGAGTCACCATCATTACCACCTGTAATGTCGTTACCGTCATTAGAATCACCAGAACCACCATTATTAACTTTATAGTAAATTCTTATAGCAATCTCTAAATATATTGTTTATTGATTGAATTTTTCACCTTATCACGGCATTAACCGTATTGTTCTTCTTTACGTCTCTATGCCTACTTCCAATGCTGTGCCTGATCTAGGGGGAGTATCAGTTCAAAATACATATAGATGTCCATATTGACTGATATGCAGTTTGTGGTGAAAAAAATGAGTAATGTAGATTATTATAAAGATACACAAATTTTGTAATGCATCTATTAGACACATGTTCTTCTAGCTTGCATTAATTTTGCATCATAACTGGCTACTCTGCCAGGTGCTGATGAGGCAACCCTTTTCAGTCACGCAACATATCTAGGTTATTCATTTTTATGAATTTGTGAGCATTAATAATCTCTTGCATTGAAGCTAGTTCTCTAATAGGTCCTGTAGAGTCTCAAAGGTTCTTGGTGAGAACAATTTATAGGTGAGGATGAGCTCATTCACTCATTTATAGTGGAGCAATAGCTGTTCTGTAGGAGAGGTCTTTGGATTCTAGAGTGAGACTAAAACAAATACCCCTAGGTAAAAATGAAAGGTAATAATCATGTATTTATTGACTTAATCCCTTGGGAAATATATATATATTTTCTTCCAACCAGACACTGAGATGGGCTTTTCATGTTTCAGTGTTAGTTAAATGTCAACCTGAAATTCCAGGAGCTCTCATCCTGGATAGGTAGCAGACAAGTACTAAGACGCTCAAAACACGCCAGACAGGGACTATAAGCAGAGTGAGCAAATGATGCTCTAAGGGAATCTGGAATCTTATCTAACTTGGGATGAGTAGGAGATGCTCCCTAGAGAGTAACAGCTCAGTCTCTCCATAACTTATTCATGACATTATTTTAGATGAGGAAGTTGAAAAGGGTATACACTTACAGGGAGTGGGAAGAGACCTTGCAAGTCCATCCACAGAGCTGGGGTATAAACGCTAAAGTATAGTTGCACGAATATGTGTGGAAATTCACAGGGACATGGACTCGAGATTTGGGATTAATCACAAAAATGATTGACCTCAAAGTTATTCTCAGATCAAACAGAGCACGATTTTCTGATACTGTTATTGAGCAACCACAAACTTTGTTTCCAGCAAACTTTTGTTTTTCTTATTGAGTAATTAATTGCATTAAGCACCTCTTCGGCCCTAATTTTATTCCTGAACTTCTGTTTCACCCTTTCTCTCTGCTGATTAAATAAAATAACAACAATTCTGATAACACTAGAAGTTTGGTGATGTACTTTAAGTTTGTGTCAAATTTATTCCAATTTTAGTTGCTGGACTAAAGCATCATGTAACTTATCTTATCCTTCACTTGTTCTTGACTTTTTGATAGACTCCCTAGGGCTTTGCAGTGCTATTTTCATTTCATTTTCACAATGAAATAAATATACTACTGCAGCAGGGCATTGGCTGCCACTTAAAACAAGAGGCATGCATTATTAATGCCTTGTACAAAGACAATAAATTTTATATTACTCAACACAGAATAGAGAAGGAGACCTGCCAATATAGCTTTACCCCCAAGAATATGGGATAATAGAATTAAGAAAGATGGAGGGTCTCATAGTAATGTGACTATGAAATGAAAAGCGAAATTGGATAGCGTCTTCTCCTTTAACCACAACTAACAGAGCGGAAGATAAAAAGAGTTTCCTCCTGTTAGAACTGTGGGTGCCTATGAAAAAGGAACAACCCATCTCATTCCAATGCCTGGTTCAGCAGCCACCTGTCCACTGTCCTAGTTGAATAAAAGATAGAATTGAGAAAGCTAGTAAGAGGGGCGGTCTGGTTGTTTTAACAAGGTTACAAAATTTTCCCATGGACCAAGATGACTTCAGGGAAGGTAGCTTGAGCCTTCTTGTTGATGCACACACAATAGGGGTGGCTGCTAGAAAAAGCTTCCCAGCCCCTCAGCACGACCACCTTACAGGCTTGAACTCTATAAAAAACAAAGTCTGGCCGGGCGTGGTGGCTCACCTCTGTAATCCCAGCAATTTGGGAGACTGGGGTGGGTGGATCACCTGAGGTCAGGAGTTCGAGACCAGCCTGGCCAGCATGGCAAAACTCCATCTCTACTAAAAATACAAAAATTAGCAGGGCATGGTGGTGTGGACCTGTAGTCCCAGTTACTTGGGAGGCTGAGGCAAGAGAATCTTTTGAACCTGGGAGGCAGAGGTTGCAGTGAGCTGAGATCACGCCACTGCACTCCAGCCTAGGTGACAGAGCAAGACTCCATCTCAGAAAACAAAATAAATAAATAAAATAAAAATAAAGTTCCCTGTACAAATTTATAATTGTGTGATTTTACAGTTAGCATAACCTTCTGGTAGAGCTTAGACAAATGAATGTCAACTGGAGATGATTTTGCCCCCCAGGAGTCAATTGGCAATGCACAGAGATGTTTTATTTAGATCATCACAGCTTGATCAGGATTGCTATTGATGAGTAGAGGCCAGGGGTGCTGTTGCACACTCTATAATGCACAGGACAGCCCTCCACAAAAGAGAGTTACCAGTCCAAATGTCAGTAGTGCTGAGGTAGAGAAATGTTGCTCCAGAGAAATACATATTTTATCAAGTGAACTAGTTTTCTAAGAAACATTTGAAATTAGAGTTTAAAAAGAAAGGCCGTGTGCAGTTGCTCACATCTGTAATACCAGCACTTTGGGAGGCTGAGGCAGGAGGATCTCCTGAGGTCAGGAGTTCCAGACTAGCCTGGCCAATATGATGAAACCCATCTCTACTAAAAATACAAAAATTAACTGGGTGTGGTGGCACACACTTGTAATCCCAGCTACTCAGGAGGCTGAGGCAGGATAATTGCTTGAACCCAGGAGGCAGAGGTTGCAGTGAGCTGAGATAGTGCCATTGCACTCCAGCCTGGGCAACAGAACGAGACTCCATCTCAAAAAAAAGAAAAAAAAAGAGAGAGAGAAGACTCATCATTTAAGAAGCTCAGAGAAAGTTGATAGAGAAGAGATTATCAATAAACTTTAAAAGTCTAAATTCTAAATTTGGAATTCCAAATTCTAAAATCTTAAAAAATTTAAAGAGAAAATTACAAAATACTTGGTTTAATTTTCTATATTTCTTAATATTCTCATAGGAAATCTTGCTCTAATCATGAGAATCGGATCTAACAAATGTTAAGTAATCTGCTTTTCCCTCGAGGGAAGATAAAACTAGACAAAATCTTTATTGTAGAATAAACTTTATCACCTAACGTACCTGATATAAAGTAGTTCACCCTTTTCCTTGTTTCAGGAAAAGAATTACAGAAGGACACAGTTCTATGTAATCTTTACTCATTCTGCTAAAGGGACTACAAGAATATAATGGAAAGTAATTCATCACCTCAAATGGAGCTGCCCAATCCCATATTGATAAACTTGCTAAAGTGTCTTTTAATTATGCCCAAACCATGACTTAGTTGTTTCCTGCAAGCAACTGTCTCCCAGAAATCCAAAATGTTTGTTAACTATGTCAAGTGAATGCTCCCTCCAAGACATTAAATACACGTATACTCATTGTTAGAATTTTAAATGTTTATAATACAAGCAAATGCCATCTGTTTTTAATTTGTGACATAGTCTACCTGGTTTTAATGCAAACTAACATTTTACAACCTGAAAATTGACTATATCTTAAGAAAAATTTGGTATATATGTAAAATATATTTTTAATATTTATTTTCATTGATGGCGGAAATGATGGTGTGTGTTTTTGTGTGGATGTGTGAGTGTACGTAACAGTGAGCACATTCATTGGCAAAACCTTTAAGGAAAAATAATAATGACTTGTACTAGTTTGTATTCTTAATATTATTGTTAGCAATATCTGTGAAGTTTTAATTTTACTGATGGAAAATTTAGAAATTTAATAGAAATTCTAGAAAGGTGAAAATGTTTTAAAATCAGTTATGGCTTAAATATGGAAAAATATTTTATACTATACAAGTAGAAGAAAAGCATAAACTCTTAGAGTTGACACCTTGTTTTGAAATGTCTTTTTCATTTCCTCTTTCCTCTTTCTTGGACTGATAACTATATTACTTTGTAGAAACTGATAACCTTTTCTCTGACTTCTTTGGTATGAAACTTATTTGCCAGCGTTTATACTTAGCATTTTTTACATAAGCTTTTTTTTATATAGAAGCCAAGATGCATATTGGAGAGTTCTCCATAGGGCTTGATTTTCTTCTCCCACCCATATTGGAAATCTCTTCCTCAGTATCAGCTGATCTACCAGCCTTCCTGTGAACACACAAGAAAAGAGTTTATTTCCACTGATGTTACGGAAAAGATAGAAACAGTCTTCACAGGACAGTTTTCACAGAGATCGTCTACAAAATCCGATCTCATACTATTCATATGCAAGTAAATACTTATACTTGAAATTAGAACTTTATTCATTCAAAGCTGGATAAGTTCATTTCAGAAATTCAGAAAATTGGAGAAAAGAAATATTACTTCACTAGAGACAACAATAGCTAATACTATTGTATATTTTTCTATTTTTTGATAGATGATAGATATAGATAGATATATGATAGATAATGGATAAATAATAGATGATAGATAATATATAGGTTATAGGTAGATATGTAGATAATAGATAAATGGATGTAGATGATAGATAATAGACGATAAACAGATATGTATACTTACACTTAAATATACATATATTAAATATATAATTGTGTTGTAAAACATTTGACAAAACTATGCATGTAAATAAACAAAACTATACACATAAATAACTAGGCATTAGTACATCTAGAGTAACAACATCCTCTATATATTCTACATCAACCTGCCTGATGCATTTTTATTTTAAACTAGTAGGTGAATTGTTTTCCATTGAACCATAGCAAAGAAAGTTTCTTTATTGATTACCAAGATAAATATTTTTGCTAAAAAATAAAAAGCACTGTCAGTACTAATTAACTAACATTCCCATTTTACCCAAATCACAATCGTTTTTCAGAATTATTTGCATTTTATAAGTAATGCTTGCAAAATATTGTTGCCTTAAGTTTCAAAGTGAAAGAACGTAAAAATAGCATAATTTTAGACATAGAAATACTATTTTTATTTATATTATGCAATAACAGAGGAAGGTGTCTCACATATTCCTGATACAAACAGAGGAGTGACTCGAGAGCCTTTGTTATTGTGGGAAATAAGACTTAGTGGAATGGGCCTGTAATCCCAGCATTTTGGGAGGCCGAGGTGGTTGGATCACTTAAGGTCAGGAGTTCGAGACCAACCTGGCCAATACGGTGAAAACCTGCCTCTACTAAAAATACAAAAATTAGCCAGGCATGGTGGTGGGAGCCTATAGTCCCAGCTACTTGGGAAGCTGAGGCAGGAGAATTGCTTGAACCCATGAGGCAGAGGTTGCAGTGAGCCAGGATTGTGCCACTGCACTCCAGCCTGGGCCACAGAGCAAGACTCTATCAAAAAAAAAAAAAAAAAAAAGAAAGAAATACTTACTGGAATGGATAAAGAAGGCCCTGTGCATTATATTATAGTAGCAGAAGATGTTTTGAAAGACATACAAGCTCATTGAAAAAAGTGACTGATGAATAGATGCTATAAAAATTGTCTTTAAAAATCCCAATCTATATGTAGAATTTTCAATGTTTAATAAAGAAAAACAGGTTATTCTGTATAACACAAAGGGATCAAGCAAATCAAATTTGCAAACATAGAAGAAAAAAATCAGAAACACATTTTAAGGCAATAGTAGACATTTCACAGAAAAGAAGCCATACTTGGTCAGAATGGAAGGGTTGTCATCTTCAGCAGGATTAGGAAAAAGTGCAAATAAAAATCTACAGAAAGATATCCATTTTCACTGACAGGTTGGACAAAAATTAAACTGTCCGTCAGAAACAGATGTTTGTGAGAACATGAGAGCATGGGGCAGAGGGAATAAAACACTTTGGGGATATATTGATGTGATTTAAATATGTATCTTGTGACCGAACACTTCCACTCCTGAGTATACAACCCTGACTACCTTTTATTGAAATGCAGTGAGAGACATGGACAAGCATCGTCAAACCAGCATCAGCTATTATTATTTTAGGGAAGAAAAGTAAAAATGACATAGCTGTGGAAATACTAGAGAACTCATAAGTGTGTTCTATTCATATGAGGGAATATTATATTTTGGTAATTATCACATCGGCTATTATATGAAATTGGAGTTATAAGCATAACATTGAGTAAAATAAATGAAATTGGTATACATTTGACATAGTTTGGATCTGTGTCCTCACCCAAATCTCATGTTCAACTGTAATCCCCAATGTTGTAGGTGGGGCCTGGTGGAAGGTGATTGGATCATGGGAGTGGATCCTTCGAGAATGGTTTAGCACCATCCCTTTGGTGTTGTTCTCATGGTAGAGTTCTCATGAGGTCTTGTAGTTTTAAAGTGTGTAGCTCCTTCTCCCTCTCTGTCTCTCTTAGTCCTGCTCCTGCTGTGTGAGACACCTGCTCTCGCTTTACTTCTGCCATGAGTAAAAGCTCCTTGAGGCCTCCCCAGAAGCAGATGCTGCCATGCTTCTTGTACAGCCTGCAGAAACATAAGCCAATTAAACCTTTTTTCTCATACATTACCCAGTCTCAGGTATTTCTTTATAGCAATGTGAGAATGGACTAATATAGGGTTTCTATCTAGTAAGGTAAATTTACATAAAATTCAAATCCAAAGCCAAATTACAGGTATAATTTTTGAAGATACACCCATAAATCCAGCAATCCTAACCAAGAGAAAAGAACCAATGGACAAACTTTTCTCACTTTCATTGGGAGGCCTTCATGGGAAGGGCCCCATAAATACTGCTAATAGTCTATTCTTCAATGTCTTGTTTTAGGTATAACAGTGTCAATGTGACTAGGTTTTACATATATTATATATTTCATATATCATTTCACATATGTGAATACTTTAAATATAGTTAATATTCATATGTATTTCATTACATATTTACCCACTTCTTCTTCACTCCCAGTTTCAGGGCTTTGAGTGGAGCTGACCCTACTTCAGAGACCCTGGGAATGTACATAACCCAGGGCTAATTCAACCAAAGCACCAGATCCCATTTAATCAATAACAAGCTCTGTCCATAGGAGTGATCCAAGTTGATCCAAGAGTGAATCCCAAAATTTTGCCAAGATGCTTAAGGAAGAAAATCTTTTCCACCAGGTTTACTTTTCCTAAGCTCCTGGTGAACAACTTGTCCCCATCTCCAAGGGAAAAACCTGGCTATGCTTGAAGCTGATACAAGAAAAAGTAAATACCAATTTGAAGACTCTGGCATATTTTATTAGACGGACAGCATCATTCCTAGAATTTCTCATATACAAGTCAATACTCTCTCTCTCTCTTTTTTTTTCACTTTCTGTTCACTAGTTTGAGTTCAGTTTTTCATGCCTGCATGAAAAACAGCCTTGACTTGTGCTAAATGTTATGTTATTATGAATATTATGTTATACTCATTGCTCCATAGCAAGGCTGTGCTTAAGATGACACATGATCAATATCAGTCACCTGAAGCAATAAGACACTGTAGCACTTTACCTGCTCCATATCGTTTATTCTGTAATTGATGAAATATTTCAAACCAGTAGAAATAATTTTAAATACATGCTGCTGTTGGCACATTTAATAATTCACGCTACCACTAAAGTAAAAGAGGATCTTTCCCTCTGAGATGCCACATCCGCTCAGAAGGTTCCCCATGGTGAGGACAGCAATAATACATGAAGGCATTTAATCTATAAAGGTATTTATTTCAAGATCGCTTAATTCACATTTTGATGGCAAGTGGAATCTTGGCACATGTATTAATACTAGTGCCAGACCTTTGGTGAGGTCCAGTTTGTCAACTGATAAGACAATGATGAAATTCAGATATAATAGGGATTCTGTGAGTAGGAACAGGTGTGGGCTTGTTCAAAAACCACAAGTATGTGATCAAATTGGAAAAGCTCAAGTAAGCAAATGAAAGGGAATTTAATAACAAGATTGATGAGACCGAAGATGAATTTAAACATCATGTCTTAAAGATTTTTTTTAGATTAAAATATCAAAGAAGAAAACGTGAAAATGTTAACAATTTACTACGGTGACCACTTTTCTAACTAATTGAGAGCCTGGTTCAGGTGGTAATTGTGATCACTTCAGTTACTTATGTGAACCTCAAATATCTGAGTTGGTAGGTCTCAGTTAATTTAGAAAGTTGACTTTGCCAAGCTTAAGGATGCACACCATTGACGCAACCTCAGAAAGTCCTGACGACATGTGCCAAAGGTGGTCAGAGCACATTTTGTTTTATATATTTTAGGGAGAAATGAGACATCAATCAATATATGTAAGATGTACATTGGTTCTGTCCAGAAAGGCGGGACAACTCAAGCAGAGAGGGGGCTTCCAGGTTACGGGTGGGTGAGAGACAAACGGCGTTTGCATTCTTTTGAGTTTCTGATTGGCCTTTCCAAAGGAGGCAGTCAGATATATATTTATCTCAGTGAGCAGAGGGGTGAGTTTGAATAGAATGGGAAGCAGGTTGGCCCTAAGCAGTTCCTAGCTTGACTTTTCCCTTTAGCTTAGTGATTTCGCGACCCCAAGATTTATTTTCCTTTCACATTTATCAGTAAACATTAATTCCTTTTAAGACGTATTTGTCAGAGTGAGGCAGAGAAAGAGAAGCAATAGTATGTGTACACCTTTCTTTATGCAATAAATGTGACTTGCTTAATTGGGTACCAATACTAAGATTATGAAAAAGAAGATCAGGTTACAAAAGCTAGAGGAGGAAGATGGGGGAGAAAATAGACTCCTATCACAGAGAAAATCAATTCCCAGGAAATCAAAATGTGAAATGCAAAACTATAAAGCATCTAGAACTTTATGATGCAATAGGATACCCACTCACCTTGTATGGCAATTCAAATGTAAATTAACCAACATTAAACAAAATTAGCAAAAGAAAGTTGCATTCTCATCTTCACTAGCCCCACTGAAGTTCTTATAGCCTTATGTAGTAAACACTACTGTATTCATAACGAAGATTAGGACATTTTCATTATTTTAGAACTTTCTGTTGGACAGTGGTCATTTATAAAATAATATAGAATTTTTTAAAATTCAGAGATAGGGTCTTACTGTATTACCCAGGCTGGGCTTGAACTCTTGGGCTCAAGTGATCCTCTCTTCTCAGCCACCTAAGCAGCTGGGATTACAGGTGTGTACCACTACTCCTAGCTTTACAGAATACTTTTAGAAATTCAGGGTAAAGTGAGATATTTAGGCAGGACACAAAAGTGCAAAATATTGGAAAAGCATTGATAAATTTGAGGGTATCACATTTCAGACCTTGTCTTTGCCAAATATGATCTTAAAGAGAGGGAAACATAACCATGTAGTGAGATAAAGCTTTTGGTACACATACACCGAACAGATGGCTTATGAAGACTGTCTTCAAAGCGAGAAGAAGAAAGACGCACTGCTCGAAAAAATTCGAAATAATCAGGAACTTTATAAAAGGGAACACTAGAATGACCATGAACTTATCAAAAGGCAGTCCAGTTCATAGCAAATGGGAGAAAACAATTTATAACATCAATGAGGAACAACATCTACAACCCTAAAGAGAAATAGTTTGACAGCACCAAGTGCTGTCAAGTATATGGGAAAAGGGAACTTCCATGGACTTCTATGGTGCCTAACTTTGAAAAACAATTTGGCATTTTCTCATACTCATATCACCCAGAATTTCCATGCCTGAGTATACGTTAAACTGAAATGATTGCATTATATGTACCAAGAAATATACACAATGTATTCGTGGCAGGTTGTTTGTTTGGTTGGGTGGTTGGTTGGTTTGGTTTGGTTTTTTGTTTTTTTTGAGATGGAGTCTCGCTCTGTCACCCAGGCTGCAGTGCAGTGGCGCGATCTCGGCTCACTGCAACCTCCGCCTCCTGGATTCAAGCAATTCTCCTGCCTCAGCCTCCCGAGTAGCTGGGACTACAGGTGCCCACCACCATGCCCGGCTAATTTTTGTACTTTTAGTAGAGACGGGGTTTCACCATGTTGGCCGGGCTGGTCTCAAACTTTGACCTCAGGTGATCTGCCTGCCCTGGCTTCCCAAAGTGCTGGGATTACAGGCATTAAAGTGTCATGGTTTCAATAAAATGTAACACCATAATTGTGTTCAAAGTAAAAACAAGCCAATATTTCCTTGATATTTTACTCATAAGTGCATTTATATTCTTAAGCAATGGCCAGAAATCAGAGGCCTGATGTCTGAGCATAAGATTTTAAAAGTAAATACTTCCCCAAAATTATCATTGCGTCTTAAAATTGCAGTGATTCAAATTGTTAATTCAACATTCAGGAAAAGAGGGAAAAAAAACAAGTACCGCGCAGCTGAATCTCCAAAATGGGGTGTGTTTGATGTGGGAAAACTAGATGTATGTTAACTGTGTGAAAATACCCATTGAAGAGTTTCTGTTAAAGCAGCTGTTATATTTGAGACACAGGGTTTCTGCATCTTAAGTGGACCTCTTCCTTTTATAAAGTAAGTGAAATACAACTACCCATGACACCTTGATTGAAGGGTTTCAGAAGCTAATTAAAGAGGCATCTAAAAGTATTTCTTAAACTTGCCAAATATGACCCTCTGACATGGGAGTTTTCCTAGGAGAATTATCCACTGACTGCCTCCCAAAATTAAGAAAATGCATTGTCAATCCTCCACGGAGGGCCTGCTAATTAAAATGCTGATTTCAGGAGAGATGGAAGCTCTGTATTTTCTACTTAGAGTAGTGTCGGGTGAGCCAGCCACATTTGACAGTATTAAATTGTTAAGTAAGAAAAAAAAAATTATCCAGGAACCTATGAAGAGCCAAATAGAGCTACTTCATTAATTGATACTTAATCTTCTTAGTCCTTTAGTAAATCTGAAACAAGATAAGGGGGGCACAAATCAAATGAAGAGTGGAGATAAATAAAAAGAGAGGTGGGATGGCTAGAGCCTTGGCAGAAGGCAATGCAAAATGGTGCTGATACCAACTTTAGTCATGTGTCTTGCTGGATAACTCAGTTTTCTTTTAGAATTGGAAAGAATCTGAAAATTTAGCTCCTACACACGTGGGATTTTCACAGAATACTCTACAGGAAAAAAAGCAAAATCATCAAATAAATACAACCCAGGTTCCAAGAAATAATGGATTCAATTCAGGAAACAGTGAAGGTAAGCTTTAGGATGGCAAATTGTCTGAAGAAAAAATCAGTTCAGACTGGAAAAAGAGGATAATTATTATTGAGAAGTAAATACTTGAGAATTTAGAAGAATTTCCAATAGCACTCAATAAGAATTATTCTGTGAAAACCCCATGTGTTTAGGAGCTAAATTTTCAGATTCTTTCCATTTCTCAACACAACCTCTAATCTGTGCATCATAACATTGCAGTGATTCAATTTCTAATACATGGTAGATAATTGGTAAACATTGCTACTAACAACATTAATTTGGCACTCAGGGCACCATGTTGGTTAATGCCCTACTCTAGACTTTTTCAACTCTAATATCGTTGACACACTTCCAAACACTGTAATCACATAGTCATTTTTCAGCACTCTGGGGCTTTTTGCTTAGACATGATAGATCCAGTGTCTACTCTTTCATATGGTCACAGAGCAAAGTATTTCCATGTTCTATTAGACCTGTCATCCTTTTTCTGCACAGTCTGCAGGTTATTGTATGCATCTCACCACTTACTAGCATAAAACATTTCTAAAGTAGATCGAGAAGTCAGTAAGCTTCAAGAAAAGTGATTCGTTCTCAACAATAGATCACGTATTGGTTTGTACAAACTAATCAATCACTTTCTTGGTTTGTCCAGTAAGTGAATTGACCAAAACAACATGCAGGGATTCTTATAGTCAAATGCAACAGTTAATTCTCAATGTTCCTCGTTTAAGTATTAGTTATGGATGCATTGCCAATGTAAGTTGTCTGATTATGTCAGGGGAAAACTACCTATTTAATACATTTGACCAAGTCCTGACAGGTGTCCTTTAAAAGTGGGACCTATTAAGTGCAGTAGGAATTTGGGATTAGTGCAGAGAGCAGACATACTTTTCCTGCTGCTAGAGATCATTCAAATTCTCTTTGATTTCAGTGCTGATGTTTGGGTTTCATAATCTTGAATGTCCCTGGACAATGGTTCAGGCAATTATTGTGGTGGTAATACTCTTGTCTTTTGTTCAGCTTTATTCTTAGTATTTAGAAGACTAAACCACCACACCCAGCTCATTTAGGGTTGCACCAAGGAACAGTACATTTTCCTTTTAATGCAATACCTTCTAATTAATGGGAGGAATGGTGATGGAAGTGGGGCCTGGAGATGTACCCAAGTGACAGATATCTTTAAAAGACTGTGGATTTCCTCTAAGTCAAGTTCTCATGCACTTTGATCCTCATGTGTATTGAACTTTGAATGAGTCCCCTATACCAGTTGTCTAACCATCATTATAATCATAATAGCACACTGAACACTTGTGATATATCACGGACTGTTATATAACCCACCTAGTTCTTACAAAAATCATGAGTAGGTAATTATTTTTTCCTTTTATGCAGAATTATGTCAACAAAGCAATGCAACAGATGTACCTGAATCAAAATCCTATCTTCTTCCCTCTACAGACCCTTTCTTGCTTTGAAATCAGGAAATGACTTTAAACTTACCTTTACTACTTGCTCCAGACAAGACTTCTACTCTCTCTCCTCTAGAGCCGTAATTATGTGAAAATGAACAAACAAACAAAAATAAACAGTAAAAACAAGTTACCATGAGTGGGTACTTTGAAAAATAACATAAATATATTATCTACTGTGAATTCTACTTTTCATAAATCCCTGTACTCTGAGGGCCATTCACTTTCATCTTTATGCATGCTCCCTTCTGAAAAAATGATTGCATAATTCATACTTAACAATATATCTTCTCCCTGTTCCATCATCTCCCATGTCTCACTTTTTTACTTTGGTATTAGACTTTTTTTTGGTCCGCAACCCTACTGAATGGTCTACTCCACAGCATTCAATGTTGCCCAGGCTGGAGTGCAGTGGCACGATCTTGATTCACTCCAACCTCCACCTCTTGGGTCCAAGGGATTCTCCTGCCTCAGACTCCTAAGTAGCTAGTACTACAGACACCAGCCACCATGCCCAACTCATTTTTTGTATCTTAGTAGAGACAGGGTTTCACCATGTTGCCCAGGGTGGCCTCAAGTGATCTGCCCACCTCAGCCTCCCAAAGTACTGGGATTACAGGTGTGAGCCATCACACCTGGCCGCATTTAATGTTCTGACTTCTCTTTATGCTGTTGTGCTGTTGGCCTTTTAATATTATACATTTCTTTTTAATATTATTTTTAACTGACAAATGAGGAAAAATTTATTTAATGATGGAGTACAACACAGTGCTTTGATATGTGTGTACATTGTGAAATTATTAAATCAAGCTAATTAGTATAGCCATCACCTCACAGAGTTACTTTTTTTGTGATGGGGACATTTAAAATCTACTCCTAGTAATTTTCAAGAATACGATACATTATTATTAACAATAGTCACTATACTGTACAATAGATCGCCAGAAATTATTTACCGTATCTAACTTTGTATCATTCAACCAATATTCTTATAACTTTGTGTCCTTTAACTGTGTACATTATACTTGATAACTTTGTTTCCTTTAATCAATATCTTTGATAACTCTGTTTCCTTTAACCAATACCCTTGATAACTCTGTATCCTTTAATCAACACCCTTGATAACTTTGTTTTCTTTAACCAATATACTTGATAACTCTGTTTCCTTTAACCAATACTCTTGATAACTCTGTGTCCTTTAATCAATACCCTTGATAACTTTGTTTCCTTTAACCAATAGCCTTGATAACTTTGTATCCTTTGACCAATATTCTTGATAACTTTGTTTCCTTTAACCAATATCTCCCCATCATCTCCTCCCCTGCTCCAGCCCAGTAACTACCATTCAATTCTCTGCTTCTATGAGTTTGATTTTTTTTTTTTAAGATTCCACAAACAGGTGAGATCACAGGGCATTTGTCTTTCTGTGTTTGGCTTACTTCACTAAGCATAATGTCCTAATGTTTTCCAGTTCCTCCATGTTTCTTTGTCTCTTAAACACCGTCTTCTCAACCGCTAAGGGCAGCCTCATTGATTGGAGATGTGGCCAATGAAGAAAGTTTCCAAGCTGTTCCACATTCTAGAACTGTGGCTGTTTGGCAGTTTGTATGGAAATCAAATCTGCATTCCTTTCTCGTGCATGAATAAGATGAAAGGCAGGGGAAGGTAAAGCATGGTAAAACATGGCTATGCTGCTTGGGGCTTAAATTACTCTCATTCTCCATTTTCCCAGGCAAAATTCTCCTCTCCTACTTCTGTTATGTTCTTTTCACTTTTTACCCTTTTACAGGAAGATTCTGTAACTATTTCAAGGCAATTATACTTTCAGTGTCATTTTATTGCAATTTGCTAGAGATGGGTACATATGGTGATTTAAAATCTGAAACTACTCTGACCCTAGCCGCATCTGGTCAGCGCAAGTGTTTCATAAGGACATTCCAGTTGTTTTGGAATAATACATTTGGGGCAATTCCTAAATCACAGGTTGCTTTAAGGCCACCTCTTCAGATAATAGCCTTCTTGAAATTGCATGAAAAAATATAGTATATTCGTCTCTTGGGTCAAGTTCTCGCCATGTGTTCGAAAATCATTTTGTGTTGCTTCTTATTCTAGCCAGTGAGGTTTTAAAGGAGGAGTAAACTGTGGAAGTTTGAGTATCCCATATTACATTATTTTCATTGTTTTGTTTTTGTAGAATGGGAAACCATGTAATCATCCGTTACAAAGTGTTTATGCTATTTAAATATCCAAAACAGTAAAACTTGATAGAAGTAATGGAAAATAGAAGCATTTGGCATTTTCCCATTGTGACGGTGCATGTAAAGGAGAAATTATAAAAATTGAATAAAAATCTCATTATCGTCAAGGATCTATTTTTTCCTAAATAATCCTCTTCAGTGAAGAAAATATTTCCCATGCTAACGGAAAAGAAAATGGGTGACAGGAAATCACAAGTGAACATTCAGCTTTACCTACCAACATGATTAGATTTGAAATACAGAAAATGTTTTCATTCAGTACCAGAATTCAAATTAGATTTTCACGGTAACCAGGAAACTCATTATCAGTTTCGTTAGAATCTTAGTAGTATAGGAAGAGTCATTATTTCAAATAGAATTTCCTTGCAACTTACATGAACTTTGGGACTATGCATACATAAGTTTAAGTTTAAGATGGTCTACTGTTGTCAAAATTAATTATTATTAATTAATAATAGTAATATATGCCACATATGCACTGGGTGACGGTCCAAAGGAAAAAAATATTGGGAGGTGGTTGTCAATTTTCTGTATGGCTGTGGAGGCTGATAATTCTTCACACCTATCGATGTGCAGTCATTCAAAATCTGTGGCATTAAGCTGGGTTTTCCTTAGACCTAGCTGTGTCTGACTCCTTCATCACTTGTGGTTTTATGGCCAGTGTCCCCTCTTTCCTAAGAGAAGTTTATGTACAAACGGTTTGCTTCAGATTTTTTTTTTATTTTTTGCAGTCTCTGCTCTCCAATAGGTTTAGCAAAGCTATCATGATATAACTGATCAACTCAGAAGAACAAATGGCTTACACAATTTTCTATCTGAACAGGAATCATCACTTCTGCAAGAGACTTTAAATAAAAATATGTAACAAAATTTCTGTATATGAGATAATTGTATAAATGTGTATGTATGTGTGTATCTGTTTCTATATATGTGTGTGTGTGTTTCACTATATTTAAAGGTATTAGAGGTGCTAAATATTTGGATAAAATCAATTTTGAATTTCGACTCAGTCAGTGATCTTGAGCTAGTTCCAAAATTTCTCTAAACATAATTAATTTCAATCTGCTCAATATATAGTCATTTTCAGAGATCTGCTGAGAGTTTAATATTCCATTTACTGGCATTTGGAGAGGATCTAGCTAATAGTAAGTCATCACATTAATTTAGCTATAATTATAACCTATGCTTATCATGGTAATCAATCACAATAACTTTATTCATAAAGTTGAGATCATCATCCTATATGTAACATTCTAGATGTAATCCCAACAGAACAAAATTACTCAAACGTGAAAAATAACTCTTAAAAATAATGTATTTTCAAGAGCAGACACAGCTTTAGGGTGTCTTCATTGTAGACTAAGTAGAATAGAGTGTTACAAAAGGCATTATAGATAGAATAAACTAACAACTTAAAGCTTTTAAACTGGGCTGACCCCAATTAAGATTAACCCTTTTATATAGAGAAAATTTGGACACCTGCCATAATTGCTTGAAGTTCCAAATCTTTATAACATTACGATTATTTTTACACACACACATGCAGAAATGTGAGGTGCTTTACGTACTGAAAGTAGTCTGATAATTTATATGATTCTTACTTGATTCAAAATTACTTAATGTCTTTTCTATTTTCTATCCAAAATTTGAGGCATCAGGGAAATTACATAACAGCAAAATAAACATTCTTTCTTTTCTTTTCTTTTCTTTTTTTTTTTTTTTTGAGATGGAGTCTTGCTCTGTCACCCAGGCTGGAATGCAGTTGCATGATCTCGGCTCACTGCAACCTCTGCCTCCCTGGTTCAAGCGATTCTCCTGCCTCAGCCTCCCAAGTAGCTGGGACTACAGGCACGTGCTACCACGCCCGGCTAATTTGTTGTATTTTTAGTAGAGACGGGGTTTCACCGTGTTAGCCAGGATGGTCTCGATCTGCTGACTTTGTGATCCGCCCACCTCGGCCTCCCAAAGTGCTGGGATTACAGGCGTGAGCCACCGCACCCGGCCTCTTTTCTTTCTTTCTTTCTTTAATATCAAGCCCTAGAGGTTAATGAAATTTGTGA
The DNA here is from genome assembly GCF_000001405.40 of Homo sapiens. NCBI lineage: Eukaryota > Metazoa > Chordata > Mammalia > Primates > Hominidae > Homo > Homo sapiens. The sequence goes on from NC_000023.11 coordinate 5,049,307, forward strand.
TAGAGTTTGAGATAGACACAAAGTTAGTGAATCTGAATAACACATTAATTCTTGCAATGGAAACTTTACTATAATGTAGAATTTTTTAAAATGATGTTAAATAATTGTAGTTACTTTTATTTTGTGATTTCATTTAATCTTCTTGATAACACTGGGAAGGGATAATGGTTGCACTCTGCTGAACGAGCATGTTGGAAATTGAAAGTGTTGCCGTCAGGTTTATCTAGTTCTATCTGATTTTGTGAAAAACAAATATTGCTACATGAGCACTTATCACTAAGCCCTTCAAATTATATGGAAAATGTACGCATGTTCAAAAGTACGTTTTTGTAGAGAGATAATATATAGGTTTCTTCTCACAGGGAATCTTGACACTCTCTCCCTGTGATGGTTAACACTGAGCGTCAACTTCATTGGAATGAAGGAGGCAAAGTATTGATCTTGGGTGTGTCCATGAGGGTGTTGCCAAAAGAGATTAACATTTGAATCAGTGGCTGGAAAGGCAGACCCACCCTTAATCTGGGTGGGCACCATCTAATCAGCTGCCAGGTTGGCCAGAATATAAACCAGGCAGAAAAATGTGAAAAGACTAGACTGTATTAGCCTCTCAGTCTACATCTTTCTCCCGGGCTGGATGCTTCCTGCCCTGGAACGTCAAACTCCAAGTTCTTCAGCTTCGGGACTCCGGCTGGCTTCCTTGCGCTTCAGCTTGCAGATGGCCTGATAGCCTGTTGTAGGACCTTGTGATAGTGTGAGTTAATACTCCTCAATAAACTTATATATATATATAATTTGTTCTGTCCTTCTAGAGAACCCTAATACACTTCCTCTGCCAAACATTAATATTTAATAGCCTATGGCATCTTACACATTTTTCTTTGTGTAAGAGGATCTAGCAGTAGGCATTATTGAATGTACTTAATTTTCAGACCATTTTACCTATAAAACAACAAAACATAGTGCAACTTTAAAGGTCTACTAGAAAGCAAGGTTTTAATTTTTTTTAAGGAACTGTGTAATCATAGATTCACTAAACCAAAATATAGCATTTTGATCAATCTGATGTTAAGAAAATGGAAGCAATACAATATCCCATGGTGAAACATGGTTATATTCCATTCTATTTCTATGGCTACCTTTTTAAAAATTCATAGGGGAATATTAATATTGATATGCAGCTGTATTGGCTTCTGTTTGTGTCACAAGATATTTTTGGGGCCTTCAATTTGTTCTTACATTTTATATCTGTATTCCAGTACAGTCTTGGAAGTCTGCATTGAGTGCAAGCCACACCATCCGATTATCATTCCTCCAACACTACCTGTGCATGCACAAGTACCATGAGCAAAGCCAAATTAGTATGACATAAATAGACTCTAAAGGGCTCTAGCAATCTTTTTCCCATGGTAATACCTACTGTTGGCTTCACAACCTCCCAGAGATTGCATATGGAGGCATACAATCTTTTACTTTACTTTTTAATACATCAACATTTATATCGAAGTCCATTTTCTTAAAAAGAGATAGTTCTATGACTTCTAAAAAGAAAAAACACTTTTTACTCTTACTTTCAGTATAATGAACTCTAACCAATACTGGTCTAAAATCCAACATTTTAAATCCTTGGATTCTTCAAGTATGAATTTCATCCACCATGTATTTTACTGTGGGTGATTGATAGTTGGGATAGAGAAGTTCAGTTGTTTCCTCTGACTTTTTAATTTAGGAAAACAGAGCAAAACAATACCAAAAAATCTTCTGTGTCTTTAGTTAGACACAAAGCTACTGAAAATAGAGACTGTTTTGTGTGTGCGTGTGCCCTGGAAGCTTAGTATGGGTAGTTTCTGGTCAATAAGATACTGGCAGAAAGGCTGTGTGAAGCCCCAGGGAAGCTCTTGAAGGCTTCTGTGTGCAATCCACTCTGTATCAGCCAATTCCTTCTTGGCAAGAATATAGGCATGTTAGCGAGCATTTTACATCATGCATGAAGACAATCACAGTGTTGCAGTTTTGCCAATGCACCGCAATGCAGCAGTCTCTCATGAGGTATCACCCTGAGTTCTTTGTCTCACGGCCAAGAAAATTAAGAAGTGTGGACACAAAGGGTGAGGTTGGACAAAAGTTTAATGAGGAAAAGAAGAAAGCTCTCCACAGCAGAGAGGGGGTCCTGAGTGGGTTGCCCACTATGAGGCTGTGGTCTGGGATTTTTTTTTTGAGATGGAATCTCACTCTGTCACACAGGCTAGAGTGCAGTGGCACAATCTTGGCTCACTGCAACCTCCGCCTCCTGGGTTCAAGCGATTCTCCTGCCTCAGCCTCCTGAGTAGCTGGGATTACAGGTGCACGCCACCATGCCTGGCTAATTTTTGTATTTTTGGTAGTGACGGGGTTTCACCATGTTTGACCAGGCTGGTCCCAATCTCTTGACCTCGTGATCCGCCCACCTTGACCTCCCAAAGTGCTGGGATTACAGGGGTGAGCCACCACGCCTGGCTGGGGTCTGGGGTTTTTATGGACTGGGAAGGTAAGGAATGTGTTGATTGGTCTTGGAGAAGGCATTACTCAGCTTGGCCCGGGAGTAATCAGCAGTTGAAGTGATGACACATAGAGGCTACTCAGCTTGGCCTGGGACCTTGGCCCGGGACAAATCAGGAGCTGAAGTGAAAGCTTAGCAGGAACTTGGCCCAGGACCAATCAGATGCTAAAGTGATGATTCATGGAGGCTTGTCTCACAATCCAAAGCATGTTCAAAAAAGGAAAGGAAAGTGCCCACCGGAACCCACTGGAACTGCTGTGTATATGCCCACAGAAGGAGAAGAGACTATTTCCTGTAAGCCTGCTGGTTATAAAAAGAACAAAGGCATTTCTATGTTGCATCTTTTTTCCTTATCAGTGTAGCTGGGGGCACGTCTTAAGCACAAAGAACAAAGGCATTTCTATGTTGGGCCTCATTCCTTTATCTCCGTGGGCCAGAGGTTTGTGCAAGTTTCCTTATCTGTGCCTGAAGCCTGGTTTTACAGGCTGTTTCTCTGCTTAAAGGAGTTTTACCAAGGACCCACCCTAACTACTTAACTTTTCTTTCTCAACAGCTCAAGTTAAAGCTGAACAGCAATACAGGAGAAAGCTGGATTCCAATGCCATGAATCTCCCACCTAAGTCTTGAAAGCTTGCATAAGAAATAAAAGTCCTCTTATTTTATTTAAGGCATGTGTTCTTGGCAACTGCTAATTAGTAAAAACTATTCCTAACTTAAGGTTTCCAAAACTTTTTTTCACCATCCTAGCACATAGAGTCAAAGATAACATTTCTTCACCCCAAATGGTATAAACTGATGAGTTTATTAATGTTCTCAGGCTTCTGGGATAGAGCCGATAGCCATCCTACTTCCTGACTTGTCATTACAAATATTAAAAGAATAAGTAACCAATAACAAAGAGGATACATGACTCCCAATGTGGCGTGAGTAGTGCTGAAGAAGCTATGTTCCAACTAATAGAAGAGCTATTATGAGAAACTATACACATACCAATTAAGTTCTATAACCTTCATTAATTAGCAACACCAAGATTGGAAAAATAGTCTGGATCCACATAAGGATAAATTCTGTTTTTGAATAACAGGAACACATTGAATAACTTTGACCAAGAGGCAATGATGTTACAAAAAAAAATTATTTTAGGAATGTTAAAGTCCTAATAGCATGAAGAAAGTATTTAAGGTGAGAAAGAATGAAGACTGTTGTGGGAGAATAGACAATAAGCATCAAGTGTCTAAATTAAAGCAGATATAAAAATGAAAGGAGAGATTTGAAAGACACTTTAAAGTCTTTTTGATGGATAGGTTGTAAAAAGTGGCCAAGTTTTAAATGTTCATATTTTATTCATGAATTACTAGGAACATGAGTATAGCATTAAAAAACAAACAGTAAATATAAGGAAAATAGCTTGTTTAGAAGATAATGACTTCATTTAGAATCACAATTTTGAGATGATTTCAAAATTTTAGTATATCAAGAATATCAATGGAAAGACATAAGTTCTCAAAGAACCAATGAATATTAATATATGTATTTTCACAGAGGCGAGAGTCAAAAGCACTAGAGAAAATTGAACACCAGAATCATGATTTCTTTGTTTTTTTCTTATATTACTTTGCTATAACTAACTGAAGCTTCATAGAGAAAGTTCCACTTGAGCTGGTCCACTTAGACAGATATCGATAGAACTACATACACTAAAGAGATGATATGTATTTATATACATGAGTAGATAGATGCCATGGGTAGATAGATAATTAATAGATAGATTGATAGATCGATAGATAGGTAGATAGATAAGGTGGATAGATAGAAGACAGATCAATAGATAGATGTATAGATATGACAGATTAATAGATAGAAAATGGATAGATAGAAACATAAATAGATGGGTAGATAGGTAGATTAATCGATGATAGATGGTGATAGATCAGATAGATAGATAGATAGATAGATAGATAGATAGATAGATAGATACATAAGATAGATGAGTAGATAGCTGGATAAATGACAGAAAGGAACAGATGAAATAGATGGATAGATAGATTTGGATAGACAGATTAGGATAAATAATAGATTTGTATAGTAAGTATAAATACATTTGGAATATAGATGGACAGATAGCTTCAGATAGATGATGGATAGATGATAGATAGATAGATAGATAGAGTGGCTGGTTGGATGGTTGAATGGATAGATTCAGATTCACTTGGTAGATGACAGGTAGATAGCTAGATAGCTAGGTAGATAGAGATAGATGAACAAATAGATTGACAGGATACATAGGCAGACGAATAGCAATATGATATGTAGAAGATGGAAAAGACTGTTAGATGCAGAGAATTAGATAAACAGCCTGAAGGAATGGACAGATCTCCAAATAGGAAGGTGGGTTACATCTCCAGGTTGGCTAAACCAAAGTGCCATTTTCTAGATGTGGAGGTTTCAGGTCTCTGCTGTTGTTGTAGGTAAACACGTTTATGGAAACATGAGGTTTTGCAAAGGCAGTTTTCTTATTTTTTTAATCATATACACTCTTTAAAGAGGGTAATCAGTCATGACCACCTCAGGGATTTCTTCATCTGTGCCTAGTGTCTGTATTACAGTTTGGATCTTCATTCTCCAGGTTCTACATGTTTGAGAACAACTGTAAAGAAGGTTCTAACTCCCAGCCTCACAGGCATTTGTTCCTCAGGTGGGGTATTTTTGTAATATTTTGATAATTATTTGAATAGATGGAGTCTAGAAATGCTCCTTTAGTCTTTCCAACAATTTTGTAAGCAACAGATAACCTGCAGTGATTTCCTTCCTCCTTAAAATATTAAGCTAACATTTGTTGCTGTAAATTTTAATAACGCAATATTTGTTATTGGTTATCATTGCAGAAAACATATTTAAGGGTGCCCATATGGAATAGATTATCTGCTCTTTTAGCATTTGAAGGCATTGCTGGGCTTATAACCTTTGGATAAAAAGGAATAATTGAATTTCAGGACAAGTAGTAGCAAAACAGTTATTTGTTGAAAGAGTACAGTTGAAGATTTTTATATCATGGACTTATATAAAACAATGCCCACCAAAACTTGGATATACAATTACTTCCAAATGCTTGTAGGAAATTATGTTCCAAAAGCATTCATTCTGGAAACTTATTGTCCTTATCTGAAAAGAAAGGACAATATTACATGTGAAAATGTGGTCAAAATTGCATACACAGCAAAATTAAAGGCATGAGATTTTATGAACATCTGTAAGGCAATAAATTTGAAATGAAGATAAAATATTCTCAGAAATATATAACTTTTAAAATTTATACTAAATATAAACAAAATTTGAATAGATCTGCAACCTTTAAAATAGTTGACTTGTTAATTTTAAATTTTCTTGTTGTGGCTATAATATTATACTATTAAGTCCAGCTGAAACATTCAAGCTACATTTACCTTTAAAATTATAGAAACTCTTCCACAAAATAGAAATTGGGCAACCCACTACAATTTCATGTTTCTAGTGAAAGCTTTTTGCCTGCATAAACCAGAACTTTATGCTTAAGAAAATTATAGATCAATATCACTTTGACTGTACTTTGAGATAGTGGTAAGTAAAATGTTAAATCACTGAAACAGTGTGTAAAGCTAAGGTTATGACATAAATGGCTTTGCTTCATCTGTGCAAAATACTTTTATTGCACAGTTCTTCCTTTCCATCTTGCCTTTTACAAAATTGTTCAGTTCTCACTTCCAGTTTTTTTTTTTTTTAAATCATATGGTTCCCTAGGTATGAAAATGCACTCCAGTATTATCACCTTGCAGGAGCTATGAGATTTCTTGCCCTCAGTCACAGATGGTTTATTTACCTTGCCTCACGATTGAAGCTAGTCATTAAGAATTTCTAATTACCCAAGGAGTTCCATGCCAATCCCTCTGCTTTGTCAGTGATAAAATCTGCAGCTCTCTCATCCCCACACCAGAAACAGAAGATAAATGGTGAGAGATGCAACAAAGAAATTTTATAAAATGTAAACTGTGGTCTAAGCCAAAGCACAGAATACTATGTAGTCATTAAAAGATACACTTTAAAGAATACATGACTCTGTTACAGAAGCAGAATATAAAGTAGCCAGTACAGTTTGCTCTCTCATTCTGTCTGTCATTTGAAAAAATCTCTCTCCTTTTTTTACTTTCTTTCTTTTTTTTTTAAGGAAGGATCTTGCTCTGTCAACCATGCTAGAGTACAGTGGCATGATCACAGCTCACTGCAGTCTTGACCTTCAGAGCCCAAGTGACCCTCCCTCTTTAGCCTCCCAAGTATCTGGGACTACAGGGATGGATCACCACACCTAACTAAATATGTAACTTTTTTGTAGAGATGGGGTCTAGCTATGTTGCTCAGTCTGTTCTCAGATGATCTTGCTTCTGCCTCTCATAGTGCTGGGATTACAGGTGTGAGCTACTGTGCCCAGCCTCCTCCTCTTTTCAGAGATCTTTCTATGCAAGCATGAACAGGAATTATCTCCAGGTAGTGAGATGTGAGGTAACTACCATTTTTCTGTTTATATTTCCCTAAATTTAAAAAAGTTCTGAAATATAACAATATTTCAAAATGTATTATAACATATAATGATAATATTCACTTTAGAAAATGTTTAAGTTCACTCCCAATGACATACTGGAGTTGACTCTACCAATATGGTGGTTGATATGGTGAGGCTTTTTGTCCCCACCCAAATCTCATCTTGAATTGTAATCTCCATAATCCCCATAATCCCCATGTGTCAAGGAAGACACCAGGTGGAGGTAATTGAATCATGGGGACAGTTTCCCCTATGCTGTTCTCTTGATAGTGAGTAAGTTCTCACGAGATCTCATGGTTTTATAAGTGTTTGGTAGTTCCTCCTATGTTCATTCTCCTTCCTGCCGCCTTATGAAGAAGGTAAGATTCCCCTTTGTCTTCCATCATAATTGTAAGTTTCCTAAGGCCTCCCTAGTCATGCTGAACTGTGAGTCAATTAAATCTCTTTCTCTTATATATTACTCAGTGTTTGGGCAGTTCTTTATAGCACCACTAATGCAATGGTGAAGTTGAACTTTTAGGTGATTTCCTAAACAAGCTTTATTTCATGCTAAATTATTTTCCTTAATCTCTTTAGTCAATCAAGTACTTCACCAATCTATTTATTTACTTATTTAACCAAACTCATTAGAAGTTTCTGAGCTATGAAGCCATTAATTACATCTACTCAGAATAGCAATGACTTTGTCTGAATTTGATTTTAGTATCACATGGAACGGAGGATGGTCAGTGAGTCTAACAAAACGCAGGCTTCATCCAACATTTGGAATATGATAGTCACTCTATTCTAATTATGGCATGACTGCTCTATGGGGTTTTTCATCCTTTGAGTAGTATGAGCTGCAATTCGCTGTATTTTAGAATGTCTTTAAGACACTTTGCCAGTCATGGAGTGATACTGCTGTTATTCGTGAGGCATTCATTTCATTATTGTGGAAATAAATGAAGACCACTGAAATGAGGACAAAGAGAGAATGTTTATTCCAGGTTTGCTAGAGCAAGGGAGGCACCCATCATCACTTGCATATGGTATTCAAAGGCAGGCAGAGAAGGCGGAAAGTTTTATAGTGTGAAAACAAAAGGCCCCCGGTGTGCCCTCATTGGAGGTTGCTAGTGTTGGGAAGCCCTAGGTGGCTCACAAGAAAATGAAGCATCCTGTGTGATTGGTTGGAGGTCCATATCTGGCTTTCTGTGTTTCGTCGTGCTTGAGGAGCAGGGGAGGAAACTAGGGAAGCTGTCAGTCATTAATCAAGTCCTGGTGGTTTGGGGCTGCTACAGAGATGATAGTTAAAATCAGCTCCTCAGAAATGGATGATGTTGAACTTTGCAGACTGATCACTGCAGATTGCAGTTCAGAATTCTTTTTTATATATGGTCAGGACATGGTCTGAATATTCAGTGTCTTCATTTTAAAGTGCAAAGTTCCACTGATGTAGGAAGAAGACATGTACACTGCAAAGTGCTTTGAGTGGCATCATCACAACACAGCTATGATGCACTGGCATTCTTTCTGGGACTGTGTTTTTATAGTCAGGGCTGAGATATTAATATGGAATCATTTCATGGCCACACGCTGCAGTAATCTATCTCCAAATATAGTACTGGGTCTGCTTATATCAGACATGATTTGGATGCTTAGAGAATTACAGATTTCTGGCCCTAATATTGGAAGGGTTCCATCATACTTGCATACCTCCATTTATTACTATATAAACTGCTTGAGACACAACGCTATTATGAACTAGGCTCTAAAATTCAGCTATTAATACTAGTTCCCCAAATATAGTTCTATCATTTACTAAAAGGCAGATATTCCAAAATTTTTTTTATTTTTTATTTTTTTGAGTCAGAGTCTTGCTTTGCCACCCAGGCTGTAGTTCAGTGGCACAATCTCGGCTCACAGCAACCTCCACCTCCTGGGTTCAAGCGATTCTCTTGCCTCAGCCTCCTGAGTAGCTAGGATTACTGGTGCACACCACCATGCCCAGATAATTTGTATGTTTTTAGTAGAGATGGGGGCTTCACCATGTTGGTCAAGCTGGTCTCGAACTCCTGACCTCAAGTGATCAACCTGCCTCAGCCTCCCAAAGTGATGGGATTACAGGCATGAGCCACCTTGCCCAGCCTTCTTCTTAAATGTTTTAAAGCTGTCTTAGGATCTATCCCCTGTTATGAAAAATGGAGAAAATAATACTACTTAGTTTTTTTAGAATCCTTTTGAGGATTAAATGACATATGTGTTATAATTAGAATCATTTGATAATTCAATATTGTAAAATGCTGAATTTCATTTTCACAAAGGGAAAATGCAATATAGTTATAAGAAAAATTCCCTGTAAAAATATTTTATTGATTATTGGTCAAAAACAATAAAGGCTCAATGTAGAAAAAGAAAAGCATGGGAAAATATAACTAAGCAATATATTCATTTGTAACACATAACATAGTATTTAGCCATTGCTAATATTTCACTGCATTTTCTTTCATATGTTTCTACCTACATGGAGATGCACACATACAATTGTAGATAACACTGCAGGAGGATGGTCCTGTATCATATCCACTGGCCATGCAAGTCTATTGTCTCTCCACGTAGAATCAGTTTCCATCCAAGGCTGTCTCAAAAAAAAAAAAAAAAGAATCAGATTCCATTGTCATTCAAGGTGCAAACTGACTCCTTGAAGACAAACACATCACACTGCTAGAAGACAGAGCTAAAATATGGATGACTACGATAAAATAGGAATGAATGAGGCCCACATCTTTGTTACACAGCCTCTCTCTCTCTCTTTCTCTTTGCGTGTGTGTGTGTCTTTCCATTTGCTTTGCTTCTTTTGGTTTTTACGAATTAGTACCTCATGATCGACTCTTTGCTTCTACTTTGAAAGTCATATGGCATCAAAAGAAACTTATTGGGGAGGACTATCAGGACAGTTTGCTCACAAGTTCATCTATTTTTGGCCAAAGAGGATAGCACCCATCACATGAGGTCCAGCTCAGTTCAGGAAGGAAGGAGAGATACTTGTAGTCCACAACCTAGAAAGTGTGAAGATGGCTTTGTCTAAAACAGAATCCATACTACTCATTTCTTCCAGAGGTTCTAGTAATTTGGTCCCAGCCATGGTTGGATTTTATCATCTGAGATGTTGGTCATGTCTTTTTTTTTTTCAGTTCTAACAATTAATTATATGTTGATTGTTTTGTTTCAATCAGCAAAATTTCCACTGTATGGGGCATATTCTGAGTATAGGCAGTTCTATCTTGGCTTTAGACCATTAGAGTAACACCGTAATTAATATCACTAGCTTAGATTATTTTAGATCCCAAGGCAGGGGCTATTCCCAGTCTCAGGGTTTTTTGGTATTCTTTCTCTTTGGAAGCCTAAAGAACATGAAGAGGCAGTGACCGACCAAGCTCTGTTACTCATGGGGAGACAAGATGAAACAAACTCCATTATTCCAAAGAAATTAAGCATGAAGAGGAGAAGATCCAAGAACAGTTCTATTTTTAGTTCTTTGAGAAATCTTCATACTATTTTCTGTAGAAGTTGTGCTAATTTACATTCCCACCAACTGTGTATATATGTTCCCTTTTCTTCACAGCCTCATCAGCGTTTGTTGGTTTTTTTCCTGGAAAACAATTTACCTTGCTTTTAGTGTTGCAATTATTTTAATACAATGTGTTATTCTTGCTTTATTATGTTTTATTTTATATCTCTACATCATAGAAATTAATAGGAATGCATCCTCAGGTATCTGCAGTTTCCATTTTCCACGTTTCCCCCCTGACACCTCTCAAGAGTGTTCAATTGCCTATGTAATGTATTCACTTACTATGTTCATTATCTATTGTCTATCTCCCACTTGTAAAGTATAAAATGTTAAGTGTAAAGTGGTTTTTCCCACTCTGGTCATTGTTGAATGAACGACTATTCAGTTCTGAAAATATGGTTCATATGACACATTTCAATTATGTTCATTATAATATCTGTGAATAAACCATACAAGAATATGATCAAGCTAGCTAAGAAAATGTAGCAGACGTTGGAATTTGTTTTTAAGTGGAGGCATGTCTTATGCCAGCTAAAATGTTTTCCTGTTAGGGAAAACACCCAGGAAATAATGATCATTGGTTTTCTAGTGAAAAAATTAACTTTATTTAAAGTTCCATTCCATTAAGCCAGCATGTTGCTTCATTGGAGTGAGAGAAATATGACTTTTTTCAGGGCAGAATTTCCAGTAGGCCTTTTTAAAGAAATACCTACTTTAGTGCAGCATTCATGATCTCACATTTTTTAGAAGATTATTTCCAAATGTATAACTTTCTTTTACTGCTTCTACTCAACCAAAAATGTACATTAAAAGACACATTTTTCTGGGACACCTGTCCACATTTCCCATAGCCTTCGCTGAAGCATAAATTTATAGGAATGAAAAAACCCTCTTACCAGGGAAGCCTGGATTGGTAGGAAAGCATAGGATATTTCTGCTATTTATAGAAGAAAGAGCTTTCTCACAAGACAATTAGCAAATGTAAATATTTGCTTGTGTAAATTGTCTGACCTTTCATTTAGTCTTGGGGCCTAGATCTTTGAGTCTGAGTAGACTACCTGAAGAAATATGGATTTTATCTAAGCAGGAATTTAGACTTCCACCTTCTACCCTTCCATGCAGTTATATATACATATACATATATATATGTATATATATGTATAAATTGTATACATCATCTACAAGTACCATTTATATTTATTATTAACATTTAAAGATGTATTTAGAAATCTTATTTTTGCATTTTTCATAGTCATAAGAATACAATACTTGAGGCTGGGTATGGTGACTCATGTCTGTAATCCCAGCACTTTGGGAGGCCAAGGCGGGTGGATCACCTGAGGTCAGGAGTTCGAGACCAGCCTGGCCAACATGGCAAAACTCTGTCTCTACTAAAAATACAAAAAATAAGCCAGGTATGGTGGCAGGTGCCTGTAATCCCAGCTACTTGGGAGGCTGAGGCAGGAGAATCGCTTGAACCCAGGAGGCAGAGGTTGCAGTGAGCCGAGATCGCGCCACTACACTCTAGCCTGGGCAACAAGAGCAAAACTCTGTCTCAAAGACAAACAAACAAACAAAAAGAATACAATAGTTGTCTGTCTAACAAACTGATAAAGAACCGAGGTTTTTTGTTTTTTGTTTTTTTAATAAAGTGAGAATAACCTACACACAGTAAGGAAAGCAGGTTGTATGGAAATCCATTAATGCTAGAATAGAATATGAAAGTTTTACTAACTAAAGTTAAAATGTAAACTTCCCAAAGCTAACACAGCTCGCTTCATGTCTAAAATTATAAAGTTCAGGGAGTGATCTTTATCATCTTCTGACTTGCCAGGGGGGAAATAAAAGAATTACATAAGAAAGAGTTCAAAGTGTAATGAGGTCATCCTCAAAAAATATTTTTCAGGCTAAACTTCAAGACATTCTTCAAGGTAAGATCTATTTGAGTGTGAAATTGCTTCCCAAGGGGCAGTGGAGAGAAGAGACCTAAATGATGTCATTTAAAACCATTGGAACTAGCCCTGGAGAGAAACCACTCTTAGGGACTAATGGTCACTTATGTAAGGAACGTTCCTGTTCTCCAATGCTGTGATTATCAAATCCCAAGCGTTTGACTATTAAACTGTGTAGAAAGTGCAGCATCAATGAGTTGCATTCAATAGCACAGAGGACAGATTGCTGGGTAACTTTTTCTAAACGTTTGAAATTGAAAGAGAAAACATAAAGGATGACCATTTTCTTTTTTTTGTTTGTTTCATTTATTTACTTTATATATATTTTTTATACTTTAAGTTTTAGGGTACATGTGCACAAAGTGCAGGTGTGTTACATATGTATACTTGTGCCATGTTGGTGTGCTGCACCCAATAACTCGCCATTTACATTAGGTATATCTCCTAATGCTATCCCTCCCCCCTCCCCCCACCATTTTCTAATCACCAATGGCAAATCAGATTCATTTGTTCCAATTAGTACTCCTGAGTGTTTTAACGTCTGGATTTCTATCGTTTCTGGGATTGTCCACTATCTGGGAAGTCAACTGGAATCGTTTCACGTTTCAGTCTATCCACTGGGCTATTGGCTATGGGTGTTGTCTAATTTTCCACTGTCAGGTTAAGAACCAAAAAAGAGATTGAGATCGTCCTAACGACTTGTAGGTGGTGATGGTGTGTGGCATCTAGTCCCCTCCCCTAGTGTCTCCCTTCAACCTGGCTGCATTTAGTTTTGCAATCATTTCTAAAATATTAGTCTTTTGCTATAGATTGTTAATTATTTGAAACCCAAGTTACCACTTAGATCTATTGTATCTTTAAATCATTTGGGAAAAATAAAATTACTCTAAGACTTCATAAAAAGATTTCTTTTTCTCCAAAATGTTCTCTGCTTCCTAAAAGCTCCATCATTTTCTGGAATTTTTAAGGGTGAATAGGAATGACAATCAAGTGTAAGACAAACTCAGGTGTAGTGTATTTCCTTAGTAAGGGCTTTCTGAGAAAGAACATAATGAGAGAAAAGAAATTGGCCTAATTGCACTAATTGACTACATCCAGGTGGGGACTCTCATATTGCTTTGTTGGGTTTCCATAGGTAGAGAGCAACGATATCATCAATTTTAAATGTTAAATAAGCCCATTATTCATTACACACATACATACTCTTACAGCATTTTTCTTGCTGTTATTCATGTATTTTAGTGATTTTCTGACTGATCTGATCTATAGATAAGACTGTGTATAGATACAAGCTCTCCAGCATTAATTTGAATGTCATGAGTTTTCTTTGAGTTTAGATATATTTATTAATACTTCTCTTCTCCATGCAATGTCATTCAAAAATGTACTTATTGGTGATCTCAGGAAGAGAAAAAAAAGGTTCCTGTTATAAGTTATACAAAATAAATTGTGAGACTCTTAAAACATGAGGAAAAACTATCTTGGTTTAAAATAGAATAAGAAAACCTGAATTGTTAATAAAAATAAAGGCTTCTTAAATAGATCTGTTAACCAAATCACATGGCCTGATGATGCCAAAGGAAGAAAGTAAGCTAATGACATAAAGTTAAAACAAATAGGTCACTGAGTAAGCTTAAACACTGGTCAATACGTGTAGTCCCAGCTCGGGAGGCTGAAGCGGGAGAATGGCATGAACCTGGGAGGTGGAGCTTGCAGTGAGCCAAGATAGCACCACTGCACTCCAGCCTGGGCGACAGAGTGAGACTCTTTCTCAAAAAAAAAAAAAAAAGGTCAATACAGAGAAAGTTGGGGAGAAGTGGGGATGGCCAATGGGTACAAAAAAATAGAATGAATAAGATCTTGTATTTGATAACACAACAGGGTGACTGTAGTCAATCACAATTTAATTGTACATTTTAAAATAACTAAAAGAATATAATTGAATTGTTCATAACACGAAGGATAAATGCTTCAGGGGATGGATACCCCATTTACCATGATGTGATTATTATACATTGTATGCCTGTATCAAAATATCTCCTATACCCCACAGATATATACATCTGTATACCCACAAAAAATAAAAATAAAAAAGTAAATACAAAAACATTTAGATAGTAAAATTATGAGTAAATATATTTTTTTCATAATTTTAAAGCTCTGGATAGAGGAAACAGAGTATATTTTTTTCATAATTTTAAAGCTCTGGATAGAGGAAACAGGGTGAAAATGTCATGTGATAAAAACAAGTTTCATATAATCCTTTGAATATGATGGAAATAACTTTGGAATAGTTACAAAACCTGGAGTACAAGTCAATTCAAGCATATGCTTAATCTCTGTCACCTTTTTCTAGGCTATTGCAATAGGGAACATAGTGAAATCACCCCTGTCTTCAAAGCTGATCCCACTGTGTTCCCTTCTCCATTAAGTTTTTAAAGCATATGTAAGAGTACATTACTTCCTACCACTCCAACTATCTACCCAACTTAAAACCCTCTAATTATCTAACACTGGTTATCACCCAGAATAAAAATCCAAGGATTTTTTAAATTGGGCTTTATAACATGCATCATTTGGCCCCTGCACAATAATGAGCTCATCTTATCAGAGTTGCTCTTGGACAAGAATATAGTGGTCTTCCTTCTTTTAGGGAAGGAGCCTAGGAGAGCCAGAGTAATGTCATATTAATAGTACTCCTCCATCTTAAGACTAACAAGGAACATTCCTTGCTAGTCATGACCCATGGTCTTAAGATATTTATGGCTAAGAAAACAGCTTGGTAGTGCCAGCGAGAACAAACTCCCTCGACAGAAAGTTCAGATGTCTCAAAACCCATAACAATATATGCTTTCAAGATTATTATAGTTATGCTTTGCTGTAGTTACATGCGAAAATGTCAAGGATAGTTTTCTTTAAATCAATAGGATAATACATTTTGTCATGCTGTCAGCCCACCTGCATGTAAGCACAGCTTAGATTTTCTTTGCATAGGCAAGACCTCTAGATAAGAAAAACTTAAAACAAAGACAGGACATTCCTCCACTTGTTTGCTGAAGACGCCTTATTCTGTAATGCAGTAGCTTTTAATAAGTTATTTCTTCTCACTGCACTCTGTTACTCACCTTGAATTCCTCTCTGCATGAGATTCAAGAACTCTCTCTGGGAGTCTGGATTGGGACTCCTTTTCTGGTAATGCTTCTACTTTTGGAAAACCCCCATCATCTGCTGTCATCTTCCTTTCAAATTTCATGATTTAAGAATTTCAGCTCAAATGTCACCTTCTCAGACGTGCTTTGCCTGACTATCTATTACGGAGTAACCCTTGCAGTCAATATCCCATTATACTCTCCTGTGTCTCTGCTACTCTCTGAAATCATCTTGTTTGTTTCCCAGCTGCACATCTAACCTGCATGAGAGTGGAGAGATTAAGAAGTATCTGTCGAATCATTCAAAAGTACATGCATAAAACATTGAAGATAGTATTTTGATTGAGATTGGATAATTGTGTCTTTCAAGAAATTGCTCAGTTTCACCTAAGTTTTTGAAGTACGAGATTTTTTGTAGTATTCTCTTGATTCTATGTTAATATCTGGTGGATCCTTAGTGATGTCCCCTCTTTTCTTTCTGATAGTGATTTGTTTGTATTATTTTGTTATTGTTTCCTCATTGGTAATATTACATGGATGATTAACCATTTAACTGTTTTAGTTTTTTTATAGTGTCAATCTTTTAATATTATCTTTTTGCTTTTGTGTTTTGTTTATGTTTTTAATTTCTTTGATTTTTTGCTTTTCTAATTATTGTTTCTTTCCATTTGTTTGCTTTCTGTGTAATTGTTCTTCTTTCTCCAGTTTATATAGGTGAGATCTTAGCTTGCAGAATAGAAATTTTTTTTTCTGCCATGAATGTTCTCACACTGCTATAAAGAGCTACTTGAGACTGGATAATTTATAAAACAAAGAGGTTTGATGGGTGCTTGGTTCTGCAGGCTGTACAGGAAGCATGGCTGGAGAGGCCTTGGGAAACTTATAATCATGGTAGAAAGTGAAGGGGAAGCAGGCACATCCTACGTGCCTAGAGCAGGAGGAAGACAGGGAGGGAGGGTGGTGCTACACACTTTTAAACAACCAGATCTCCTGATAACTCACTCACTATCACATGAACAACAAGGGGGAAATCCACTTCCATGATCCAAACACCTCCCACTGGAACCATCTTTCAACACTGGGGGTTACAATTCAACATGAGATTTGGGCGGCGACACAAATCCTTACCATATCAGTGTGTGTGTGTATGTGTGTTTGTGTCTGTCTGGTGTTACAAAACAAACTAAACATGAGAATGATAACTTAATTAGAATCTCTATGATATTTTAGACATCCAATATTTTAACAGAAAAATACTACATGCAAATCATCTGTCATTAATGCCAACATTTGCCATCTGGTTGCTGGATTTATTTCTGCTATATAGTCTGGTATATAGCAAAGGCATATATTGCAGAAAGATAAGTAGCACCCTTCCTGAATACTTCATGTGACCTATTCCTTAAATCTTATGCTCTCCTGACTAGGGGCTGCCAAAAATGCCTGATATCTTCTTTCTCGTTCATCTTGACTTTTTTTTTTGAGACAGCATCTCACTCTGTCACCCAGGCTGTAGTGCAGTGGCATGACCTCGGCTCACTGCCACCTCTGCCTCCTGGGTTCTAGCTATTCTCATGCCTCAGCGTCCCTGGGACTACAGGCTCATACCACCATGCCTAGCTATTTTTTTGTATTTTTAGTAGAGAGGGGATTTCACCATGTAGGCCATGCTGGTCTTGAACTCCTGACCTCAAGTGATCCACCCACCTGGGCCTCTCAAATTACTGGGATTACAGGCTTGAGCCACCACACCAGGCCCATCTTGATTTTTTTTTTTTTCTTTGAAATGGACTCTTGCTCTGTCACCCCGGCTGGAGTGCAGTGGTGCAATCTCGACTCACTGCAACCTCCACCTCCCGGGTTCAAACGATTCTCCTGCCTCAGCCTCCCGAGTAGCTGGGACTACAGGCGCCTGCCACCATGCTCGGCTAATTTTTGTATTTTTAGTAGAGACGGGATTTCACCATGTTGGCCAGGATGGTCTCAATTTCCTGACCTTGTGATCCACCCACCTCTGCCTCCCAAAGTGCTGGGATTACAGGCATGAGCCACCACGCCAGGCCCTCATCTTGATTTTTAAGTAAATATAATTGTGTGTTTTCTTGTATAATTTACATCATTTGTAAATTTAATTTTTACTCACTACAGTAATATCTATTGGATATTTGTTATGTGCCCAACATGCATAAACCATTTATCTATATTATGTTATTTATTTCTCACAACAATCCTTTGTATACATTAATTACTTTCCGCATATTCTGACATAGGAAAATGAGGTGATTAAATAATGTGTCCACATCATAATACATAAAAGCAGGGTGAATTGGGAGTGCAACTTGCACCTAAGCCATTGATCATGACATGAAAGGCAGGGAGAGAATAGCTAGGGGTAATAGTCTGGATTCAGCATGATAAATTAGCTAGTAGAAATTCCTGTTGAGAATAAAAGACGTATACTGTGGATGTGGTCTGGGAACAAAGAGACGATGACTGAACACAATTCATTGCAAAGAGATGCCGGTGAGGTATTTCAACTGCATTAGGTGGCTTTTCCTGAACTTCCCATCACTGCTGGCAACTTTTATGTCTCTAATTTGTTACTAATGCACTTACTGTGTATCTATATCGACATAATGCACAAATTATCCAAAATGCATGTTAGACATCTTCCCACTGACAACACTCCAAATTAATGGCCAAATCTCTGTCTTCCTAAAATAAGCTACAGTTGTCTAACTTTTTATAATTAGCTTTACAAGAATAAGTTTTCTTTTTCTGATTTCTCCACTTTTTCTGATTTTTTCATTTTTCTAAGCTTCTCTTTTGAGCTCTTCAAAATAAAAAAAATGTGTTCTTGCTTTACTTTTCCTTCCTTAATGTGTCTATATCAGGATACTTTCTTCTTATTATTACTATTAAGATTAGTGTTTCAATTCCCAATGCAAAAAATTAATATGAAGAATGAAGTTAATCTTTTAAAATTAGTTCATAAAAATGTTTAAAAAGAAAATAAAGTGGGAGAAGTTATTTCAACAGAACAATGAGACTCTGTCACTATGCCAGGCTCTGGTTAAAGTTGCAATAACTGAAAGCATTAATATCTTCAATCCAGATGAGAAAATTAAAGAGAAGAATCTAACTATAAGAGATTTGGCTGTGACAATAATGAGTTCGAATTCAAGCAAGCATGAGCAATTCTCAGAGACCATCCATCAGCTCTTTAAGTGTTAAGTGTTATAAACACAATATATTTTGACAGCAATTACATTCTCCTCCCCCCATAGTGTGTGAAAATGAACTTAGATATTGTAAAAACTGACACACTTAAGTATATATGTGTGCTTCATTCTTAGCTAAAATACTACTTTAAATATTATATTATTTTACTAGAAAATTGGAGACCTAGTAACTGTCATTTTTGTTTTTTCTTTTCATTCTATTCAACTAAAGTTAGTGGAATTCCTATTTATTTTTGTTTAATATTGAAAATGTATATGAGAGCATAAAACTCAGCTTGTTCTTTGAACGATATGAACACGATTTAAATAGACTAAAACTTTTTCATCTGCACTGAAATGTAAAATACATTGTTTTCATACATTTAAATACCTTCAGGCATACAGTGGAAGATAATTTGGGGCAAAGCACTATTTGTTTGCTGACTCCAAAGAGTGATGAACATTCTTTACTGGTGATGAATAATGACAGAATGACTAACAATAAATGATATGTTGAATTTCATCAACTGAAATGACTCTAAGTCGTTACTCACAGTTTCATTTATAAAATTCTGATTTGAGATTTAGGTAATATTATTATTACGATTACGTTTTGATAATTTAATCATAGCATTTGAGATACTAGAAATGCCATTAAAATTTTGTGCAGTCACTAAGTGTGTAAAATAATGTTGGAATTTAAATAAAAATAAAGAAATCTAGATTTAGGAAAATGATACCTATTATGAGTTAGTTAAATGTTTTTGATCACAGTGAAGGGGGACTAGGTTGGAAATAAATAAGAGTAAAGAAAATAAGTAGGTGGACAAATAGATAAATGGATGTATTTATGTATTGACAGACAGATATGTTAAATATATAGATAACTGGTAAGTTGATAAGCAGATATGTAGATGGATATATATATAGAGAAAGACAAACATAGACAGATAATAGATGATAGATATATAGATAGACACATACATACATACATAGATCTATAGATACATAAATACATAGATACATAGGCACATAGATAGATGAGAGATATGATGATTAAGTAGATAGATATGATAGGTGATAGCCAGCTAGCTAGGTTAATGGGTTGATAGATAGAAAAATGGACAGAGAGATCTAAAGATGGATAGAAAATTGATAGATGAGATAGATAATAGATATGATGGATGAATAGATAGATATAATAGATGGATAGCTAGATAGATTTATATTTAAAGAGGATAAATGGATAGATAGAATAGTGAATAGATAGGTATGATGTTTAGATCGATGATAGAGAACCAGACTTAGGTAGATAATAGAGAGATAGGTAGATAGATAGACAGACAGATGGATAGATAGATAGATAGATAGATAGATAGATAGATAGATAGATAGATAGATAGATATAGGGATTGATAGATTGAGAGATAGGCAGATAGAATATCTTTACCTAATCTACTTTTTGCTGATTTTCTTGCCTCTTCCAGTAAAATATGGTCTCCGTAAATGACAGAATTATGCCTGTTTATTCACATCCATACTCGCAGACCGTATGGCAGTGCCTGAGAATAGTTGATGCTCAGTAAATACTTGTGAAATAGTTTAGTATATGGTAATCAAGAGTTAGTCAACAAGAGATTGAGGGGTATTTGTGTCCCCTCAGAGTATAGACACAACAAAGTGCAAATTTCAAAAGCTGTAGCAATTTGACACATCTCCCAAATGCTAAGTACACTGAAGCAAAATGAAGAAAGTTACGGGGAATATTTTTGCATAAAGCTCTAAAGAGCAGGAGATTGAGCACAGAGCCAGGACTCCTAAATATTTTCGGTCACCTGTTCCTTAGTCTTGAGGGGTAAAAATAATAGGAAGAAGAAAACTGAGACATGGAATCTCAGGAAGGATCTGGAGCCTGGGAAGGACTTGAAGAACCTGGAAGATACTCTATATTTGAATACAAAATTCAACCAACAACGCTGAAGGAGAGCAGGAGCCATATACAGTATTTAACAAAGCACCAGAAGAGAGCCATTGCCCATCTGTGCCCAGCGTATGGTGCACACTTATCTTTTGGTGGACTCTCCTTTCATTGTGTTGGATCTATCCCTAGGAATGGAACTTCTGAGTCCTAAGAAAGATGTTTGTTTCACATCCATAGAGATTGGCAGTGTCCCAAACTAATAGGATCTTTTTTTTCCCTCCTTTTGTCAATTTCCCTTCTTTATTTTCCTTTTGCTTTCACTCTTATTTGATGATTCTTATCATTCATTGCTCTTTCAGGCAACTCCTAAGATAACCTTAGGTTTTTTTTATCCGTCTGCTCCTGTGTCTTCTACCATTCCCAATGTAATTCTCTAAACACATAAGCGATGCTGACTATTTTGTTTACTCTGGCATTTTCAGAATGAAAGGAAAATGGGAAAGTGAAGTTCCAACTTTGGAACAAAGGTAACTTTGATGAAAATGATGCTCATATTTCATGGCATTCAGCTATATATAGAAAAACTTTTCTCCTTTTTTCTCTCTTTCTTCCTTTCTTTCCTTCCCTTTCCTTTGTTTCTTCCTTCATTCCTTTCTCTTCTTCTTTCCTTCCCTTTCCTTTGTTTCTTCCTTCATTCCTTTCTCTTTTCCTTCCTTCCTTTCTTTTCTTTTTGCTTCCTTTCTTTCTTTTCTTTTCTTTTCCCTTCCCCTCCCCTCCCCTTCCTTCCTTCCTTTCTTCCTTCCTTCCTTCTTTATTCCTTTCTTTGCACAGGATCTCACTCTGTCACCCAGGCTGGCATACAGTGGTGAGATTATAGCTCACTACAGCCTCAACCTCCTGGGCCCAAGTTATCATCCTGCCTCAGCCTCCTGAGTAGGTGGGATTACAGGGACACATCATCACTCCTGGCTAATTTTTATTTTTTTACTTTTTGTAGAGATGGGGTTTTGATAATGTCGCCCAGGTTCTCCTGCCTCAGCCTCCCAAATTTCTGGGATTACAGGCATGAGTCACCACACTCAGTAAAAATTTTCTTACTGTGAAAAACATGACTCTTTGCCTGGTAATTTTCTTTGTTCTTGTTTCATTGTTGTGTTTTTGTTTGTTTGTTTTGTGTTTTGTTTTGTTGTTTTTTGAGACAGAGTCTTGCTCAGTCACCCAGGCTGGAGTACAGTGGCATGATCTTGGCTCACTGCAAACTCCACCCCCTGGGCTCAAGCGATTCTCCTGCCTCAGCCTCCTGAGTAGCTGGGATTACAGGTGTGTGCCACCATGCCAGGCTAATTTTTGTATTTTTAGTAGAGACGGGGTTTCTCCATGTTGGCCAGGCTGGTCTCGAACCCCTGGCCCCAAGTGATCTGCCTGCCTCAGCCTCCCAATGTGCTGGGATTACAGGCATGAGCCACCACGCCCAGGCTGTTGTTGTGTTGTTGTTTTCCTGGCCAGCATAGCATGGTTGACCACAGAATGGGCAAGCCTGAAGCCACCCAGGCAATTAATGTCGTGGAAACAGCCCTCCATCAATGACAGAGAGTTGGTAGATATACACCCCTAACTCCTTTGCTGCTCAGTTGAGTTAATTCCAAAACTCATTTACACTGGATTCCAGAGTTTCACAGACAGACTGTTCCCCACTTACCCCAAGTGGATAAGAACATGAAAATGGACCTATTATTGACTTCACTTGAGCTCCTGTGTCCCTCCACTACAGCACTGATGATGTTTCCTGGAGTGATTTTTCAAACTACTTCTAAAAGAGATGCCTTGACTCAGGACAGTTTTCTGGGAAAACTAAACTATGACTTTTCCACAAAATTCTTACTTTTCTATATTACCATTGACGAAAATAAACATCTCTCTTTGATTTAAGCATGCTTTGTAGAAAATTTTTAGAAATATTCTATATCTGACTCATTCATGTAAGCAGCAAAATATTGCTTTGTGTTCTTTCTGATTTCTCCAAATTTTAGTTAGGAACATGGGAAATAGTGGTTTCTAACTTTAGGGAGATGCATTCAGTAAAATAATCATAAATTTAAAATGAAAAAGCATGAACAAGTACCTATTTGCAATCTCAGCACACAAATATTAATTTTTTATGCAAGGTATTCAACACTTTCTTATGAAATAGATTTTGTGTTAGATGATTTTGTCCAACTGTAGGCTAATGTAAGTGTTCTGATAACATTTAAGGTAGGCTAGGCTACGCTCTGATGTTTAGTGCAGTAGGTGTAACACATATGGTTGAGGACATATTTCATGCAATTATAGGAAGATGGCAGTGTCTTTACAGAAATATCTTGGAGAATTTTCTTGAAAACATGTTTAGTTCCGTGTTAAGGAAACAGAGTGTTGGGAAGAAAAAGAAATAAGGTCTGTTGATTACTTGCCTTGGTCAAGTGTTGGTATTTACATTTTGCATTGATAAATACATGCACGCACATGCCACTGTCATTGCATAATCAAAAGAGAATAGTTTATCAGCAGATGTTTGGAAAATGTTATTTACAGATGGCAGTTAAGTCCCTTCAGACTAATCGAGGTTTCCCAGAATATTGAAGTAAAAATAGAGGCAATTGTCATGAAAGAGGAGAATGTTCAAAGAAATCAAACACCAGCTTTATTCTGTAAAGCAAAATTTTAATATTAAATAGAAAATGATTTTTTTTGAACTGGGAAGGTCTACTGTGCCTATATTCCACATTTAGAAAACTATTTTAATTTCCTTGCATTTCTACAAATTTGAGGCAATGATTTCAGTTTAATTTAGAAAGGAGAGATGATGAACGGATTAATTATGCTGTGAAATAATCTTCTGGAAATTTATTTAAAGCAGCAAGCTTCCCTATAATATTTAGAATAACACTAGGCTCGACTTTTCAGAAGGGCTTTTTATTAGAACATCCTTGTACTCATCCAGAAGTGCTGTGTCATTTGCTCCAGAGTTTTGCTCTATGCCTAAATTACCAGTTCAGTTTTTCTGTCATACAGGTATGGCTGTCGGTTTACCCAGCTAACGTGTTTTGACTGTTAGTGTTTCAATTTAGTTTGAAAAACTTTCCTTTATAATGGATGCTGAATAATACTTTTTGTCATAGGTTGTTTTGCATAAAGAACATATTACTGCTTGACTTTATAAGAATAGTTACATAGAGTAATTAAACGTATTCCTCAGCAAAGAACATTTTCTGTAAGTAAGAGTCAACACAAATTGTTATTTTAATTACATTTCAGAGGTGGTACTGAACTGATATTATTTAATATGTTTGATGGGTTTAATAATGATGTTTCCTGAAATGAGGCAATATCAATTGTAAAAACATCGTTTTCACTTCGTAGTCATTAAGAAATTACCCAGCTAAGGCAGTCAGTTATATCCAATAATCTTGGGGAAAAATTCATGCATTAATTAAATCAAATGACATTCTTATCACTTTACAAATTTTTCAAAAATTTGATTTCCCTATTTCTTAAACCAGGGGTTCTCAAAGTACGGTTTCTGAACCAGCAGTATACACATTGCCTTCTGTCCTAAGTCTGTACCACTTTGTTTATCATCATTGACAAACATGCCCAATTTGAACTGCCACACCAATTAAGTTAGACAGATGCTAAAACGAGTTTGTGCATAAAAATATAGGCTTTGTAAATGAGACATTAATTATATATGCCATGGAAAATTCCACCTTCTACAAAGAAACTCATAAAAAATGATGAGTATGTGAGCTGGGGATTTGTGAATTAGCTTGATGTAATCATTCTACAGTGTAAACATACACCAACATATCATATTGTATACCATAAGTATATACAATTATTGTTTGTCAATTAAAAAGAAAATAAAGGAATGTTAGGGATTACTTTTATAATAGATTCCATCTCTGATGTTATTATATGATTTTACTGCCGCAAGTAGTAAATTGGACTGATTTGACTTTTTACTTTCTCTGTTAGATACTTAAATATAGATTATGCTGTTCTCAAAGAGCAGATCACCCTGGGACTACTCCTATGAACAACCAGAATTTTGAATTACAGAATTTTACCTTTTAGATAGATTTATAGACCAGCCCTATCACCTGGCATTGCTCACAGGAATCAGGGACCTTCAGGGAATGAATAGAATGGGAATGCAATAGAGAATGTGGGATTGGAACTCATTATTTCAAAATTGTAATGGTGTTGCATTTTGAGAAACGGCTTCTGATATGGTTTGACTGTGTGTCCTCACCCCGGGCTCATCTTGAATTGTAATCCCTGTGTATCCAGAGAGGAACCTGATGGGAGGTGATTGGATCATGGAGGTGGTTTCGCCCATGCTGTTCTCATGATAATGAGTGGGTTCTCATGACATCTGATACTTTTAAAGTGGTACTTCCCCCTTCGGTCTCTCTCTCTCTCTCCTGCCACCATGTAAGATGTGCCTTGCTTCCCCTTCACCTTCTGCCATGATTGGAAGTTTTCTGAGGCCTCCCTAGCCATGTGGAACTTTGAGTCAATTAAACCTTTTTTTCTTTATAAATTACCCAGTCTCAGGTACGGGTAGTTCTTTATATGAGTATGAAGTGGACTAGTACAGGTTCTTTGCTGTTTCCGTCTCATAAGCACACATGAATAACCCTAAGGTTCCCTACCCTGTAGAGCTGCTGGTGTGAAAACAACCTCCATATTGAATCAGCATGAGAAATGTAGAGTTTCTGATTTTACTCATGACCTCAATAAAGCTGACAGTCATTAGCACTGCTGATATTTGAAAGTAAAAAGATAGCTCAAGAAAATCAGAAACATTTTGGTTAGAGATATTAATTTTCCACTACTGCACCTATTGAAATGCATGCTTATCACAGTTATTTTCCCTGAAGTTTGTTGCTATTGTTTTGATTTTGGACTCCCAGATTCTGCAAAGGCTTTCAGATGCTCTGAGATCTTATTAATTCATTGCAATATCCCCTTACTATGGGAATGCCATTTAATCTCAGGTTTGCCTTTCTATATCTGGTGGTTAATAGAGACACAGTTCCAAAACAGATTATACCAATAGTTTGAGTCTCTAGCAACACCAAACTGGGGCTTATCCCCAAACCAGGCTTGTGCTTCATGTCTATGTTTTCACTGTTGTTTATTATTATATACCTATGACGGGATGTTCTGTCACACAAATGTCAAGCATTAAATCACTGTGAACAGCCCCATGCACTTCATGAGACCCCCTACTTCCATTGTTTATTGCCCACAATTGGGGAATTACAATGGATTGATTATCAATATTTTATGCATTCATTTGTATGTATGAAAGGTCATGTGAAATATATTCATTTGTATTTACACATTCTCGAACATCTCCCTAGAAGAACATGCTTTGGTCAGGAATGCAATGTTTCATGAATATTTCATGACCCTATGTTGAGGATATTTTTTTTAAATGAGTTAATCAGAGTTAATCAATGAACTTTAGCATAAATCGTCTTGCTTTTCCATAAATTGCTGATGAAAATAATTCCAAATAAAGCTGGAGCTCAAAATTCTTTTTCGGTTTTTTTGTTTTTGTTTTTTGTTTTTTTTTTTTGACAGAGTCTTGCTCTTGTTGCCCAGGCTGGAGTGCAGTGGCATGATCTCGGCTCACTGCTGCCTCCACCTCCTGGGTTCAAGTGATTCTCCTGCCATAGCCTCCTGAGTAGCTGGGATTACAGGTGCATGCCACCAAGCCCGGCTAATTTTTGTATTTTTAGTAGAGACAGGGTTTCACCATGTTGGCCAGGCTGGTCTCGAACTCCTGACCTCAGATGATCCACCTGCCTCAGCCTCCAAGATTTATAGGCATGAGTCACCATGCCCGGCCAGGAGCTCAAAATTCTATTCCAGTCTTGATGTTCTCATGTCTGTCTTCTGAATGCCAAGGATTATTTTATACACGGGCTTCTTCCCAAACATTATTATTGAAAACATCGGAGCCTAGAAACTTATTCTCCATGTTGTTTTGACATGCTGAAGCGAAGAATCTTCAAGGTCTCTCTGACCTCTCCCCACACCCCTCGCTGTCTCTCCCAAAGAAGCTGAAGTTCCTTTGTCTGCCTAAGATTCAGAGCCACCAAAGAGAACAGTTGTTCTTTCTACACTTCTCTACTCTCTCATTATTTACTGCAGAAAAGAAGGCCAAGGTGTGACTACACCTGAGGAGACCTTTTTATAATGACTAGCTCTAAAGATCATTTAAATTAAGTCACCCAAAAAGAAGTATTTATAGGTTAATCTCTGTTCCCCATTCAATCATACTCAATTATCCTCCCTAACAATCATTTATTTCCCTTCCACAGAATTCTTTTTCTCCCCTTCTCATAACCTCTTTGATATAGTTTGGCTGTGTCCCCACCCAAATCTCATCTTGAATTATAACTCCCATAATTCCCACCTGTTGTAGGAGGGACTGGGTGGGAGATAATTGAATCATGGGGCCAGTTTCCCCCATATTGTTCTCATGGTAGTGAAAAAGTCTCACAAGATCTGATGGTTTTACAAGGGGTAACCCCTTTGGCTTGGTTCTCATTCTCTCTTTGCCTGCTGCCACGTGAGATGTGCCTTTCACCTTCTGCCATGACTATGAGGCCTCCCCAGCCACGTGGAACTGTGAGTCTGTTAAACCTCTTTTCTTTATAATTACCCAGTCTTGGGTATATCTTTATCAGCAGCATGAGAAAAGACTAATACACTGCTCTACCAGGATCCAAGCCCCCATTCTTTCTACAACCTCAAGACTGTATTTAAGCTTCTGGACCTCCGTGGGGTTTGGGGTCTCCATTCTGAAGGCTTCCATGTACACACATTAAATAAATTTGTATGTCTTTTCTCCTATTAATCAATCTACCTCATGCTGGTGATTTTTTAGCAAACCTTTTGGGGGCCAAGAGCTTTTTTGTGGCCCACACACACACAAAAAAAACATGCTTACTGTTATCCCCAGCCCTGCCTTTGAGACCCAGATAGTGGCTTGGATTTTATTGAAGATTTGAAAAACTGAAAATGTTTATTTACATCGGAACCAAAAGTGTACAAAGGAAAGATGCTCAATGTCATTACCAATCCAGATAGAGTAATTGAAGACAACAGGACCCCAGGTATGGTTATTTTGATTTCCTTAGAATTGTGTATCCTCTGTGACCAAGAACATTTTTTTAATGGAGAAAGGACTTTATGTAAAGTACACTCATATTTCAAACAATTTATCCCCAAATGGTTTTTTGACCACATTAATCTTCCAACATTTTGCTTTAGTCGGTGCAGAAATACTAAAAGAGGATGATTTTTTATAGACTCCATCGGACATTTTTCTTTCAAGCATTCCATTTTGTTACTATAATATTTTGGTACAAAGATAAACTGTAATGAGATAACAACTACTGTTGTAAAAAAATTAATTTTAAAGATTAACAGAAACATCTTAACCCTTTGGCTAAATCTTCAGAGACAAATGTTAGAAACCATGTTTCTCAAATCAGAAAATTTGCTCTGATCAAATAGCAGTTTTTTACACAGAGAGTTAAACGAGAATATACAACCATGTGCTGAAGTTCCTGTCTAAGTCTGTTGGGGCTAGTATGACAAAATGGCATCCACTGGGTGGATTATAAGCAGCAGCAATCTATTGCTTACAGTTCTGGATACTAGAAGTTCAGGGTCAAGGTGGGACAGATTCAGTGGCTGATGGGGACCCACTTCCTGGTTCATAGAGGGCACCTTCTTGCTGTCTCATAACATTGTGGAAGGGGCAAGGGAGCTCTCTGAGGTCCATTTTACAAGGACGCTCATCCCATTCATGAGACTCCACCCTCATGACCTTATCATCTTGCAGAGACCCCAGTCCCTAATACCATCCCCTTGGGAGTGAAGGTTTCAACACAAGGATTTGAAGGGAGACAGACATTCAGTCCATATTAGTTCTGCTTATCACATTTTCCCATTGGCTTCAGTTGTTTCAATTTATTGGGAATGAATGATGCCCATGTGTGGTTTATAGGCACAACTTCCTTCACTTTAGTGCTTATGGGCGAATTTAGCTACCTCAGCTCTGGTTTTAGGGGGCAGAGTAGCATCTACTTCACAGTTTTTTGCCTTTATTATTTTTTGACATTTTTAGCTTTATTGAAGTGTAAATAAAAAATAAGAATTGCATATTGTGTTAGTCAGGGTTCCCTAGAGGAAAAGAACTAATAGGATAGATGGATACATAAAGGGGAATTTATTAAGGAGTATTGACTCACAGGATAATGACTTCACAAGGTGAAGTCCCGCAATAGGCCACCTGCAAGCTGAGGAGCAAGGAAGCCAGTCTGAGTCCCAAAACACCAAAAGTAAGGGAGCCAACAGCGCAGCTTTCAGTCTGTGGTCAGAGGTCCAAGAGTCCAAAAGCTGAATAAATTGGAGTCCAGTGTTTGAGAGTAGGAAGCATCCAGCATGGGAGAAAGATGTAGGCTGGGAGACTAAGCCAGTCTAGTCCTTCCAGGTTCTTCTGCCTGCTTTTATCCCAGCAACATGGGAAGCTGATGAGATGGTGCCCACGAAGACTGAGTGTGGGTCTGCCTCTCCCAGTCCACTGACTCAAATGTTAATCTCCTCTGACAACACCCTCACAGACCCACCCAGGATCAATACTTTGCATCCTTCAATCCAATCAAGTTGACACTCAATATTGACCGTCACACATATACTTACAGTACATGATGTTATGTTTTTATATATGTGTACTTTGTGAAATGATGTTAATGATCAAGCTAATTAACATGTCCACCACCTCACATACTTATCTGTGTGTGTGTGTGTGTGTGTATGTGGTGAGAACATCTATTCTCTTAGCAAACTTCAAGTATGTAATATAGTGTTTAGGCAGGATAGGTAGTTAAGAAAGTGACCATGTCCTGGGGATGCAGCAATCGTGGGGACTGTACAATCAACACAATAAGCCTCCGTATTGATATTGTGATTAAGCTCATTCAAGCAAACTATCTTCAGTAGGGACTTTACCCTGTACAGAGAATGCCCACTTTGATTTTACCTGTCATCAACTGACCCTTGGCTTGTTATAATAGTAAAATACGTAACCATGGGTGGAGATTTAAGATGCTAATGAGACCTGCAATGAATGAACAAGCATGTGCAGCTACTGGGCATGTGCACCCAGAGGACCACCCAGAATATGCTTACTGACAACACCTCTTCCCATCTCCTTATGAATCATCATGTAAGACTCCCATAAAGGGAGTTTCTCCAGCAATAATCAATACTGTCTCACCCTTAAGAGCAGCCCACCATGAATCCTCTCTTTCTCGGGATGTACTGTCTACTCTGCACTTAACTTTCAAAATATTCTTTTTCCTTTGCAATAAATTACTCTATGCTGTATCTCCTTTGCTGTGTGTCTCTTGTTTAAATTCTTTTAAACTAAGAAGAGAAGAACAGAGGTCTCGCAGCAGCCATCAACAGTGTTATTAACCAGAGTCACCATGCAGTACACAGATCTCCAGAATTTATTCATCGTGCAGAACTGAAACTTAGGATCCTTTGGCCAGCATCTCCCTATGTCCCCCTCCCCTCCATAATCTCCATTCTTGATTCAGTCCAGTGAAATCCACTTTGACTTCTGGTCTTCAGAAGTGTGTGTGTATGTGTGTTTGTGTGTGTGTGTGTGTGTGTGTGTGTGTGTGTGGTGAGAACATCTATTCCCTTAGCAAACTTCAAGTATGTAATATAGTGTTCAAAATGTAAGTTAATACATTTGTGTTGCTTTTAGCAACTAAGTCTGTGGTCATTTGTAAGAGGAGCTGCAAGAAACTAATATGTGGCCAATTAGCATATGTTAAATTAAAGAACACATAGTGAGTGCTGTATGTTTGTGGGAGGTGGTCCATCCATTCCAGCACTCACACATACATCTACTGTCATGGAACCCATGGTCTTATAGGGCAGCAGTGCCCAATAAGGGCCCGGTTTCATGAAAGACAATTTTTCCACAGACTGGGGCCATGGGGGAGGGTGGTTTCAGAATGATTCAAGTGCATGACATTTATCGTGCACTTTATTTCTATCATTATTACATTGTAATATATAATGAAATAATTATACAACTCATGAAAATGTCGAATCAGTGAGAGCTCTGAGCTTGTTTTCCTGCAACTAGACAGTCCCATCTGGGGGTGATGAGAGACAATGACAGATCATCAGGCATTAGATTCTCATAAGGAGCACACAACCTAGTTTCCTCACATGTGCATTTCACAATGGGAGTTCCTATGAGAATCTAATGCTGCTACTGATCTGACAGGAGATGGCGCTCAGGTGGTAATGTAAGTGATAGGGAGCAGCTGTAAATACAGATGAAGCTTCACTGCTTACTGGCTATGTGCCGGGGTTCCTAACAGGCCATGAACCAGTACTGGTCCATGACCAGGGTTTGAGGACACCTGCTATGGGTGTGTGTGGGTTGCCCCTAACTGTATGTCTCAGTCATCTTGTGTAGCCTGGTAGTTACTGGTAAGCCTTCTTGTATGTCCACTGGACTAACCCAAGCCTCGGTTTTGGATGTTCTTCTATTTTTTGTGCTTTGTTGTTATTATTTTGGATATAGGGAAATTTGACTTCATCTTTGTAGAAACTTTAGTGGAGAAACGGAGAAGCACTGTGAGGAACGCTGAGTCATTTCCTCTTAATGAGGAATAGATGGGAAGTAGGGAGACTCCCTTCAAAGAGGGATGATTAATATCTGCATCTTGTTGATTTCAGGGTTATCTCTTTTGCTTCCCATCCTCGAGGTGCACAGTGTCCATGTGGTGATATGTGGCAGCTGCAATTGGAAAAACACACAATGCTTCTCTTGTTTTTTAGGCACCATGCATCTGGAGACCCACTCATATGGCTTCAAGGCTCTCTGCAAAGCCACAACCAGAAATACAATTGAGCCTCCGCAATGTGTTGCTTTCCATCGCCCCTTGTCTCCTATCCTTTCTCCTGACCCTAAAAACAGACAGAGAAAAAAATGAATAAATACACACTCACATGTTGGATGCAATAAAACAGTGATGACCAGTCTTCGCTAGTTCAGACTGTTTTAACACAAAACCATAAACTCTGTGGATTATAAACAACAGAATTTATTGCTCACATGGATAACTTTACTTGAAAGCGATTATAGCACTATATCATTTTAGAGCAAAAAAGGGATTGTTGAAATGCATTTCAATCCCAGCAAGAGCCAAATAAACTAAAGGTCAAAGAGGAGAACTGTGTGGCTCACAATAAAGGAGGAACAATTCAATCAAGGACTAATACCCAGGACTCTGTTTTTCATATACTATGATGTTTCTCTTCCTTACTAGGGATAAACGTCTTCATAAACATTGTCAGAATTATTCGTTTTGGAGGGATGAGGCAGGATCTCGCTCTGTCATTCAGGCTAGAGCACACTGATGTGATCATAGCTCACTGCAGCCTTGACCTCCTGGACTCAAGCAGTGCTCCCGCCTCAGCCTCCCGGTAGCTGAGACTACAGGTGGGTGCCTCCACCACTGCCTAATTTAAAAAAAAATTGTTTACAGAAACAGTGTCCCACTGTGTCGCCCAGGCTGGTCTCAAACTCCTGGGCTCAAGCAATTGTCTTGCCTCGGCCTCCCAAAGTGCTGCGATTACAGGGGCCACCACGCCCAGCCTCAATGTCAGAATTATGCTGTTGCCC
Organism: Homo sapiens; assembly: GCF_000001405.40. Classification (NCBI taxonomy): domain Eukaryota; kingdom Metazoa; phylum Chordata; class Mammalia; order Primates; family Hominidae; genus Homo; species Homo sapiens. The sequence continues at coordinate 5,081,988 of NC_000023.11, forward strand.
AAAATTGCTTAATTCTTTATCGGTTTATTATGAGAACGAATGTCCTTTCTCCATCTATCAATATTCTTTTCATGTATCTAAATGGGAGCCTTCTCAATTCTAAAATAATAGCACCTTCACATACAATAGTATAATCTCTTTTTGGTTAATATAGCATAATAAATCTTGCAAACATATTAAGCTACTGGAGTGAAGTCTTACGATTTTCATTATTTCTAGTAACTGAGTCCATATTGATCGCAGACCTGAACACAATAATGACTTGTGGCCAAACAGGGTAGTTGTTCTTTGCCTGAATTTTCCAATGCTGTTTATCTTTTTAAGACCTAATTTGAATAGCTCCCTTAAAGTCTAATTTATTCAGTGGAATATTTTAAATGGGATTAAATATGAATTAGGTACTCTGCCAGAATTATGGAACATTTTAGGCTTACACAGTACAATGCTAATGAAGCAGTATTTTAAACCCTTTTCCTTCTGGGTGCCGACTTATTTTAAATTTGATATTGCATGTAACCATTATGAGATTAGATGCTATATTTTGAAATTAGTTCTGTTGTTGTGGCAAATTCATATTGCTTGTAACTGAAAATTAGAGGTTCAGAGGTACACATTGATTAAACAATTTAAAACAATTAACAATGGATCTTCAGAACATTTTAAGGCTTAATTGCATTATGAAAATTAATGCATCTTATATGCTAATATCTCACTTTATCAAATGATTATTGAATTTGGTACTCACCATGTTGATCTTTTAAGTAATAGCTGTGAAGTGATGGCAGTAATTTACTGAAGTGATTGAAATTAAGGGTAGGTATTTTCAAGAAAAACGAATGCTTTTGGTCACCAGGAGGGTGCCTGCACATCACAGCCATGTTCATTATTCATGCTGGACATCACGTCTGAGGGCGATGATTGCTATACACATGTAAACCCAAGGCAGTGTGCTAAAAATAACATTTTTATGCTTACACAGGAAGAAAAGGAGACTAAAGGTTAATAGACACAGGTCTCATTTGTGACTCAAAGGGGAGAGTTACTTTATACATGCCAGCCTTATATTCTTTATATATGGGTATATTTGGTGGTTTATGGATTTATGGAATAAATGTTTTTTATTCTGCAAGTGGAATGTTTTCACATGCATCACCTCATTGATTCCCATGAACATGTATGCACACACATATACACACACACCAATACACACAACACATTAGTCATGTGACCTACTCCGAAAAAACACATAATTCATGGCAGATATAAATATGAATACATGATGGTTAAATTGAGATAATCATCATTTTCCAAAGGAATATTTAATTTTCATCTTAGAAAATATAGATAGATCCAGAAGTACATAAAAACACAAATAAGGAAGGTAAAGAAAAATATATATGTATAGATACATAATCATCGATGATAAACATTTTCCAATTAAAACCTTTTATATAATAAGCCTATGCCAAAATTGAATCTTAATGAATGAAATTTTGTGTAGTGGACTATAGTAGGACACTCATCCAAAATCTTACTATATCTGAGAACCTTTCTTCTCTACCTATCTTATTTCTTAATTTTACTTTCAGACTAAAGGTTTAACTTGAATTTTCTCTACACTGTTTATGCTAGCCTGCATCTATTTTTTTGTATATTTTCTTTATTATCTGTCTATTTTGTGGTACCTTTGAGAATCTGGGGGGAGACTTCTGTTCAGGCCAGCAGAATTCTCAGTTTCTTATTTGATTATAAGGATTATATTAATAAACTGATACTATGGGATTATATATCATCCTTTTTTGATGGTAGAATCTTCTAAAATCTTTATACTTTATATCACTTCATTAGATGTGAAAAATGGTACCTTTGTTCTACATTCTTTAACTGAAAATATCTAGAGATGTTTTATCAGCTTTCATAGAAATACACACCAACAAACATGGGTAAAGAATTATACTGAGGATTTAAAAAAAAAGATTGTAGCTTTCGGCAACTGTTTTATATATATACATGTTTGCAATTTGCCATTTCAATTGATTTACACACACGTCTCCTAGTGCATAGCACAGTTGCTTTGATTTTAATCTGGATGAGTTTAAACTCTTCGGCAGCTACTGTGAGTGGGCTGCGAGAGTCAGTAAGCAAGAGGAATGCGTAGAAAGAAAGAAAAATGGTTACTAGCCCATGGGGAACTCTCAAGAAACCTTAGCTTTTATTCTTTATCTCCTTTCCCTCTTACTCTAACTGGTTCTCCTATCATCATACGCAATGTGTGCCAGAGTGTATTATTGCAAACATAACTTGACCCGTCATTACCAGGAATTTCCCATGCAAGAATGATACTCCCCGTCCCATTAAAGCCAGGCATGATCTTACTTACAGCTTGCTCTGGTCACTGAAATGTGAGTGGAAATGACATACTCTGTTTCCAAGCAGGCATTCTGGGAGCCACTGCCTTAGTTCCGCCTACTTCTCACCCTTTGCTCTGCAAGAAGAATGGCCATGTCAAAGATGCACACTCATCGTTCAGCCTGGGAAGGTAGCTTGTGAAAGGCAAGACACAGGACACGAGTTGACCTCTGGCTAACATGTATTCTGCAAGAGAATGAAATGCATTGTCCTGGGATACGATGATTGCTTTCTAGTAGCTTTTAATTATAGTGTAGTATTGAAAAGCTGGAAAATACAAGTGAGTATTCCATATCACATCCCATGCTATAGCTTATGGAAACATTGTGCTATTGACCGGATTTTTAGACTTTTGTTCTGAATTCTTATTTCCAAAAAATGCTGGGCAATTTGCCTGCATAGGCATTGTTTTCATTTGTTCTCATGCTGCTAATAAAGACACGCCTGAGACTGGGTAATTTACAAAGGAAAGAGGTTTAATGGACTCACAGTTCCACATGGCTGGGGAGGCCTCACAATCGTGGCAGAAGGGCAAGGGACATCTTACATGGCAGCAGGCAAGAGAGAGTGAGAGCCAAGCAAAAGGGGAAACCCCATACAGAACCATCAGATCTTTTGAGATATATTCACTACCAAGAGAACAGTATGAAGGAAACCGACCCCATGATTCAATTATCTCCCACTGGGTCCCTCTCACAACACGTGGGAATTATGGGAGCTACAATTCAAGATGAGATATGGGTGGGGACACAACAAAACCACTTCAGACATCTTTGAACTACAGTCATGGTATGTTGGTAGGGTATACAGCAGATCCTCGAATAATCTTTCATTTAAATGTCATTTTATTACAACATTGATGAGAGGGTGTCTAAAGAAAGTTGATTCCAGGTAGGGCTACTGTCTGTGTGGGTTTTGCATGTTGACCCCATTTTTTGTGGGTTTTCTCCAAGTGTCCTGGTTTCCTCTTGTATCCCAAGGATGTGCACTTTAGGTTCATTGGTGTGTCTACATAGTTCCATTGTGGATGTGGGTGCCTGTGAGTGTGCCCTGCAATGCAATGGCATCCTGTCCGTGGCTGGTTCCCTCCTAGAACACTGAGCAGTTGGGAAAATCTCCAGCCACCTGAGACCCTGAACTTGAATAAGTAGATTGGAAAATAAATGAATGAATACAACTTACTGTAAAATAAAATTTTTTAAGTCTATGATAATCATCCAAATGTACAACAATTACCTCTGTGGTACAAAATGCTTGGTGAGCTGCTGTATTTGTGATCATTTGCTTTTGGATTGCTTGGTGGTGGAGGAAGAATCGCCTGACAATTTTCACTTGACAAACATTTATTCCTTGAATTAACCCACCAGCACTATGACCACCGTCACTCATTGGCTCACTAAAAATTGGGTAAATAATTATCTTGTTTTATTAATCTTTCTTAAATATATGTTTATCTCACATGTATTTCAATGTTTAATATTACAAGTGTAAAAAGTCCTTATCTAGAAGTTTGACGATGTTTTGGGGACCAGAAATATACCTTAGGAACTTAACTCTTGTTTATATGAATCACCTTAAGAGAAAATTGGTTTCTTTTTCCTTTCTTTTTCCTTTTTTGGGACATGGTCTCACTCTGTCACCCAGGCTGGAGTGCAGTGGTACAATGTCAGCTCACTGCAGCCTCTACTTCCTGGGCTCTAGCAATCCTCCACCTCCACCTCCCAAGTAGCTGGGACTATAGCTGTGCACAACCACACCCGGTTAATTTTGAAATATTTTTTGTAGAGATGAGGTCTCACTATGTTGCTCACACTGGTCTCGAACTCCTGGGCTTGGCCTTCTAAAGTGCTGGGATTACAGGCATGAGCCACCACTCCCGGCCAGAATTGGTTTCTTTATACATTGTTTGGCTTAAAGTCTCTGTTTCCGGGAACCTGTTCACAATTTTAAGTGAAGACTTCATTGTAATCCTGAAAGTAGAAAAGGAGAAAAAGCTGAAAGTATAAACAGAGCCAAGTGTATGCAATAAATTTTGATAGATCTGCAGAAATATCCAAATATATTGCAAGCTGATAAAAGTACCAAAGGGATATTGAAGTTAACCTACTTCTTCCTGCAGAATGGAACACACTCTCTGTTTACATTCCTGTTAGGCGTATTCACCTTGAAAAGTTCCCAGGAGTATAATCACCATACACATAAAATACAAAGGATGGAAATCACTCTCATGGGGCCATTTTCCAGGACTTTCCTATGAAACATGATATCCAGGCACACTTAAGGCAGTTACGTGACTCTGTTGTGGTTTATTAAGATTATCAAAGCAATAGAAGATCAGAGAATAAAGTGTCCAATAAAATAGCTGTTTTCATGAATAGCCTACCTCAATATACTAGAGAAAAATACGAAGAAGTCAGTGGCCACTTATATGGCCATTAAAGTAGTTGCATCATTAAAGTAAAAAGGATTAATTTGGCATTAAGTTGGCTATTAACAGATATGAATTTGTGCTTTCTGTTATAAATTATATATTAAAAATTATAATAATACAAATAAAATAATACAGACTATATTAATCAATGTATCAATATTTAAATAATATAATGTATATTAATATAGTATTAGGTTGGTGCAAAAGCAATGGTAGTTTTTGCATTACTTTTAATAACAAAAACCATGATGACCTTTGCACCAACCTAATAAAATATTGCAATTTTAATTAGATGTTACAAATTATGTATTGACATAATTTATCCTTTATTAAAATAATTAGCTCTTATAAAAACATCAATTTATTTACATTTTATTATCCCACTTCTTTTAAAACCTTTAAATGCCTTAAATTTCTAAGCCCGCTATTCTGCAACAAATTTACTCCATAATAGATTAGAAATAACAAAACACAAATATGTATAAATACATGATGTGTGAGTGCATATACTGCAGGGGTGAGTTGTATCATTGGACATATTTTAGCCGTAACTTATTGTATTTTATTTATTTATCTATTTTGAGACAGGGTCTTGCTCTGTTCCCCAGGCTGGAGTGCAGTGGTACAATCATAGCTCACTATAGCCTCAACCTCCTGGGCTCAAGCAATCCTCTCTCCTCAGCCTCCTGAGTAGCTAGGACAATAGTCACACACCAAGATGACTGGCCAATTTTTTTTACTTTTTGTAGAGATGAGGTTTGGCCATGTTGCCCAGGCTGGTCTTAAACTCCTAGGCTCAAGTGACCCTCCTGCCTCGGCCTCGTCAAGTGTTGGGTTTACAGGCATGAACCACCATGCCCGGCCTAACAGCAATTTCTCTTTTTTTTTTTTTTTGAGACAGACTATCTCTCTGTCCCCCAGGCTGGAGTGCAATGGCTCAGTCTTGGCTCACTGCAACCTCTGCCTCCCGGAGTCAAGCGATTCTCCTCTCTCAGCCTCCCGAGTAGCTGGGACTACAGGCGACTGCCACCACATCCAGCTAATTTTTGTATTTTTAGTAGAGACAGGGTTTCACTATGTTGGCCAGGCTGGTCTTGAACTCTTGACCTCGTGATCCGCCCATCTTGGCCTCCCAAAGTGCTGGGATTACAGGCGTGAGCCACCGCACCCAGCCCCAGCAATTTCTTATATTTCATACCTTTAAAGTAATCACCCAAGTATATAAGAATTTATAAAATTCAAAGGTAAAATTAGTGAATAATAAAACACCTTATAATATGTAAACCTCCGCTATCTATTTATTTGTTAAATACATTCCATGATTAAGTATTGGATATACAATAATCAGAGTGGAACTCAGCAAGGACCCCCAAAAATAAAATAATGGGAAAAAATGGTTTGCTATTGTTCGGTGTTAAGTTAAGGCACTTTCTTGCCAATCACAGGAGCAGTAACTTCAAAATTAATGTCAAATACATGAGGCATCATATCAGGATTGGCAAAAATTTTAAATTGTAAGTAATTATTTTATTAAATAATGTTCATATCTCACATTTTAAAATGACATATTTTTGTGAGGTTCATAAAACTAAGTATGTTTGGGGTTTCTCTGTCTGCTTTAACATTTTTAAGTATAATTCTTCAGTCATTCATATCCATTTAATCAAGAGGACCTTCTGGTTCAGGTAGATTAAATGAAGCATCGGAAACAAAAAACTGCTACACATCGACTAAAATGATTCATCGCCTGGTGAGTAGGGGAGCCAACATGTCAGCCATGCCATGTATATTCAATGCTACCCCAAACCAGGAGTCACGTCACTTTGCTATGGCACATAAAGGCCCTTAGACCATTGAAGACAATCGGTCCAAAATGCCCTATAGCTGGAGAGAATGAAGTAACTCAGTGATGACTGACATACCGAAAAGAAACATGATAGGAATTGAGCAATTCCAAGGAGTCCAGACACTCCAGAAAGATGTTGGAAGGCATGAATAACCTATTTGATGAACCAAATCCCTGCGGTTTGTACTTTCACCTTTTCACTGCTTACCATGAACGGGGCTCATCTTAGCTAAAATGTCAATATAAAATTTTTATGGGAAAATATCGTGTCATGATTTTCCTTAGAACACTCAAATTGTTTATGAATAAGTTTTAACACTGAAAACATCATTTATATATATTTATATACATTATATTTTATATATTATATATTAATATATATTATTTATATAAATATGTTGTATAAAATATAAGTATTCATATATATTTCACTATATATAAATATATGACATCTATAAATATATATTTATAGATAGTTCACTATCTATAAATATATACAACATATATAAATATATAAATAAAAATGTATATGCACATTTTTATACATAAATTTTATATTGAAGTGTATATATTTATAGATCTTATATATAAATGTATAACATCTATATATATCTATAGGTGTTACATATAGATATCTATATATAACATCTATATATCTATAGCTATTATAGATGTTAAATATATTATTATATATAATAAATATATTTACTATATATAATACATATATTACTATATAAAAATATATGTATTATATAATAAATATATTTACTGTATAAAAATATTTGCTATATATAATAAATATATTTACAGTAAAATATATAAAAATATATTTACTATATATAGTAAATGCTTATATATATATGCAAAAATAAAATTTAAAGACCCCTCTAACCATCTGAATGGATCCCTCCTCTTAGCCAAGGTCATTCCAGAGTGAACCTGAAAAACTGGTTCAAGCCATGATGGAAGAGGGGGTAGACATGCCTCATTATACCCCTCCAGCATTAACACCAACACAGATCTTAAGTATAAGAAATATATATAATCTATTCTATCTCTGAGGCCTGCTACCTGGAGGCTTCATCTGTATGATAAAACCTTGGTCTCTACAACCCCTTATCTTAACCCAGACATTCCTTTCTACTGATAATAACTCTTTCAATCAATTGCCAATCAGAAAAATGTTAAATCTACATATGACCTGGAAACCCCCACTTCCAGTTCTCCTGCCCTTCCAGATTGAACCGATGTACATCTTACATGCATGGATTGATGTCTTATGTCTCCTTAAAATGTATAAAACCAATCTGTGCTCTAACCACCTTGGGCACACGTCATCAGGACCTCCTGAGGCTGTGTCACAGACATGTCCATAACCTTGGCAAAATAAACTTTCTAAATTGACTGAGACCTGTCACAGATATTTTGGGCTCACTATATATGTATGTATAAATGTAATTCCTATAAGAAGACATCACTAAATAGGGTATCAGAACATGATTTCCAAGAAGTATCCTCAGTTAATATTGGTGGTTCCAACCACAACAATCATTCTGAAAAATGCTCAAGACTGTCTTCCAACAGTGGTGAGAGCTGAAGTTCTGCTAGAGCACCTGCATGGACATCTTGGCTTTCCAGCATAAAGCATCTCATTACTTTATGAATTTCTCAAGACACATACAGTAAAATAGCCATATTAAGGATTAAAGGACATATATTTTTATTGCTCAAATTCTCTTCTACTTTGTCTTAGAATATAAAGCAATTCTGATATGCAAGTTAATTCCTAACATTGCTGAGTAGGAATGGACTGTGCATATTTTATTTGGACTCTCCATTTATTGAGTTCATATTGTATGTCCAACTTTTTAATGAACTTCCAGATAATCTAAATGGATTTCCACAATCATTTTTGGAGTTAATGCTATAATCTCTAATAAAGTAATGGGAAGACTTAAGGTCATGAAGATCCTAGCACCTATCTTATTCCACATTTCTAGAAGTTTTAAGGCTGGTCTTCAGTACATCTTTAATAATTCCATGATGGGGTATAGTTCTGTTTTAGTGATGGTCCATTTCTACCAATGTTTAGTCCTAGATTTTTAGACAGCGTGAATTCTGTACTTTTTCCCAAATTCCCAGTCACTCTTGTTTTGTTCGTTGGTCATAGTTGTTGTTTTATTCTGTCCATATTTCTCTCTTTGGATGCAAATTACACATGAAAACATGGCATATTCATATTTCAGATTATGGCAATATTAACTGTAATTTTTACTCTCCCATTGAAGATTGCATGATAAGCTTGCCAAGAGTTATCAAATACTTTGTCCAGCCATATTTTGTAAACAGTATCCACTGGTGGTTTATCTAATACAAAAAGAGAATGGATAATGCCCTTCCATCAGAGACACTTAAGAGTTTATTAAAAACATTGACATATTCTGTTGAAACTCAGCCTGGAAGATTTGACTACTATAGCATTCTTAGAAATGGTCAAGTGGTCAAAGCTTTTGGAATGTTAAATATTTCAAGAGTATTTGGCCCTCTATAGTAAAACGTTTTATCATGCAAATCTCCAATGGAGGTTTCTCTGTTTAAATTGATTTATGGTATTTACATGAGAAAGACAAATTATTTATGTCAATGATCTGTTCTGATCCTTCACTCCAGAATTGCACATTATTTCTTTGATCTATACATAAGTATTTGCAACCTCTATGTTATTGAAAATAATTTTGCCATTTGTTCACTTAATCTCTCAAGTAGTAAAATCTCTGGCCTATTCTTGGGTAGTAATGAATTTGATTTTCTGAGTTTGGAAGATTAAAGGCACTCATTTGTGTTTCAAATGCAAGGGAGCCCCTATTAGCTTCTCTTGACAAACACCAAAAAGGGCAATTTTACATCAAATGTCGTGGCCCTTCAGTTTAAATAGCAATTACACAAAAAAAGCTGTTGATTTCATCTACAAATAGTGAAATCTCAATGTGGATTAATATTTCTGGTTGAATATTGTGGCTTTTCTATTGGACTTATGATTGGTAGCAATTTATTATAATAGATATGAGTTTTTAAATATATTTTTAGAAAAAAGTATATTATTTTTCAATTTCACATGTTTTAAGATTGATTTACAAAATTCTGTATATGGATTTAGGAAGCAAAGTTATAAACATCAGGTACTTCAATCTATACCAAACCATTAAATCTGTTAGTCTGTTTCAGTATATACTCAATTGCTTCCAAAACAATAGGTAACTTACACTGAACTTCACAGTTTCCATCACCTTCTATTCAAGTTCAACCGGTGATGGATCAATGTTAAATAGATTTTAAATATAAAGTAGGCATTTTCAGAAAATAAAGATATAATCAAGATCTCTGTCTTTCACCTAATTCATGGCTGAGGTTGCTCATGGGTTCTGGAGCAAAACACACATAGCCTAAAAAATAACAAGACTTTGAATAAAGAATGTAGTGAACAAGGTCTGTACTGACTGGCCACATGAAGCAAAGGAAAATAAAGTTATTTGACAGTAAGCTCCAGATTAAAGAAAGGAGACCAACTTCAGAGTGACAGCTTCCCACTGAAATAGAATTTTAAAAATGCACAGATTCAAGCCTTAGAGATATTATTAATATTTTTTCAAAGTTGCGTTTGGAGAATGTAATTTTTAAGTACAATATGCTAAATAAAACAGTATCCATAGTGGTAAGCAAATATAAGAAAATGTGCATCACAGGAAACTAAATTATTCTAGAAGATTGAATGCAGGGATTATCATAAAACATAAAAAAATTATGTATGCTATCAACAAGAAAACATGGATTAGAAACATCAAAGGCAGAGACAGCAGAACCCAAAATGACATATAAAGTATAAATATTCCTGTAAAAGAAGCATAAACAGCTGGATCAGGAGTATAGCCAAAGATGTATAAGAATAATACATTCCTGACCCTAAAAAGTCTTTCTGACTTTTCAGAAAAAGAAAAAAAAAGCTTGTGTGCAGACACCTGTCTCTCTCTCTCTCTCTCTCTCTCTCTCGCATACACTTACACTAACAAATTCTAACAGCAGAGAAACCTTTGAAAGGAGTTAAAGATAGGTGTTATACACACACACACACACACAGACACACACACACAAATCGGTGTTGAGAAGGGCAACGGTGGAAGCTAAGAATCTCTGGAATCATCTTTTAAAATAGTTGACGGACAAAAATTAACAGCCAACAATATTAAAACCAATTAAGCAGGGGAAAATGAACACTTTTACACTGTTGGTGGGAGTATAAATTAGTTCAACCATTATGGAAGACAGTTTGGCAACTCCTCAAATATGTAGAAGCAGAAATACCATTTGACTCAGAAATCCCATTACTGAGTATATACCCAAAGAAATATAAATCATTCTACTATAAAGATACATGCACACATATCTTCATTGCAGCACTACTCACAATAGCAAAGACATGGAAGCAACCCAAATGCCCTACAATGATAGACTGGATAAAGAAAATGTGGTACATATACACCATGGAATACCATGCAGCCATTAAAACGAATGAGATTATGTCCTTTGCAGGGACATGGATAGAGCTGAAGGCCATTATCCTTGGCAAACTAACACAGGCACAAAAACGAGACACCACATGTTCTCACTTGTAAGTAGGAGCTGAACAATGAGAACACATGGTCACATGGGAGGGAGCAACACACACTGGGGCCTGTGAGAGGGTGGAGGTGCAGGAGGAAGGACCGCATCAGGAAGAATAGCTAATGGATGCTGGGCTTAATACCTGGGTGATGGGTTGATCTTTGCACCAAGCCAACATGGCACATGTTTACCTATGTAACAAACCTGCACATCCTGCACATGTGCCCAAGAACTTAAAATAAAAGTTGAAGAATAAAAAACAATTAAGCTATTATTCATGGAAGTAATTAAACATATCTTTACTTGTAATGATTCAAAATTATTGCACCATTATGCAAAAAGTGGAAGAGATTTCCTGCTGTACTCGGATATTCATTTTCCCACTCCCATAGAAGACCCAAAATGTTGTCTTTTACTGGGCTGGCCAGAATAAACTCTGCTTAGTTCTAGCCAGTGGGAGGTGAGCTCACTTTCTCCTCCTCCTTGGAATGAGACTGTGGTGGTGAACATTTAGAACCATATGGAGAAGAGGAATTCCCTAGCTCAAACAAATAGATACTTGTATATTCAATGACATGGGCAACCTAGGGATCCTTCTCTGTTGTCAACTGGTGTCTCATAGGAGGATAATAAGAATCTATTTTAATTATTCACTCTATTACTATTTTCAATTTCAGTCATAACAGAAAAGCTTGGGACCTAGATAATACTAAATTGTTTCACACCTTACTTAGAAAATTATTTGAGTTTCTGAAGGAAAACACAGACTTCCAGACAACAGAAGACCAAGAAGAATTGAAACTGTTCTAGGACTGCCATAGCGAAATAGAATGATGAAGTATGTGAACCCCGAAAATCTGAGACAGGTCTGAATTAATTTAGAAAGTTTATTTTGTCAAGTTTGAGGATGCGTGCCAGTGAAACAGCCTCAGGAGGTCTTCGCGACATGTGCCCAAGGTGATCAGAGCACAGTTTGGTTTTATACATTTTAGGGAGACATGAGACATCGATCAACATATGTAAGATGAACATTGGTTCCATCTGGAAAGGAGGGACAACTCAAAGCGGGGAGCTTCCAAGTCAAATGGTTGCATTCTATCGAGTTTCTGATGAGCCTCTCCAAAGGAGGCAATCAGATATGCATTTATCTCAGTGAGCAGAGGGGGGACTTGGAACAGAATGGAAGGCAGGTTTACCCTAAGCAGTTCCCAGCTTGACTTTTCCCTTTAGCTTAGTGATTTGGAGGTCCCAAAATTTATTTTTCTTTCACAGTTATACAAGAGAAATTTAGTTCCTCACAGTTCTTGGGCCTGGGAAGTCCATAATCAAGGTCCAAGAAGGTTCTGTTTCTGTGAGGGCTTCCTTCTTTGCTTACAGATATCTAGCTTCTCACTGTGGCCTCACATGGTGGGGAGAAAACAAGAGGTATCTCTCTCTCTTCCTCCTCTTATAAGACCAGTAGTACTACAGAATTGGAACTCCATGGATATGACCTTATTTAACCTGAATTGTCTCCCAAAAGTCCTGTATCCAAATATAGTCACATTGTGGGTTGGGACTTCAACATATGAAGTGTGTGTGCACGTGTGTGCCTGTGTGTGTGTGTAAGGGGTATAATTCAGATCATAACATTTCATTCCTGCCTATTCAAAATTCATGTCCATATATCATACAAAATACAGTCATTCTGAGGAGAGAGGCCATTTCTCTTACTGTCTCCTATCTCTAAAGAGAAGAAGGAAGTAAAAGCTGAAAAACAACAGGAATGAAGTCAGTGGCAAGACCAACTGGCACCACTGACCAGGCCTGAGGTTAAAGACTAACCCCCCACTCTAACCACATGTGCTATCTATAGATCTCAATCTATCACAACCCTTTCATGTGTACCCCTTAGAGTTGTAAACCCTTAAAAGGGCCAGGAACTCTTTCTTCAGAGAGCTCAGTTCTTGAGACGCAAGTCTGCTGATGCTCCCGACCAAATAAAGCCTCTTCCTTCTTTCACCCGGTGTCTGAGGAGTTTTGTCTGTGGCTCGTCCTGCTACAATTCCAACTACTAAGCCATAAAAAAGAATAAAATAATGTCTTTTTTAACAACTTGGATGTCACTGGAGGCCATTATTCTAAGTGAATTAGCTTAGGAATTGAAATCAGATACTGCATGCTTTCACTTATAAGTGGGAGCTAAGGTATGGGGACACAGAGGCAAACACAGTGTTATAATGGACACTAGAGACTCAGAAGCAGGAGGCTAGGATGAACGTGAGGGATGAAAAGTACCTATTGGGTACAATGTACATTATTCTGGTGACAGGTCCACTAAAATCCCAGATTTCATCACTATATGATTCAGTCATGTAACCAAAAGCCGCTTGGAGTTCTAAATCTATTGAAATTAAAACACACAGACACACACACACACACACACACACACACAGAGAGAAAGAGAGAGAAGAAAAACAGGATGAAAGTGACATGCACACAAATGCCCCCAACTCCAAGGTCTCATTCAAAGCTTATCTCCTTCTTTGCAAATTCATAAAAGGCTTCAGCTGTCTCATTCTCAGGACCAGCATCCAGGGGATATGGCTTCTAGTCAGGTGTTCTTTATGTCAAAATATATAAGAAAAAATGTCTTTTAGGACTCATTATACTAGTATTGAGTCCTTGGGTGATAATTAGAGTAGGTAGGTATGAGAGAAGAGGAACCAGGAAAGAAGTTATTAAAAGAACAGTCCAGTAGAGGAGGTTGGGATTTTCTTATTAAGAATTTTACAAAAATTGTGTTGTATTTGTATATAATATACACAGTAAAAATCCAGGTTGTTATTAGCACTGTAAAAAATGAATTCATTCCACCTCAATCGTTGAAATGGTTTAGCCATATATCTGGTATATTATATTTAATATTAAAAGGATGAGACCCATATGTAATACATGAGTTCATAAATCACCATTTGTGGAAGTTGATTCTGAAAAGATAATACCTCTAACACAGCTTGATTCACCTGCACTCCAAGCTCCAGCAACTGGACCCTCCTTGACTCAACGGCTGAGGCCCCCAGAAAGTTGTACATGAGTGAAGTTTGGATGTAGTTGGAAGAACAGCAAGGAAATTTACATGGAGCGCTCTCCTTCGTGGATGCCATAAGGATCAGAAATGCAATTCCAGGGAATCTCAGGGTGAGTACCAGAAAGTGTCAGATTATGGCTTGGAGATTTCCTCCAGAGATGCTGGAATGATGGAAAGTGAGTGAGCCTGACTTCTGTTATCCACAGACTCCTCTAGGAACTTCCATAGGCTGCGGATAGTGTTCTCTACTGATTAATGGTCCCATGGTGGTTGAGACCATTTTATCTGTACCTTCCAAGAAGGCACGGCCATTTAGAATAATCTAATGGCATGGCCTAAAATCCAGTGAGTCAACAAAAAAATGAGTTATTCAAGTCAGGAGACCTGGGAATCAGAACACACAGGTGACATTCCCAGCAAACCAAGCTGCTGCAGGAAACAGATGGCAAGTTGTACAAACAACAAAATGTTATTAGTAACAATAACATTAATATTAATAATAGCAACAGCATATAATGAAAAACTATAGCACTTAAGGAAGTTCAGCCCAAAAGCTATTTTCTGAGTTAAATAAAAATATTCTAGGTTGGGCACAGTGGCTCACTCGTGTAATCCCAGAACTTTGGGAGGCTGAAGTAGGAGGATCACTTGAGCCTAGGAGTTTAAGACCAGCCTGGGCAATGTGGTGAGGCCCTGTCTCCACAAAAATAAAAAAAAAAAAAAAAAAAAAAAAAAACTAGGTGTGGTCGTACATGTCTGTGGTCCCAGCTACTCAGGAGGCTGAGATGGGAAGATCACTTGAGCCCACGAGATTGAGGCTGCAGTGACCTGAGATCTCACCACTGTAGTCCAGCCTGGGCAACAGCGCAAGACTCTGTCTCCAAAAAAAAAAAAAAAAAAAATTCTAGTTAAAAAAGCACTGAACTAATTAAAAGGATTTTCATTGTTGACACCTAATTTAAAGGTCTGCAAAATCAAATGTGCACACATCTCAACAGAGAAAGAATGAAACCCTGGAGAATGATAAACCAAAATGGATAAGGTTATTATCTATGAATGTGTTACGTAATTGTCAAAATAAAGTTATTGGAAGCAAGAAATATACCATAAAGAAAATTATAAACTAGACAGGCTTTAATGCACTAAACCGACTCAGTGAAAATTTAGGAGTTGGCAGAAAAATAAGTTAATAATTATATAAAACTAATTTTATGAATGAGAAAGAGAGTAGGAACTAAACAATTTTAGAGACATTCAAACTATAGTGAGAAGTAGCTGGAAATGTATTTGCAAATAATATTAGCAAAATATATGTACTTGCTTATGAAAGAAGTGCTATTGTTAAGAGATAGAAAAAAAGAATGGAATAGGTTCAAATCCTACCTAAGTAAAAATAAAAATAAAAGAATAGGATAACTTATACATTATCAAGAGAGAATATGGAATGAATAGTAATTGAGCCACACCAGCAAAATTGAGAAAGAAGAAAATTTTAGATTACATATGACAAGAAAACATGCTAAAATTACAATTAAGGAATCAATAAAGGCAATTAACCACTTGGAGAAAGTATAACCTATAACACCTACAAAAATTTGTCTGGCCAGGCTCAGTGGCTCACACCTGTAATCCCAGCACTTTGGGAGGCCAAGTTGAGAGGATAACTTGAGCTCAGGAGTTCGAGGTCAGCTTGGGTAACATGGCAAAACCCCATGTCTACAAAAAATACAAAAATTAGCCAGGTGTGGTGGCATATGCCTGCAGTCTCAGCTATTTGGGAGGCTGAGGTAAGAGGATCACTTGAGCCAGGGTAGTTGAGGCTGCAGTGAGCTTTGATGGTGCCACTGCACTCCAAGTTGATTGACAGAGTCAGATCCTGTCTCAAAAACAAAAAAAGTGCCAAAAGTTTGCTGGTAGGATTCATGTTAAGAAATAATGCTTTTCCCAGAAATAAAAGATAAGATCTCCAGAAAAAAAAATTAATTCTCAGCACATTAAATAAAATAGACTCACATCAGTACATCATGGTGAACTTTTGAGACAAAGATAAATTCATAAAATCTGTCAGGGAAAAAGGTAACATCAAAAGATCGTACAGCTAAATGGCTTTACACTTCTGAAGAGCAACACAGAAATTCCTCAAGTCTTCACATTTCTGAGCATAATAACTGCTAAGCTAGAAATACTTACCTACTTAAATGCTTTTAAATAAATGGGCTGATTAGAGCATTCTTTGTTCAAGAATTTAGTGAATACGCCATTATATTATAATAATCATTATAATATTATAATGATTATAATCACTATAATATTATATTCATTGAGCTGAGATTACTTGCTTATGATTATAAATTTACCTTTATTTTCTCCTAATAAATATTACCAGAGTTTCGGGAAATTTATTCGGCATTAATTCTTTGAGCTGAGGTTCTTTCTTTTGAGATATAAAAGTTATTCAACTGAGATTTATATATAAATAATAAATATACTTAACTATAAATCTCAGTTGAATAACTTTTATATAATGAATAAATGTATAAGCATAAGCAAGTAGTGTTGTTGAGAGATTAGTTCTGTTTTGTGATCACTTCTTGCAAAAAGAATAGCTAAGTTACTAATTATTACATTTATGAAGATATGAGATTAAAATGTTTTTATTAATTTGATGTTATACATTAATAACTATTTTATCTTCTACAAAGTATGATTAGAGTTTGTTTAATTGTGGAAACTGTTTAAGTAATATATAATATGATCTCCAGTGTACAAAAATTTATAAAGAAGTTCTGAGAAATTAATAAATAATAACCTTCCCTTTTGATAATCTTTTTATGCATACATACAAAATAATTGAAAAATGAATTTGTTATCCAATCCATACTATTGCTCCAGTTTATAAGTTTATGTAATAACTTTATATTTCTGTTGAAAAAATAAACACCACTATTCTTTGCAGCTTAATCCTCAATTGAAATATAGACCCAGAATTTACAAGGAACTCAAATAATTCAACAAGAACTAAAAACCATATAACTCCATTAAACAGTAGGCAGAGGACTTGAATAGCTATTTTTTAAAAGAAGATAATCGAATGCTTATACAAGCATGTGAAAAATTGCTCTAATAATTAGAGAAACGCAAATTAAAACCACAATGGGATACCATCTCACACCAGTTAGAATGACTATTATTAAAGGAAAAAGTAACAGATATTGGTGATGACACAGAGAAAAAAGAATGCTTACACACAGTTGGTAGGAATGTAAATTAGTACAACCTCTATGGAAAACACTATGGAGATTTCTCAAAGAATTAAAAATAGAACTACCATTTGATCTAGCAATCCTACTACTGGGTATTTACCCAAGAGAAAGAAATCATTACATCAAAAACATACCTGTACTCATATGTTCATCACAGCACTATACACAATAGAGAGGATATGCAAACAACCTAAGTGCCCATCAATAGATGACTGCATAAAGAAAATGTAGCTTAATGTGACTCCACACACAATGGAGTCGTATTAAGCCATAAAAAAGAATAAAACCATGTTTTTTGCAGAAACATGGATGGAACTGGAAGTTATTATCTCAGGTAAAACAACTCAGAAACAGAAAGACGAATACCACATGTTCTCACTTATAAGTGGTAGCTAAATAATGTGTACACGTGGACATAGAATGAAGAACAGGGGTCCCTAACCCCCAAGCCATGAACCAGTCAGTACCAGTCTGTGACCTGTTAGGATTCAGGCCACACAGCAGCTGGCGAATAAGCAAAACTTCATCTGTATTTACAGCCGCTCCCCATCACTTGCATTACCGCCCAAGCCCCGCCTCCTGTCAGATCAGCGGCGGCATTAGATTCATAGGAAGGTTCACCCTATTGTGAACTGTGCATGTGAGGGATCTAGGTTGTGCACTCCTTATGAGAATCTAATGCCTGATAATCTTAAAAAAAAGAAACCCCAAAATACAGATGAAATATTTATTTCTGGTTAAAAGAAAGCCAGGAATAGCTCCTCCAGTATAATAAATGTAAAGTTTTAACTTGTGAACAGGTAGTATCTGGATACTCTTAAAAGCAACAATTACCTCTCAAAGTTTATTTAGTACACCAGTTTCTATATTTGTTGGTAATTGGAACGTAATGACATCTGTATAGATGTACCTTATACTATCTATTGGTTTACACTTCTTTTCATTCAAGCTAGTTGTCTTATTTTTTTAAGTATTTAAAGATAAGTGGCAGATGCATTACATTCCATTGCCCAACACTTTAGCATACATATTATTGATACTTGCTTACGGTTCTTCTTGTTTTATTTTAGGTAAAATTTGCATACCTAAGTAACATGCATAATCCTGGGTATACCTGCCCAAAAGTCTTGACAAAAGCATATATCTGTATAACTTAAACCTCTATGAAACTGAAGAACTCACTCAGCTCTTTCCCGCAATACTCAGTCAATTCTCACTCTCACCCAATTAGGGAACAACATTTTTTTCACCCTAGATTTTTTTCCCTCTAATTTATGTAAATAAAAATATGCAGTTTGTATTTTTGTGACTTCTTTCTTTCAACATCATTTTCTAAAGATTCATCAATGTTATTGTGTATATTAGTGTCCATATTTTTCTTATGTGGATATCAGTAGTCCATACCAAATATGCCACAGTTTTTCTTTCCTTCTCCTATAATGTCTGGAGTGTTTCTGGTATTGGGCTTTTATGAATCAACCTACTATGGACATCCTTGCACAAATATGGGTACATTTTCATTTTTCTCCAGTAAATATTTAGGAGTAGTTCTTCTAGGTCTTAGGGTGTGTGTGTTTGTAGGTTTATAAGAAACTGACAATTTCTGTCATTAAAATGTGAAGATTATGTTGTAACTTTCTGTATTTATGTAACCTTCTATTATTCTATTATTATGCATAGTGTCCTTTCAAGTTAAACATTGTGCAATCTCTTATTAGATTTTTAATATTTATAATCCCCTAGTTCTTTTACTAGGAAATTCACTGTGACAGCCTGCTGGTCACTTCACAACCTGGCTATATTTTAATTAACTTCCTGTTTGTTTATACTCTTCCAGTCAGTTTTATTTCATGTGACATAATTGTATATAAAAGCCAGTTAATGCTTTTTACATCAGGGGACATATCAAGTTCATTTTGTTATTGGGAAAAAGATATTAAGTGTTCTAATTTAATACAGACTGCCTCACTTCCAGCTTGTTCTGTTATGCCATTTATGAAGTTGTATAAGTTTTGACAACCTTTTAACATAACTGTACTTGAAAGTATTGTTCCTAGGAAACTACTCAATTTATTAGCCAATGTTAGAGATGAAGCTTCTTTGAGACATCAGTTTGTATATTTTCTGCTAGATAACCAGAACTATTATGAAGTGTGTGTGTGTGTGTGTGTGTGTGTTTGTGCATGCTTGTGTGTGTAAGACTGAGAGAGACAGAGAGAAGAAGAGAAAGATCAATTCTATATAAGTGAGTAGTAACAGCTTTTGAATCCAGGAAACTTCTCCTTTAAAAATTTTTAATTTTTAATTTTTGTGGGTCCATAGTAGCTGTATGTATTTATGGGGTATGTGAGATATTTTGATATAGACACACAATGTGTAATAATTACATCAGGGTGAATGGGGTATTCATCACCTCAAGCATTTATGCGTAATGTTATATACAATCAAATTATACTCTTTTACTTATTTTAAAGTGTAAAATTAATTTTTTTTTACTATAGTCACCCTGTTGTGCTATCAAATACTAGGTCTTATTCATTCTTTCTAAGCATTCTTTTGCAGCCGTTAACCATCCCCACCTCCCCCTCCACCCCCTACTACCCTTCCCAGCCTCTGGTGACCATGCTTCTACTCTCTATCTCCATGAGTTCAATTGTTTTAATCTGTAGCTCCTACAAATAAGTGAGAACATGTGATGTTTGTCTTTCTGTGTCTGGTATACTTCACTTAACAGAATGACATCCACTTCCATCCATGTTGTTGCAAATGGTAGAGTCTCATTTGGGAAGTTTCTCTTACACGTCATTATATTTCCAATGTTTGCACAGTGCCTAATTTGGTAAATATTTCTTAAAATCATATGATAACATGGCATAATTACCCTTCAAATCAGTCATTTTGAAAGATCAAATGAAGACAAATCATCATCGGTCAACCTCATGTAAGAAGCACTGAGAAGTCGTGTGGTCCAACCTTTGCTCATTCATTTCTCCCCTTCCCTCCATTTCTATTCTTTTTCTCCTCCTACTCATGTTCTCCTCTTCTTTTCCTTCTCCTGCTCACCCTGCTCCTTCCTTTCTTTTTCCTCTATGAATAAAATATTCAGCAGGTGTTTCTGAAACTTTTCCTGTAACCTCAGGTACGCCTGAAGATTTGCCCCTTGCTCTACTTATTGTGCACTAGTAACTCCATGAATTGATGGGTATTTAGGCATAACATATTCAAGACAAATGAGAGTCCAGTTGAGGGCAATGGAGTGGACAAACACCTGTGTGTCCTTGATGAGATCAAGTTATGAGTAGTTGGCTTGACTGAGCTGACCTTATGATTGGGGCAATCACTTATACCTGGGGGGACTCCAGGAACATCTAGACATAAAAGATGAGGGTGCCCCACAGCTGATTTGGTAAATACTTCTAACTTCAGATCACCTGAATTGAGGTGGTAGTTTCATGCTTAGATTAGTCCTTTGGGAATACACATGTCCCAGATATGGAATGATGGAGGTATTAGAAATCTTCTATAAGCTGTCATGCATTACCACCTATGATAAGCTGATGCTGTTCACAAATTGTTTTGCTCCCTTTTATGTTTTCTTCATTGGTACTGGCTGAAGCCTATTGCATCTGTTGGGTTTCATCATGATGAAATCAAAAAGATTACTGCTGTTCAAGCAGAAAGGACCCTATACCAGACCAATAGGCTGTAAAACAATTAACCAATATTATATAATTTATATGTGGGGGAAGATAAATACAATAGAATAATATAGAATAGACGAGGGGCTTTTAGTTCTTATCCATGAGTCAAAGAACATTAGCTCCAAAAAATGAAAGATGTGCAATCTTTTAAATAAAAATTTACAATGAGATATACTTTAACTACAGATATAAACATTATAGAAATGACAAAGCTTGCTAACTTCATGCTAAAAAGAATAACATGGCAATATAAAAATCACAATAGAAAAACCATCTTATCACTGTTTTGCCAGTGCATGTCTGTTTGTTGATACGTATCTAATTTAGACTTAGTTTAAATGTAGGTACACTTATGATTTAGGCAGTGTTTCCATCAGCAGCATACAGATTTAAATTACATCATGTACCACGTAACAATGTTTTGATGACAGAACACATAAATGATGTGCGCCCACGGGATTATAATGAAGCTGGAAATTTCCTATAGCCTAGTGACATGCAGTCATTGCAACATCATAGAGCAACACATTACTTTTTCTGTGTTTAGATTTGTTTAGATACACACATACTTATCATTGAGTTACAATTGCCTACAGTATTCAGTGGAGTAACAGGCTGTACAAGTGAGTATCCGGGTAGCAAATATACCATACCATATAGCCTAGATGTGTGATCAGCTATGCTATTCAGGTTTGTATAAGCATAGTCTATGATATTTGCACAACAACCAAATTGTCTAAGGACACATTGTTAGGCAATTGTCAGAATGCCTATCTGCATTCTGTCCTTTAGTGATTGATTTCATTTTTAACCCCTATCTGACCGCATTAGGTAACACTGCATTTCTTTTGTGAATTCATTCAACAGATATTCTTGCACACTGTCAATTTTCCTGTACTATTCAAAAGGCTAGTGAGAGAGTTGTGAACTCCAACTCTTTTTGGCTGACAGCCTACTGCGGGGAAAGGTACACTAAAGAAGCAAATACATCCATCATCAAGATAAGAAATTTGAGAGGAAAAAGTAACCCCTTAAAGAGGCATTGGACCAAAGATGTTTGAACTCAGGACTGAAGAAAGAGAAGGAGCTTGCTCTGGGAAAACCTGGAGGGAGAGCATTCCAGGCAGAGAAAACTGTTGCTATTCCCTGGTGTCTAGGGGAGGTGGAAAGGATTTGGCCTCCTCTGGTAACACACTATGGGCATCATGCCCAGAGAAGGCTCAGGGGCCACAGGGCAGCCACTGTCTAGGTCAGTTGCAGCCTAGTGTCGAAGGATCCTCTCTTCAAAGGGAAATTCCCTTATGCACATGTGTGGTAGCAAGGAGATTGCAGGTAGAATCTGTTCACCCATGAATTGGCCAATTTCAGTCAACTGTAGAAAGAGCTCATTCTGCAATACCAAAGCAAGACACTAGTTAATTGGGAAATGCAATATTCACCTCCAAGCTTTGCAGATATTTATATTTCTGTGGGTAGAAAGGGAAAAAATGAAACAAGAAATGACTTCGTATTGATAGTTTTTCTTTAGTAATTATTTTACTTTCATGAATCTTTATTTATGAAATCTTTATTCAGACATAGGATAATAATCTACCAATAGTTTTTGTTTAGGTACATTATCTTCTACTATGCACTGGAGGGTTTGGGTTCTGTTTTTTTTCCCTCCCTGCCAATAAACCCAGGATTCAGTACAATGAGTTTTAAGGGATGAAATTAAGGAATAGTCCATTGATCTGTTTATTTTCATGTATATCAGAATACTCAAATTTTTAAATTGCCATAGTTTGAAAATAAGATATAAAATATCAAGTAGTAAATCAGTCTAAAAGACAATTAAGGACTATGTTTCTTCTTGGATAAAAGTAAGTACAACTGCAACAGTGTTTCAGAAAACTTACAGCAAAAAATAGTAAACTTACTATCTACCACTGTAATTAATCATTTCATTGAATTTCCCTTAATTGAGCATCAATATTGACCTTTGGTAGCTTTATCTTTATAGTGTGATCTATTACACTTGATATTTTCAAACATGCTTTCTGGAAAAACAAGCATTTATTTTATTCGCTAATGCATTAGGACTAGGTTTATGTTCCGAATTGTGATAATTAATTTTAAGTGTCAACTCGACTGGCTTGAGGGTTACCCAGATAGCTGGTCAAGCACTATTTCTGAGTCTGTCTGTGAGAGTGTCTCCAGAAGAGACTGGTATTTAAATCAGGAGATTGAGTAAGGAAGATCCACTCTCAGTGTGTGCAAACATCACCCAATTAGCTGAGGGCCCAGATAGAAAAAAAAGAAAAAAAAAAAGGGCAAGGGAAGTATAGTCAAACTCACTCTCTCTCTTTCTCTCTCTCTCTCCCCTTCTCTGCCTTCCTTCTAGAGCTGGAGCTGGGACACACTTCTCCTGCCCTTGGACATGAGAACTCCAGGTTCTCTGGCTTTTGAACTCCAGGACTGTACAAGTGGCCTTGCAAGTTCTCAGGCCTTTGGCCTCAGAATGGGAGTTACACCATCAGCTCCCCTGGTTCTGAGATTTTCACAATTGGAATTGGCCATACTCCTGGACTTCCTGGTTCTCCAACTTGCATATGACCTGTGGTGGGACTTCTCATTCTTTGTAATTGCATGAGCCAATTCCCCTTATAAGTTCCCTCTCATATTTCTATATCTATGCCTATCAATATCCATCTTTATCTATATCTGTAATCTATATATCTTTTTTGGGGGTCAGTGTCTTGCTGTGTCACTCAGACTGGAGTTCAGTGGTGTGATCTCAGCTCACTGCAGCCTCAACCTCCTGGGATCAAGCCATCCTTTCACCTCAGCCTCCCCAAGAGCTAAGACTACAGGCTGCACCAACACACCTGGCTAATTTTTGTAGAGAAAAGAGTTTCACCATGTTGCCCAGGCTGGTCTCCAACTCTTGGGTTCAAGAGATCCTCCTGCCTCAGCCTCCCAAAGTGTTGGGACTACAGGTATGAGTCTTCACACCAGGCCTATATCTTTATCTCTACATCAGTATCTATCTATATATCTGTCCTACTATATCTGTATCTGTATCATCTATCTCTATATCCTATCGATTCTATCTCTCTGGAGAACCCTCACTAATGAAATAAAGTAACAGATTTAATAATATCGTTGTAAAATATTCCAATGTGTTCATTAATTTGAAGCTGTCCTTCAACCCTGCTCCAATTTTTTCACACTGTCAGACTCTTTATAAAACTCTTCCTTTTGAGTCTCATGACAACTGAATTTACTTACGTTTTTCTTCTTTTTCTCCTTCCCAGTGCTGTGCAAATATCACCACTATTTTCAAATCTGGTATGGTTTGAATATTTGTCCACTCCAAAACTCATGTTAAAACTTAATCACAGGCCAGGCGTGGTGGCTCACGCCTGTAATCCCAACACTTTGGGAGGCCATGGCAGGAGGATCACTAGAGGTCAGGAGTTTGAGACCAGCCTAACCAACATGGTAAAACCCTGTCTCTACTAAAAATAGAAAAGTTAGCCACGTGTGGCAGCAGGCATTTGTAATCCCAGCTACTCTGGAGGCTGAGGGAGAAGAATGTTTTGAACCCAGGAGGCGGAGGTTGCAGTGAGCCAAGATCACACCACTGCACTCCAGCCTGGGCAACAGAGCAAGACTTGGTCAAAAAACAACAACAACAAAAAAAAAAAAACCCTTAATCCTCAATGTGACAAGGTTGAGAGAGAGGGCCTTGAAGAGCTAATTGGGTGATGAGGGCTCCACCTTCATGAAAGGATTTGCTGATTTATGGATTCATGGGTTCATGGATTTTTGAGTTGTCACAGGAGTGGGACTGGTGGTTTTATAAGAGATGAAGAAAGTCCTGAGCCAGCATACTCAGCCCCCTCACCATGGAATGCTCTGCACTGCCTGGAAACTCTTCAGGAGATTCCCCAACAGCCAGAAAGCTCTCACCAGATGCCATTCCTCAACCTGAAACTTCTTTGCCTCTATAACTGTAAGAAATAATTTATTCAACAGACAAACAGAGAGCCAAATCATGAGTGAACTCCCATTCACAATTGCTTCAAAGAGAATAAAATACCTAGGAATCCAACTTACAAGGGATGTGAAGGACCTCTTCAAGGAGAACTACAAACCACTGCTCAAGGAAATAAAAGAGGATACAAACAAATGGAAGAACATTCCATGCTCATGGGTACGAAGAATCAATATTGTGAAAATGGCCATGCTGCCCAAGGTAATTTACAGATTCAATGCCATCCCCATCAAGCTACCAATGCCTTTCTTCACAGAATTGGAAAAAACTACTTTAAAGTTCATATGGAACCAAAAAAGAGCCCGCATCGCCAAGTCAATCCTAAGCCAAAAGAACAAAGCTGGAGGCATCACACTACCTGACTTCAAACTTTACTACAAGGCTACAGTAACCAAAACAGCATGGTACTGGTACCAAAACAGAGATATAGATCAATGGAACAGAACAGAGCCCTCAGAAATAATGCCGCATATCTACGACTATCTGATCTTTGACAAACCTGAGAAAAACAAGAAATAGGGAAAGGATTCCCTATTTAATAAATGGTGCTGGGAAAACTGGCTAGCCATATGTAGAAAGCTGAAACTGGATCCCTTCCTTACACCTTATACAAAAATCAATTCAAGATGGATTAAAGATTTAAATGTTAGACCTAAAACCATAAAAACCCTAGAAGAAAACCTAGGCATTACCATTCAGGACATAGGCATGGGCAAGGACTTCATGTCCAAAACACCAAAAGCGATGGCAACAAAAGACAAAATTGACAAATGGGATCTAATTAAACTAAAGAGCTTCTGCACAGCAAAAGAAACTACCATCAGAGTGAACAGGCAACCTACAAAATGGGAGAAAATTTTCGCAACCTACTCATCTGACAAAGGGCTAATATCCAGAATCTACAATGAACTCAAACAAATTTACAAGAAAAAAACAAACAACCCCATCAAAAAGTGGGCAAAGGACATGAACAGACACTTCTCAAAAGAAGACATTTATGCAGCCAAAAAACACATGAAAAAATGCTCACCATCACTGGCCATTAGAGAAATGCAAATCAAAACCACAATGAGATACCATCTCACACCAGTTAGAATGGCAATCATTAAAAAGTCAGGAAACAACAGGTGCTGGAGAGGATGTGGAGAAATAGGAACACTTTTACACTGTTGGTGGGACTGTAAACTAGTTCAACCATTGTGGAAGTCAGTGTGGCGATTCCTCAGGGATCTAGAACTAGAAATACCATTTGACCCAGCCATCCCATTACTGGGTATATACCCAAAGGACTATAAATCATGCTGCTATAAAGACACATGCACACGTATGTTTATTGCGGCACTATTCACAATAGCAAAGACTTGGAACCAACCCAAATGTCCAACAATGATAGACTGGATTAAGAAAATGTGGCACATATACACCATGGAATACTATGCAGCCATAAAAAATGATGAGTTCATGTCCTTTGTAGGGACATGGATGAAATTGGAAATCATCATTCTCAGTAAACTATCGCAAGAACAAAAAACCAAACACCGCATATTCTCACTCATAGGTGGGAATTGAACAATGAGATCACATGGACACAGGAAGGGGAATATCACACTCTGGGGACTGTGGTGGGGTGGGGGGAGGGGGGAGGGATAGCATTGGGAGATATACCTAATGCTAGATGACGAGTTAGTGGGTGCAGCGCACCAGCATGGCACATGTATACATATGTAACTAACCTGCACAATGTGCACATGTACCCTAAAACTTAAAGTATAATAAAAATAAAAATAAAAATAATTTATTCTTAAATATAAATACCCTGTTTCAGGTGTTCCATTATAAGCAATAGAAAATGGACTAGTGCACTCACCAACCATCATCTTTCAGGTGTAGAAAAATAAGGCACTGCTTACTCTCCAACCCAAACATTACCTTCCACCTAGGAGGTACATCTTTGATAGGTTCCCATCCAAGGTCTGGTGAGTCATGTCTAATTTAGGAGCAATTCTTTAGTACATGTTTAGAATTGAAAATAATGTTGGCCAGGTATAGTGGCTCATGCCTATAATCCCTGACTTTGGGAGGCTAAGGTGGGAGAATAGTTTGAGGCCAAGAGTTTGAGACCAGCCTAGGCAAGACAGTGATACCCCATCTCTACAAAAAAATAGAAATTTAACAAAAATTTTAAAAATAAAATAATGTTTAATTGTAAAAGAACAAGTGTTGGTGAGGCTATGGATAAGTTGGAACACTTGTGCATCACTGGTGAGAACTTAAAATGCTGCAGCCATTACAGATAACAGTATGATGGTTCCTGTCAAAATTAAAAGTAGAATTACCACATGACCCAGCAATTTCCCTATTCAAATTCAGGTGGAAAGAATTGAAAACAGGGACTCAAACAGAAAATTATACAAGAGTATTCATGGAAGCATTCTTTAAATAGTGACGAAGTGAAAACAACTCAGATGTCCATCAGCGGATGAGTCGCCAAACAAACCGTGGCCTATCCATACAGTGGAATATTATTCAACCTAAAAAAGGAAGGAGCCTCTGACACATGCTACCATGTAGATGAATATTTTATTATGCTAAATAAAATAAGAGAACAAATATTGCATGATCCCACTCACATAAAATATCTAGAATAGCCCTAATCATAGAGAGAAAATATAGGATAATGGTGACCAGGGTCTGGGGAGAGGGCAAATGGGGGAGTCATTGCTTAATAGCTGCAGCGTTTCTCTTTGGGGTAATGAAAGTGGTTTGAAAACAGTCTTGATGGTTGAGCAGCATTGTGAATGTAATTATTACCACTGAATTGTACACTTAAAATGGTTAAAAGAGCAAATTTAGGGTATACGTATATCTAGCACAATAAAATGTATAATTATCCTTAGCAATAAACAATCTTAGTGAGATCACATTTTCCCAGTTGTTCATGCATTATCATCTAGGTTCCACATTTTAAAATTTTGTTGCTTAAAACAAAGAAATATTTCTTTGTAATTTTTCTAATATAAGTGACTTAGGCTTTTATTTATTCCACTTATTTTTGTGACTGGTCCATCTCACAGCTACAATGCATCTTAAAACATCATCGTTTAATCTGACATGTCAGCTTTCTTAAAAATATTTTTAATATTTTATCGTTCCTCTTTTAAGAGATGTGTATTATTTTGGACATCGTTACGAAAAGTAATTTCTGCATATTTCTGACAGCAGGCCATTTAATGTCACATTCTTCTTTTTGTCTGTCTTATCACTTGAGCACAATAGATCAGGATTCTAGTCTGTGGATATTTCGAGATGAAGAGAAAATATCATTTCTAAGGAAAGATAAAATTTTAACACCATAAATATTTTCATCACAATACCATCTTTTTGCATTCACCTACATTGTGATTAATGTAGAACATACCTGATTATAAAAACACATTTATTAAATTCAAATAATAACTACCTTCCTTTCACGTAAGGATTATACTTTAGAATTTAATATTCTTAACTATACTACTGATACATTCTAAATGCAAAAGACAAAATATAAAAAGTGAAATTCAATACAATTGCAGATGCCTTTTAATATTAGCGTAATAATCTTATATGTTCATTTCCATTATTTGAGCAAGAGTTTTGTTTTTCTCTTATTTATTTCCTAATTAAAGAAGAAACACTAGATTGCTACAAAATTTTTAAGGAATGAATGGATATCGAGAATTGTTTAAATAATGTATTTACAGTATCTCCTCTAAATAATACATTGGGATTATTTGGACCTTGTATTACTCTTAGGGCTACTGTAACAAAGGACGACCGACTAAGCAGCTTAAACAACAGACATTTATCCTCCTGGAGTTCTGGAGGCTGAAAGTCCGAGATCAAGGTGTGGGCAGGGCTGGTTCCTCCTGAGGCCTGTCTCATTATCTTGTAGACACTGTCTTCTCCCCGTGTCTTCACAGGGTCGTCCCTCTGTGTGGGTCTGTGTCCTCATCTCCTCTTCTTATGAGGTGTCTTAGGTCCATTTCAGGCTGCTATAATAGAACACATAGACTGGGTGGCTTATAAACAACAGACATTGATTCTCTCACAGCCCTGGAGGCTGGAAGACTGAGATCAAGGTGTGGGCAGGGCTGGTTACTCCTGAGGCCTCTCTCCTGGGCTTGTAGATGCCGTCTTCTCCCTGAGTCCTCACCTGTTTGTACCTCTGTGTGTGTCTGTAACCTCATCTCCTCTTCTTACAAGGACACCAGTGCTACTGGATCAGAGCTCACCTTAGTGATCTCCCTGTACCTTAATCACCTCTTTAAAGACCCTGTCTTCAGCGTGACCAACATGGAGAAACCCCGTCTCTACTAAAAATACAAAATTAGCTGGGCATGGTGGTGAGTGCCTGTAATCCCAGTTACTTGGGAGGCTGAGGCAGGAGAATCGCTTGAATCCAGGAGGTTGTTGCTGTGAGCCGAGATTGCGCCATTGCACTCCAGCCTGGGCAACAAGAGTGAAACTCTGTCTCAAAAAATCAAAAAACAAAAAACCCTGTCTTTAAAAATAGTCACATTCTGAGGTCCTAGGGGTTAAAGCTTGGACATACAAATTTTGAGGGGATAGGCAGAATTCAGAGCATAACAAAGAAAAATTCACACATTATAAATAATTTGTAGAATGACAGGATTATAATATGATCTTTTTGACTTGATTTGCAGGGATGTCACAGAGACACATAAGCTTGTGTATGCACATACACACTCACACACATACATATAATTTGTGCACATGCACACACACATCCATATCATCCATGCAGTGCTACAAAATTTTGCTTTTTCATTTTCATATACAAGAAGCAAAGGATATTCATGTTCAGCAATTTTTGACAGACAGTCTGTCCCATGCTGTTGTGCACTTTAAAAGCACACACAGAAAGAGCAATTTGAGGTTCTCAGATGCTTGACCCACTTCTACTCACTAGGATGGACTCATCTGTAGATGTTGCAGAACTGTGGTGCATAGCGGTGCATGAGCACACCACTCAAATCCCTTATCTCCACTCTCCGAGCCCGTGTGCTCATGACATCATACTTGGTGCATTTCACAAACCACTTCCAAAGTATTTCCCTAATCCAGGTGTCCAAGAAATATGTGCTGGGCCCTTCTGCAGTTCTGTGCCACGCACTGTGTTGTAGCTCAGTGATTTACTGACTTAAAATTTTAAATAAAACCACCATCTTCATAGCTAAAGCCAAGTTATTTATCACTATTTTCTAGTGAACTTTAACATAGAACATGTTCTAGAGTTTCCTCAGCTTAGCAACCATCGCTTGTTTTTATACAAATTCAAAAGCAGACACTAAATCGGTGAACAGTGGGAAAACACGTTTCTTTTGCAACATATTGATTTCGACATCAACAAAATAAAATAAACAAAAACATCTATTAAGTCACAGGGAATTGGATCCACACGTTTTATCTCTGCCCACTTCAACCACACAAAATGTCTATCCATCATCTATCTATCTAGCATTTTTGTTTTATTTTATTTTTTAAGGAAAAGAGGTGCACATTTTATTTTACTTATTTATTTTTCTTTTAACTTTCATTTTAGGTTCAGGGGTCTATGTGCATGTTTGTTTTATAGGGAAACTCTGGGGCCTACTTGAGATTGGAGGGTGGGAGAAAGGAAATATCTAGCATTTTTCTGTCTATTAAGTTTATTTTACCAAGTCCCAACAATTATCAGGATTTTGCCAGTTTTATTCCATCTTTTCCATCTGTTTCCGTTTCCCGCAAGCTAACTCCCCAAGTATATTAAGGTAATATATGTATTTAATATTACATCTGAGACACAACATCACTTCACCTGTGTATAATGCACAGCGAATCTGCAATAGATAGAAGGTGATGTTGTTGTCTTTTGAACAACATTGCCATCTACAGGCAGGGTCAATATACACTATATAAGACAGAAAAATCATCCCCCAAATCAGAATTATAAGCGTGTTATTTAAGCATTTAATAATCACTATCACATCATTGCACGCTGCTTACTCAAACCTGTGAAGCAGCAAAAATGGTCTATAATTGTCTATAATTAAATGACCAAGTCAAGGACGTTCCTGCTCTGGGTGATTCTCTGCTTCCTAGATTGGCAGAGCCATTAAATACATTGGACAAATTGAGGGTGCAAAAAAGCTGTACACTGCTCCCGAAACATGCAAAAATGGGATGCTGTCCAAACACAGCGATTTGAACCTGGTTTTTCTTTGTTTATCTTTTTTTTTCTTTTTTCTTCTTTCTTTTTTTTTTTTGCTAAAGCATTCATTTTCTTTTGTTAAGTACGTTATTAAAATGTTTTTAAAATAGGCACTGGTATCTTTTGTGGTGGACCTCGATTACTCAAACTATTACATACAAATACATTGCATTTACATTTGAGGTTTAAATGTATTATTAAAGGAATTTGTGGACCAGCAATTTGGGATCATTTGGGAAAATTTATCATAACAACTCTAGATAAATGAGTTGGAAACCGTAGAGATGCAGTTTCTCTGCCTGGGATGTGCAAAGAACAGATGTCTGTAATTCCTGCAATTTTACTAATAATTTGGTGATTTGTATGTTTTTGACTTCTATATCCTAGATGAAGAGACAATTGCAATAATCATGCCTAATGGTGAGGAGGAAAATTATCAACGGTGGTTACTTTTCATTCTCTCTTTAAAGTTTTGTTGTTGCTGTTGTTCGCTTGTTTGTTTGTTTTGAGACGGTCTTGCTCTGTGGCCCAGGCTGGAGTGCAATGGCACGATCTCAGCTCACTGTAGCCTCTACTTCCTGGGTTCAAGTGATTCTCCTGCCTCAGCCTCCTGAGTAGCTGGGATTATAGGCACACACCACTACACCTGGCTAAGTTTTTTGTGTTTTTTAGTAGAGACAAGGTTTCACCATGTTGGCCAGGCTAGTCTCCAGCTCCTGACCCCTGGTGATACACCCACCTGGGCCGCCCAAAGTGCTGAGATTACAGGCATGAGCCACCGTGCTGAGCCTTCTCTGCAAAGTTTTAAAGTAAAACGTGGGAATGATGAACAATTTTTTAAAACAGCGTAAGTTGCAGGATACTACAATAGATGTAATCAGAATCTATGTCATTGAGTTTTCTGTGGTAATTAAATAAACAAAAAGTATGTGCAAGGCATGTATTTCTGATATCAAACCCAATATGAATACTATGCAGCCATACAAAAGAACAAGATCATGTTCTTCGCAGGAGTGTGCCTGGACCTGGAGGCCATTATCCTTATGCAGCCATAAAAAAGAAGGAGATCATATCCTTTGTAGGAACATGAATGGAGCCTGTAAACCATTATCCTTAGCAAAGTAACACAGGAACAGAAAACCAAATTCTGCATGTTCTCACTTATAAGTGGGAGCTACATAATGAGAACACATGGACACATAGAGTGGAACAACAGACATTGGGGCCTATTGGAGGGTGGAGGGTGGGAGGAGGGAGAGGATTAGGAAAAACAACTAATGTGTACTAAGCTTAATACCTGGGTGATGAAATAATCTGTATAAAAAACCCCCATAACACAAGTTTACCTGTGTAACAAACCTGCACATGCACCCCTGAACTTCAAAGTTAAACAAAAAGTACTATATTGTTAATGAGAATGCAGGTATTTCCTATTTCCCAAATCCTGTTTCGTGAAAAATATGTTAAATATTACATGATATTGAGATTAATTTGCCAGTGGTAATACAGCAATGTTTTAAAAGTTTTTACAGGAAAGTCTCCATTTGTAACTCACTCATTGGTGTTTAGAAGGTCATTCCCACTGAAAAGCCCACCTCTGGACCTGTCCTAATCTTGCTGGCATAGAGGTTAAATTGGGAAATAGAAAGTACCCAGATATTTCTTTCTCTATTGTGGAATTTGGAATGGGTTGGTTACAGAATTGAAAGTAAATTGAAAACTAGCACATGGAAAGTTTATTAAAGCATTTGACAATGAACAATAGAAGTTTGAAATGGGGAGTCTGGGAGCAGATAGAGAAGGATGGAAAGATGGGAGGATGGGCCTGGATGGGCCTTCTCTACTTGTTAGAAAAGATTTGTGTTCAATTATATTATTTTGGTAATAATGCTAAAAGTGGGTATGATCTGGGGAAAGATATGGAAACAGGCAAACAGGATGAAGGAGAAAATATTACTACCAACATCATAAAAATAAGTGAAGTCTGCTGTTGAGCTTTATTTACTAAAAGTTACTAAAATAGGAAAAAACTTAAAAATAAAATTTATATTGTACGTTTTCTTTCTTTTTTTTAACTTTTAGGTTCACGGGTACATGTGGAGGTTTGTTACACAGGTAAAAGTGTGTCATGGGGTTTGTTGTACAGATTATTTCATCAGCCAGGTATCACCCTAGTACCCATTAATATCCTGAGCCTCTCCCTCCTCAACCTTCCACCCTCCGATGGCCCCAGTGTGTGTTGTTCACCCCCATGTGTCCATGTGTTCTCATCATTCAGCTCCCACTTAAAAGTGACAACAGGCAGCATTTGGTTTTCTGTTCCTGTGTTAGTTTGCTAAGGATAATGGCCTTCCGCTCCATCCATGTTTCTGCAAAGGATATGATCTCATTCTTTTTTATGGCTGCATAGTGTTCCATGGTGTGTGTATGTGTGTGTGTGTGTGTGTGTGTGTGTGTGTGTATATGTTTTCAGTATGCATCTTCATGCAGATCTTTCAAAGAAACTGATTTCACAGACCACCATCAATGGTGGCCACTGGAGATCAATACTGGCCAAACTTTGGAAATAAAATAGTAATGGAACTTAGAACCTAGCTATATATGAGTTTGCTAGGGCTGCCATAACAAAGTCCCACAGACTGTGCAGCCTAAACTCTCTGTCTCTATATATACATAGTACGTTTTCACCAGTGGTATATCTAACCCATGGTGTTTGATAAAAATGTTGGCATTTCACCAATTGTTTGGCATTAGTTTGCTTTCATTTGCATGTGAGCAGTGTCTACACAAAATACACATATTAAAGTCCTAACCCCCAGTACCTCAGAAAGGGACTGTATTTGGAGATAGGGCCCTTAAAGTGACAATTAAAGTATAATGAGGCCATTAGGGTGGGCCCTGGTCCAATAGGACTTATAAGAAGAAATTAGGACACAGACACACAGAAAGACAACCATGTGAGGACACGGGGAGAAGACGGCGTCTATAAACCAAGGAGAACAGCCTCAGGAGGGATCAGCCCTGTGACACCTTGATCTCAAATTCCTGGCCTCCAGGATGGTGGGGGAATAAATGTCTTTTGTTTAGGCTGCGCAGTCTGTGGGACTTTGTTACGGCAGCCCTAGCAAACTCATATCGCTAGGTTCTAAGTTCCGTTACTATTTTATTTCCAAAGTTTGGCCAGTATTGATCTCCACTGACCACCGTTGATGGTGGTCTGTGAAATCAGTTTGTTTGAAAGATCTGCATGAAGGTGCATACTGAAAACAGAGCACTATGATGTAATCCAGCCACATCCACCAGGTCTCTTGGGAAATCATCCCCCCTCATGTCTCCCTAGTGGATTCAGTTCAAGCATTTGGTTGACCAAAACTTTATTTTAATTTGACACAGTAAGTTAATTTGCAATTATCAATAGATAACGTAGGCAGATGTGTGTGTGTGTGTGTGTGTGTGTGTATGTGTGTGTGTGTGTAGAAATCAGTTGCCATGTTTTCCTTTTTCAAGGTAGTTGCCATTTTTTCTGTGGTTTTTCAATGACCTCAGGTCTACCTTTTTCTATATCCAGACCATGCAGATGGTGTGAGCTGAACAAATGTCAAGCCAGAAAGAAGAGGTCATTGTTGTTTCCATTGTTTCTTTATTTCGCAAACATAACTAGGACTGTAAAAATGTTAAATGTTTTTCAATGTTCAAATTACTTGAAGACCAGATTTCAGCAATCATTTCTACAAGTAGTGAAGAGTTATTATGAAGAGAAAAATAGCAGAAGTTCTAAATAATCCAACACAAATTATGTAAATAAGTCTTTATTTGAATATCTATATTTTTATGGACTTTGAAAGCTTCCAAATAAGTGCATAACATGACTTAAAAAAAAGTCCTGTCCCAAGTCAATATATATGCCATGTCAAAATTCTTAGCTTCAGAAAAAGGTTAAGAAAATGATTTCTCAAGGAGAGTGCCTAAGGATATTCAGAAATTACTTCCTTTGCCCTATAGAATCCCAATTGCAATGTCACAAACCCATAAACCTTCCACTTTGTCCTTTTTGGATGAGAACTTGAAAGTCTTATTTAAAAAGGATGTGATGAATAGACAGATTGTATTTTAGCATATTTACTCTTCTTTTCTCATTTGCCTGTCTTCATCTTATAGCAAAATTGCATCTTCCTGAGTTTATTGTAAATACTTTCATTCTATCGTGAGCCAAAAATGTGGAAGAAACAACTTGAGTGAAAACAAAGGATTGGCCAAAGAAAGTTAAGCATTAGTCTGCGTCTATAGATTTAGCAAGCTGATCTATTCATGTTGTGGCATAAGCTAGTATTTAGTGCGTTTGCCATGGTATGAATCTTTAGGGATTAACTTTTTAACAAGAAATATGACTCAGTCCTCCTTCTCATAATCCAAGTGTGGTTTGCAGCTCAGCAGAGTAATAAACCCAGGGATGTGTTAGAAATTAAATGTATGTGAAATGTAAAGACATCACATTCTTAGAAGCAGAGAATACAATGGCAATTTTGGAGGCCGGGGTGGGGGAAATGAAAGCTTTGGTGAAAGGATACAAAATCTCAGATAGATAGAAGGAATCTTTTCCCCTCTTTGAGTTCTATTAATATTACAAATTGTGGTGAATATAGTTAATGATGGAGTATTTTACACTTCAAAATTGATAAAAGAGTAAACTGTAAATGTTCTCACCACAAAAATGTTAGGATATATTAACTGGTTTGATTTAATTATTCTACATTGAACAATACTTCATATCTCATTCATTTATATAATTACAAATTATCAGTTTACAACAAAATAAAACAAAAATAAAATAAAATATATGGACCCAACCTGGACCTTCTGCATCAGAAGGTTTTGTAGAAATCCGCGTATTAAAAAGCTTTCCATAATGTTCTTATCCACGCTAACATTTGAGAATCACTGTTCTAGTGAGTTACTCTAAAATGTAGAGGGCATCTAAAGAGTGGTAAATGAAATATACTGTAGATAATGGAAGAGAAAAACTACAGACTTGGCAAGTTTCTTTCCAGAAAGATCCATAAAAACTGAGACCGAAAGCTGAGATTTGGGGATTGTAGTTTGCTTGTTTAACCACACCGTATTCCAAAAGACAATGTGTTTCTATGTAAAGTGCATTTTTAAATATAAAAAAGTGTGAACTCAAATTGCTCACCCTCCACGTTAATAAAATAGAGACAGAGCCTATCACAGAGGATGCAACTATGGAGACAGTCCGGTGAATAGTATTCTTTGTATGTGTATGGGCACATACTTCACACAAACGTTAGTAAAAATTAAGAGAAGGGAAATTGGGGGTAGGCAATTTTGCTTGTCCACCTTGACTTATTCTATAAATAAACGTAAATAACAGCATTTCAACTCTTTGAGAAAAATTATCCAATCGAGACAATGGGAAAATTAGACAGGATTGTGTGCAAATTCAGAAAGTACAGACAAGTTAAAACACATGGGCACACAGGCATACTCACCAATCCCCATGTGCTCACTAAGGTGAATTAATTTGTGCAGGAAGATAGTAGTGTACCTACTACCTGTTATTTAGTACCTGGTGTTTATGGATGGTGAGTTTAGTACCTGGAATTTATGGATGGCGAAGAAGTTTGGAATATAAAAAATTAACCACTATTTGTAAAAATTTGAAATAGGAAATGAATGGTCCTATTGAATAATTGTAATGTGCAGATGTAGAAATAATATTTGAATTCAAATATAAAAACAATGGGAACTAGAATGATGCTTAAAATTTGCCATGTAGTAAGCATGACTACAAAGCTATTTTAAATATTAGAATTGGTAATCTACCCATATATATTTATCATTTGGCATATTTGTTTGTCAAAAAATCTTAATACATTTTTAGGGATTGAGCTATGGATTTCAAGTGATGCTATGTATAATTGTTCTATCTCCTTTAATATATGAATCTATGACTGTGTGCATGCCTGATTAAAAGGCATGAGGCTGATCTTCCAGAATAAATTATTTAATCATCACCAACTATATATTAGTCAACCAGCCACTCAATTATAGAGAACACATCGCAGTCTGACATACTGATACATTTAAGGCTGGTAAGAAATCTATGCATACATTCTAGATAGATATTTTTATATTTAAAATTATGATATAAGGTTAATTTTTATTTAAGAGGATTTTTATTTTAAAAATCCCATGGATCAGCCTGAGCAACACAGTGAAACCCCATTTCTGTAAAAAATAAAAAAATATTGGTCAGGCATGGTGGCGTGTGCCTCTGGTCCCAGCTACTTGGGAGGCTGAGGTGGGAGGATGGCTTGAGCCCAGGAGTTTAAGGCTACAGTGAGCCACAATGGTGCCACCGTACTCCAGCCTGGGTGACAGAGCAAGACCCTGTTTCAAAACCAGCCAACCAACCAACAACAACAACACAAACCTAACACAAACAAACAAACCCACGGATGATTTGACACTTTGGCACATTATGCAAATATAGAGCCCTGACATCTACGTCATTGTAACATTTCTTATTATGCCGGCGTTCAACTGCTGGGTGCAATTGACAGTATGTTCCCACTGTATAAACTCCCTTGCTAAAGATGAACATAGAAAATAAAAATAGCCACCTGTGTTGAAAAAAACGATCTATTAGGTAGAACAGGTTAATTATTTCTCACATGAATGTTTGAATGTAACTATTAAACTCGGAGAGTTACCAGCCCTGTGTTGACTATTGATTCATTAGCTTCCAAATTTCTGTAATTGACAGGCACCTGAAGCTACCTGGTGTCTGCAGATAATAAAATGTTAACGCAGGAACATCATTTTCATGCTCTGTTGCTTTAGATCTTGAAGTAAATACTAATGCACAGGGTCCATTAGGTTTCTTCTCCTTCTGCATGAAGTGTAGCTTCATTGTACTAAAAGCAACCATTGAAATCATCTTATTTTCCAGGAAAATGAGGCATTAAAAAGATAAAGAACTTGTCCAAGGTCATCCATTTAGCACTGTGGCCATACAAGCATTCTGTGTACTACTTTAAAATGAAGTTTTCAAAAGACTTTAAGATTTTTTTCCTCTTGCCATGCATGATCTTGTCAAGTAAAGACAAGGACGACTTACCATTCTGGAAATGAAAAAAAAAATAAACTAATGATTATATTCAAGATTTGCTTCTTATTGGAATATTAACAGAAAACATCCAATTCTATATTTATTCATGATAATTTTGTTTAAAAATGATACATGTGTAAAAAAATTGGCAGATTGCTGTATTTTATATGGGATACTGATAAAACTCATTCAGTGAAACTGATAATAGGAATCCTGTGCCTTGTAAAAATTGTTTAAATGCATAAACTTATTTAAATAATTTTTAAATGAACTTTGAGAAATGATGACTTTTTTTCAAATTTGGCACTGTATTGCAACTTGTTTAATTTTTTCATGCCATTATCACATACAACATCATGATTTTAATTGAAAAGATAATTAAAATGGACATTATTAAGAAAATAGCTCTTGGGAAATTGTTCATGATCTCAGAGTATTACAGCCCAAGATATTAATGCAATGATTTATCGTGCCATCTGTACAGGCACACTAGTTACCTTGCTGTAAGTACATAACATCTGACCTAGAAAAAAGTCTACTTTTCCTATTTTAATAGATTGTAACATCAAAAAGCACTTTTCACTAAGCTCCAATAAGATACAACCGTGCCCATGAAACTGTGCCCCTAAGTTGCACTGAATTTCAGCTTTTGATCACTGCTGATTGAAAGTACTGTAGGAGTGCTGAGAGCAGAGTTAACAACAAATATATCATTTTCTTTAATCAGCTCATGCTTCAGAGATGAGTGATCTCTGTCTTTGGGATTGTGAACTTGGGAGCAGTTCAGTATACAGTGTGGCTGGTCAGAGAAGTTTCCAAAGGAGATGATTGACTCGCCTTTCAAAAGAATTCTGTGAGTAATGAATTTGAAAGATAAACCTTTTGTACATGTATATTTGAGGATTTGAATATAGTCCACTGTAGTTTACTGTGATTTAAATGATTTAAGTCACTGAATTTGGTTTTGTAGGCAATGTGATGAAACTGCATCAAACGAAACTAACAATAGGTATTACATTCACTCCTTTTTGGCTGGATGACAGAGTGAAATATTTCAGTTCTCAGTTAATTTAGTTTTCTATGAAATAATTAATGGCATAAATTGGACTAATTTTAATATCAATTATTGCTCTTAGTTTTATGAACTTAAGTCCTCTACTGCCTACTGGCCTATATCTGTAAACAAAGCTACACTGTTTCACAAGTGAAGAAACTAGCACTAATGGGACATTTCAAAATTACCTTTGATATGCAATTTTGGCATTTAGTAGCATAACTGTCACATTAAGCAAGAATTTCCCCTTCTCATAAATGAATTTTTTGGTTCAATTTCCATTGGCCAGTAATATGTAGTATATGACAATATGATGATGATGATGGAGATAATGATGATGATAAAGATAATGATGATGATGGTGGAGATCGTGATGATAGTGTTGATGATAATGAGGATGGTGATGGTGATGGTGATATGATAATGATGGTGATGATGATGTTGATGGTGATGATGATAATGATGATGATTGTGGTGATGGTGATGAGAGTGATGATGATGGTGATAATGGTGATGATGGTTATGATGAAGATGATGATAATGGTAGTGATGATGATGATGAATATGATAATGATGTTGGTGATGAGGGTGTTGACCATGATGATGGCGAGGTGATGAAGATTATGATGGTGATGAAGAAAATGATGATGATGTAATGATGGTGTTGATTATGGTGATGATGATGATGGTGATGATGAAGATGATGTTGATGGTGGTGGTGATAATGATGATCATCATCATCATGATCATAATGATGATTAAGATGATGACAACGATGATGATATGTCACGTTACATAGACACTCAAGAAAATGTACCCTCATATTATTTAACAAATTGGAAAAAACATTCCATGATCATGGATAGGAAGAATCAATATCGTTAAAACGGCCACACTGCCCAAAGCAGTTTGTAGATTCAATGCTATTCCTATTAAACTACCATTGACATTCTTCACAGAATTAGAAAACACTATTTTAAAATTCATATGGAACCAAAAAAGAGCCCATATAGCCAAGACAATCCTAAGCAAAAAGAACAAAGCTGGAGGCATCACACTACCGGACTTCAAATTTATGCCTTTTTTTTTTTTTTTTTTTTTTGAAAATCAAGTTTAGGAATATATGTCATATTTAATTCATATAAATATTGCATTTTCTTTGACTAGGACTTTTTATAGGGAATATTAGGATTGTCAATTATTTGAAGCTTTGGAGTAAATCTATAAAACCATTGAGCCAAGTGCCTTTTTGGAGGATAACTAGTTTGAAATTTTTCTATGATTTAAATGGAAATTGTTTTGTTGAAGGATTCTTTTTGTACATGATTTGCATTTGGTAAATAGCTACTTTTTATTAGATATTTCATGCAAGTTTTCAAGCATATTTGCAGTAAGTTATACAAATCAATCTCTCATGATGTCTCAATTTTCTGTTTGTTTCAGTAGTCTTTTTTCTACTTGCTCTTTCTTAATTTTTGTATCTGTACCTTATTCCTATTTTTAAAAATGTAACTGTTTGTCCATATTTTTCATTGTTTCCAAGTGCCAACAGTTACTTTGTTGTATAGTACATGGCTTAACTGCTCTCATCAATTTCTGCTTTAATTGTGATATAAGAAAAGATAAAATTTAGGTTCCAAAACACCAGTGATAAAAGGAAATAAGTGTAATACTAAAGCTTCCAATTAACACTAAAGACATATTTATGAATATCTATGCTTTAAATAAGAGGGCAACTAATTTTCATAACACAAATGTTTAAGATATGCAAGGAGAAAGAGATAGAGTCATACTATCAAAGGGACAAAATAATACAAAAAGAAACAAATAATCTATTCATCAGCGAGATGCCCTTATGGGGACATACAAAATGCACCCTTCAGTAATAGGTAATATACTTAATCTGCAGTTACATTTTTAAAAATTATGAAAATTGATGATGACCAAGTAAATCTGTATCAATTCCAAAGGAATAAAATTTATAAAAATACTTGTGTTATTTTTTGTGATATTGAGTGAGTGATTTTGGTTATAACTAATACTTTTTTTCTCCACGGGGTTTTTGTTTATATGTTTTATCTATGCACTTCTAATCAAGAAACACTTGAGGAAAGAACCATTATTGGTATTATTGTTCTGTACCAAAGTTTTTCTTTACTTTGTTGGGTATTGTGTGAAGCATCTTCTTTAACTAAAAATTTTTGAGTTTTACTTTGGTTTTTATTTTAATAGTAGTTCCCAGTGAATTCTATCCTTTTTTTTCCTGTTTCTTTTTCAGTGTGCAATTTTCCTGTAGCATCAGGAAAATTGTGTTTTGACTTATGAGGGACTGGTGAGGGGCTATTTATGGCTTACTAGATTTTTCAATTCACGGACACCCTCTCGTGTCCATATAATTAAGTTGCCCTAGGAGACGGCTTTTTTTGGTTTATTTTATTGTGTTGTGTTCTCTTCTGTTGTTTTGTTTGATAAAAAGAGCACAAGTTCTGGCATGTACTTTTGGTTTCATAGGACTGACACTTTTTACTTCTTGTTTTTTCAGTTTGTTTCTTTGTTTTCAGTGACAAATCCCAAAGGATGCCCACTCTTACCAGGTATCTCTCTCCCCTGCCCCAAGTAACAATTCCTTCCTCGAAGTGCCCCCTCTACTAAATTATAGTCCATATTGATAATCACTTGCATTTTGATATGATAATGTAATTGAACAAAAAAGCCATCATTCACATTAGAAAACAAAAAGAAAATACATAGTATCTTGGAATAGTTCTTTGACCATTAGTGGAAGATTTTCTTTTCCTCCCTCCATGGAGAAAATGTTAGCATGGAATGAAGGATGTTGATGTAATTGTTTAAAGAAATGACTCAGATAGAAATGCTCTCCAACACCAGATTCCTGGGGATCTCTGATGTTTCAGGCTCTTCAGAGGGATTTTGACTTCCATTATGGTTTTTCCTATGGACATGGCTAGTTGTTAAAAGATAATTTATTGATCAGGACACCAAGCACATCTCTGAGAGGAAGGTGATATATTCGAGCTCCTGGCAATACCACTAGTAGAGTCAAAAGAGAAGATTCTGGAGTTGAAACCTAGTCATGTGCAAAGGGAATATCTGTTGGATTAGGATGAAGCTGGAGATGGGAGATTATGAATGAAGATCAGAGAAAATGCAGTCAGCACAGCTGAGGTGCAAATCCTAAATCTCACCCCAGGTTCCTCTCATCTAGAAGCTTCCTTTGTAATTCCTAAAGCATCTTCAGCGTTACAATTGTCAATAAATCTTTCCCCAGGTCAATATCTAGCCCAGATATAAAAATGGT
The DNA here is from genome assembly GCF_000001405.40 of Homo sapiens. Taxonomy (NCBI): domain Eukaryota; kingdom Metazoa; phylum Chordata; class Mammalia; order Primates; family Hominidae; genus Homo; species Homo sapiens. Next base: position 5,125,158 of record NC_000023.11, read on the forward strand.
GAGGATATGTCTCAGTACTGTGTTTTCAGTCTCAGAAACAAAGAGGTAGGAGGCAGGACTCAACTCTAGAGGAAGGGCTTAGACACCAGACCGAATTGAGGACTAGTTAAAACAGGAACAAAGTGGAAACGGCTCTCCTTAAGACATGTCCACCAGTGAACAATGTCGGTTTATCATTGCCATAACAACACCCAGGGGTTACCACTCCTTTCCATGGCAACAACCCAACAACCTGGAAGTTACCACCCTTTTTCTAGAAATTTCTGCATAAACTCCCCTTAATTTGCATGTTATTAAGAGTGGGTATAAATATGACTACAGAATGGCCTCTGAGCTGTTACTGTGGGCACACTGCCTATGGGGTAGCCCTTCTCTGCAAGAGGCAGTACTTCTGCTGCTGCGGCACACTGCCACCTCAAAATAATTGCTGTCTAACACCACTGGCTCACCTTTGAATTCTTTCCTGGGCAAAGCCAAGAAACTTCCGAGGCTAAGCCCCAAATTAGGGGGTTGCCTGCATCTCTTTCTTTCTTTTCTTTCTTTCTTTCTTTCTTTCTTTCTTTCTTTCTTTCTTTCTTTCTTTCTTTCTTTTTCTTTCTTTCTTTCTTCTTTCTTTCTCTCTTTCTTTCCCTCCCTCCCCCCTCCCTCCCTCCCTCCCTCCCTTTCTTTCTTTCTTTCTTTTTCTTTCTTTCTTTCTTTCTTTCTTTCTTTCTTTCTTTCTTTCTTTCTTTCTTTCCCTCCCTCCCGCCCTCTTTTCTTTCTTTCTTTCTTTTTCTTTCTTTCTTTCTTTCTCTCTTTCTTTCTTCTTTTGAGATAAGGTCTGGCTCTGTTACTGAGGCTGGAGTGCAGTGGCATGATCTCAGCTTACTGCAACCTCCACCTCCTGGGCCCAAGCTTTCCTCCTACCTTAACCTCCCAAGTAGCTGGGACTACAGGTGTGCACCAACACACCTGGCTAATTTTTGTATTTTTTGTAGAAACAGGGTTTCTCCATCTTGCCCAGGCTGGACTTGAACTCCTGAGCTCCAGAGATCCACCCACCTCGGCCTCCCAAAGTGTTGGGATTATAGGTGTCAGCCACTGTGCCCAGCCCATCAGTTTCGTTAAAAGCATAAACATATACACTATTTAAATGGCATAGCATTGCTAATTTATATTATTTAGTATTAAAGAGTGAAACAAATGAGCTAAAGGAAAAACATAAACTTGGTAGAGAGTTGAAGATATTTTATATTATGCTGAGTTCTATATATTTTTGCCAAACACAGTTCTTGCAGATGAACAAAAAGGACACATTGCACATTTGCCTTCTGTTGGGATGTTTCTACTGTTCCTAACTGTCGGCTTCCTAGAGAGAAAACACCATATTTTGAGATATAAATGTAGATGGAAAATGAAAAATGCAAACTGTCACCCTGACATTATCAAATATTTTATTACATTGGTGCCTACATTACAAATAACTCTACTGAGTTTTCATATTAAATGTGTTTTTAAATAAAGAGAACATTTGTGGTTGGTATGAATTTATACTCTGAATTCAGGTGTCATTGCTATGACTGAATGCAGAGATCAGTGTTCCAGAGAAGTTCATATTGTATTCATTGGTTACCTTTTAAATAAGAACTTTAGTGATAAGAAATGCATTATTAAGAGTTTCTGTAAACTTAGGAGACATCGAAATCTGATAGTGAAAACATAGATGATAATAATGTCATGTAAGATATACTTTAAAGATCTATTCCACAATTTATGCTTATATGTAGGTTATGAACTAGAAGGTAGTGATTTTTTTGATAAGGCATGGATATCTCTTAAATTTACTTGCTTATTCCTTTGATCTGTTTTAAAATATATGAGTGATGATTATTTTTTATAGATAATTTTCTATAATTGAAAGTGGAGGCTTTCATTTTTCCAGGCTTTCCATTTTGATCTAATAATTTTCTTAAAAGTAACTATCAGAAGATGCTATTCTACATACAATATGTTGAATTTATTTACAGCACAGTTCACAGAACAGCTTAACATGTTTTGTTCATGTAGATCTAACATTAACTGGAAGGGGTGTGTGTGTGTGTGTGTGTGTGTGTGTAAAAGTAAATATGTAGTATAGATTTTGTTTGAAGTGTACTATTTCTTATGTATTGATTATACTGCTGAGTGGCCAAAATATGAATGGATATTAAAAAAGATTAAAGATCATAGACAATAATTTTCCTCATATGGTCTATAAACAAATCTCATCCAAGGTTATTGCTATTCAGAATGATTTGCTTTGGCAAAACAAATATGCACAAAGCATTCTGTCCTCAACACAACAAGTATTTACCTAAAATTACTGATGTATAGCATCCACATGCAGAAACCATTTAATTTAATCAATGCTCTTGACACATGGTTTAGGATGTTGTCCTTAATATAATATGACTTTTTTTCCTAACTGAAATTACCTACCTGAAAAGAAATAACAAACATTTTATTTTTATTTCTTATTTTCTTTTATTAGTGTGTTAGTCAATTAGGATTTTTTGAAAAGGAGGAGAAGTACGATTAGGCATTAAGGAAAAGCAGTATAGAAAGGTAAATAATGAGCCATATATATAATGAATATTAGCAATTTTATCACAGAAATACTTTAGCCACTTTGTTTTATTATTCACAGAAAAGCAAGTCTTCATGCTGTAGAAACATAACACACAGAGTCATATATGAAGATTTAGGGCTTATTTACAAATATGAATCTCTCTCTCTCTGTCTCTTTTTGCATTATAGCTAATTTATCACAATGGAATCCACACCTTAATTCCCATCTGTCTACTAAGCTGTTACTGACTCATGAAAATGACTGAAACTGACAACACACCTTGGAGACGGGATCACCACTCAGAGAATCTGGCTGTGCTCATGGTCATCTTGGCTTCAGGGGAAACCCTAGGCCTGCTGGAGGTCCTGGGTCACTGTCTATTGTGACTTCCTCCCTGATAAGGAAACCTGACTGGAAGACTGTGATGCTTTACGTTGGGGCCACTGGCAATTTGCCACAAGCAGGGACTCCCCAGTTGGGCTCCCACTTGGTGTATGCGTGTGTGTGTGTGTGTGTGTGTGTGTGTGTGTGATTATTCTTCTAATGATGTTTGTTAGAGAAGGTACAGCCTTGTTGTATAGATGGAAGGTGGTGAAAAAGGCACAAATTGGCAATTCAGGGCTGATTTTCTGAGACAGAATTCGTAGATGTGCCGGTCTAAATTTCAATGTTGAAAGTCTTGCTTTAATTGTGACTGTGGTTTCTTAGGAAGAGAAGTTTGGACAAAGTGTAAGGAGCCGGTGGTTTGTTTCTCTTGGGGCTGAGGCCAACAGGTAGAGGATGGAACAGCACTTAGGATAGAACATCTTGGTCTGTATTCAGGATGGCTTCTTTGCTCACGTGCCTTGCTGACTGCCTGGACGGAGTCAACTGAAACCAGGGTTCAGCTGGGATGGTTGACCAGATACAAACATGTGGCTTCACCATGGGGCTGGGATTTCTCAGTGAATGAAGGCTGGGTGACTGCATGCCAAGAGAAAGCACCCCAAAAACATGTGGCCCAAGGAAGTAAAGTTGCATTTGTAAGATTTAAAACATTTTGTAAATCTATGGTAGTTTATCTCTATTGCTTATTCAAATGGATGACTCCTTAATAATAGTTTATTTATCAAAGCTTCTCCTTTCTGATTTCTTACATCTGCCTCTTGCTTTGCTGGATTTTATTAAGTGAATTTTACTATAAATAAAAACAGGGACTCACTATGGCCACAAAGCATCATTTCTGACCTACTCAACTGGTCCAGGCAGCCACAGTTCATTCCTGATTCAAGGTGAAAAAATTTAAGCCCTCAACTTTTAAATAATTGATTAATTAATTTTTAATCGACAAAAATTATGTATTTATGTTGTACAACATGATGTTTTGAAATATGTATCCATTGCAGAATGGCTAAATAAGCTAATTAACATATGCATCACCTCACATACTTTTTTTTTGTGGTGAGAACACTTCAAATCTACTGTTTTTAGTGATTTTCAAGTACTCTCTACACTGTTATTAACTATAGTCACCATGATATACAAGAGATCTCTTGAAATTATCTTTTAATTTCTGATGTGATGAATGTCAAAGGATTTGCAGCCCCTTTGTAAAACTGCTGCATATAGACACACTCACTGGATTGCCTGACAATGGTTTAATACCACAGCAAATAAAGGAGAACATCAGCATTGCTGCAATATATATATATATATATATATTTTTTTTTTTTTTTTCAGAATTCACAGAACTGCTCATGAACTTCAAGATCTCAACAGAGAGAATTGTGCAGGTATGACTGACTGCCAGATTAAAGGTCTGAGTGATCACTCTAGGATAGTCCACATAAGATTTGCTGTTATCTAGTCCCTCAGAATGTCAAGTATTTTGGAGATTCTGCCTAAGAAGGCAGATGACAAATAAAGACTGTGAACTGTGAAATGTTTGTTTTCAAGAAGAAAGAAAATGAGAACTTTCACTGGCTCACTCATAACAAATGGCCATTGTTAGCACTGAGGATACATAGTTTGCAAAAATACATCTGTGGACATCATCTCCAAAGATTGTACTTTTTTTGAAATATGTGTATCTCTAAGACAACGTGGCGATAAATAAGAGGCTTAAGGTTCTAAGCTTTCAGAATGAATGTGTTACATTTATATTGCAATACCCTGATGTAGATTTCTAGATGCTGAAAGTTTTTAGTTGTAGCTATGGGTGAATAGGGCATTCTGTACTTTAGCTGTGTTTCTGGAGCTGACTTTATATTTAAATTGGGTTTCCATACAGCACTGTTTTTATTTTATTTCTTCTGCAAGAAAATCAATTGTGAAAGTAATGGAAAGCTGTAAGTATTTACTTCCAAGCTGAAATGACATCAACACTATGATGACTTATCTGTAGTAAACTATTTTTTCTGACATATTTAAATTCTGCAGACATTTTCCATGAAAATACATTTTTCTTAAGGAAGATACTATTTGGGGTAAAAAGAATCATCAAAATTTCTCTGAGTTGTTATATAAGAATTGAAATCAAAACCACTTTTACATATAGGATATGTTACCTTTTTTGCAAGTGAAATATAAAGATTACTTAGAATAACTTGGCTACTATTTACTGGTTATAGAATAATATATTGAACTTTGAGTTCTGTATTTGTTTCTGTAAACACACACTCATTCTTATATATATATATATACATGTTTGTAAAAACACAGACACTCTTATATAGAAATATATGTGTGTACATATATCTTTATATCTGTCTATATCTATATATAGATAGGTAGATAGATATAAAGTCACAGTATGAGATAGGTGGTCAGCACAAAATACAGGTTATAAAGACCTTGCTGATAAAGCAGGTTGCAGTAAAGAAGCCGGCCAAATCCCACCAAAACCAAGATGGTCAGGAGAGTGACCTCTGATTCCAGAGTTTTGTGTGGCTGGAATAATGACTAGCTTTTTATTTCACTCTGGAGATCAGTTGAGTGTGCCATGCCTTCAGTCCACTTCAGGGCAGTCTTCCTCAGCCTTCAGACTAGGTTGTAGATGATGAAATACTATCTTGGCACAGGGGATATAGCACCAGGTCTCTCCCAGATGACCAATGTCCCTCTTAGCTTCTTGGTGTTTCCAGGTCACCTTGCTTTGTGGTTTCCTGGGCTTCCAATATTGTAATCTTAGCTTTTCAGGGAAATGGAAACCTCCAATGAGATTTTTGGAGGCTTATTTTGGAGTCTTCCCTGGTAAATCAGTGTAAGACTCTCTTATCTATAGAGTGCGCTCTGTCATGAATCCACTGTGGCTTGGCGTGTCCACTTTTATAGCTTTTAGGTTTGTTGTTATTAAAGGGGCTATAGAGAAAGTATGGGAGAAAATTACATTGCTTTTTTTCTTTCCTTTTTCTTTAGAATGTTTCTCAATCTTGGGTGTTATATTTATGGCAGCAATGGGGGGGAGTATAAATTTTAATTCATATGTAAATACTAAACTGCAAGGCTTCTTTTTAAGAACTTCAATAGCTTTTGGAGTACAAGTGGTTTCTGCTTACCTGGATAAATTGTATAGTGGAGAATCTGAGATCTCAATGCACTCTTCACTGGAGTAGTGTATTTTGTACCTAGTATGTAGTTTTTTTTGTTTTTTGTTTTCAAGACATAGTCTCGCTCTGTTGCCCAGGCTGGAGTTCAGTGGTGCACTTTCGGCTCTGCCCCAGGGTTCAAACGATTCTTGTACCTCAGCTTCCTGAGTAGCTGGGACTACAGGCACACGCCACCACGCCTGACAACTTTTTATATTTTTAGTAGAGATGGGGTTTTGCCATGTTGGACAGGCTGGTCTCAAACTCCTGACCTCAGGTGATCTGCCTGCCTTGGCCTTCCAAAGTGCTGGGATTACAGGCCTGAGCCACCATACCCGGCCCCCACTATGTAGTTTTTTTATCCCTCTCTCTCTCTCATCTTTCCCCCTTGAGTCCCTAATGTCCGTTATATCTGTAAACCTTTGTGTACCTATAGCTTAGTTCCCAATTATAAGTGAGAATATATTGTATTTGGTTTTCCATTCCTGAGTTACTTCACTTAGAACAACATCATCCAGTTCCATCCAAGTTGCTGCAAAATACATTATTTCATTTTTTATGGCTGAATACTATTCCATGGTGCACAGATCCCACATTTTCTTTATCTACACGTCAGTTGATGGGCACTTAGGTTGGTTCCACATCTTTGCAATTGTGAATTGTGCTGCGATAAACATAAAAACATAAACGCTTCTTTTTCTAATTTTATTTTTCTAACACCAGCAAACTACAAATAGGACATGAAGTTCCATTGATTTAGTCTCAATGGCACTGTAATAAATATATTCTGAGGGAGGTCACTAAGACTATACCTCAAAGAACTCACAGCTCAAAAAAATGTTTCCTGGTATGAATTACACTTTTAAATTATATAGCAAGGTCTATTTCTAATCTTTAATAAGATGTTTGTGTATGTGTTCCCTTTGACCATTTAATATTTGTCTGAAATTTGTCCTCTAGAAAGGTCCACAATAAAATATCATGATTATGTTATTCTTTGAGTTTTTTGTTTCTTTAGAGTGAACAATATTTTCCTGTTGTCTTTACACCCAAGAGAGCTAAAGATGCAAAATTTTGAGATGCGTGCAAAATGCAAAAACTTTGGGTGCTGGTTGCAAAAATGTTTGGTTCTCACTCCATTCCTTGGATTTTGTTGTATTCACTTTTAGGTGGCAATGGATATTACCAAAGAACAAAACTGAAGCCAGTCTAAAAACACTAATGTATACAAATCAGCCTAACTTTTTGCCAAGGATATTTATACCCTAGTTTATTTTTTTTTCTTTAATTATAGCTGATTAAGTATTCGTGACACAACTTGAGTCTTTTCAGAGATGGATTTCAGCTGTTATGTTATTTTGGACACATTTGTCTGAATTTCATTGGTAAAGTTTGATTGGTGGCATGGTTCTGTTTTCTGGACACTAATCATTTTTTATGCCTTTAAATTGTATTGCACTTATTTTTGCTACATCTATGCTTCTGGTTGTTCTTCATACTTTCCCTACAGATTTTATTCTTTCTACCTGTTCTTTACCATCCTCATTTCTATGCTTGGTGTTCTTTCTTCTTTACTAGGTTTTGTTAGCTTATGATCTACATTCTGCTGTTTTCTCATCGTTGTTTTTCTCAGTTATTGTATTTTGATGTTATTTTCTTCTTTTATAGATGCTGACTGCTTTTGTGAACCTTTTAGACTGCTTTAAAAAGTCATGCATACAATTTATTGTTTTTAAGAAACTTTAGCTCTTTTTCTGTATAAATCAAGATCCTTATCGTAAAGAAGACAAGGAGTTACACCCGTACACTTTCTTTAGACTTTAGGATATTAAGTCCTCTTTGTTGTTTATAATTTCTCTCTGCCTCTTTTCCTTGTGGTTTATTACTACTATAATTACTCTGAGATTCCTGGAATTATCCAATATGGTCAGAGTTCACAAACCCCTTGATACGGCTTGGCTGTGTCCCACCCACATCTCATCTTGAACTGTGGCTCCCATAATCCCTACATGTCATGGGAGGGACCCAGTGGGAGGTAATTGAATCACGGGGTGGTTACCTCCATGCTGTTCTCATGATAGTGAGTTCTCACCAGATCTGATGGTTTTATAAGGGACTTTTTCTGCACTTTTCCTTGCTGCCACCACGTGAAGAAGGATGTATTTGCTTCTTCTTCTGTTTCCTGACATGCTGAACGGTGAGTCAATTAAACCTCTTCCCTTTATAAATTACCCAGTCTTGGGTATGTCTTTATTAACAGCATGAGAACAAACTGATAGATCCCTCATTATGAAATTGATGGAAGTTATGATTCAAAGGCCAAAATTTAACTGGATATTTTGACAATTTTCTGGTCATGTTGGTGGTCAATATTAGTTCAGTGTGAATTAGGGGTAGAATAGTTCATAGTAAACGAGATCATGTGCAGGATTGGTCTAGCTTCCACTTAACTGATTGACTTTCACTTTAAAAAAATTTTTATAGAGAGACCTGGTCTCGCTCTGTCACCCAGGCTGAAGTGCAGTGGCATGATCATAGCTCACTGCAGTCTTGAAATGCTGGGCACAAGTGATCCTCCCGCCTCAGCCTCCTGAGTACCTGGGACTACAGGTGTACCACCATACTCAGATAATTTTTCATTTTTTATAGAGACTGGGTCTCACTATGTTGCCCAGGCTGATCTTGAATGCCTGGCCTTAAGGGATCCTCCCATCTTGGCATCTCAAAGTGCTGGAATGACAGGTGGGAGCCACCACACCCAGCTGAATTTCACTGTTATGGGAACTATCTGGGTACATTTTCACTCCCAATACTCCAAAGTTTGGTGCAGTCTACCAACTCAGGTGCAATAATAACGTGAAGTTCCTCTATTTCATTTTCCTGATTCACGATTGTAGTTATAGTGCACAGTTTTATCCCAGGTAAAAGGCACAGCTTATTAATATCATCCAATCTTAAATAAAATGTGAGTGCTTATACCAAAGTCTTCTTCCAAGTGGGAAGGCCCAAGTGAGAAATTTGACACGTTCAGGGTTTTTTCCCTCAAGGATCGTAATCAAGTGCTGGAAAAAATATATGATTTGATTACAATACTGGTACATTTTTATGCATGATGCAAGAAAGGACACTAACTCAGAGAAAAAGTGTAAGGGGATATTTGTGAAAGAGATTCCATCTGACCTGACTCCATGAGGATGACAAGGCATTAACCAGGGAAGTGGATTGATGCTTTATGGCAGAGAGGGAGCGATGTGTTCCTTGGCATGAGAATTTGAGACAGCAGATCTCATTAGCATAGCTGGTGATAACTCGGGGGACCCAGTGTGAGCCAGGGCATGCCATAAGCGAACACACACAGTGAGCAGAGGCAAAACAGTCACCACAGCCATATGCCTTGCAAAGAGATTCACAATATATCTAGAATATTTTAGAGTGATTGAAAATGATAAGGCAAGGGTATGAATTGGAGCATAGATGGAAACAATTTGTGATTTTGCCAAGAGATGTTTCACTTGTGAGACAGGTGAAGAGGTGTGTTTTTAAGAGGGTTAAGGATTGAGTGAGCCACAAGGAAGTTGAGACAGGAGATGCTTCAACTCAGAAAGATGAGCTGTGAAGGAAAAGAAGGAGAATGGTCAAATGTAAGATTTATACTAGAAAAAGGTGTATTGTTGATAGCGCATCATTTTGTCTTTTTTAAATTGTGAAAGGCCTGAAAGTAGACATGATTTAAGGAAACAAATCTGAGGGAAAATTGGTGAAGTGAGGTCTCTGAGAATTTAGAAAGATGATAGAATCTAGATGACAGAGATTAATTCTGAAATTAGAGATAAAGGTAATTTAAGAGTAGATACAATGTTAAAAATTAAAATAGAACAGAAAAATGGACTTGGCTATTAGAACTCAAATACTGGTTTTGAAGGAGTAGTAGAAGTGAAATGTTGACATCCTGCCCTATGTGCAAGGGTCAAACTGTCAGATTAAATTTGTAGATAGAAGGTCATAGGTCATTCTTTTCTAATTTGATCAATAGTCTGAAAGCAGTGGTGATGAGAGTTGACAGTTTTAAATCTTAGGATATAATTTATTCAGATATCATCCTATATTTTGAAATACATGAGTGCTTGAGAAAATAAGAGTAAAAAATTAGAACCAAAACATTACAAGTGAATTGGGTTAAAGATTAGGTAGGTAGATAAGAGAGAGAGAGAAAGAGAGAGAGAGAGAGAGGTATAATGGATGGATAGAGAGATAGATAGGATGATAGAGAGACAGACGGTAAATAATAGATGATATATAATAGATAGATAAGTAGGATGATAGAAAGAAAATAGAAGATATATATATGTATATTTATAGGTGATAGAGATAGATGATAGCTAGATAATGGATAAATGATAGATGCATAGATAGACAATAGATGGATGAATAATAAATAGATGATAGAGAGAGACATAAAACAAAAATGTTTTTAAAATCTGCAAAAATTGAGAAGACTGAAAGATCTACCATACTTTCTTGATTGGAAGAATCCAATTCAGAGATTGCCAATTAATATGTCAATTATTGCTGGTTGGAACAGACTGAAAGTATGCACACATTTTTAAATTAATTTACCATATAATCCAGTAATTCTTTTTCTTGATAATTACTCAAAAAGAAAAAAGAAAACATAAAGGCACACAAATATTTATGCCAGTACCCCCAAATCAGCTTAAACTGAAAAGAAGGCAGATGCCCAACAAAATAGATTAATAGATTAAAAATGTAGTATATACCTGCAACCAGATTAGGACTTATCTGTAGAAAAGAACAGAGGCATGAAAGCCTCAAAACAATATATTGAGCCAAGGAAGATAAACACACACAGGTATATTTTGTATGATTCCACATATTTGACATTCTGGAAAGTGCTATCTAAATTATGTTGGCTGAAAACAGATCATTGGTTGCCAGGGGCCCCAGGAATGGATGGTTTGCCTGGAAAAGGGAGTGAAGGAATGTTTTGAAATTATAGAAATGTTCTGCATATTTATTGCAGTAAGCATGTGGTTATGCTAATGTATACATCTTTCCACACTCATTAAATGATACATTTTAAATGGTTGCAGTTCACCGTATGTATTATGCCTCAGTAAATTAGATGAAAAACATGAATGCCCTAAACATTTTATTATATGGATGCAATAAGCAGACTAAATAAAAATAAAAATCCAACAACATACTATTTACAAGAGATGTGTATTAATGATGAGAATCCATTAGGTTCTAAGTGAGTTGACTGGCAAGATACACTCTGTAAACACTAGTAGTAAGAAATCTGAGGTAGCTATATTAAAATCTGGCAAGATAGACTTCAAAAAACAAAATAGGGAATCCCAAACATAAAATAGGATATTCCCTAATGAGAAAGGAGCCAATGCATCAAGAAAGCATGCAAATATGAAACATATATGAACACAATAATAGTGATTCAAAATACATAGAGCACAATTCTAACAGGGCTAGAGTTGAAAACAGGCAAATCCAAAATTACAGGATCAGATTGTAGTCCCCCTTTCTCAGTAATTGATATAACAAATATAATGTCAGTATGGGTAGCGATGTCTCAAGTAATCTTATCAAAAAACTTGCAATAGTTGACATCTATAGAATGTTCATCCCAAATTGTAGAATGCATCTTATTATCAAGTGCACATGAAGCATCCACAAAGATAGATTATATTCTGGGCCACAAAATAAATGATGATACATTTTAAAAGTTCAAAACTTTAGCAAATATATTGGTTCATCAATTAAGTTAAACACCAAGAAAAATGAGTATATAGAAAATTTTTGAATATTTGACAATTTAAGGAAAATATTTTAAATAGCTCAAGGGTCATAGACAAAAGTGCAAGAAGCTTTCAACATTCAACTTATTAAAATGTGTGGTATGCAGCTAAAGCAGTACCCTGAGGGATATTTACAGCCTTACAGGGTTTTTGATTCTTTTAAAGATTTACAGTCAAGGTTCTTTCTTTTTTAGAAGCCAGCAAAAGAAAGCAAATTAAGCCCAACATTAAATCAAGGAAGCAAATAATAAATATATGAACAGAAGTCACTGAAAGAAATCAATGGAGAATATATAGATATATGTTTTCAGAGTAATTTCTAAATTGCTTTATATTTTCCTTTGAGGAAAGCCTAAGACCTGGAAAGTTAATTTGTAATTTTAGCAGAAATAAACATATAAAAAATTATGGAAAAAGACAAGAGCTTCAGAGTGAAGAGGCAAGATGAAATTTAGAAGATAAGATGGAAGAATAGATGGAGACATGACCTTTCTCAGCAACCCACATCATTGCTAATATTCCTGAAAAATCTACAGGAGGAGACTTTTTTGTATAAATTTATGGGGTACAAGTGCAATTTTGTTACATGCTCAGATTACACAGTGGTCAGGTCAGGGCTCTAGCTTGCCCATTGCTGGAATAACATACATTGTAGCCATTAACTGATTTCACATCATTCTCTCTCTTCCCACCCTCTCAGCCTTCCTAGTCTCCAATGTCTGTCATTCCAGTGTCTCTGTCCATGTGTACACATTATTTAGCTCCCACTGATAACTGAGAACATATGGTATTTGACTTTCTGTTTCTGCATTGTTTCACTTAACATAATGACCTGCAGTTCCATGTTGCTTCAAAAGACATGATTTCATTATTTTTTATGGCTGAATAGTATTTCATTTTGTATATGTACATTTTCTTTATCCAATCCTCTATTGATGGACACAGGTTGTATTCTGTATCCTTGCTATTGTGAATAGTGCTGTGATGAACATACAGCTGCAGGTATCTTTCTGATAAATTGATCTATTTTCTTTTAGAAGTGGACTTGCTGTATTGCATCGTGGGAGGGGACATCTTTTGTATCAAGGCTTCCCTGTGCCACAACAGCTTGCTTGTCCATGTGCACGCTGAGACAATGGAAGCATGAAAACCTTTCAGAAATCATGAAGAGGGTGCGACGATTGCATGCAGTCATTCTGCAAATGCTGATTGGGCACTTTGATAGGCACTGGGCGTAAAGTGCGGAGAAAGCTTAGAAGCCCCTTCTCGTATGGAGTTTCCCATTTGCATAGGAAAAGGTCAACAAACAGGTAAATAACAAAAAGTATCCTATGTCAGGTGTCAACCAGAGGGCTGTGAAAAATGAAGTAGAGAGAATAGTGCTGAGAAAGAGATGGGTGACATCCATGGCGGAAGCCTTAATTGAGGGAAGATTACTCCAGGCAGAGAAAAGAATAGCAACCAATGCCCTGGATAAATATATCTCTCTTTTGTATGGATGCAGCAGGCTGAGTTGTGTGCTGCCAGTGGAAGGAATAGAATGGACGGTGGGAACAGATCCGGTTAGGGATGGTGGGAAGACCAAGTCAGGTGTGGCCTTAAAGGATTCACATGGATGTTGGCACTTCCTGTGACTGACACAGAAGACAACGAAGAACCATGGGCCCATTTGTGGTTTAAAAAGGATTGCTGCTGTGCTTAGAAGGATTCGTGGGGCAACATAGACAAAGAGAGGTCACCTAGGAAGGCATTGTGGTCATTCAAATGCTAGACCACCCGGGGTGAAACAAGGTGAACAGGGAGACAGAGCTGGTAGCAGTTAATGATGGATGAGGGTGGAGGGGGGGAACAGAGGAGTGGAGGGTGATGTTAGGCGGGAAGAATCTAATCAGATCTCCAGAGAAAGAAGATGGGCAGAGGGGAGAAGGAGCCCCTGGGAACACTTCTGAATTTGTAGTGATGATGTACATCGCCAAATGTGTGTATCTTCAGTGGTCATGGTGAATGGTGTGTTGGGAATATGTGTGCACAGCAAACAATTTAAAATAGGGATGCTTTGGAAACGATTGCACAGTCCCGAAAAGACAGATGTGATTGCTTTTACATTTTAGCCTGTGCCAAAACGTTGCATTAATACTTTATGCAGCACTCAGGGAAAATTACATTTAGTTTATTTTAAACAAAATATTAAGAGCCAAAGCTGAAATATTTATTTTAAAATTAACATGGGACTTTTTTTTTCTTCCTACTTTTTATAAAATAAATGAGCGTTTTCAACCAATGGCTCTTTCCTGTGAAACTACCGTATTAGCTATTTACTCTCTCTCTCTCATTAAAACTGTTTTAAATAAAAAGATAACATAGTATTTAAACTGGACTTGCAATTTGAACTTATTTATCTTTTCCATATTCACCTCTAGTCTACAAATGCTAAAATCTCAACTGTACAGGGAAAATTGAACATAGTTTCTCCTTCTTGTATATTAAAATTTAAAATATGGACGAGTGGTTAAGTTCATTGAAATTTTGATGTAGCACCCTTCTTTTTCCCAGTCGGTACATGAAAATGCATTTAAAGTTAGACTTTTTAAAAGCAGATAAATAAATAAAGTTAGGCCTTTGAATTCTGTCCCTTGTAATCATCACTAAACATACCTGAAAGTGAAGCAAAAATAAATGGTTCATTGTAACTACTTGTTACAAGGAGTTGTTTACAGGAAATTTTCATACTTTCATGGAGTTTCACTAAAAATATATATATTCTTGAATGTATACAGAGCATTCAAGAGTACTTATGGAATGAAGACAGTCATCAAAAATGCAACTTTTAATAGAATGAAAAGGAAATAGCATAAAAATGCCCATTTTTGACTTCCCAAGGAAAGAAGATTTGAAAACTATTTGAATTACAATGAGAAGTTATAATTTTTTTTTAAGTAAGAATAAGCCCAACAAGCATTTGGTGTGTTTTTAAGAAATTCTGAAAAGGTGGAGGAAGATGTATTGAATGAAGTTTGGGGAGTGAACTCATTTGAATAAAACTTCTTGTCTCAGGAGTGAGATTTAAAATAGCTGGCTCTTACTGTGCTTTCTCTGATATTGGCAGTTGAGTGAGGTGAGTCTTAAACATTATTTCATTAAAGATTTTTCATATTCAATGTACTCTATACATTGGGTGAAAACTTGGAATATTTTGAAGGGGTATTAGCAGTGCCATATTCTCCACTGAGTGTTGTTTAAATCCTAGTCTGTCCCCAGAGCTATGGACATAATTATTACAAGATAAGAGTGCTATTTCTATGTATATATGTACACAAGGATGAAAATGTTGAAAGAGTTCTTTGATTGTGTGGGAGAGCTGAATGCTAAGGCCTCCTGATCCAAAGCAAAACATAGTTGCTTGTTCCTAATGTCCAACACAAAATCACAGTCTCAGGGATTTTAAAGTTCCCCTTTGTCAAATCAGTTTAGCCCTGGTCTTGTTTTCAAAGATCGTTTCAATCCATGCATTCACATCCTGTTGTTTGTAGAAGTTTGTTGTGGAGTTAGCATGCATGTACTCAAATAAGACCTAACATCATTGTACCCTTACCAGAATCAGAGTGACAAAATAGGCTGAAATGTACATTTAGTGGATAAATGGTCTATTTCCCATAGAAATTAGCAACTCTTTCTAGGTTTCATGGGGGAGAAATTATCTTGTGGCTTTGAAGCCAATAACCTCATCTAAGACAACGTATTGTTACCAGGATAATTTGTCACACATACAACTGGTCACTCTTCACTTACCTCTCCGCAATCTAGTATTTCTATGCCAACTTCATAATCCTTATGGTCTGGGTAGAGAAATAACAATGAAAGGAAAGTTCATAGTGTTTTTTATTTTTTATTTATTTATTTATTTTGAAACAGAGTGTCACTCTTTCACCCATGCTGGAGTACAGTGGTACGATCATAGCTCACTGCAGCCTTGAACTCCTGGTCCCAAGCGATCCCCCCACTAAGTTTCCCAAGTAGCTCTAACTACAGGCATGTGTGAACATACCCAGCTAATTTTTATTTGTTTTCATTTTTGTAGAGATGAGAATCTGGCTATGTTGCCCAGTCTGGTCTTGAGCTCCTGGCCTCAAGCTATCCTCTCGCCTCAGCCTCCCAAAGGGCTAGGCATGTGAGCGTATAAGGCCCTGCTAATGGGTAGTTGTTTATTATAAAATAGCTTTGATTTACAGAAAAATTGTGAATGTAGTATAGAGTTGCTATAAATCTCTTCCTTCAGTTTCCCATGTTTTTACTTTACTATAGTACATTAGTCACAATTCATAAACAATACTCATACATGATTATTAACTCATCTTTGTATTTTATTCAGATTGCATTTATTTTACCCTAATATCCCTTTTATGTTCCACAATCCCAATCAGCATACCACATGACATTTAGTCTTTATGTCTCCTTAAGCTGTTCTTGACTGTTACAATTCCTGAAACTTTTCTTGCTTCTGAAAACCTGCTTCGTTTTGTGGAATACTAGTCAGATATTTTCAGGATGTCCCTACGTTCTTAGGCAATGGATGTTTTATCTCATAATTATGTTACAAGAAAGGGGTCCTGGTCCAGACCCCAAGAGAGGGTTGTTGAATGTCACGCACGAAAGAATTCAGGGCGAGTCCACAGTGCAAAGCAAAAGCAAGTTTATTGAGAGTAAAGTGGTGAAAGTACAGCTACTCCATAGACAGAGCAGGGCATTCCCGAAGCTAAGAGGAGGAACGCATCCACCCGAGGTACAATACTCATTTATATACAAGATAAAAATAGATCATGGGGAGATGTGCTGTGCTACAGGGTTTGTGATAAAGGATTAATTTCCTTAATTACTATATTTTGCAAGAATCAATATTATTATCTTTGAAGCAAAAGTAGGAGTGCTTCTGTTCTTAAGATATCAGGATGTTAGGACACTCCCAATTCTGGGTCTGTTCAGTAAACACTATCAATCTGTTCCCTTAGCCGCAAACATCTAGAGGCTAGGAACACCTAACTTTCTGTGAGTGCAGCCCAGCAAGTTCCAGCCTCATTTTCCTAGCCCTCACTCAAGATGGAGCCGCTCTGGTTCCAAGGCCTTTGGCAATTAGACTGGGGATACGTGTTTTGGGGAGGAGGACCACAGAGGTAAAGCATCCTCTTATTGGTTTTGATGTTGACCTTGATCGCCTGGTTTGAGATACTATTTTCCAACTTTCTGCACAGTAGAATTGCTTTTTCCCCTTTTGCATTCACTTCCCTGGAAGCAGGCCACTAAGACCAATGGAACCAATGATGATAAACATTTCTTTTCTCCCTACACCTCGCCATTTGAGCCCCTGCATATGCATTTTGCAGAAGGCTGAAGGTAACACGAGGCACACGACTTGTATTTTAGTGGGGAAGAATGTCATACTTATATAAACGCACCATTGGGATTATATTTAATTAACAACTGACATGACCAACTCCAGATTGAATGTAAAGATGAGAAGCAAAGGAGAAATCAAGAGTACTGGAATACAAAATTTGGTGGAGGCTGGAAAGGCACGGTAGCTCCTGCCTGTAATCCCAGCAATTTGGGAGGCTGAGGCGGGCAAATCGCTTGAGGCCAGGAGTTCAAGACCAGCCTGGCCAACATGGTGAAACGCTGTCTCTACTAAACATAAAAAAGCAGCCGGGCATGGTGGTGCACACTTGTAGTCCCAGGTACTCAGGAAACTGAGGTGGGAGAATTGCTTGAAGCCCGGAGGCAGAGGTTGCAGTGAGCTGAGGTCGTGCCACTGCACTCCAGCCTGGGTGACATGGTAAGACCCTGTCTCAAAAAAAAAAAAAAAAATTGGTGGAGGCAACAGATCTGGTGGTATGATATTCTGCTTCTGACAGAAATTCTAGGATGTAATAACTTCCTAGTAGTTCCCTCCATTTTTACTGCATGATATCAGCAGAGTAAAAATAAAGCAGAAAGAGAAAAAATGGCCAATACATGTCAGTTTCCTTGTGGCTCAATAGTTGTCATGTACACAAGTAAACAAGATTTCCCTGAGTAGAACCTGAGGGGAGTGTAAACCAAAAATAATATTCTAAGCCCCTCCCCAACCAGCTGAATGGACCCAGCTCTCAGACAAAGGCATTCCACAGTAAATCTGAAACACTATTTCAGGCCATGAATTCAGGCACAGCTGACCAGTATTTATATTAAAATAGAGACCTTAAGACTGAAAGAACAGACTCTGATGAGTCTCTGATAAGACTCTAATAAATCTCTGATAACACTCTGATAACTCTGATAAGAAACATTTACAATCCATTCTCTCTGAAGCCTGCTACCAGGAGGCTTCATCTGCACGATGAAACCATGGTCTCTACAGCCCCTTATTTTAACCAAGACACTCCCTTCTATTGATTCCAGGTATTTAGGGAAACTCTTTCAACCAATTGCCAATCAGAAAATCTTTGAATCCACCTATCACCTGGAAACTGTCCACCCTTCAAGTTATCTTCCCCTTGTGGACAGAACAAATGTACCTCTTACTTGTATTGATCAATGTCTCATATGTCCTTAAAATGTATAAAACCAAGCTATGCCCTCACCACCTTGGGCCCATGTTCTCAGGATCTTCTGAGGCTGCGTCACGGGCGCATCTTTAACCTTGGCAAAATAAACTTCTAAATTGATTGAGACATGTCTCAGATACTTTTTGGTTTATAGTAGCTAAGAGGGGTAACCATAGAACTGAAGGGATTTTTAATCCATGACACGGAGCTATATGTAAAATAGATGAACATGAAAAAGGCAGGGAAATAGAGTTTCTAGCTTGGGAAGCTTAGGCTGTAACCTCCACCTCCAAATCATCTCCTCAGTCCAATGATGCTAAGATGCACCTCTCTGAAATTGAAATTAAAACTCCTGTCAACTGAGTTTGCCATGAGTTATATGACTGAGTTTACTCTAAATAAACAAGAGTAGATGTTCTGTTCTTGATAGCCAGATAGCAAATAAATTTATTTCAGAAAAACATTTAAAAATGTGCATTTCTTCTACCCCTGAACATGTGGCTTGAAAAATTCTCCATTAAAGTGGATATTAGTGAAGAATGGCTAGTTGCTGTATCCTTCTCTGTTTTCTCTGTGTCTTTATGGAGAATCCTGTTGTACACCCAGAAACAATGCATCAAACTTAATAATACCTTTCTGACCCAACCTTCTAAACCAGGAAGCAGGCGTGAGCATTGCTGAGTGAGTTGCCAAGAGGGTTCTTTATATTTTTTTCCTAATGAGAATACTTTCATTATACAGGCATAATACATACAAGAGTTGTTTGGGGAAACATTTACAGGCGTGGAATTCAGTTCCAAATGTCCATTTCATCCCCCCGCGCTGTACTGCATGCTCACATTATGGTTCTGCCCAAAAAGAATGGGACAAAGAGCTAATGCTGTCTGAACAGAGAGCTTCGATTAAATAGTCTCCCAAGCCAAGAACAGAGCCCAGCATCCTCTTAATTCTTAATACCCTTGGTACATGTGAATAAAACCTTAAGATGTGTTATAGATTACCCCATCACCATTAAAAGTTATTATTAAAATTGAATCCCATTTCTCAAAAGGTTGTAAGAACTTGCAGCAGTGTTTACAGAGCCTATTGAATTATGCATAACTAAATTCTGTGCACTCAACACATTGTTTCTCAAAATTTACAGCCTCCATGGGGACTTGGGGATGACCGGCAGCAACAAATTGCTTCGTGCCTATCCTTTTCAAGTTTACTCGAAACATCTGAAATAAATATGTGAATAAAACTTCAGTACCTTAGAAGAATTTGTTGTTTCAAAGAGTCTTTCATTTAAAGAGTTAACTTTCAAAGTTTATTTTTAAGAAAAGAAAGGAATGGCTCATGCCTGTAATCCCAGTGCTTTGGGAGGCCTAGGCAGGTGGATCACCTGAGGTCAGAAGTTCGAGACCAGCCTGACCAACATGGTGAAACACTGCCTCTACTAAAAATACAAAAACATTAGACAGATGTGGTGATATATACCTGTAATCTCAGCTACTCGGGAGACTGAGGCATAAGAATTGCTTGAACCTGGGAGGCAGAGATTACAACGAGCCGAGATCTTACCACTTCACTCCAGCCTGGGTGACAGAGTGAAAAAAAAAAAAGGAACAAAAGAAAAGAAAAAAAGAAAAAACCATCAGCAGGCTTCGTTTCTACAAGTTTCCTAAAACCAGAAGTTCTTCTTTGAACATGGGATTTAAAGTGTGTCATATACCACTTAGTAACTAGTTGCTAGAATAGAATCTTTGCCTCCTACTAGAAGATTTGATTTCTGAAGAAGCTAGATAAAGAGAAACAGAGAAATACTTTTTTAAAGATAAATATTTAGTAGACACAAAAAAACCCAGCCATTACCTTAACACTGACAAAACAAGTTATTGTTGACCTGCTAACTGGATCACATCAATTTAACATTTCACCATCTAAGTATGTGGGTTTTTTCTTAGCCCAGAAAATTTATTTAAAAGAGATTTTTTTGTTTTGTTTTGAGACAGGATCTTGCTCTGTCACTCAGGCTGGTGTAAAGTGGTGCAATCATAGCTCACTGCAACCTCTGCTTCCCAGGCTCAAGGGATCCTCCCACCTCATCCTCCCTAGTAGCTGAGGCCACAGGTGTGCATCACCAAACCCAGGTAATTTTTGCATTTTTTTTGTAGAGATGGGGTTTCACCATGTTGCCCAGGCTGGTGTTGGACTCCTCCGCTCAAGTGATCTGCCTGCCAAAGGAGACTTTTTTAAAAAGTCTTTAAAAGATTCTGACTCAGCCAGGAGACCTACCTTCAAGCCTTTTCTTCCTTTCGTATCCTCTTTTCTGCAATTCAGAGATAATGTCTAGATCTCCATAAATCCCTGTGACAATTTTATGTGTCAACTTGACTGCACCACCAGGTGCCCAGATGCTTGGTTAAACATTGTTCTGGGTGTTTCTGTGAGGGCTGTGCTGAATGAGATTAGCATTTGAATGCATAGACTAAGTCAGGTCGATGGTTCTCTTCAATGTGGATGAACATCTTTCATCCTCGGAGGCCTGAATGCAAAAAAAAAAAAAAAAAAAAGGCTAAGAAAGAATTCTCTCTGCGCTGGACTGCATTCAATCTGGAAACTAGTCTTCTGTCTTTTGATTGGGACTTAAAGTGGAACTTAAACTATCGGTTCTCCTGGGTCTGGACTTATATAAAAATATATATATACATATGCATATGTGTATATATTTTTATGTAGGTAACTATATATGCCTGTGTATGTACATAGATATATATGTATGTATATTTATATATGAGTTTATATAAATATTTTTATATATGCATGTGTGTATATATATCTTTCTAAGATGTTTGGACATATATGTATATATATACATGAAACACCTGGGCATGATTGACACATAAAATTAATCATCACAAAGATTTATGGAGACATTGTCATCAATAAATATATGTATGTATATTTACATGTACACATATAATGACATTTATTCATATGAATATGGGATATATATGCATATACATACATACATAGGTAAATTTATTTATACAAATAGGATATATATGTATTTATGCATAACAGAATGAATAGGGTGTGCACACATCCTATACACACACACATGCTATTCATTCTGTTTCTCTGGAGAAACATGACAGATATAACTTTCTGGAGCAAAGATTAAAATTTAAGGATTTTTTTTTTTTTTTAAGACGGAGTCTTGCTCTGTCACCAGGCTGGAGGGCAGTGGTACGATCTTTGCTCACTGCAACCTCCGCCTCCCAGATTCAAGCGATTCTCCTGCCTCAGCTCCCCCTTGTGTGGAATTATCCTTCTAATTTTTGTATTTTTGGTAGAGATGGAGTTTCGCCATGTTGGCCATGCTGGTCTCGAACTCCCGACCTCAGGTGATCCACCCACCTCAGCCTCCCAAAGTGCTGGGATTACAGGCATTAGCCAGTGCCCCTGGCCCAAAATTTAAGGATTTTTAAAGTTTGCAAAAATGGTCACGTGGCTTGACAAATATGTATTTGCTATATTTTATTATTTCACGCTCTCCTGAATCAGGCATTTTGTTATGCTGTTTATTTGTTTCAGCTACTGCCCCCTACTTAAACAAAACAAACTTCCTTCACCACATGTTCCTTTCCAAAGACACCACATTTTTCTGTTATTTTCTTGCAAAATTCTTCAAGACAGTTGTCTAGACTCACGTACTCCTCTTTGTTTGCAATAGTCCAGACCGGGAAATGCCTATCCACCAATATTTAATAGTATTTAAACCATGATATATCCATATACTACTAGTCAGTGATACATGGGAATGAATAATGCAAACCACAACATAGCTAAATATCAAAATTATTATGCTGAGCAAAAAAATCCAGGAAAGAAAACCACACATACACTCAGATTCCATTTTTGTAAAATCCCACAGAGTACCAATGTATCTACAGTGTCAAAAAATGGAAGGGTCAGTTCCTGGGACAGGAAAGTGGGAGTAGCTGGAGTCAAAGGATACATTGGAAGTGGAGGGACATGTTCAATGTGTTGAATGGGAAAAAGTCACACAGTTGACTACATGTGTCAAAGCTTATCATTAGTCCCCTTTGAATATGTAAACATTTTTGTATATTATTTATACCCCAATTAAGGTTTTAAAAATTTATCTTTCAGTTTAGTTATAGACTTGTACTCAATTACAGAGGTTCAGTTCAGTTTCCATCTTTATTTTATATTCTGAATCATTACACTTTCATCTGCTTTTTTATAATTACCACGATCTCCTCAGTGAGGGCTGGTGTATACTGATAGCAAATTGTCGGACTGGGTATTATTATGAGCATGATTGTCCACGGTTTCTCTAATCTAGGTTGGTTACGAGATGGACAGTTGAAGAGGGTGGCTAGAAAGAACATGAAATCAATATCAGAAACTAGAAGCAAGGCAGAACTCCTATAAATTGGATTGAGGGTACAATCAAATCTTATATATGTGATTGTATATACATGGCAAAATTAAATTATAGATGTAGATTTGGAAGGGATTTTTAAGCAGACTAGGAGGTAAGAATTTGCTCCTGTTGAAATGTTTTGTTAAGTTTAAATATAAGCTTTTCTGAGACACTTCTTGATAACTGTTTCATGGTATAGATGCCACATTTTAATGTTGTTAAACCACAAGAACATCTTTAGTTTTAGAAAGTAAGTTTAAGGTCGGACACGGTGGCTCACGCCTGTAATCCCAGCACTTTGGGAGGGCAAGGCAGGTGGATCACCTGAGGTCAGGAGTTCAAGACCAGCGTGGCAAACATGGTGAAACGCCGTCTCTACTAAAAATACAAAAATTAGCCAGGCATGGTGGCAGGCACCTGTAATCCCAGCTATTCGGGAGGCTGAGGCAGGAGAATTGCTTGAACCCAGGACAGGGAGGTTGCAGGGAGCCGAGATCGTGCCACTGCACTCTAGCCTGGGTGACAGAGCAAGACTCCAAAAAAAAAAAAAAAAAAAAAAAAAAAAAGAAAAAAGAAAGAAGAAAGGAATAAAGAAAGAGAGAAAGAAAGAAAGTTTAAACATACCTATTCAAAGTTAAAGATAAAGAAACAGTACAGGAGTTGGATAAACATGTCTTGTACTGTATACTCTGTTTCAGAACTTCGGACATAAGAAAAAATTAACATTACTATTCTTGAAATACCTCAAATGTGTTAGCCCTTTTTACTTACCATAAAGGTCAAATATCCATCCAAACTGAAGCTTCTCTTAAAACTCATCTCATTAGTAAAACAACAGAATGTCACGTAAAACTCATCACTGCCAACCAGGGTATTATAAGACTTACACTTAACCAAGGTCTACGATGAACAATTGGTCCATTACACATCATGCCAGCAGACCAATACTATAAAATATAGCACAGATTCAGACTCTTTTCAACGTCTGATCCACTCTCAGTTTCTCCGGGGAAGGGAAGACAAATACCAATGAGATAAAGAAGTTGGTGCTGTGTCTTGTACTTGTTCTCGTTTGCGCTTACCAGAAAACTCCATGTGAGCAAGACCCCTCACTGGTACCATGACTAAGTTGACCTGGGACATCTTGTGTGTGTGTGTGTGTGTGTGTGTGTGTGTGTGTGTGTGTGTGTGTGTGTGTGTGTCACTCTAGTTCACATGGATGTATCAAATTTTATATGCAAATCCATTTCTTTACATATTCATAAGACAATCTTTCTGTCTTTCAGCTCTTTAGATTTTTCCATGTTACTGGTTTCTAGGTTAAAAAAAATCTAGTGTACCAAAATGACAATTTTGAAATTCCATAGCATTGGATGACATCATTTTAGCTATTTCAAGAAGCGCTCAATTCTAAGCCTTATATGTGAATATGAATCACTATTTCATGTTACATGATTCTACTTGGCAGTGAGTGGAGCTCTGCTTTGCTCAAGAAGAGTAGATGTATTTCTGTATTCCTGACATAAAGTAGAAATTTGGTTATGAAGATAGAAAAGAGATTGACTAACCTTTCTCATGGGATCTTTCCTCTGTAGGTTACAGGGGATAAGTACATCATTTCCATGGTGACCGGTGATGTAGAGAAGACACAGGAAAATTGACCACTAACAAGTTATATCCACTGGATTGAATGCCATAATGGATGTGAAACACTCATCTTCACTTTTTACATGAAGTAAGCAAAATTTGCCCCCACTTAAAGTAACAGAACTGTTGATTGTTGTTCTTTCATGTTCTTACTGCTGTCTGGTCTCAAATTTCTCTGGATTATGTTCAAGAATCTGTGTCTCTGAACTTTATTCATAGGACGGTGCTCTTAGTTTGTGGTATAGTCTTAGCATGAGCAGGGAAGCCCTGCATAACACCACATAGTATTTTCTTAGAAGGCATAGGGGTTGAGCAGCTTTGTTGGAGTTTTATTACTAGAGAAATAGAGATGAAGGCAGCAAGAAGAGAATCCTGTCTCGGAACCCTGAAATTCATCCCAATGGCAGTCATATCCTCAGGGTCCATGTTTTATTCTTCAGAGATTTTATGTACATTGGAAACAGGTTTTACAAAGTTACTTTTAAGTTTCACTTCAATGTGAATGGCTATATACAAAAGATTCTCCACCTGACATTTTGTTGTTTGTTTTTTCTAACTTTTATTTAGATTCACGGGTACATGTGCAGATTTGTTACATAGGTAGACTTATGTCTCTGGGGTTTGTCGTACAGTTTATTTCATCACCCAGGTACTAGGCCTAGTACCCAATAGATATTTTTTTCTGCTCCTCTCTCTCCTCCCACCCTCCACCCTCAAGCAGGCCCCAGTGTCAGTTGTTCCCTTCTTTGTGTCCGTATGTCCTCATCATTTAACTCCCACTTGCAAGTAAGAAGATGTGGCGTTTGGTTTTCTGTTCCTGCGTTTGTTCACTTAGGATAATGGCTTCCAGCCCCATCCTTGTCTCTGCAAAGGGCATGATCTCATTCTTTTTTATGGCCACATAATATTTCATGGTATATCTGTACCACATTTTCTTTATCCAGTCTACCACTCATGGGCATTTAGGTTGATTCCATGTCTTTGTTACTGCAAATAGTGCTGTGATTAACATATGTGTGCATGTGTCTTTATGATAGAACAAATTATATTCCTTTGGATATATACCCTGTAATGGGATTGCTGATTTAATTGTATAATATAATATAATATAATAATATAATATAATATAATATAATATAATATAATATAATAATATAATATAATATAATATAATACATATTATACAGAGCTGTAGCCATCAAAAGTATTTGAAGAGATATATAGCACAATATGATCCAGTTGAATCCAGTAATTTTTTTTTTTTTTTTTTTGAGGCAGAGTCTCGCTCTGTCACTCAGGCTGGAGTGCGATGGCGCTATCTCGGCTCACTGCAAGCTCCACCTCCTGGGTTCACGCCATTCTCCTGCCTCAGCCTCCCGAGTAGCTGGGGCTACAGGCACCCGCCACCACGTGTGGCTAGTTTTTTTTGTATTTTTAGTAGAGATGGGGTTTCACCGTGTTAACCAGGATAGTCTCGATCTCCTGACCTCGTGATCGAATCTAGTAATATATTTAAATGCGAATTCTTCATGACAAAGTGATTTATCCCAGAGGATAAGATTGTGCAAACATTTGAAAATTAATCATTTATATTGACCATATTATCAGAAATAAGGAAGAGATTCTAGTTATGGACTAAATTTTGTTCCCCCAAACTCCAAAATTTATATATTCAAGTCCTGATTCCCCAGTATCTGAGGATGTGACTATAGTTGGAGATAAGGCCTTTAAAGAGGTGATGAAATTAAAATGAGGATAGTAGGGTGGGTCCTAATACAATATGACTACTGTCCCCAGAAGAAGAGGAAATCTGGATACACAGAGGCACCAATGATACTCAGAGAAGAGTTCATGTGAAGACACAGCAGGGAGGTGGCCACATGCAAGACAAAGAGAGCAGTCTCAGAAGAAATCAACCCTGCCAACTCCTAGTCTTGGACTTCCAGCCTCCAGGACTGTGAGAAAATAAACTTTTTTGTCATTTAAGCCCCCCAGGCTGTGGTACTTTGTTATGGCAAGTTGACTTGACCAATTAATCGCCTGTAATTATCTCAATAAATAAAGAAGAAGCACTTGACAAAATTCAACATGTTAATTTTTAAAATTCTAACAGAAAAAAATCTGCAGAGCTTTATGTAGTTATCAAATAAGATCTTAAATCTAACATCCAAATTTAATGGTGAAAGGCTATGCTATTGTTCATGAATCAGGAACAAAATAAAGATGTCTGTTTCTGTTACTTTTAGACAAAATTTTGCTAGAGCTATTAGCAGTACCAAAAAGGACGAAAAGGGGTTAAAAAATGAACATAGATTACAAAGACCTAAAACTCCATCTATTCATACACAACATGATCATTTATAAAGAATATACCAAGTTATCTACAAAATAACAAGAAAATGAGTTCAGCAAGTTTCCAAGGAACAAGTTAAATAAACAAAATTAAATTTATTTTTATGCTTGTGCTATAAATATTTGGAAAGGAAAATTAAAACAATGTGTAATGCTCAAAAGCAGCAGAAAATATGACACACTTAGGATGAATTTAGTAAAGCATGTAATATTTGTAGACTAAAAAAGAAATCATTGATGAAATTAATGAAATAAAACATAAATTAGCACAGTAAATCACCAAGATTCAAGAGAAAATATAGATAACCTTAGATTTGGCAATGACCTTTGAGGTACAATACATAGCTCATTTCTTTCTATTCCTGAATATTATTTGTATCACAAGTTCAATTTATCACTTTTTTTCATATTTCATATTCACTTTTTTATCTTCTATTAAAAAAGTGATACATTGAACTTCATTAAAATTGAAAACTTATGCTGTGCAAAATATACTGTTAATAGAATGACAAAACAAGTCATAGACAGGGAGAAATCATTTTTGAAACACATATCTGATTAAGACTTGTATCCAAAATTTACAAAAAACACTTAAATTTCAAGGATAAGAAATGAAAAAAACAACCCAACAAAAAGTCAGCCAAAGATCTGAAGAGATATCTCACCAAAAAAGATATGCACAGGTTTGATAAACATATAAAAAGAGGCTCAACATCATATGCCTTTAAAGAATTAAAAATTAAAACAATGAGAGACCACTAGACACTTTTTTAGAGTGGCTAAAATCAAATACTGAAAACACTAAAGGATGACAAGGACGTGGAACAACAGTAATTCTCATTCATTGCTGATGGGAATGCAAAATGGTACAGCCACTTTGGAAGGCAATTCGATGGTTTCTTACAGAACTAAACATATTAATCCAACAGTATCAATAATTACATTAAGTTTAATCTTACCATAGGATCCAGCAACTGTGCACCTTGATGTTTACCTAAATGAGTTGAAAACTTGCATCCACACAAAAAATCTGCACTTGGATGTTTATAGCAGCTTCATTCATAATTGATCAAACTTGGAAACAAACAAGATGTCCTTAATTGGGTCAATGAATCAGCAAACAGTGATGCATCAGAGGATGGAATACTATTCAGGAATAGAGACAAATGAGCTATCAAGCTATGAAAAAACATGAAGGAACCGTAAATGCATATTTGTAAGAAAGAGAGTATGAACGTCCACATACCACATGATTCCAAATATATGACATCTCAAAAAAGGCAAAACTACAGAGACAGTAAACAGATCAGTGGCTATCAGGAGTTTGGAGGGGAGAGAAGAGGAATAAAAAGGTGTAGCTTAAAGAGAAATTTTAGGGCAGTGAAACTATTCTATCTGACACTGTATGGTAAATGACACTAAACATTTTTCAACACCCCAAAAAACTGTACAACACCAAATGTAACCCCTACTGTAAACTTAGTACTTTAGTTTACAATAGTGTATCAACGAAGGTTCATTAATTCTGTCTAATGCACGACACTAATATAGGATGTTAGTAACGGGGAAATTGTCTTCAGAGGGAGAGGGTGTATGCGGTAGTTGCGTGTACTTTCTCCCCAACTCTTCTGTGAACCTAAAACTGCCATAAAATAGTATTTTAAATTAAAAAAGTAAAACAACTACTGAACTTCAAAATTACATTCATGTCTCTGAAACGTTATGCTGAATGAAGTAAGCCAGACACGATAGGCTATATGATACATGATCCATTCATCTAAAATTCTAAGAAATAAATCTAATCTAAAGGGACAAAATTAGACCAATGTTTGGCTGCTGCTGGATGACAGGAATAGTGACTATAATGGGAAATAGGCAAATATTTGGAGATATAGAAACTGTACCTTCCTCTGGTGGTGCTTGCATAGGTATATATATCTTACATTTGTATTTACCTTAAGTTATTATAAATTAATAAAGGGGAAATTAAAATGCAAATTATGATCCATGAAATATTTAAAATGCTGAGAACTTTGGTATCCAATTTGCAGGCTACGGACAGAGTCTAATTAAATAATATTTAATCCATTCCCAATTAATTTTTTAAAAGTAACTTTTCATGAAAGACAATTAATTTTATGCATTTCCTTATCTTATTCTTGTTCCTCCCTCAAATTTAGTAGAATTACCTTAAAGGTATAACATTTTATAAGACTAAAAATATGACAAGAAATTCCGCTGAAGGTGTTGGCAGAAGGATTTGTATTGGACTGTGTTTTTCCTGGCAACACGAAGCAAAACTATACATACACACAAACGCACACACACACAAAGATACACAAACATAATAACCATACATAGTTTTATATAACTATATGTAATATATCTAATATTATATGTAATACATTATATGTAAGTAAATAAGTTTATATAGTCTATATATAGAAATAAGTTTATTTATATATATGTTTATATGTAAATAAACTTTTTTTTTTGAGACCAAGTTTCACTATTGTTGCCCAGGCTGGAGTGCACTGGCGCGATTATAAATAAAATTATTTTATATAATATATAGACTATAGAACTATATATATTTATATGTGTTTATATATATATAAATAAGTTTATATATTATTAACTTATTACACTTATAGAATTGAATTTATTAAAGTCAACTTATTAAACTTGTATAAACTTATTTTTACATAAACTTCTTTATAAAAATAATATATAACTATATAAATATATAATATAATACAACATATGGTTATAGTTATATAACTATATATAGTGGTATAGTTACATAAAACTAATATACATAAACTACATATAGTTTTACTTATAGTTTTTATATATACAGTTTAACATAAGTATATATAGTTTATATAAAAATTATACAGAGATATATTTATTCATTTCTGAAGGTCACTAGAATGCAATGAAAGTCAAGTATAAATTTGAGGTGTCAACACCCTTGTGTAAAGAGCAAAAACAGCAGATGACACTCATATATAACAGAGAGTCCTATGAGGGCACTTAATTTGCAAAGTACACGGAAAGAACATGTGAAGAAATAGCTGTTTGACAGGTTTGGGGAGTCAGATTTACATTCAATAGTGCCCATGAATTTGTAAAGCAAAGTTGGCTATATGCAACGGTAGACATCACAGTGTGATGAGTCCCTAAATCTATAGGAATTTCCTTCAAATCCTTGCCTAACAACTAATTTCAAATATTCAGTGTGAGACTCAAAGGATCCCCACAGAGAGCAATCAATTTAGGCTAAAAGAGCTGAGGAGAGGTTTTCTCAGCTTCTTGTTGCTGGGGAGACACGGGTTGAAGGTCAAATTCAGCTCAGTTAAAATAGCTGGGTCAAAATCCCGGGATTTTGCTAAAACCCTGCAAGGGTTGCATGCAAAGCAAAAAGACTGTGTTCTAGGAATAAGGGCCAAGTGAAAATAAAGAGAAACTCATTTTTTAAAAAGAATTTAACCAACTCTCTGCAGAATCAATGGAAGGTGATAGTAGTGTAATTTCCTGAAAGACCTCAACCCTTCAACGGAAGACAGCAAATTCAAGAGTCTCTAGACCTTGCCTTTCAGAAGGAAACACATGCTATAGAAAATAACTAAATCTGTAAAGAACAGGAAAAGTTAATATCACCTGGCCTAAAGGAAAGATACATGTTTGACTCATGAAACAAAGACATAAAATATATCTTATAATTGTGTTGCAGTCTTTACATTAAAAGGTGTATAGAATCTGTGAAAAGAATGGGAATAACAAGAGAGACATACTTTTATTAAATTAAAATGTCATTCTTTAATATAATTAAAAAATATACTTTAAAAGGTATAGTAAAAATGTACACAAGATTGAGAAGAATGCAAAAATGTTAATTTTCACCACTTCTACAAATCATTGTGCTGGAGGCTTGAGACAGTACATTATGCAAAGAAAAAGGAAAAAAAAGTACATAGAATGAGAAAAAAGTTATTTTTTTCTTTATTTACAGATTGTTACAGGAAAAATCCCAAGACTTCTACAAAAACAAATTCTAAACTAATAAATATGTTTAGCAAGGTTTCAGGATACAGATTCAATGTTCAGAAATTAAATCTATTTTTATTTTCTAGTAGGAAACAATTCAACATTTAAAAAAGTCATTCAATATGGTATAAGGATTATTTTGCAAAATGTGTGACCAAAAAATGTGATATTCATGGCTTAAAATTTTATATATGAGGACTTAACTCTGATTTTTTTTTATCTTGCCCTAATTCCTATCTAAGGGGTCTAGGGAGTCATGCCCTATAAACCATAAATTCTCATCAGATGGGTTTTATTTGATCCTATATATTGTGACTTACTTTTCAACCTGACTCTGGCATAACATTATGAGACAAGGAAAGAATGTTTAACCCCAAAATGTATTTCCTTGCCATACCTTGAAATTCCCCGGCAAAGTCTCTTGTGGCAAAAACCCACATCCTATAGAGAAGCCCCTTTCCCCTTTGTTTTCTTTCCTTTTTTTCCAGATCCAGGAGATAATCAACTAAAAGCCAGGCATCCTTTTAAGTCCCATAAGAAACATTTTACAACCTGCTCTCTCTGAAGTCTGCAATCCGAGAGCTTCCTCTGCACAATAAAACTTGGTCTCCACAATCTTTTATCTTGACCTGAACATTTCCTTTCTATTGATCCCAGGTCTTCAAATAAACTCAACCAATTGTCAACCAGAAAATGTTTAAATTTACCTATAGCCTGGAAGCCTCCCCTTTGAGTTGTCCCACCTTTGTGAACCAAACCAATGTATTTCTTAAATGTATTTAATTGATGTTTCATGCCTTCGTAAAATATATAAAACCAAGCTGTACCCCGACCACCTTGGACACATGTTCTCAGGACCTCCTGAGGGCTGTGTCACAGGCCATGGTCACTCATATTTGGCTAAGAATAAATCTCTTCAAATATTTTACGGAGTTTGACTCTTAGTCAACACACACACACACACACACACACACAAATATTTTTGAGAGATGAGAAACTAAGGAATGTCTGAATAAATGAAGTGATAGACTGTACTCATGAACTGGAAGATGCAGACTGCTAAGGTATTAATTATTCCCATTTGGGTTCATAGATTCATTGTCCTCTCAATCTATATCTTAGACAAATATTGTGCAAGAATTAAAAGGTCTATTCTATAATTTATTAAAATGCAAAATGTTGCAATAGATAAAAAAGAATAAAAGTAGAACATCATGCACTATGACTTCAAGACATTGCCTGAATCTACTGATACCAAAAAAAGTTTGATAGTGGCCAGAGAAGAGAATATAGATTGAAGGAAGAAAAGAGACAGTCCAGAAATTGACTCACACATAGTTAAACTCTCTTTTTAACACAGTTGATCAAGGAATTCCATGGGAAAGAAAAACATCTTCGACACATGTTGATGAAATGTTTGAATATCCTTATGGTTAAAAAGAAACTTCAACTGCCAACTCAGATTATGCACAGAAATCAATTCAAAATGAATTATAGACTTAATCATGAAAGTTAAACAATGGCCTTTCTCAAGAAAGTAAAATAGGAGAATGGGTAGGCAA
Source organism: Homo sapiens (assembly GCF_000001405.40). Taxonomy (NCBI): domain Eukaryota; kingdom Metazoa; phylum Chordata; class Mammalia; order Primates; family Hominidae; genus Homo; species Homo sapiens. The sequence continues at coordinate 5,157,769 of NC_000023.11, forward strand.
AGTCCTTCATGCCCTTGGGTAGGCAAACATTTTGTAGGGAGAATATTGAAAGCGCTAGCCATAAAAGGTAAAAATGGACAATTACACTTTTGCAAAATTAAGTACAATCATATGCCCTATAAAAACGTTTTGGTCAATGATAGACCACATAGGTGATGGAGTGGTGGGGGGGGAGGGTCTCATAAGATTCTAACACTATGTTTTTACTGTACTTTTTCTATGTTTAGGTGTGTAAATACTTATTGTATTACAATTGCCTATAGTATTCAATACAGTAACCTTCTGTAAAGGTTTGTAGCCCAGGAGCACTAAGCTAGACCCTATACACTAGGTGTATAGTAGGCTATACTACCTAGGTTTGTGTAAGTGCACTCTATGATGTTCGTCCAATGACAGAATTGCCTAATGATGCATTTCTGAGAAGGCATTCTCGTTGTTAAGTGATGCATCAGTGTATTCTGAAAAGGAGATAAACAAGTGAATTATAGGCACATTAAAATGAACCCAATATTGTTGGGATCATGGACATCCACTATAGAACTAAAATGAGATAACATCAAGACACATTAGAATAGCTAAAATATAAAGATATTGGCAAGGATCTGTTTAAAATAGTACAAATACTTTAGAAAACTGTCAGCCTGTTTCTTAAAACGTTAAACATATATACAACTTCCATGATCCAACAATCCAACTGCCATGCTTTTATCCAAGAAAAACCAAAAGACATGTCTTCAAAAGGCCTTCTACAAGAATCTTCATAGCAGTTTTGTTCATAATAGTCCAAAACTACAAATATGCTTGTTATCTATGAATAAGTGAATGAATGAGAAAATTATGACACAGTCATAGAAAGAAAATAATTAATAATAAATACAGCAATGTGACAAAATCTAAAATATATTAAGAAGAATGAAATAGGCAAGGAGTACATACTGTTGATTCTGCTTTTAAGCTGTAGGGTGGGAAGTGCTATAGAAATGTAATCAATGGCTTCTTCAGGAGAGGAGCATGAAGGAATTTGTGGGGTGATAATATGTTCTATATTCTTATGGGTTGTGCAATATATTGCATAAATACGGTAATATCAATTGATATATGCAGTTAAGATCTGTGCATTTCATGACATCTAAATTATTTGTCCGTAAAGCATTCTGAAGAAAATGTAAAAGAGAAATATTCAAGTGATTACTACATCAAAGAAGAATTTGGTGCCGAATAAAATACAACAGAAGAAGAGGGAACTGAAGGAAAAAATGAAAGAGCTGTTGAAGGAGTTTTCATTCATCTGGACAAACATGAAAGGGAAAGCTGAGTTCTATCTTCAGACTATCATTAAGCATTATTAAGTGAGTTTTATTTCCAGTGAAGATGCTATCAGAGATTATGTCCAAAAATTTGTGGTGTTACAACTTTAATACAAAATATAAGGAAGACACATATGTGTAAGAGGATCCAGAAAGGATAGGAGTAGATTGAGTCTGTATGTTGGAATGATTAGAATATGTCTCCTTATAGGTATTACACAAATTATGCAGGTGATATTGAACATGATTTCAAGATTTTATGCATTATTTGTATTTAATTTTAAATGTTTTACAATGAAAGATGATACAGGACAAAAATATAGAAAGGTATACTAAAAATCTACTAAACTCAAAAGCAAAGAGAGAGAAATGGAGAGAAAGCATTCAGATCATTCAATCCTTGTTGACCCTATATGAAATAAAGAAAGCAAGTGACAAGTCATAGAATCAAAATAAAAGGTAACTCAATGAGCTAAAAACTTTTGGAAAGTACAGAATCCAAGCAGAGAAAATAATCTCCAAACAGTGGCATGTTCTCAAAGCAAAGGTTCTTGTGTCAATGCTTTGGGTATATTCATCTGACACAGACATTTTTCATCAAACAACCATTGTTGTCTCTTCTGGAGGGTAAGTAGTGTTCTTTAAGATAATTTACCGGCCAAGTTAAGTAAAATGCTTTCTTTAAGATAAATTACTGGGTCCCAAACTAAATAAACCCAAAGATATTAAAGTATGCTGGAAGACAATGTTACCTGGTGGTTTATAAGACCTTCTTGCAAAGCTGGATCTGTAGACAGGGAGATGTTTTGCTTAACTTCTAAGATGTTGGGTTACTGAGCTCTGTCCACATTCTTTTTGTGCAAAATTGCTTAAATTCATAACGAAATTATGACTCCATGCCATGTGGCCTGAAGATGAGTCGTGTTCAGATTATATGCATTACATTTCAGCAGTTTTCTGGTGATGGCGTGATGTGTTTTATTCTCTATACCCACTACTTCTGATTCCCAGACCTTGTAGAAGATGTGTGCATTACCACAATGAACTTCAACTTGGTTTTGACAAAAAAACTCCTTACTTTCATGACTCATCCTACCCTTTGAGATCAGATGGCTTAGCTAAGCTCATCTGTCTTTTGCTTAAAATAAGTTTTATCCTAACCATATGACTAAAAAATCTTAACTATTTATCTGTCTATGTAAAACTCTACAAGTAGACATTTTCCACTTTTCAGAAAAAACGTTAAATAATTTAAATTTATGGCTCTAACTATATGGTTAAAATTAAAATTGCAAAGGGGTAAAGGGGAGAAGGGAGAGGAGCAGAAAAGATCACTATTCAGTACTGGGCTTCATACCTAGGTGTTGAAATTATCTGTATACCAAACCCCTGTGACACATCTTTACCTATATAAAAAACCTTCACATGTACCCCCAAACCTAAAATAAAAGTGAAAAAATAAAATAAATAAATAAAATAAAATTACTTAAGGGAAAAAAGTGACAAAAATTCTATACATTTCAGTGAAAGCGTTCTTTTCATAATAGTCACATTGAGAGAGTATGTGTTTGATTTAGTGTTGCTGGGGTTGCTAAAAACATTGTTGGATCTTTAAAAAATTGAATCTGGAATTCGTTAGTACATTTATATTTTTAGTCTGCACTCTTATTAGTTGTATGATTAAATTCCCATGGAAAAGATTGCAGTGTTACAGAATTTATTCCCTGTCCTCCCCAGTCCTACTCCTCTCTTCAGAATGAGTCATCGTCAACATTTCAGTGTCCATCCTGACATTCTGCATATCATTCCCTCCTGTGTATCAATATGCAATACATTTCTATCTAAAAAAATGATTGGGATCATATTATATCTAAATTATGACTTGCAGTTTTCCATGTCTGCTCATATAAATTTGTCAGATCTTCTGATTACCTAGTTTTCCATTGTATGAACGACACAATTTTCTTTTTGATTCTTTTATTTATCTATTTATACAGGGTCTTGCTACATCACCCCTGCTGGAATGCAGTGGTGAGAATCATAGCTCACTGCAACCTTGACCTCTTGGGCTCAAGCAATTCTCTCACTTCAGTCTCCTGAGTAGCTTGGGACCGTATATACATGCCGCTACACAAGACTAGTGTTTTATTTTTAATTTTCTGTCGAGGTGAGACTTTGCTGTGTAGCCTAGGCTGGTCTCAGACTCCTGGATTCAAGTGATCCTCTTGCCGTAGCCTCCCAAAGTGCTGAGATTAGACGTGTGAGCCACCATGCCTGGCCAATGGTCACTCCTTGAGCTTCTAGTCTAAATAGTATGATGCCATAGACATAGCATGTTAATATGATGGTAGCATATGGAGGGAGCCCAGGCCCTTGCTATAACATAAGGCAGAAGAGAAGACAATGCATTCGGGAAGAGAGACTGAATGTCAACTGATTTCTCTTCCAACTGATGGAAACTCTTTTTAATTCTTCATCCTATAAGAAATAGAAAATAATACATTCCACCAAGCAATGATTGCATACCATGTAACTAAGCCTATGTTCATCTGTGTTCAGAAAAACAGAATATCAAATCTAGTACAAAAATTGTAATTATGGCTAGTTCTTGTTTGAATTTGCCTAGTGCATGGCCATCCTGTAGATTTACCTGATTTTTACACTGCAGGAAATATGAGATAAATGGGAATATGAGGACTACAACCTCAGAATCCTTCATATCTTTAAGACTGTCATGTATTAGTCCATGCATGGTGGCTCACGCCTGTAATCCCAGCACTGTGGGAGGCCGAGATGGGAGAACAGCTTGAGTCCAGGAGTTTGAGGCCAGCCTGGGCAACATAGGGAAACTCCGTCTTTGTTAAAAAAAAAAAAAAAGGATAAATTCTTTAAAAATGGCATGTATCTATAAAACTCTCCCAAAGATGTATTGGTGCATCTATTCCCAAATTTGGCAGTGTATAGTAATGCTTTAGAAAAGATAGTGTTTCAATCATCAAAAGTGAGCTTAAAAATTAGTTTGGTTGAAATTGTCTCAGACTCAGTACTCACTGGATAAACTGACTTATTACATACTGCCTTGTTATCAGCAGTATTAAAATTACTATGCAATGATATTGGATTACATGGATAAGATATAATAATAAATAAAAATTTTCCAAAATGGTGCTGAAATAGACTGGATTTAAGAATACTTACACAATTACTTAAGAGATATTCTGAAGGTTCTGTTTTGTTTTACTCTGAATCTAAAGACAACACAATTTTGTATCCTTTAACAAATATCTCCCTATCTCCCCTGTCTTCTCTTCCTCTAGTAACCATCATGTCACTCCACTACTATAAGATCTTCTTTAGTGTCCACATATAAGTGACAAAATTGGCATTTATCTTTTTGCGCCTGGCTTATTTTACTTAACATAATGTCCTCCAGGCTCATTCATGCTGCTACAAATGACAGAATTTTCTTCTTTTTTAATGGCTGAATAGTATTCCATGGTGTATGTACACCACATATTCTTTTTCCATTCAACCATCAATGGACACTTAGGTTGATTTTGTATCTTGACTATTGTGTATAGTGCTACAATAAACATGGGGTGCAATTACCCCTTTTATATATTGATTTTTTTTTTTCCTCCTTTGGGTATATACACACTAGTGGGATTGCTGGATTATAGGGTAGTTCATTTGCAGTTTTTGCGGAACTTCCATACTGTTCTCCATACTGGCTGTACTAGCTTACATCCCCAAGAACAGTGTATAAGAATTTGCTTTCCTCTGAAATGTCCTACTGTTATGTAAACTATCATTATTAGTCAAAAGTGTATAATGGCTTCGAAGCAAGAGAGAGACCCTCTCATATTGTTTTATATTGTTTTATACTCAGTACCTGTTTTAAGAAGAAACAACAAAAAAGTAAAACCAAAGACAGGCAGTCCGGCGCCAGGCCCGAAACCAGGCCTGGGCCTGCCTGATCTAAACCTAGTAGTTAAAAATCAACTCAGAGACCGATGTTATTCATAGATTCCAGACATTGTATAGAAGAACATTGTGAAACTCCCTGCCCTGTTCTGTTTCTCTCTGACCACCGGTGCATGCAGCCCCTGTCACGTACCGCCTGCTTGCTCAAATCAATCACGACCCTTTCATGTGAAATCTTCAGTGTTGTGAGCCCTTAAAAGGGACAGAAATTGTGCACTCGGAGAGCTTGGATTTTAAGACAGTAGCTTGCCGATGCTTCCAGCTGAATAAAGCCCTTCCTTCTACAACTCGGTGTCTGAGAGGTTTTGTCTGCGGCTCGTCCTGCTACAGTTTCACAGAATCTCTCTATACTGCTTTTGCAAAATCTGTCATCTATGTTATTTCAATATGAATAAAACGTTTAAAATATTATAAACATTCAGAAAGCATAGTGATCATTTTTTTCTTTTTACCTACGCTTTCACTTATTTCTTTTCTTTCACAGAAAGCTACGAAATAATATTGATTATGTGAATGAAATGGTAATCACAGTGTTGCCTGTCTTTTGTGGAATCTAATTAAACCTGCTGGCTTCCAAGGTAGTAAAGGAAATAAAAAAAGTTTACTCCAAAATACACTTCATTGATATATGTCAAGATGACTAGTCAGAAGTGCTGGAAACACAAGAATAGCAGAAAAGCTGTTTTTTGTGGAGGAGATTTGCATCTGTGGAGAAAGTGTGCATTTAGGCAGCCGGCTTTCTTTGATGGACTCCCTTGTTGGGATTTAAGAAAGAGGAACTGAGAGACTGACATCTTTAAAGGTCTGAAAGAGACATTTACCATCTATTCTCTCCAAGGGCTGCTATCTGGGAGGTTTCATCTGCATAACAAGACCACTTTTGCTGGCCAGGCCTCCTCTTCTCTCCTCTTATAAGCTGTGTTGCCAGGACCCAAACCCCCATTCTTTCTGTAAACTCAAGATGGTATGAAAGCAATAACCATCTGGCCATTTCTTTGAGATATTCTGTTTCATAAGAGTTCCGTGCACCATAATAAATTTGTGTGTCTTTTCTGCTATTAATCTGCCTTTTGTCAGTGATTGTCAATGAACCTTCAGAGAGCAAAGAGGCATTTTCTTCTTTGTCTTTGCAATAGATACAGTAACTTCAAACCTCAACATGTTCTATACTTCTCAATAAAATGTATAGAAGAGGTACTGAGTTACATACTACTACGGGTTTTATTTTGTTGTTACTGTTGCCGTTGTTTTCCAATAATCAATATTTAGGGCTTTATTGGCCAACAGGCCACAAACTCTTCCAGTGTAGCATGAAAGCAGCCACAGACAAAAAGTTAAAACAATGAGCATGGTTACAAGAAAAGATCCTCTCTCTATGAAAAATACAAACATTAGCCAGTCATGATGGAGGCTGCAATGAACTATGATTGTGCCACTGCACTCTAGCCTGGGTGACAGAGTGAGACCCTAACCTCCCCCACCAAAATAATAGCATAAAATAAAAAGAAGGATCTTTTATGTCAAAAGTGTCCATTTTTGCATTCATGTGATTTGGAAATTTTTCATCATACAGGAAAGAAGTAAACATCCTTTGCCTTATAATATATTGGGCAAGAAATAAATAAGGAAACCTGAACGTAGAAAAATATGTCTTAAAAGTTCTGTTTCTTTCTTCTTTCCAACTGCTATCTACCTAACAGCATCTATAGAGACAGGGGGAAATGATTTCCTCCTTTTAACTTTCAAAAATTAGGGGAGCAGGCAATGACATTTCTTTCTACAGTGGTTCCAATGAAAAGTCAAGCCAATAAAAAGTGTATTACAGATTACAGATTCTCATACAGATGTTAAGGAAAGAGAAACAGCCACAGAAGTTGATGGTCTAGCTCAGTAACTTCAAACAAAGCATTTGAGCATATGGACATGGTGTTATCTTAGTGACTCCAAAGAGGCTACTTTAGAGGAAGAAAGGGAATTTTACATCTCGTTTTCTCTTGAGATTTTAGCCTCAGAGTAATTAGCAAATTTCCAAGATTCATTTATGACATCTTCAAACTGGGGGAGGTATCTGAACACTTTCCTGGACTGTTATGAATGAAAGATACAAGAAGTGAAATTTCTGAGCAAATTAGGCTAAGAAGTTGGTTATTAGAACCTGCTAATTTTGTTTTGTTTTGCCTGTTGTTGTTAAAAATGAAGGTCCTTTGCTTTTAGAGACACCATTCCAATATCCTTCATCTAGATTCGAGTCCTTTCCTGATACTTAATATTTGTCAAGGCATGAGTAAACAATGATTGATAGAGAGGATTTGTTCTTTCAATGAACTTGGAAGGATAAATAGCAAGCTTAAAGTGTAAGAAAATCTACTTCCACGCTTTCCAGAAATAAATTTGCTCCTTTTATGAATGCTCTGCTAGTTCTTGTAATAGATAAATGCAATAGCAAGTATATTCTTGTTGGAGGTTAGAAAACAAGACCCAAAATACAGGCCACAGAAGCAGCTCTCTCTGATCATCTTCTGCCCTCCTGTCTCTTGGTTGCATTTTCCCTCGAGGCGCCATAAAAACTAGAATCCCTCTTCCTCAAGGTGGGTCCTAGAAATCAGAACCCCATTTCCCCAAAGCCGGCCAGAAAACCTAGAAACATGACCCTAACTTTCTGTGTAGAAACTGGCCATGAAGAAATTCCCGGACCTACCTTGTTTGACTGTATGTCGTAAGACCCTCCATTCCAGAGAGGGTCCTACCCCACACCCAGAAGGAAGAAAGAATGTTCAGAGAGGACAAAAAGAGTCTAGACAGACAGGCCTGGCTGGGTTTTCCCACTCCGTCCATTAGCTTTAGATCAGGCCTTTTTGGTCCAATCTTATTTCTAAAAATGGACATTTTCCTATGTATCTTGGGGTATTTATTCTAAAGGCCCCTGTGTATACACATTAAATAAATTTGCATGCATTTTCTCTGATTAATCTGCATTTTGTCAGTTGACTTTCAATGAACCTTCAGAAACTCTTTAGAGACAAAGAAGTTTGCCCTTGGTCTCTAAAGAGTTTACATAGCATTTTCTGTATAAGCATATAAAGTACATTATATACATGTATGTAAAACATATACATGTTGACACATGCATCTTTAAACAAATTTTAGAAAACCAGACTTGGAGCCAAATTAAAAAAATAAATAAATAAACAGAGGCAGAGGTCAACAAGATAGTTGAACATATTCAGGTTGTTCAGACGTTGTTTCCAGTGAGGTCTTCAAAGCCCCATACTCTTTGGCATTTTCCATTCCCTCCCCCTCCTTTTTTTTTTTTTTTTTTTTTTTGAGACAGAGTTTTACTCCTATTGCCCAGGCTGGGGTGCAATGGTGCGATCTCAGCTCACTGCACCCTCAAACTCCTGGGGCTCAGACGATTCTCCTGCCTCAGCCTCCCGAGTAGCTGGGACTACAGGCACGCACCACCATGCCCAGCTCCCATTCCCTTTTGATCTTGGGGCATAACCGGAAATTAGATACTGACTCCCAGCGTATTGGGAAGCTATTATGGACCAGTGGATTATCTGTTCTATCAGTTGCTAAGAAAGAAACACAAAGAACTTGGACTGAGGCAGACTCTCATTTGCCCTAGATAGGTCTTGTTATTTGCCTTGAGATCTTTGTCTCTAAAATAAGTGTGGGTGTAGGTTTTGTTTTATTTTTTTAATGGTATGTACCCACCCTGCTGAAAAGCACTGAGCAATGAGCAGGAAAAGTGAGTGTCCCCTAAGAAATGCAGTCATTCCTAGTTCAGAAGTCCATTCTTCTATGAGACACTAAGCAACAGATGCACAAAGTTAGAAACCTGCAAAGGTCACATGACTCACTCACACTTGTGCTGCCGGGTTCTAAGGTTACTTTAATGTGTCTCAGATTCCAAATCATTTGGATGCCATAAGTCCACCCATACAATCGGTGATTTGGCATCAACCGGAAAAGCTGTTAAACTTCTAGAACAGGGTTTCTCTGCCTCATCATCATCGGCATTTGAAACCAATATTGAATTTTTAAATTTTAGATTCAGGGATTACATGTGCAGGTTTGCGGCAAGGGTTTATTGACGATGCTGAGGTTTGGGCTTCTATTGATCCTGTCACCTAAAAAGTGAACATAGCACCAAATAGGTAGTTTTTTTTGTTTTTCTTTGTTAGTTTAGTTTAGTTTAGTTTTGTTTCAAATGACGCTCCCCTCCTTCTCTCCCCGCTTTTGGAATCCCTAGTGTCTATTTTTCCCATCTTTGTGTTCATGTGTGCTCAATGTTCAGCTCTCACTTATTAGTGAGAACACGTGGTATTTGATTTTCCATTTTCACATTAATTCACTTAGAATAATGGCTTCTGGCTGCATCCTTCTTGCTGCAAACGACATGGTTTCATTCTTTTTATTGAATTGGATATGCCTTTGTGGTGGGGGCTGTGCCGGGCAATGTAAGATGTTTAGCAGCATCCGTGGCCTCAACCAACAAGATGCCAGTAGGACCTACCCCATCTTTTTTATTGACAACAAAAAATGTTTTCAGACATTGTCAAATGTCTCCTGGTAGGGGGCGGGGGGCACAATAGGCCCCACTTGAGGACCACTGCTCTAATGCCCATCTAGTCGGTGGTCCACATTGTGCTGTATTCCTGATTGAATGAAGTACTAGAAAGCAAAGTAAAAAACATAAAATCTTTCTTAATGGAAAAACAAAATTAATGTCAAGTATTGATTCTGTGATACGAATGAGAACATGGACCACACATGGCTGCGTCGGAGTTATGTCTCTGCCTTTCAGAGGATGCAGCCGCTTCACTTTCCTTGCCTATCTGAGTCTTAAGGCAGCTGTGGTTTGGGCTGAAGAATTTCCTTGGTGGGATTCCAGTAATGATGGATGGCTGATGCTCCCTTTCTTGTCTACCCATCTCAAAATACTCTCATAAGCAGTCATGACTCCATACTCACTCTGACTGTAGACATTCCTTATCTCTGCATTGCACTATTGCCTCCATAGTGGCTTTTGTGGACAACCTTTTCAATTTCTATCATTGATCCTGATCCGATTCTTGTGGCCTTACTCAGCTAGTATGGTTTGTTTGTTTGTTTGTTTGTTTGTTTGTTTGTTTTTGAGATAGGGCTTTGCTCTGTTGTCCAGGCTGGAGTGCAGTCGTATAATCTCAGCTCACTGTAGCCTCGAACTTCCTGGCCCAAGCCATCCTTGTGCCTCAGCCTCCTGAGTAGTTGGGACCACAGGTGCTCACCACCACACCTGGTTAATTTTTAAAATGTTTTGTAGAAACAGAGTGTCACTATGTTGCCCAGGCTGATTTCAGATTCCTGGCCTCAAGCGTTCCTCCTCCCTTTCCCTCTCAAAGCGCTGGGATTACAGATTTGAGCCACCAAGCTTCGCTTCACACTAGTATCTTTTAAGCTGCTCACTTTCAAAAGAAAATAGAAAGAAAGCAAACAAACAAATAAAAGCCCCAAAATACCATTTGGATGCTGGTTGTGGAAATGGTAAGTTTTAGACGTTTTTATCCAGAACACTCCAGTATTGAGATCTTTCTGCTTTCAGATACATTATAGATGCTGCAAAAAATGTGCCTGGACACAGCACAATAGATGTGCCTCAGTGCCTTCAAATGCTTCCTGTAGAAGACTTCTTCTTGTCTTCAGTACCCCAAAAGAATTTATTCTCTATTGTTTAATGGACTTAATGGAGTCCAATGTGACTTAATGGAGTCACAGCCTCCTCTACTATAACTACTCAAAAAGGCCTAATTAAATTTTACTTCCTCTCTTTCTTCATTCCATCCTTTTAAACTCTACTTTTAATTATATAATCTATTACCCCGAGTAATTTCAATCACAACATAAACACCAACAAATAATGTTCAACCAGCAACTACCACTAGTCAACATCCATAATCATATAAAGCACCCGCACCTATAGAATCCTCACGAATCAACCCTGACCCCTCACCATCAAAAATCACTCAACTTCCCATGTTATTAAAATTAACTATGACCAGCAATCCATCATACTCAGCTGTTCACCAAATTAGCATCAACTCTATTACTAAACCCAATAAGAAACTCCCTAAAACCTCAATACCTGATCCTCACGCCTCTGGGTACTCCTCAATAGCAATCGCCATAGTATGACAAAAAACAACCATCATCTCTCCCAAATAAATCAAAAAGACTATTAGGCCTATAAAAGCCCTACCATAATTGAACACAATAATGCAACCTGCAGGACCACTAATAATTAACCCTAACCACCCATAAATAGAAGAAGGTTTAGAAGAAAAACCTACAAATCTCATAACCAAAAGACTACTTAACAAGAATAAAGCATATGTCATTATTCCCACATGGGTTATAACCATGACTAATGATGGAAAAACTATCGTTGTACTTCAAACACAAGAACACTAATGACTATAATAAGGAAAACAAATCCACTAATAAAAATTATTAATTACTCACTCATCGATCTCCCCACTCCATCTAATATCTCTATATGATGAAACCTCTGCTCACTTCTTGGCACCTGCTTATTCCTTCAAATCATCACAGGGCTATTCCTAGCCATACACTACACACCAGACACCACAACTGCCTTCTCTTCAATGGCCCATATTAATCGAGATGTGAACTATGGCTGAATTATCCACTATCTCCACACTAATGACGCTTCAACATTCTTCATCTGTCTCTTCCTACACTTTAGCCGAGGCTTATATTATGGCTCATTCATATACTTAGAAAACTGAAACATTGACATTATTGTCCTGCTCACAACCATAGCAACAGCATTTATAGGCTATGTACTTCCATGAGGCCAAATATCATTCTGAGGCGCTACAGTGATTACAAATCTACTATCAGCCATCCCATGGACAAGATCGGGGCTGACCTTTTTCAATGAATCTGACGCGGATTTTCAGTTGACAAAGCCACTCTCACACGATTCTTCACCATTCATTTCATCTCACCTTTTATCATTGTAGCCCTAGCAACGCTTCACCTACTATTCCTCCATGAAGCAGGGTCTAATAACCCCTCAGGAATTTCACCACACTTCGATAAAATTACCTTCCACCCTTACTATACAATCAAAGATATCCTAGGTGTAATCTTCCTCTTCCTTCTTTTAACAATGCTAGTACTATTTTCACCTGATTTCTTGAGTGACCCAGATAATTACACCTTAGCCAACCCCCTAAACACCCCACCCCAAATTAAATCAGAGTAATACTTTTTATTTGCATATGGAATCTTACTATCTATCCCCAATAAACTAGGAGGTGTATTAGCCTTTCTATTATCTATTCTTATTCTGGCAGTCATTCCTGCACTTCACACATCCAAACAACAAAGCATAATATTCCACCCACTAAGTCAATATATGTTCTGATTCTTAGTCACCAACCTATTGGCCCTCACATGAATTGGAGGACAGCCAGTTGGCCTTCATTATCACTGGACAGATAGCATCCATAATATACTTCTCTATTATTCTTGCCCTAATACCACTCATTTCCCTAATCGAAAATAAACTACTTAAATGAAACTGCCCTTGTAGTACAACCCAATACACTGGTCTTGTAAACCAGAAATGAAGAACCCTCTCCCCAGGGCAACTCAGAGAAAAAGCACTCCAGCTTCACCATCAACACCCAAAGCTGAGATTCTTTTTTTTTTTTTTTTTTGAGATGGAGTCTTGCTCCATTGCCCAGGTTGGAGTGCAGTGGTGCGATCTCCGCTCACTGCAAGCTCTGCCTCCCGGGTTCACACTATTCTCCTGCCTCAGCCTCCCGAGTAGCTGGGACTACAGGCGCCTGCCACTAGGCCCAGCTAATTTTTTGTACTTTTAGTAGAGACGGGGTTTCACCGTGTTAGCCAGGATGGTCTCGATCTCCTGACCTCCTAAACCACCCGCCTTGGCCTCCCAAACTGCTGGGATTACAGGCGTGAGCCATCACACCCGGCCAAAGCTGAGATTCTAATTAAACTACTCTCTGTATTCTATTCGTCATGAATTTTAAGTACTATATAAGTATTGACCATTAATACTGACACATTAATACTTTTATGTACTCCGTGCATTGTTGCTATTCACCATGAATAATATATAGTACTATCAATGCTTGATTGTACATAGTGCATATATGAACCATACAGTACTAAACAGCCTACAGTACATGCATATAAGCAAGTATTAGTAATTTCTCAATCAACTGTAGTAAGTCAATACTACATTTACATGTAAACCAATCCCACACAAATATTAACCAGTACTAAAATTCCTTAATATTACTTAGTACATTCATTCATTCATTGGACATAGCACATTTCAGTCGAATCTACCCTCGTCAGCTTTTCCACTCTGAGTATCTCTTGACCCATTCACCAGGTCTTGTTCTGTTGCCCAGGCTGGAGTGCGGTGGTGCAATCATAGCTTACTGCAACCTCGATCTCCTGGGCTCAAGCAATCCTCCTGCCTCAGCCTCACTAGTAGCTGGAACTACAGGTACACACCACCATGCCTGGCTAAATTTTTTAATATTTAGTAGAAACAGAGTAGAGACCAAGTAGCCCAGTCTGGTCTCAAACTCCTGAGCTCAAGAAACCTTCCTGCCTCAGCCTCCCAAACTGCTGAGATTATAGGTTTGAGCCACTGCACCTGGCCTATCACTTTTTTAAAAATTTTACACCTTCAGTGAGCTTCATGTCTGCTTCAACATGATCATAATAGTTATTACTATGTATTGCATTTATTAATTTACATGTATCTCTACCCCATAATCAGTAACCACCTGCTATAGTCCTAATTCCACACATCAGGCTAAACCATGGATAGATCATAAAATATGCTGAGAAATGTTGCCACAAAATACAAAACAAAAGGTGACACACAATTTCTCCACTGATGATAAATAATTAATATAATTTCTCCTAATGGGGCAAGTGTTCTTGAGAGAGAACTTTCTTGCAATCCATCTACGCTGGATAAAGGATCAAATTAAGCTATAATGTATTTGCCACTAAGAATTGTTGGGTGCAGTGGGTCACGCCTGTAATCCCAGCGCTTTGGGAGGCTGAGACAGGTGAATCACAAGGTCAGGAGTTCGAGACCAGCCTGGCCAACATGGTGAAACCCCGTCTCTACTAAAAATAGAAAATATTAGCCGGGCATAGTGGCAGGTGCCTGTAATCTCAGCTACTCGGCAGGCTGAGGCAGGAGAATAGCTTGAACCTGGGATGCGGAGGTTGCAGTGAGCCGAGATCACGCCACTGCACTCCAGCCTGGGCAACAGAACGAAACTCCATCTCAAAAACAAAACCTAAAGCAAAAACAAAAACAAACAAATAAAAAAAGAATTGTTGAATAAGGCAGATACAATCATACCACAAAGTAATAAAATAGTCACTTGACATACACACACACATTTGTACACATATCTTTCTATCTCTCTCTGTCTATATCTATCTATATCTGTGTATATATATATACATCTGTAAATCTATATCTGTATATTTATGTCTATATCTATCTATAAAAAGTCTACATCTATATTTGTAGATCTAAAGGTGTCTATCTATCTATCATGATCTAGATATCCACCACCTATCATTCTATCTATCTATCTGGATATAGATGTATGATTGCTTTATCTACCTATCTATCTACCTTGATATAAATAGATGTTATCTATCATCTATCTATACTATCTGTCATCTATTTTTTATCTATTTATGTGTCTATCTCTCTATCTGAATATAGATGTAAATAGAGCTATTATTCTATTTATCTATTAAAAATAAATTAATAGACAAATAGAATAATAGATAGATAATATATAAATAGAATAATCTACCTTAAATGATACATAGATTTATCATTATCTAAGATAATTGATAAACAGATTTATCATTATCTAAGATATTGATAAACAGATTTATCATTATCTAAGATAATTGATAAACAGATTTATCATTATCTAAGATAATTGATAAACAGATTTATCACTATCTAAGATAATTGATAAACAGATTTATCCTTATCTAAGATAATTGATAAACAGATTTATCATTATCTAAGATAATTGATAAACAGATTTATCATTATCTAAGATAATTGATAAACATATTTATCATTATCTAAGATAATTGATAAACAGATTTATCATTATCTAAGATAATAAATAGATTTATCGTTATCTGAGATAATTAATAAATAGATTTATCTATTATCTATCTAAGATAATTGATAAATAGAATGATTTGTCACTCTATCTATTATCTATCTAGCTATCTAGCTAGTTAGTTGTTAGCTAAAATAGCTTTTGGGGCTTTCAGCTTTTTGGATACTCAGTTCAAAATCTACTCTTCTTGTTTTCATGAACTTGACTGCTATATTGTCCTTTACATTAGACCATCTGGGTGAACAGCATTTGGCTTTGCTGGTGCCAGCCTTAACAGAACACTTGTTATTTGGAGCACTGTCTTAGTTCTGGCGCTCATGCATTCTGGAGTGAATATCATATGGACAATACAAGTTGATGCCTCAAGAGAATAAAACCCCCAGAATGGCAAGGCATAGGCAACATAGGAAACCCATTGATGATAATGAGACTCTGTTTTGTACTTTTGACAAATCAAACTGGAAACATTGGAGTTATGCGTTCCCTAATAATATGTGGAAAATACCATATCTTATCATTCTGAAAATGGTCAGTGAAATCTGAGTAATGGCTCCTTGGATGGATGTCATGACAACTATGATATTTTGTTGGGTTTATATGCCCATAGTATATTTTGTTCAACTCATATTTTTAAGTATTTAACACAGAGGGAGGAAGGTATAATACATTATTTAGATTACGAATGTCTTACATCATATTTCCCATTACTCAGGGAAACTAGACAATTGAATAAATATTACTGTCCTTGAAATACCTCTAATGTATTGTAATCTCCCACTCCACATAAAGGTCAAATTTCTAATTCAACTTAAAGTGCTCTCAAAACAAATCTCATCAAGACAATAACAGAAGAGTATTTTTTTTGCCTATCACTACCCAACAAGAAGTATATCACTGATATTCCAAGGTGATTTCTAACACACAATATCCTTATAGTTAACAACAAATGGTGTAGCAATCTCCATGTCCACAGACAAATGCTATAAGAAGAAGCTGTATTAGTCCGTTCTCACACTGCTATAAGGATGTACCTGAGACTAGGTAATTTATAAAGCAACAAGGTTGAATCAACTCATAGTTCAGCATGGCTGGGGAGGCCTCAGGAAACTTACAGTCATGGTGTAAGGGAAAGGGGAAGGGGAAGCAAGGCACCTTCTTCATAAGGCAGCAGGAAGGCGAAATGCTAAATGAATGGGGAAAAAGCTCCCTATAAAACCATCAGATCTAGTGATAACTCACTCACTATCACAAGAACAGCGTGTAGGAAACTGCCCCTCATGATTCAGCTACCTCCACCTGGTCTTTCCCTTGACACGTGGGGATTATGGGGGTTATGGGAATTACAATTAAAGATGAGATTTGGGTGGGGACACAAAGCCTAACCATATCAGAGGCGAATATCCAATTTTTTCCCAACAGTTGACCCACTTTCAACTCCTCCAGAAGGAAGATTGGAACATAACCATTAGAAAAATATTCTGCTGCTGACACTAGTAGTGGATCTGGTTTGCACTGACCAGGAACCTATTTTAGGACAATGAATGGTCACAGTCTCTCATTAAATACCATTTCATCTTTCAAGAGAGCTCCTTTTAGATTACAGGGACATGACATACCACTGGTACAGGACCCAATGATAAAGAGATGATAAGTGAAAATTGTCTGAAATGGAGTTGTTTTTGTTGAATTGCATATGGTGACAAGTGTGAAACTCTGAGACACTTTATGCCACATGTCTTAGTCAACTCAGGATGTCATAACAGAATCCCAGAAACTGGATGGCTTAAAAACAAACAGTTGTTTTCTCACAGTTCTAGAATATGAAAGTCCAAGATCATAGTGTTCATAGGGTTGGTTTTTGATAAGGGGTCTCTCTTCCTGGTTTGTAGATGGCCATCTTCTCCCTTTCTCTCTGTGTCCTCATGTGGTTATTTTTTCTTTTCTTTTTTTTTTTTTTTTTTTTTTGAGACAGGGTCTTTCTCTGTCACCCAAGTTGTAGTGCAGTGCCATGATCATGGTTCACTGCAGCCTCCACCTTCCAGACTCAAGTGACCCACCCACCTCAGCTTCCCAAGTGGTGGGGACTACAGGCGTGTACCACCACATTCAGCTAAACTTTTTCTTTTAAATTTTTTGTGGAGCAGGAGTTTCATCACGTTGCTCAGGCTTGTCGTGAACTCCTGGACTCAAGAGATCTACCTGTCTCAGCCTCCCAAAGTGCCAGAATTACAGGCATGAGCTAATGCTCTTGGACCTCACATAGTCTTTTCTCTATGTGTATGTCTTCATGGTGTCTTTTTCTATTCTCTAATAAGGAAACTAGTCCTACTGGATTAGGGCTATGACTTCATGACCTCATGGAAACTGAATTACCTCCTTAGAGGCTTTATCTCCGAGTATAGTCACATTGAGGATTAGTTTTAACATATGAATTTGAGGGCAGGAGAGAAGCACAGCTCAGTCCATAATAGGTGGTCTTCCACAATTCCACTACTGGCATGCGTCACCACACCCAGCTAATTTTTGTATTTTTATAGAGATGGGGTTTCGCCATGTTGGCCAGGCTGGTCTCGAACTCCTGACCTCAAGTGATCCGCTCGCCTCGGCCTCCCAAAGTGTTGTGATTACAGGCATGTGCCACCATGCCCAGCCTAGATGGTAGAAGTAACTCCTGGAAAGTAGATGCCCTTGGTAGAAACTGCTAGGCTTGGAAATTATAGCAGCTAGCTTCTCCAAAGAAGCTAGTGATGGAGAGAAAAAGAGAAAGAGAACAGAAAAAACCTGCTTCAGGAAATATGTGATAGTTCTGTGTTGTCATGCACAGAATATATCCCATTACAAATAAGTGATAAAGAATGCAAAAAATAATTAGTACAGGACCTGGAGAAATTTTACCACTTAACACAGAGACAAAGGAGTAGATAATTGGCCAGGGGACACAGTGAGGGTGAATCATTTACTCTAAAGGAATGAACAGTGGCTAAGAGCATCTAGTAGTACAGAGATGAATTGAGCCATAGGATAAAGACATATGGCAATTCCGAGGTTATTTGTAAGATTAAGCAGCCTCACTAATCCAGATATTTATGCTATAAGGAGTAAACATGGGGAAGAAATCAACATTGCATTTCTAAGGAGCTTTAGAGAGATACTTAATGGGCAAGCCAAGCAGGATGCCACAGAATTGAAAGAAATATTTCGATATTGTCAAGAGTCGAGTATGCTCATAGGAGGGGGGGTATTAAAAAAGAGGAAAAGATAATTTACCAGAGGGCAAAGACTTTCAGGAGTGAGAAGTCATTGGAACGAGAAAGAAAGGGGTGAAAACGAGAGAAAGAAAGTGAAACAAGAATAAGGAAGGGCATGAAATTCCAGAGAAGTGTGTGTGTGAGAGAGAGAGAGAGAGACAGAGACAGAGACATACAGAGAAAGAGACATACAGAGAGAAACAGAGACAGAGACATACAGAGAGAGACAGAGACAGAGACACAAAGAGAGAGAATGAGAGAGAGTGAAAAATGTAAACAACAGAAAAACTTACAAAACCTAAAGACAGGGTCTTTCTTGAAATATGTGGAGGGATTGGCATTTTGCAATTCATAAAGCATTTTGTTTAGAAGGCAATTATTTTGCACAATTCTTGCTTCTTCCCCGCTCCAGTGCTTTGGCATGGGGCCAATTATTTTTAGTTCTGATTTTTACTTAGAATTCAGCTTCAACTGTGGGAGAGGAGTCAACTTGAGTAAGTCCCTTCTGCTTTTAATGCCATTTTCCTCCAATCTGTGTGATAATGACACCAACTAAGAGTTATTGTCAGAGTCAAAGAAAATAATACACATTCAACAACCTGTCAGTGGAAGATGGCACATTGCTTGGTAAAACCCATACTTACATCTTTAAAGTTGCATTTGGTAACTTGAATTAGCTTTTTTTTTTTCCTCAGGGATAATGAATACTGTCGACATACTCAAGTGGTAAGAAGAATGGTTAGAAGCCTGTACAACACTGACTGTTATTTTATCATCTCCTCTTATTAGCACACAGCTCAGACCATGAAAGGGTGCTGGATGGCAGAATTCTGTTCCAATTTCTACTATGAATTAGGACTCGAATTTTTCCTGAGAAATGGCCTGTAAGATTCTGGCTTGTCATGTTTGCTTTTTCATTTTCAAGAGGGTTGAACAAAATATATCACCATTACATTCCTATCATCTTATTAATTCTTACTTTGAATTCCTAAAAACATATCCTGGTAGTTTATTTCTTATAATCCTTTGACATTTAAACAAAGTGTTCAGGACTACGTAAAACTATACTAATTTTTAAGAGAATGTACCTATTGTATCTTTACTATAAATCACATATGTTTTTTCCCTTTCATGAACTAAACTATTCATGCCTTTAAAGTTGCCTCTGCCGGGCGCAGTGGCTCAGCCTGTAAACCCAGCACTTTGGAAGGCCAAGGCGGGCAGATCACGAGGTCAGGAGATCAAGACCATCCTGACTAACATGGTGAAACACTATCTTTACTAAAAATACAAAAAATTAGCCAGGTGTGGTGGTGGGTGCTTGTAGTCCCAGCTACTGGGGAGGCTGAGGCAGGAGGATGGAGTGAACCCGGGAGGCGGAGGTTGCAGTGAGCTGAGATCGTGCCACTGCACTCCAGCCTGGGCGACAGAGTGAGACTCCATCTCAAAAAAAAAAAAAAAAAAAATTGCCTGTTAGGTTAAATATATAAGGAAAGACTTTATTATTTATAACACTGAAGATAGTCACAGCAATACCAAATAACAAACACATTTTACATATTTAGAGCCTTAATAAAAACCCAGTGAAGCCATTAATTCAATTTTTTTTCTCAGTGGTAAAAAGAATGCAAATTATTATCCAAATATAAAACTTTTCCTCAGTCGTAAAAGAAGCCTAAATTATTTTGTAATTATTTCAAGCTTAAAATTGCCAGGTATCTAAATATTTGATAAAGGATAGATATATACAATTATTACTAATCATACTAATTGTTACTTCACATAAGAAATAACAAAAACAATACACATGAGGAGAAAATAAATAAAATACAAATAAAATTTATATTTGACATTCTACTGTCTAAATTTCACTCATATCACAGCCTTACTTCTGCTGGAATTTTTCTTATACTTACATTCTATTATTTGTGCTCATCGTCAATTTTTTTTAACTATCTATGACTTTTTTTCTCGTTTTTTCTCCTTTTTTATCTAGACTTTTTTTTTTTTTTTTTTTTTTTGAGACAAGGTGTCACTCTGTCACCCAGGCTGGAGTGCAGTGACACAATCGTAGCTCTCTGCCGCCTTGAATTCTTGGGCTCAAGCAATCCTCCTGTCTCAGCCTCCTGAGTAGCTGGGACTATAGGTGCATACCACCATGGCCAGCTATCTTTTATAAAATTTTAGTTGTCAGACATCTTTATTTCTAGGGATTGTCACCAACCACCAACACAGGTCCTGACAATTGCTTGGATATCAGAGAGATTGGCCAACTAAATCACTGTCCTTTAGATCCAATAATCTTCTTTAGAATCTCTTCTCCATAGCCCTTCTTCTTCTAAACCAAAATTCTCCCAGGTGTGGATAATTGAAAGTGAAATTTTACCTAGGACTTACATTTCCCCAGAGAATATGAAGGCATGAAGATCCAGAATGTATTTGCATAAGATGTTTATATCAGATTCAGGATGAGAAAAACACAAGTTGTTTTCACCTGCTGCTTGGTGAAAGAATTTCAGTAAAGCAAACTGGAGCAGATTTAAAGACAGAGTCCAGTGATTGACACATTGAAGACTTTCATTTGGTGACTATAAGAGAAATAGATGTTAGATTTAGTAAGTAAGAAAAATGTTTATGCACTATAGAGAAAGGTGTGTCTCTCTGGGTAGCACAGGGTTATAAAACATACAGACGAGAATCACTGTGTTCTTGGAGCAGCTCTCACAGTCCTTAGATGTGGGAAATTAGGATTGATATGGTTTGACTGTGTCCCCACCCAAACCTCATCTTGAATTGTAATCCCCATATCCCCACACGTCTAAGGAAGGACCCAGTGGGAAGTGATTGGGTCATTGGAGCTGTTTCCCCCATGCCGTTCTCGTGATAGTGAGATAGTCCTCACAAGATCTGATGGTTTTATAAGGCAGTTTTCCCTGCTCTTGCTAGCTCTCTCTTTCCTGCCCCTATGCGAAAAAGGTCTTTGCTTCCCCTTTCCCTTCCGCCATGACTGTAAGTTTCTTCAGGCCTCCCCAGCCATGTGGAACTGTGAGTCAATTAAACCCTTTTTCTTTATAAATTACTCAGTCTCGGGCAATTTTTTATAGCAGTGTGAAAATAAACTAATACAAAGATCTTTATTTAAATTTTCCCAGTGTTAGGATTCTCACGAATCAGGTCAGGTTAATGTTTACTTGCCTTATTTTTTATTCATATTAAGCTTAAGTACATTGCCTGGATTGTGGTGAGAATAAAATGTATCAACAAATGTACTATGTGCAGAAGAATGCCTTGTGCAGATTAGCACACTGTATATTTATATCGAATTAAGCAGTGGCCTAAATGGTTCCAAAGTTACACAATTCTGTTGCTTTTTCTTTTTAAAATATAGAAAATATTGACCATGCTATTATACAAAATGTCATAATAACGTAAGGTGGCTGACAGTTAAAGAAGCACTTGAGTGGAAGCATTCTGGATATAATGTTGGTAAAACTAGAAGACTTAAAGTATTCACCGAGGCAAAAAGGTGGCAATAAAAAAATTTCCTGGTCTTGTAGCTCTCATATTCTTAAGCTTTGGGGAGTAAGAGGGATGAAGGAAAGATGGGGAGGGAGCAAAAGGGAGAGAGAAGGAGACAGGGATAGTTGGTCTAGGGAGAATAGTTAATAACACGTTAAACAGGAGAGTGTGAAAGTGGCATAATCCCACTAAAGCGATAAGTGTTCCTATTTCCTCTCTCTCTCACACATGCAGGCCTCGTGACTTCAGCATTATTCATTCAACAAAGGATTTCTTAGTAATATATGCAGTCGATTTGAATAAGGAAGGCAAAGCCAGGACGTGCTAGATGTCATCGGTATCTTCTTCAGCAGAGTTACCTCTAGAGAGCAAACAGAGAGATTCTGTTACCAGGGACGTTAAGTCAAAACGAAAATGGGTATTCATTATTTATGATTAAGAGGACGAGGTTCACAATGCAAGCACAGGGGAAACAAAGCCTGCCTGCCTTCTGAGTCAGCGATCCCCAAGGAGTGATGTAGAGAAGGGAAGGAGGTCATGAGAGACTTGCAGAGAAGAATACAACGAAAGAATGCATTCTTGTTCTGAAATATTCCTGGAAGATCCCCGGAGGTGACTCTCTCATTCCCAGATAAATCACTGTTCTGGTTTGTCCCTGTCTCTGATCTATGCAGGTGCTATCACCTTATGAATTCTGCAGTTGGCAATTTCAACCAGATACCACAAATGTCTGTTCATGACTGCATGCAGCTCAACCCCAACTTCTTCATTTTATGGCTATTGTTAAAATTGCATCTTCAAGATGGACTTGTGATTTTGCAAATAAATCAGAATCAGATGTTGTCAATCACATCCAGTGTTCTTACCCTTGGTGACAGTTCTTATCTCCATGTAACCACAGGAAGATGTGCTACAGCTTGTATGTTGTAAGGTTAAGATAGGAAGGAGCTGGGAGCAGTGGCTCGTGCTTGTAATCCCAACACTTTGGGAAGCTGAGGCAGGAGGATCACTTGAGGCCAAGAGTTCAAGACCAGCCTGGGCAATGTAGTGACACCCTGTTTAAAAAAAATTAAAACATTCGCTGGGCATAGGGACATGCATCTGTAGTCACAGTTACTCAGGAGGCTAAGGCAGGAGGATCACTTGAGCCCAGGAGTTGGAAGCTGTAGTGAACTATGATTGTACCACTGTACTCCAGCCTGGGCAATAGAGCAAGACCTGGTCTCTAAGGGAAAATTTTTAAAAGAATGAATAAGGGTGGGCTGGTCTTTGATAAAATATAGTCAAATATCATTATTCACAGAATCTGGATTTGAAAATTCACTAAAATTTACAGTAACCCCCAAATCAATACTCGTGGTGGGCTGGGGGTCACTCACAGATACTTGTAGAGTAGCAAAAAATCAGAACACATGTTTGCAGTTGAGGTGAAATGAGGTGACTCTGCGTTCTTGTTTCGACTCTCATATAATAAACGTGTTCTTTTCATGAACTGTTTTGTGCCAGGTTTTTCATGTTTTTGTGCTTTTTGTTGGTGACTTTGATGTTTAAAAAGGCCCCCAAATATAGCCCTGAAGTGATGTTTATTGTTCCTAAGTTCGAGAAGGCTGTGACTTGCCCTACAAAGAAAACAATTCATTAAGACATGAGTGACAGCACAGTTGGTCATGGATTCAGTGTTGAAGAATAGAAAGTATATCTCAAATAAGGTAACGTATCTTTAAACAGAAATATACATTTAAAAAGTTGTAAACTGGCTGGGTGTGGTGGCTCACACGTGTAATCCCAGCACTTTGGCGGACAGAGGCAGTCAGATCACATGAGGTCAGGAGTTTGAGACCAGCCTGACCAACATGGTAAAACCCTGTCTCTACTAAAAATACAAAAATTAGCTGGGCATGGTGGTGCATGCCTGTAATCCCAGCTACTCGGGAGGCTGAAGCACAAGAATCACTTGAACCTGGGAGGTGGAGGATGCAATAAGTCAAGATCCCACCACTGCACTCCAGCCTGGGTGACAGAGTGGGACTCCGTCTCAATTAAAAAAAGAAAAAAAAAGTTGTGTAGTGATCAGTTAATGAAAATGTTTGTGTCCAGAGGCTTGCAGGAACATAACCCGATATTTTCCTTAAAAACAATGGTTCAATATTCACTAATGCAGTGTTGGTAGTGACTTTAGTGAACATAACAAATAAGAATAACAAGAATTGTCGTACATAGTAAGGTTTCTCACTCCACTGCGTATTTCGAGGCGATTGTGCTTGATGGGATATTCAGGTCATCCTTTGGGATTCTGTAGGATAGGAAACAAAATTGAAATACCAGGGCGTGATAGAGGGAAAACAAAAAGTTACCATTTGGGGATTATGGCCACTCAGGTCCTACCTTTGTTGTGCCCTGCTGTGTCTCTAGAGCTTGCACCCAATAGAAGGAAGCTCAGCATCAAAGATTGACTTGTCTTAAGTTCCTGAATGGTCCGAGGCAATTGGTGTCTGTATTATAGGAAATATTTGGATTATACCAAGTTATGCCCTCCAAGACCTACTTTCCACATTCATTCAACTCGCTAGCATACTTAAGTTTTTTACAGATACCGATGCGTAACACCTTTTGCCTTTCTTTCAGTGATTCTTAGGCAGAGAAAAAATGTATAGACTGGATAAAAAACATGAGGTACATACCCACCATGGAATACTATGCAGCTATAAAAAAGAAGATCATGTCCTTTTCAGGGACGTGGATGGAGCTGGAGGACACTGTCCTTAGCAAACTAATGCAGGAACAGAAAACGAAATGCTCCATGTTATCACTTATAAGTGGGAGCTAAATGATGAGAATACATGGACACAAAGAGGGGAACAACACACGCTGGGGTCTAAAGGATGGGTGGAAGGTAAGAGGAGGGGGAGGATCGGGAAAAATAACTATTGGGTGCTAGGCTTAATACCTAGGTAATGAAATAATCTATACATCGAACTCCCATGACACAAGTTTACCTATGTAACAAACCAGCACATGCATCCCTGAACTTAAAAGTTAAAAAAAAAAAAGTATAACTGAAGAAGACTATGAGAATCTTGGAAAGTCCCAGAAGGAAATATTAAAGAAGCCATTGATACAGGTAATGTTATAATGCTTTTTTCCAGGAATATGTAATTTACATGTTATGAAAATACACTACAGGGAAGCTAATAGATGCTTTGTTCAAATTTTCTGTTCTTTTTCTATCTTTTGTAAACAAGTGTCAAAAACATCTCAAAGAATGAGTTTCCAAAGGCAGTGACGTGCTGTTGAAGGTGTGTGGGAGATGACCAGAAGAGATATAGACCTACATATAAAGTGCAAGGTCTGAATACCATCTTCAATTTAATTCTAATTCAGAGAGAAAGAAGCAGCCATGTTTTTCAGGAGAGTTAAAAGTCTCTCTCTCTTTCTCTCTCTCTCTCTTTTTCCCTACAGGGAAATAAAACACATTAAGTAAATCTCCATGGTAAACAGTATATTTTGTTTGTCATCAGAAAGATCTGTACTATAGCAACAGAAAACGTTCAGTGATACAAGTTAAAAAAATATCGGGAGTCCATTGCATGGAAATGAGTAATAGCATGTACAAATAAAACATATCATAGGCCGGGTGCTGTGGCTCACGCCAGTAACCCCAGAACTTTGGGAGGCCAAGGCGGGCAGATCACAAGGTCAGGAGTTCGAGACCAGCCTGACCAACATGGAGAAACCCCGTCACCACTAAAAATACAAAAATTAGTTGGGCATGCTGGCGGGCACCTGTAATCCCAGCTACCCAGGAGGCTGAGGCAGGAGAATTGCTTGAACCCGGGAGGCGGAGGTTGCAGTGAGCTGATATCATGCCATTGCACTCCAGCCTGGGCGACAGAGCAAGACTCTGTCTCGAGAACAACAACAAAAAAAAACATATCACAATGAGGTTTCAATGAAACAAAAAAGCCAGTTCCTGATTTCAGTGGCAGCCTCTACTCAAATAAATTGTAGTTTTCTGTGTACAATCCAGCTTGTAGCCATGATCAACAAAATAAAAGTGAAATTTAAAGGAAAAAATGTAAGTCTACTTTTAGGTATTTTTAAGACTGAAGCAGATAGTTCCTTAAAAACTGGTTTTTGTTTTGTTTTGGTTTTTCTCCAAAACCATGAGTTTTCACTTCAAGCATGTAATATTTTGTAGGTTGGACTTTTAGCGAAAAAGACAGAAGCAAAGTCTTCATCTAGTAGTTTATATAAAAATATATTACTTATTTGTAAGTAGATGAATGCAGATGGAATTGTAACTTTTCAATAAGAGCTATTATTAGGTCTGGCGTTGATGAATGCATTATACTCAGGAGCACAGGCATTTCTGCTAGTAAGACTATAGAATACTAATATAGAATACAATATATAGAATACTATTCAATAAATATAAAATATCTTCAGGGTATCAAACTGTAGCTGTGTCCACTGGGTCATTTTGAGGTGGTTGTGCATACATTCGTCTTCGTGATAGATTGTACATTTTTTGACATAGGGCTCATTTAAATGTATCAATACTGGCTGGGCACAGTGGCTCAAGCCTGTAATCCCAGCACTTTGGGAGGCCAAAGCAGGACGATTACTTGAGCCCAGGAGTTTGATACCAGCCTGGGCAACATAGCGAGACCCTATAAAAAAATTAGCCAAGTGTGGGGGCACACACCTGTGACCCAGCTACTCAGGAGGCTGAGGTGGAAGGATCACTTGAGCTCCAGAGCTTGAGGCTGCAGTGAGCCGTGATCATGCCATCGCACTTCAGCCTGGGCAACAGAGCAAGACCTTGTCTCAAATTTTTTTTTAATTAAAAAAGTATTAATATCATATCCTCAGCACTTACAAAGAAAATATTTTTCACTCAGGAGTTGTTCAATAGCAGTTATTGAGTTCATTTTGTGTATATAAACTCTTTCTTTAACATGCAAAATATATGTGCATGTCGCCATCTAATAATGTAAATTATCCAGAAAAAGTTTCATTAACATGCCATACAGAGAAGTGGCTTTTGGCCAAATTTTTTTGGAAAATTCTTTCTATCATAACCCTGGATTGACAGTCATTAACATCTCTAGATCTTAAATACATGCTTAAGAAGAATTATTAGTACATTTATAAGCCTAAGAGTATCCCCAGAGCAGTTGAAATTTTACATCTCCTAGTACGATTTTTATATTTACATGTATTACAGTTGCTTTCAGCTTGTCTAAAGATAATATGGAGACTCAGAAAACAGTTAAGTTAACATCTTCTCAGGCATCTAATGTCATATAGAGTGTACTGTAGTAACAGTTGAAATATTGAGATAGAAAATTGTCCTTTCCTAAATTTTATATATTCTTCCTTGATATTATTTATTATTATTATTATTGTTATTATTATTGAACAGACACAGTCTTGCTCTGTTGCCTAGGCTGGAGTGCAGTGGTGTGATCACAGTTCACTGCAGGCTCGAATTCCTGGGCTCACGTGATCCTCCCACATTAGCCTCCTGAGTAGCTGGGACTTCAGGCATGCGCCATCATGCTCTGATATTTTTTATTTTTTACAGAGATGGGTTCTCATTATGTTGCCCAGGCTGGTCTCAAACTCCTGGGCTCGAGAGATGCTCCCACCTTGGCCTGGCAAAGTGCTAGGATTCCAATCATGAGCCACAGCACCTGACCCTTCCTAGATATTCTGTACATGTAATGTGTATGTTTAGTTGCTGTACTTAATCTATACTATATATAAAGCTTTTCTGATTTACTTCATGATTTTAAGGTGTAAGATAACATGAAATATTTGGAGGTCAGCCTATAGACACCTTAACTCAGGTATTGCTATGAACTCCTACTAATGTTATTGGTAGTGGGACAGATATATAACTAGTATACCTCCCATTGCTTTAAATTTGATATTCTTGTGTGTGCAAATTGTGAATGACTGTACATGAAAGATACATTGCAATTTAAATAGAAAATCCATTGCAATTTCAACAGAAACAAAACACCACTAATTGAGTTTTTATAGAATCTGTTTAAATCAAATTTTAAGGAATGTTTTATTAAAATGTATCTGACTAGTAAATGTTGTACATTTTAAGATGTGTTCTCTAAAAGGAGAAAATGAAATTTGTTAAAATCTAACGACTCTTGAATTGGTACTACCTCTATTATATGAAGTATGCTAACATATTAAATTAAAGATATTTGTCAGATTTATAGCTAAGTCTTTGTTAAGATTGCCTAACGAATCAACATGTGTTGGACCATTTCCCCCCTGGAAATGGGGAAGCTGGAAATTGGGGTGTTTTGTTGAAAGAATATTAAGCTCGTTAATGATTTGTTTACAAGTCACTGGAGCGGGCTGGCAGCTGCTGGGGATTAAGTCCGTGGTGAATTTTTAGAAACATTGTTGAAATATTAATGGAATTCTTGAGACCATTTTAGCTAGTGATCTTTCTATTTGTTTGTTTGTTTTTGTTAAATCTGGTTTAAATACGTTTCTCAGTGATTCTGCATGTCTTATGGTGAACATGCTAAAATTTCTTCTTCTCCAAATCAATAGAAATAAAACATTAGATGTATGGAATACATATGTGTATATAGGAGAAATATGTGCATGCATAGGACTGAGATATTTGATCCTAAGGAAATGGATTGTTGGTCTTAAATGTTTTATCTTTGGTGAGTACAAGTAGAATCATGGTGCATAGTGCTTAGGATATGCATGAACGCAGGGACTGAAATTGACTGTCTATGTGAGACTAATATTCCAAAAGAATTTCTGTATTAAACTGTGATGCCATGACACGTATTCTTGTGCCTGGGTCTACAGAAATGCAAAATGTCTTCTCTGGAAACTGCATACAGAAAGAGTCCTGGCTAGGAGAGCCAAACAGTTTAGTTCAGAATATGTCTGACATCTAAATGACAAGACAGCTCATCACCAGAATCTGCAGGACACTCTGGGAGAGAATTGACACCAGAGGAAGTAGAGATCAGGAAACAATGTAACTAAAAACTTTAAATAAATATGATTGAAGTTTATATTGTAAAAAGGAAAAAGATGCATAAGTAAAATATGACAGGAATATACATATGTATAAGGATACATATGACAGATATAAAAATGTATAGAATATGTGTATATATACACACATGCACACACAGCATATACATACATATAGGACACAGATAGACACACATATCTACATATAAATGTACATTTTCATATACAACAATTGAAATGCACATCTATATCTTAAAAACATTGTCACTCAACTTCAAGTTAAGGAACTGGCAACATGTTTAATCATCTAACCTTATTCATAAGTGTGAAATACTATACACAAATTGTTTATCAAATAGTGTTGGAAGTTATGGTCAAAGATGTTAGCTTACTGATAGTAATATTATTTTCCTGTAAATGTGAAAATATATTGGACAATTTGAACAGTTCTTTATTTTGAATGGTGTAAATGTAGGTGCATTTTATATTATCTATATGATGTACCTATTAATATATGCATATCTATATTTTTATTATCTGAATATATGTATGTGCATATATCCATGTTTTACTGTTAGTATATGCTTATGATAACTAGACATAATTAGTTGTTTTATAAGATGTAAATATTGGGAACAGGATATACAATCACTCAAATGAATAAAAAAGCATTTTCATTTTCCTCTAAAATTGAATATAGAGAATGTTGCTTCAACTAATAACAACTAAAAAATAGTAACAATAACAACAATGAAAAACAAAAAAAAAATCAATGAAGCATGAGATGGTTGTGGTGAAAGCAAGAACTGCAAATACTACAACTACCTGAATAATGGCAAAATGAAAAGTCTGGTGAGCTGCAGCTATTTTTGTACTTCTGGGCATTTTTCAAGTCAAAGTGCTGGACAAGAATCTATGGCACCCAGGCAGAAGTTCCTACTGGGCAAGAAAAGAAATAACCAGCAACCAAACTGCAGAGCTGTTGACCCTGTAACACAAGAAAGACACTATTGAGAGACTTGAGTGGCCAGGATGCTGGTAAAAATGAATTCTCAGATGCCAAGCCTGAGTTTCCACCCTTTTTCCTCCTAGATATTTGTTGATTCTAGATCTATGTGGAGCAGGATGCTAACAAACCTAGCATCTTTCAGAATATCATTGTTTCCTATATTATTTAATATAAATATGATAATTTCAAACTTTGATTTACCTGGGGGTGTATTTCTATTGACTCATTTTCTCTTTCCTGTTGAAGATTTAGTCCTGTCTCTCTCTTTGCATGCATAACTTGCTCTTATCTAATATTCTACAGTTGTGAATAACATTTGCATAGGCTCTGAAAGATAATTTTGCCTTATCAAATATCATACATATTACAAATGTATGGCAACTAAATGGAAGGAAGTAGTGCAGATACAGCCCAAACATATTTTTTACACAGTATTATAATTTCATATTGACAATCAAATGATTCAGAATATTTTTGAGAATCTTATGATAACAGTTTTGGATGTTTGGGAGGATGAATATTATAAGTTGCTGCCCATGTGTAAATTATCATAGCCACGTTGAAGAGTTTAGAAGTGTTTTTGTATAACTGGAAATGTATGTTTTTATATACAACACATTCAGATGAGCGTCTATACCCTAGAAAAACTTTGGTTCACTTTCATATTCAGGAATGTGTGACATGTTCCTATCAACCTTGTTTGTAAGTGTGAAATACTGTAAATGAATTGTTCATCAGATGGTGTTGGAAGTTGTGGTCAAAAAAGATGTTAGCTTACTGCTAATGACACTTTTTCCTTCAAATGTGAAAATATTTTGGAAAATTTGAAAGAGTGTTTGTGAATGGTAAAAATGTAGGTGAATTTTAGATTGTGAGCTCAGGGTGAGAATTGAACTAATAATAAACATCGGAGCCTGTTACATACTCATTCTTTTTTCAGATTCTATTTTATGTACTAAAGGTTAGTTATACTTGTTACATTATTC
This sequence comes from Homo sapiens, assembly GCF_000001405.40. Classification (NCBI taxonomy): domain Eukaryota; kingdom Metazoa; phylum Chordata; class Mammalia; order Primates; family Hominidae; genus Homo; species Homo sapiens. The sequence goes on from NC_000023.11 coordinate 5,189,077, forward strand.
TTTGTATTTTAACGTGCTCTCTCTTTTTCTTTCTTTATTTCTTTCTTCTTGAAATGGGATCTTGCTTTGTCACCCAGGCTGGAGTGCAGTGGTGCAATCATAGCTCACTGTAACCTCGAACTCCTGGGCTCAAGCAATCCTCCCAACTCAGCCTCCTGGATGGCTGAGACCTGGTGTATTAGTCCATTCTCATCCTTCCAATAAAGACACACCTGAGACTGCGTAATTTATAAAGGAAAGAGGTTTAATTGACTCACAGTTATGCAGGGCTGGGGAGGCATCAGGAAACTTACCATCATGGCAGAAGGGGTAGCAAATATGTCCTTCTTCACATGGCGGCAGCAAGAAGTGCTGAACAAAAGGGGGAAAAGCCCCTTATAAAACCATCAGATCTCATGAGAATTCGTGCACTATTATGAGAACAGCAGCATGGAGGTAACCACCCCTATGATTTAATTACCTCTGAGTGGTTCCCTCCCACAACCTGTGGGGATTACGGGAACTACAATTCAAGACGAGATTTGGATGGGGGCACAGCCAAACCATATCTCCTGGCCTCAAGTGATCCTCCTGCCTCAGCCTTCCAAAGTCCTGGGATTACAGGCATAAGCTACCACACCCGGCCCACTCTTCTAAAAATAAAAATCTCTCTAGCAGTGGTGAAAGGAAGTATGTTTATAATAACATTTGTTTATCTTTTAGAGAAATTAATTAGACTATATAAAATAAATTTTGGCAACTATTAGCTTAACTTTCTTTAAAATACAAAGTCTGATTTTCTTTATAGTGATTTGATTATAGCATATTTGATAATTAAAAGTATCTAAGCAATTACTTGGAAGTTTCTTTAGATACTGTGAAGTAATAAATAACTTTTTTCTGAATTTTGGATTCTCTAAATTTAAATTCTAATTAGCTGTACAGTTAGTGTTGCTGTATTTGACTTTCCAAAAATAAAAACAAGATAAAAGCAAGGGCATTATTTGCAAATATATATTGAACATTGATAGTATCCCTATGTTTCCATTTTCACTTGATTTTTACAACAACCTTTTGGATTTGTGTGAATTGCAGTCTACATTTGACATGTAGAAACTGAGATTTAGGCAAGATGTGTTTTTTGCTTGATGTCTATTAGTAACTGGTTGGGCTGGATTGTGAAAACCCAGAATTGAATTGCTAGAATATTTAGTTGATTCAGGACTCTCTCTTTCTCTTTCTCTCTCTCTCTCAAAAATGCAACATTACCTGGATAACATAATATTATGCCCCAGCAAAATAGAGGATATCACATCAAATTTGAAAACACATTAAAAGCTGCTTAAATATGTATTTCAAATTAGTTTTGCAGAAAAATAATCATGAGTGGGCTTTGCTACGAAAATATCCATAACTGATCTAACTACTAGGAACTGAATATGTCTATTCTTACATTTGAAGAAAAATCGTTTTCACACCTGTGAAACATTGACTATGGCTCAGACTATGGACGACTAATTGCCTCGCTACTGTGCTGTCATTACAAGAAAACCATCAAGCAATGTATTCGGAACATTCATTACTCACTTCAGCAGCTCACTGTTTATCTACAGAAATATCTGCTGGAGCTGAAGGATTCTGTGTAGCGAGAATAATGTGTTGCCAAGTCTTTCCGGAGAGACAGTCAACTCAGGATTCAATATCTCATCTCTGTTAAATATGTCCCTTCCTTCATTTCATGGTCATTTTCTCAGGTTAGGTATCTGTAATCTCTGCCAAAAACTATTGCAACAGCTTCTCAGCCAGTTTCCCAATCTATACTTTTAACTTATTTTCCGAATCATTAGTCTTCATGAAACTCGGAGACCTTCCTAAAATTCAGATAGAATCATGTTACCATAAAATGCTGGCTTCCTTCAATATCCTATTATTCAATGATTACAGATAACAACAATCTTCTAGCCTATAGCAAGACACTCCTTCATCCACCACAACCTCATCTCTCCCTGTCTCCACCACACACACGCACACACACACACACACCCTCTCTCTCTCTCACTTAAAATACAAAGAAGCTTCAGAATTTGTGCATTGTAATTAATATCAGGGAATATTTTCTTCAACTTCTATAGCTGATAATCTTTTCTGGGGCTTTCAAAGCCTCTGCATAACAGTTTAATTATTTTAATGTATATTCCCTGGCGATTTTGGGTTCTTAATGTCTGAGTAATTAAGCAGATGAAAGGGTTATACTACTCAGCATGGTATTTGGTACCATTTTTCATAGGGAAATGTGTTTTTTCTACACAAGAGGGAACAAAAAGCAGTTAGTTTTTAGTGTAGGGACTCAATGGGGTGCCACTTATATTTCAGTAAACCAATAGTCTTTGCCAATGGGAAAATGGGTTAGTCCAACAAAATCAAGACCATCAGTGAGTCAGACCCCAAACAGGTAAAGTTTGGAAGAACTCATTAGAAAAGACTCACCCTGTTCAACTCAGTTGCTGGAAAAAAAAAGCAAAGAGAACATGGAATGAGTTGTTAAACAACTATTAATACCATACTGCTGCAATATGCTATAATACCTACTTTTGTATTGCTTATTATTAGTACAATAATGCTTTGGGGCTTATTAATAGGTACAGAAGCAGAGAAAAATAGCAGCGAGGCAGCCTTGTGGATGTGGCTCTCTGGCTTCTTGTTACAAAGACTATCGTTTGATTCAGGACCAGTTGATGCCCTTCCAAATGTATCCCAGCACGTTTGCAGAGGTGGCTGCTTGATGCATGGTGGCCTAAGAGATTCTTCCACCGAAGCCAGAGATGCTTCTCTTTCTTTCTCCTTCATTCTGTGTTAAACTATTCTTACTTACTGCTGGCTTGCACAGCCTTTCCCAGATTTCTCCAGACTTCTTTCACAACTACATTTTCCTTAATAAAAATAAAAGATTGAGCCAGGCATGGTGGCTCCTGACTGTCATCCCAGCGCTTTGGGAAGCCAAGGTGGATGGGTCACTTGAGCCCAGGAGTTTGAGACCAGCCTGGGCAACATAGTAAGACCTCATCTCTGTGAAAAAATTAGCTGGACCTGACGGCATGAGCCTGTAGTCCCAGATACCTGGGAGGCTGAGGTGGGAGAATCCCCTGAACCCAGGAAGTCTAGGCTGCAGTGAGCCATGGCAACAGAGTAAGAACCTGTCTCAAAAATAAAAATAAAATATGAGAGATTGAAGATAATTTCCTGGGCAGCAGTAATACATTGCTTTTACAAGTCAAACAATAAAAAAAAATAAAGAAGGCTTATAATATGAAATTATCAAATGATCAAGGTAATTTTATTGACAATAAGAGTTAGGATCAAAGCCTGGGCAAGATAGCAAGACCCTGTCTATACAAAAAAAGTTTTAATTAGCTGGATGTGTGTGTGTGCCTGTGGTCCCAGCTACTCAGGATGCTGAGATGAGAGGATCACTTAAGCCCAGGAGTTTGAGGCTGCACTGAGCTATGATAACACCACTGTACTCCAGCCTGAGCAACAGAGCAAGACCCTGTCTCTAAAATAAATAAATAAAATAAAATTTTAAAAAGCATTAGGATCAAAAGATATGCTCCAGAGGACAAACACTTAGTTTAATTAAACAGATGTCAAAGACCAAGTACTAAAATAGAGAAAGAATCAGCAGAGCTAAGAGAAAATACGAATACATGGGTGACATTTTTTCTTGGTTCTTGTAATAACTATAATGGGAAAAAACAAATAAACAGAAGTTACTTTGCACAATCACATTTGTACATTGCGATTTGTGTTTAGCTTGGAGATTAAATGTCAAAACCCAACCCTTACTTTACATTTAAAGTCCACTAGTGCCAACCAGAATGAATTTCTTGATAATATAAAATTCTTGACAATGCATAATTCCTTATAAGTAAGTATTGGCAAGGTAGACCATACAATGCCACATCCTACAGAACCAACCAAGAATTCATAGCTTCTTCCTGCTCAGAAGTAAGCTCTTAGCTGTTCATGAAAAGTAAAGGAAGACTCAATTGTCATGGTGGATAATCAACTTCGATCTCTCCAAGTGTCTAACCTGTGTTGTAGATAAATTTACAGCCTTCGGGAAACTGGAATGTGGTTGACTCAGCCATCAGCCTTGTGGCTCTTAATAATTCAGAGATCAAACTTTTATTTTCATCATTGAATTGGAGAAGACCAATAAGAATTTTTCTCTGTCCTGTTGAAGACACTAATAAGTAGACACAGTTCATTTCATAAATGCTTAGGAAGGCCAGAACTGACCACCAAGTGATTCTAGGGAATTGCAGCATGCAAAATATGCAAAAATAGCAAAAGGCAAAGAAACAAAAATCCTGTCCGTCCGTAGTTCCAAACTCTTTTCTCTAGTTTCACAGCCATTTTAATTTTTCATAAACTGTCTTCGCTTGATGTACAATTCCTATGCATATAATAGGCATTGTGGATATTATTTCTCAGTAGACTAACATCTAAGAACCTAAGTTTGACTACCAGCATGTCATTATATGACTGGGGTAGATTGTGCCCTTTCCTGGAACATGGTTTTCATCATATATTTTAATTCTATGATGAGCTACAGAGCTCATCAAATGGGATGAAAAATTTGCTATATATTCCAGTGTAGTGAAGGTTATTATCATCAAGTAGTAATTTTAAATTAATGTAGTAATTTTCCATTGCCTTTAAATTAATTTTTCTTTAGAGGTTATTGGGTGCTAAAATTTCAGCTAATCCTTCTGAATGGTTGTGTTCAATCTAAAATATTTTTTGAACTACTTAATATATTGTTAATAGTAGCTTACTATATACCAGGCATCCTTGCAATGACTTACCAAGTATTAATTTATTAAATTCTCACACTCATTCCATACAGTAGGTATTTATTTTTGTCTTTATTTCACATATATAAGAATCAGATTCATATATGATAATGAATTTCTCCCAAATCTCAGTATGATTAATATGGCTCAGACAGGGATATAAATGAAGCAGTTATTTGTAGTTTTTAGGTGAGTCGTAATTATACCTGATATGTATATATATACATATATGCATGTATGTATATATATACACATACATACGTATCCATACATGTGTGTATCAGGTATATAATTTTATATACACGTATAGAATTTATATACAGAATTTTTTATATATTTTTAGAATCATTTTACATATAATTATATATGTAGAATTCTATATATAATCTATATATAAAACTGGGTATATATACACATAGATACACACACTATATACATATACACACATATATACACATACACTGTATATATATGCATATTATTGTTAAAAGAAAAACCTTAGGCATATTAAATTTAACAGTTTAATTCAGCAAATAATGATTTATGAATCAGGCAGCCCCTGAACCACAGGGGCACAGAGAGTCTCTGGCATAGCCAGATAGTCAAGATTTATGGACAGAAAAAGGAGAATGAGGTACAGAACACAGAAGTGAGGTACAGGAATAGCCAGATTGGTTATAGCAGGGTGTCTACCTTATTTGAATACGATTTAAGCAGTTGGCTCCCTTTGATTGTCCAACTTGGGGATTGGCACAAAAAGAAGTTGCAGTCTGTTTATATGTCCACTTAGGTTCCAGTTCACTATGTAGAGAGAAACCTTTGGGATGAACTTAAAATATGTCAGGAGGTTGTTTTAGGCTAAACTAAATTTAACCAATATGTGTACTACTTACTAATATTTCATTTTGTCTTCATTAGAAATCAATTTCAAATTGACTTATTATTAAAATATATTATATTAACGTGTCAAATCCTAAGGCAGAACGATCGCTGGAGCCCAGGAGGTCAAGGTTTCAGTGAACTGTGATCACACCACTGCATTCCAGCCAGGGCAGCAGAGCAAGACCTCAGCTGTAAAAAATGTAGCAACTAACAAAGTGTTTGATCCTTTTCTTGGTTTGAAATTGCATGTAAGTATGAGGAGGTCCAAACTCTTTAATCATTTATCTTTAGTTAACAGAGTAACTCAATTCCTTGTGTTACTAGAGTTAAAATAAGTATTTTTGGTGCCATTTTTCTTGGTTCTGGATTGAAAATGATTGAGACAATGTCGTGTTCAATAGAAACCAAATGTGTAAAGTGAAAAATCATTAGTGTGTTTGCTGTGTCCACCTAATTCATGATCTGTGTAGGAGTGATTTTTTTCTACCAAAGGAAAAAAAAAAAAAAACCCAAAAAACAAAAACCGGAATTCATGGTGTTTCTTTAACTTATTCATGGGGCCAGCAGGAAGTAGGATGACACCAACTGCCAAAAGTTTCGTTAAAACTTTCACAGGCTATATTTGCTCTCAAATAAAATATTGTGCCTTTGTCATATTTCATCAAAAGTAAATATTTTTACAAGAACAGGTTTCTATCATGACATGCAAGCTTAGAAAAACAATACCTATCACCCATATGTCCATTTTCATTCCAATTCCATGTAAGTAAACCTCATCTTAGGTCAGTTCCTGCTTAAACATTTTTAGGAATCCACAGAGTGCAAAGAATGAAATTGCATGTGGTTCCTGTGTTTGAAACATACTGACTCCAAGCTATGATACTGACATCACTCTGTACTAGTCGCCCACATTTCTGCCCGTGAATTCATTATCCATGTTCAATATTTAATCTAAAGATTTTCCTCTTATAAAGTTTTTGCCCGTTGGTAATGTGTTTTCATCCTTTGTATTAGTAATGTATTAGCAAAGTGTTATTTATCTTTCTTCTAATATTTAATTGTGTATATATAATATATTATCTATATACACATAAATTAATATATTTCTGAAAGAAATGTATTTTTTTTTTTTACCCTAAGGAAAATAAATCCGTTCTACCAAAAAGACAACTGCACAGGCCAGGTGCAGTGGCTCATGCCTGTAATCCCAGCACTTTGGGAGGCTGAGGCGGGCAGATCACGAGGTCAAGAGATCGAGACCATCCTGGCTAACATGGTGAAACACTGTCTCTACTAAAAATACAAAAATTAGCTGGGTGTGGTGGCATATGCCTGTACTTCCAGCTACTCGGGAGGCTGAGGCAGAATCGCTTGAACCCGGGAGGCGGAGGTTGCAGTGAGCCGAAATCGTGCCACTGCACTCCAGCCTTGTGACAGAATGAGACTCCATCTCAAAAGAAAAAAAAGAAAAAGAAAAAGACAACTGCACTTATATGTTTATCACAGCACAATTCACAACAGCAAAGACATGGAATCCACCCAGGTGCCCATCAATGATATATCATGGAATAGTACGCAGCCATTAGAATAATGAAATCATGCCCTTTGCGGCAACACGGATGCGGCTGGAGGCCATTATCACAGAAATAGAAAACCAAATACTGCATGTTCTTTCTTATAAGTGGGAGCTAACTTTGGGTACTCATGGACATAAAAATAGAAAAAATTGACACTGGGGACTCCAAAATAGGGAGGTGATGGAAGTGTTCACGAGTTGAAAAACTGCTTATTCGGTACTGGTCTCTCTACCTGAGTGATGGCATCATCAGACCCCAAACCTCAACATCACACAATATACCCTTGTAACAAACCTGTTTGAAATTTTAAAAAACGTATGTATTTGTTCTATACTCTTCCCTAGGTAGACTATATATTCCTTGAGGCAAATAATGGTTTCACAGAGTTGTTTGCTTAATAAGTTATTTCTTATTGAGACTAAATATTTCAAAGCACTCTTTTTGACCAAAAAATTTTTGAAGATTTGAAGGCATAAATCAGAATGGAATAGCTTTATCTCCTCCTGCATCACCATCTATAATCTTTGCTACCGTAGCCTCAGTAATTTCTCTGGGAGTCCTGCTTTGATTGTCCTTTTCTGAACCTATGGCCATTGTCTGAACATCATTCCTTCCATGAGCATGTACTTCTTAAAATGGAAATCCATAATAACATTCTGAAATTCAGCATTATGCATAGATTTCATTAGACTTTGCTCTACATCAAATCCAAACTACTTTAAAAACAAATCCAGAAGTACATTTTCATATCCATGTGCTCTTTTATTCCCTGAATGTATTTTGTTGGTACAGTCTATGGAAAAATGTGTAACTTGCATTTTTCATATACGTAGGCTGTCAGTTAGGTTCCCTGCATGCAATCAAAATACAATTAAGGCTGCCTAGCAATAGAGTGAAATGGGACACATAAAAAGTCCCGAAAAACACCACAACCTACCGAGTAACAGCAAAACTTGGCTAACTTAGATATAATGAGTGAAAGTCAGATTTATGTGTTAATTTTATATAATCCCCTTTATTTGGACTGCAAGGATGTTTCTTATCAAAATAGTGAGTGTGATTCATTTGTTGTAATTCTTTTTTTTTTTGACAAAGTCGTTCCGCCAGCTATTTAAGATTTTGTTAAAATTGACACAATTGTAACAACTGTGTCAATTATAACAATTTCATCAAGTGTGTCAATTATAACAATTGCATCAATTGTAACAATTGTGTCAATTATAACAATTGCATCAATTGTAACAACTGTATCTATTGATACTGATACAGACTCCATCCAGTTACAATATATACCTCTTCCAGGATTAATATACTGTCAACTTGAGAAAGGCCCTTGAAAATAATCTTTAAAGATAAAATTATTTAAACAGCTCAGTATCACTGCCATTTGTAACTGTAGGGTGTCTAAGGTTGATTTGATTCGTCAAACTGCAACAATTTCGACTTACAACCTTTAGAACTATGTTCATGACCTGTGTTCATGGTAAACTTTGCATAACCATGCTCCCTCTTCATTGTAGCTAATAAACACTATATAATTCATTCAACACAAAGTACATTTAAATCGCAAATACTTTGAATAATTTGTCCTCTCCTCCTCTTTGGAGAGTGTTCTTTCATCAGTTCATCACAACGTGGAAATGTCCACCTCAGAAATGTCTAGAAGTCCTGCTTACCTTTTAACAGTATTAAAATTACTCTTCCATAACTTAAATTCAATTTTCTCCCCCATGCTCAGCAGGCTTTTACTACTGTTGTTCATATCCTTGCTTTCATCCTTCCCATATACAAATTTTTAACTCATAAATTACTGCGGCTGTCCCTAATATTAGAAAAACATTATTTCCAGCTACACTCTGCATTGTGTGAATATACAAAACTTAATGTCCTTTCTACAACCATCAAAATGCATATAAAAATTCATGAAACATAGAAGAGTTATATTATGTTTTTAACTAGAATAAACATACTCATGAGCTCTTCCTACAAAAAATTATCTCTTTATTTTCTCATCATTCCTTTCATAATGATTAATCCTCCTCAAAGTATTTCTGTTTGACACTTCTAATCTTTGTGTTAAATGATAGCAGAGGTAAATATTCTAGTTGTAATTTAAAATGACGACTCTGAATATAAATGGAAATATTTAGAAGTGAACATATGACTTGATTTCAAATGCTTTCAGTTGGTATTCTAAAAGAAAAGGGTGATGTTTTCCTTATGGGAGATTCAAATAAAATTTAGAGGAATAGAATATTTTCAGAAAATCCATTGTAAATTCTTCTAAAGAAATCAGCAGGGCTGGGCGCGGTGGCTCACGCCTGTGATCCCAGCACTTTGGGAGGCCAAGGCGGGAAGATCACGAGGTTAAGAAATCAAGACCATCCTGGCCAACATGGTGAAACCCGTCTCTACTAAGAATACAAAAAAATTAGCTGGGAGTGGTGGCACGCGCCTGTAGTCCCAGCCACTCAAGAGGCTGAGGCAGGAGAATCACTTGAACTCGAGAGGCGGAGCTTACAGTGAGCCGAGATGGCGCCACCGCACTCCAGCCTGGTGACAGAGCGAGACTCCGTCTCAAAAATAAATAATAAAAAAAAGAAATCAGCAAAAATTTCAAAAACAATTATACAGTTACTTGTCATTTTTTTTCAATTGTTTTTGGTAACAAAATTAGAATCTTTTAGAAAAGGTTGCGTCAGTGTGAGGTGAAAGGGACCCGAATGATGCATAATGCCTCCGTCCCTCAAAAACCCTTTTTTTTTTTTGCAGGGGGTGGTGGTCAGGATAAGAGGTTTGTGGAAGTAAAGGTAAAGTTTTACAATTGGAAGCTTTCTTTCTAAATTCAGAGTTGTTTTCTCATGGAGTTTCTCAAGAACTTCTCTCTGACCTGTCTCAAGTTGTGACTGAAGTAGATACACAAGCAGAAATACCCACTAGATAGTTCTTTCTTTGCATGGTTTCATCTTGGTGTAATTCTAGCTTCAACCAGCTCGACATGCCCCTGGGAATATTAATGCAGCATTCTTTCATTTTTAAGTAAACTTGCTTTATTGAATTATAATATGCAAACTGAGAAGTGCACAAATCACACAGATAGAGCTCAGAGAACTGCCACCAAATCAGGACGCTGGAAAAGCACTAGGCAAATCCAGACATAGAATGATGAAAATCTTCACTGTGTTCTTTTGTAGCTCTGTCTAAGTCTTTTCTCTTTTTTTTTTTTTTTTTTGAGACGGAGTCTCGCTCTGTCGCCCAGGCTGGAGTGCAGTGACGCAATCTCGGCTCACTGCAAGCTCCGCCTCCCAGGTTCATGTCATTCTCCCGCCTCAGCCTCCCGAGTAGCTGGGACTACAGGCGCCCACCACCACGCCCAGCTAATTTTTTTTTTTGTATTTTTAGTAGAGACAGGCTTTCACCGTGTTAGCCAGATGGTCTCAATCTCCTGACCTCGTGATCCACCCGCCTCGGACTCCCAAAGTGCTGGGATTACAGGTGTGAGCCACAGCGCCCAGCCGCCTAAGTCTTTTATTCAACCTCATGTTTACCAAATTCATCATTCTGTTTCGCATGGCACTGGCTCATTCATTTTTCTTGCTATGTAGCCTTCCCAAAATCTCTTTATGGATCCTTTGTTGATGGTTACCTTGATTGTTTCCATTTTAGGATTATTAAGGAAATACTATCATGAAATGTATTGTACGTATGTCAGTAGGTTTACTGTGTGCAACATTTTCTTGGGCACATGTCTTGCAGTGAAAATTCCAGGTGCTGGGGAATTTACTCATTCAGCTTTAAGGTATTTTTGGTTTTGTTTTTGCTTTTGCTTTTTTAGGCAGGGTCTTGCTCTGTCACGCAGGCTAGAGTGCAGTGGCGTGATCATAGCTCACTGCAGCCTGGAACCCCTGGGCTCAAGTGATCCTCCCAACTCAGCCTCTAAAGTTGTTGGGAACACAGGTGCTTGCCACCATGCATGGCTAATTTTTTTAGTTTTTGTAGAGATGGGGTCTCACTGTGTTGCCCAGGCTGGCATGGAATTCCTGGCTTCAAGTGATGCTCCCACCTAGGCCTCCCAAAGTGCTGGGATTATAGGCATGAGGTACTATGCCCAGCCAGCATTAAGTTTTATATGGCAATTCAAAAGATACACATTCTGACCGGTTTTGTCAGTTTTGCTTTGTTTGAGCAATTCAGTTGAGTATTTAGTCCGATATCATGGTGGTTTATTTGCATTTCCTTGATGTTAGACATTTTTATTGTTTATTGGGATATTAGATATGCTGTTTTAAAAATCTGCTAAATTAGTCACACATTCTCAATTGGAATCCATTATATGTTTTGGACATAAAACCTAAATCCTTGTAGAATATATTTGTCACATCTATAAAGTTTTTTTTTTTTTTTTTTTTTTTTTTTTTTTTGGTGAGGCAGCATCCCACTATGTTGCCCAGGCTGGTCTTGAACTCCTGGGCCCAAGTCTCCCACTTCAGCCTCCAGAGTAGCTGGGGTTACAGGTGCACATGCTGTACCTGGAATAAACTTTTATTCTTGTCATGGCACCTTTTGCAGAACACAATATTTGCAGTTTAACTAAGTACAATTTACTGATCCCTTGATTAAGTAATGATGAAACACATTTGCATCTTCCTTGAAAAATGTTTATTTACCTCAACTCCAAAAAGAAATCCTCCTACTAACACTTTCTAAAAACTTTATTTTCTGTTCTATAGCTACTTCTATATAATCTATACTTGGAATCATTTGTTTTTGTTTCTGTTGTTTTGTTTTTTGCACATAGCACTAAGTGGGACTACATTATTCCCTCCAATTGATCTCCTGCCGAGTATTAAGAACATCCTATCCAAACTACATTTTTCAGAAAGCAAAACCTTATGTAGCTATCTGCCTATTTGTGGCTTACATGTGCTCCCAATATCAATAGAACATTGTCTATCACCTTCTCAGCTTGCATACTTCAATAAAACAAATGAAAGATACCGTATTGGAGAGACCAATAGGGTGGCCTCCTGTCAAAAACCAGGTAGAAAAAGAGACCCTCGGTACAACAGCCCTCAATAAATGGAATTCTGCCAATAACTATATGAACCCAGAAGAAATGAGCCTTTGTGTGAAATCACAGACCTGAATTAAACTTTGATTGGAGTCTCTAAAGAAACCAGGAAGCAGAGAACCCAGTCAAACTGAGCTCAGATTCCTCAAGCTGCAGAAGCTGTGAGATGATTTGCTGTTAATTTGGGAAGCTATTAGTTAGGCAGCAATAAAATTTTTAGTGGATGATTTAAAGATTCGACTTCCCATCCTTAAATTATCACTGTCTTGAATTAATAGTATCCTCCATCACTCCCAGGCAAAATCCTGGAGTCAATGTGGGATTTACTTGATGTTTTGCTTTGTTTTGTTTCTCCCTTAAGGATACCAGTCCTGTAACGATTTTGTTAAATACTCAAAACCAGTGTTTCTAAACGTTGTGTCTTACTTTGATTGTTTATAAACAGAAGGTAATTCTAATATCAGCTACTTTGTCATGGCCTAAACCCAGTGGTCTACTCTTACAGCATTTAAATACAGACACCATTTCATTATAAAAAATATTTGATCAAGAACATCCAAAATTTGGCATATTAATCTAATTGCTTACTCTTACAGTCATTTTATACTATTTTAGTCATTTTACATTACTTACTTTAGTTAACTTTAAAGTAAATCTTTATAACACACATACAAAAGTATAGCTGTTTTTTATATCTACCAGTAACATTCTGTGCTTTTCTTCCGCACATCATGTGTATTTCTCTACAAATTTAGATGTATAGTTGGCCTTTCAGCAACACAGATTTTAACTGCATGGATCCACTTATGTACAGATTTGTTTTTCAAAAATGTATTGAAAAATTTTTCAAAAATCTGCAACAATTTGAAAAAAAAAAACACACAGAAAAAAGCATGTAGCCTAGAAACGTTGATGAAAAAGAAAAAGGGAAAATTTGGTCATGAATGCGTAAACCATTCTTAGATTCTAGTCTATTTATGTGATAATCTACTGTTTATGTGTTCTGTGAGGCTTCTAGTTAACAGTAGGCATGTAGTAGTATTTTTTACTATGCAGGGGTCTGGTTCCCTTAACCCCCATTTTGTTCAAGGGTCTACTGTATATCTTGATAGATTAGATAGATAAAGATAGATAGATTATAGATATATCAATGGATAGATGAATGGATAGATAGACAGATTTGATAGGTAGGTACATAGGTAGGTAGGTAGGTAAGTAAATAGATAGATAGATACATGTACACATACACAGATACATAGATGCATGATATATAAGTAAATACATATAGATAGATTATAGATATTTCAATATATAGGTGGATAGATGTATAGACATATTTGATACATAGGTAGATAGATTAGATATATAGATGGATAGATTATAAATAGATCAATAGATGGATGGATGGATAGCCTCAATAGATAAGTAGATAGAGAGTTAGATAGGTAGATAGATAGATGATAGATAGATAGATAGATAGATAGATAGATAGATAGATTAGATATCTACACAGGTAGATAGATAGATTAGATATCTATATAGGTAGATAGATAGATTAGATATCTACATAGGTAGATAGATTAGATATATAGATAGATAGATTATAAATAGATCAATAGATGCATATTGGATAGCCTCAATAGATAGGTAGATAGAGAGTTAGATAGGTAGATAGATGATAGATAGATAGATAGACAGATAGATAGATAAAATAGACTGATTCATTAGATATATAGATAGATGAATAGATAGATATGATAGATGGATAGATGGAGTAGATAAAGGAATAGATAGGTGATCGATAGGTAGATAATACATAGATGATAGATGATGATGATGATAGATAAATAGCCAGCTAGCTAGATAGATAGATAGAAACTATAAGCATAATGATTTTTACATTAATTTTGTGAGTGCCACCCTCACATTAATCCAAATTGTTTATCATTATTTTTTTTTGGCTTTCTAGGCAGGCTATTATAGCACTTAAAAATAATAATTTTATTTTACTCCAGTTCAATATCATAACTCTTGTTTCATTTCTTAAAATTTTCCACCTAGACTACCCTGCAGGTTTAAATCACACTGATATACTGGTGGCTGTGGGTATTATTGCCTTGTCCTTGATTTTAATGGGATTGTTCCTCTTATTTTTATGTTAAGCATGATGCTGGGTATTAGTTTGAGAAAGTACTTTAGAAAGTATTGACTGTGAAATAATTCAATAAATACTTTGAAAATATATTTTTTCAAGTACTTTGTTTTTTAAAACATTCTAAAATACTTATTTTTAAATCAACATTTTTCCAAAAAATTCTAAACTATGTGAAAACTATTTTGGCAATCATTTTATGATAGCAATAAAAAGATCCAGGCTTCTTCAGATAATGATATTAATTTGGGAAAAAAAAACTGGGAATGGTTATCATTTAAGTCATGAAAAACTTCATTTTCCAAACAGAATATGTACTTCGAGCAGCCAGCAAGCCCCAGGCATTTATTTAACAATTATTTATTAGAACTTGCCAGGTTGTTCCTATAGTGTTTTTTTTTCCCCCAGTTTTATTGAGGTATAACGCTCCAATAAAAATTGTATGTATGTAATGTGGACAAGGCAATGTTTTGATATACCCATACATTGTGAAATGTGAAATGATTACCATGATCAAGGATAATATAACTACTGATACAGGAGTTTAAAAAAATTATTTAGGCAGATAGTGAGGGTAAGGAAGTCCTCAGTAAGGTTTCCGTTTTAATGAAAAGCAGCCCCCAAATCATTTCTTTTCTAACAAACAACAGCTTGTAAAATTGAGCTGCAGACATAGATAAGCAAGCTGGAAGCTTGCACGGGTAAATACCGGCAGCTGTGCCAATAGGAAAAGGCTACCTGGGGGCCAGACACATTCAACATGGAGGCTCCATCTTCCCTTTTCCTTGTTAACCACATGTACAGTAAGGAACAGGCAACAAGGCGCCAGCCAGGGAGAGACCCCATCTGCATAATAAAAGATTAGGGTGGGATGGCAAACGTCACACCTGGTCTGACCAATCTCTCGGGCCTTATGAAAATCAGACACTGCCTCCTCCAGCTTGTCTTTAAAGCCCCACTCATTTCACCAAGAAACCGGAAGAACCACTCGGGTTTCCCTCTCTCTCTGCAGGAGAGAGTACTATTCTCTTTTATCTTTCTTTCACCTATTAAACATCCACTCCCAAACTCACTTCTTGTGTGTCTGAGTCCTCGATTTCCCTGGCGTGAGACAACGAACCTTGGGTATTTCCCCAGATAAACGATGCCGCATCACTACCACCTCACAGAATTACGTGTGTGTGTGTGTGTGTGTGTGTGTGTGTGTGTGTGTGTGTGTGTGTGTGGCAGAGGGGTGGTAAGAACATTTAATAGCTCCTCTGTTAGCAAATTTCAAGTATATGTTATTCACTATAGTCACTATGCTATAGATTGAATCTTCAGAACTGCATCATTCTGCATTACTGAAACTTCACGTCGTTTCAGGAATACCTCCTCATTGCCGCCTGTTTTTCTAGACAGGCTACTATAGAACCTACAAATAATAATTTTATTTTTACTAGCTCACTAGCATTCAATAGCCCTTGCCCACAGAGCCTGGTAACCACCATTCCACCCTCTGCTTCTAGGAGTTGGAAATAATCTGTCTTGACTACATAGCAGCCTACAGAACATGCAAAGACAATCACAATAGTCTACAGAATGGACAATTTACAGGTAATTTTGTAGACGTTTACACATGATCTGTGCTTCTCAGTCTTAGGAAAAGTCTTCATAAAAAAAAATGACCTTGGATCTGGGTCCCAAACTAGGCAAAACAATGTGTTCGTGGTTCGGATACCCCTTTGAAAAATCAGCAGAAATAGATAACACTGTAATTAATTATCTGTAAATGTATCCACAATACTATCTTCACAAGTTTATGAACTGTGAACAGTTTGTGTTTTGGACAATAATTTACTAAAGGGTAGTCTCTGCATGTCTCAGGAATTTCTTATTTTTTAGTTTGTAAACTTTCAAATTAAATAAATATTTTCTGGTATAAGGCTAACCGATCCATTCTGCGATCAAGCTCCCAGTGACATGAGCTGTCTGCTCTAACAAACCAAAGACATTTAATTACAAAACACTCCATTGAAAAGTGTTCCACTGTCTATTAGCACGTTTCCTTTCAGCTTTACTTTATTTTTCCCCAACCATTAACTGCTTGTCCAGTTAAAGAGCAAGCAGGATTCTGTCAAAGTTCATCTCCCACAATTTAGCTCCTTCTGCTACATGTTATTTAAGTAAGTGGCCTCCGGAGAACGCAATTCAACGGTTGAATTAATAAAAACTCCACAACTCTATAATCCTTTGAGCACCAATACAGAAGACAGAGCCCTTAGATGTCTAGAATCAAAGAACCTGAAAAGGCTTATTTTTTCTTTCTTTCTTTTTTTTTTTTTTTGTAATTTGTTATCTCGACAGTGAACAATCTCTTTTAAGGGTTCAATTAAAGAAAAAACCAAGCAACGAAGAAATAAAAAGAGAAAACTAGATATCTGATATTTCAAATGTTAGTATTTTGCTTTTTCTTTTTTTCTGGAGTCTAATTTTTAATGACCTCTTGGTATTAAAATCATTCAAAAATATAATTATTTTTCAAGATTGGAAATAAGAAAGAGAACTTCTTTACGTGTTGAAAACTTCTGTTACTTTCAATTACTTCTATTACTTTCAATGGCAAATCCTCAACTACTTTTGCACCAACCTAATACACTGAAACATATTAAGATTGCTTTCATAGATCTTCCTCTTTGTCTTTCTCCCTCTCTCAAAAGAAGGGTGTGTCTCATATCAATTTTTACTTTCTAAAAAGTCAAAATTGTCTTTCCAATTTAGTATTTAATTTCCTCTTGAATTTTCTTTTATTATGTAATAAACCTGGGCAATAGATATCTTCAGTTTACAGGTGAGATAAAGGAAGTTCATAGATTTCTAGCTAATTGCCAGCTCCAGGTATCTACTAAGTATTCATGTCAATTTCTGAGTTGAAATCTACCCATTTTCAAAGATCATAATTTCCAGTAAAACACCAGGGTCTGAATAAACCTATCATCCTGGAGTAAAAAAGGAAGTGTACTGGGAAAGTAGCTTTTAGATGATGTTGGAATATTTCCTTATTAAATGATTAAGTGAATACTTACTCTTCTATTTAAATATTTTCCATTTTTTTCAAATTTATTTAAGTAAAATACTGTGAAAATGTTAGAATAACTTCCTCCAATATGTCTGTATGTCATGAGTACACGGAAAAAATTAAAAGAATAAAGTATATATGGCTGTGGGTTTGTATGTCTGTCTTTGTGTACATATATATGCAATTAATTATATTACATATGCAATATTTTATAAGATACATTTCTGTCCAAAAGATACAGATTTTTTATTGCTAAACAATGAAGAATTACATTATATATCATTTTATATAGTTTTATGTACTAAAACTGTGAAAAAAATTAGCATTTAAGGTATTTTTTCTTTTTACCATTATTTAAATGTTCATCAAGATTTTTTAAATTAATTACTCTTATGTACAGTCATTACAAAAACATATACTGCTCAAACCCTATTTTTAAAGAGAGTTGCATAATCATATGGTTTCTGTGTAAATGTATGATTGTTCTTACATGCATTTCTATAATTTTAAGTAACTTAAAATATCTGGCCAGGTGCAGTGGCTTACGCCTGCAATTTCACCACTTCGGGAGGCCAAGGCAGGCAGATTGCTTGAGCCCAGGAGTTCGAGACCAGCCTTGGGCAACATAGCAAGACCCTAGCTCTATCATTAAAAAAAAAATTAGAATCATTCAGATATATATACATATCCTATAATAGAATGAAGTTGCATATGGTTGGGTTTAAAAATCTTTTGATTTACTCATCAAGATAATTATATAAACAAACATTGTTCTATATATACATATATATATATATATATATATATATATATATACACTAGTTCAAGAAAAAAAAACATGTCTTTGAATGCAAAAGTATTTATTTCCTGGAAACAAAATCATAACATTGTGTTATAAATGCCCACTAATATCACCCATTTAGAAGAAGTTGTCATTTCTCATGGAAAATTCTTGATTTAAAATTAAGAGATCCTATTTATAAAGCAGCTATAGACCCTGTCTTATTTATAGACTATTGTAGCAGAAATTATTTTTACACATTTTATGGATCATTACTCTTATAGCATTAATGTAACATTTTAAGTTGATTTTTCCTTTCTTTTCTTTTTGATTATAGACTAATATGTACCTTTTTGACAAAAACATAAAACTCAGGCAAGCATAAAGTAAAAAATAAAATTATTTCCCTATTCTAAAGCTCTCAACTACCTGTAAAAGGTTTAATTGTTTTTCTTCTCGCTGCAAGTACAGATTGGATTGCAATGGATTTCATAGATGTGCATATTAAGAGTTAGTAAAAGACATGTAAATTAAGATTTCTACAGGTATTTATAGACAAAGATTTAACAATGCCATTCTTACTCATGAACACTCACATACAATTGAGACACACTCAAAGATAAGTAATGATAAGTCATTTATGTATTTATGTTTTTAAGTAAGTGATTTATGTATTTATGTTTTAAGTAAAGTTTAATGTTGTAAACTTTCTATTTAAGAAACATCTCAATGGCCATCGTCATCATGTTGAGAGTTCTAACAGATTAGAAAGTGAAACACTGAAATTTGAGAGTTTGTCAAGGTTGTCAATGACTGAGAGGATAAATGGCATATTAACAAATTTCGGTCTTAAATAGATCTTGAGTTGATTGATAAGCCAAGAAACATATAAGATTATAAAGTAACATTTTCCAATAATCTTAACATAAATAGATCAAGTTAACATGAAAATATTTTTAAAACATAGCATCATAAGCCAGGCTTCACATTTTCCTTGAAGAAATGTTAACTGCCCTCGGGACATTTATATGCACACATTAGATATGGTTTGAATAATTTCAGAAAATATTTTAATGGCATGTCCTTTAATAACCTCAGGAGGTACTTTCTTGAAAAGAACATGTAGTTAATATCTTTGAGCACCTAGATTTTTGTGTGTGTGTGGCTTAAAAGTTCTTGGGAACCAAAGTTATCTCAAGCAACCAAAATTAGATATTCAGTAACATTCTAAGATTATTTGTTTCTCAGTGACCAAGAAGTAGAAAATTTGGTATGTCTCATCATTAATGGGAAGACTGGTGAAAACAAAATTTGATTCAAGGAGATAAGTTATTTCAGCAGGGGTCGGCAGTAGGGGAGAACAGAGTCTCACTCTGTTGCCCAGACTAGAGTGCAGTGGTGCAATCATGGCTCACTGCAGCCTCCAATTCTTGGACTCAGGTGATGAACTATTCATCACAGCCTCCCAAGTAGCTGGGACAACAGGCATGTGCCACCTTACCCGGCTAATTTTGCTTTGGTATGTTTCTGTTTTTGTTTTTGTAGAGACAGGGTCGCACTATGTTGCCCAGGCTAATCTCAAACTCCTGGCCTCAAGTGATCCTTCTGCATGGGCCTCCCAAAGTGCTGGGATTACTGGTGTGAGCCACTGTGCCTGGCCCGATTCATGGAGATAAGTCCTTTAGAAGTGTAATGGCATTCTTGATCCACCTGATGTACATCATAGATTTATTAGAAGGTCTTATTAGACTTTTCTAAATGGGAAAATGTTAAATTTCCCCCAGTTCAGCTATTTTGATTCCACATTTGACACATAAGACAAAAATATAGATTGGTTTCATATTTGGGTGTACAGGAAAGCTTATAGATTTAAGATGGGAGCACATTTAGAAATTTGGCTCCAAAATGTGCTTACATCCTATGTCTACATTCTTTCTTTTTTAATCCCCCACAACATTGTACTCCATATTTTTTTGTGAATAATTATCTATTTGTTGTGTATACAAGATGTGTCACATACAGTAGATATAAAATGGGAGATATTCATAATGAAAGGAAAATATCTTTTGATAGTTCTACACAAAGAAATAGATATTTAAGAAATGTGTTTCTGAAGAAAAATACATTGTTAATATTTATAGAGACATCAATTCATGCAGATTCCTAAGTTTGATTAACTTCATATCAATAAGCAAGCAGGGAGATGGTGATGTGTGAAATTAGGAGATAAGTCACTTATATTTGCTATACCAGGATGATTTTTCTTTGATTAGACTAATTTCAGGTATAGAAGTTCAGCTTCATCAGAGGAAGTATGCATGTTTAGTAGTCTTCAATAAAAATCTAAATTTATCTTTACAAAGCAAGTATAATGTAAGTGGTCTGTAGTTCATCAATTCTGGCCTTGATTAGTACAAATTAGATAATTCATATTACATATATTTGGCTTTTTTCTTAGTAGCATACTGTAAAAGTGGTACTTAGCACTGGTTCCTCTTTTTGCTAATTATGGAATATTGGACATGCTCTGCCTCTACAAAAAAGCATTAATTCTTGAGGACAAGATCACGTTCATTCCAGCTTAATGCCCTGCATGTCAGAGAATATGGTTAAACATGAATATCCTGCCTCTTAATTGTCTTTCCTGTCTACCTAGATGAAGAATACTGTAAACATTGTTTCTTTTTTTATTTTTTGCAGAGACAGGTTCTTGCTATGTTGGCCAAGCTAGTCGTGAACTCCTGGCCTCAAGTGATGCTCCCTCCTGAGCCTCCCAAAGTGCTGGGATTACAGGTGTGATCCACAGTGTGCCTGGCCAGAAAATATTGTTTCAATGCTTGACACTAAAGCAAATAGGTGTGGTCCTTGTTAAGAGGAAATATTTGAGAGTCAGAGCAGTGCATATACAGAGAAGGGTTCCCAGAGCAGGCGTGAAACACAATCTTGGAAAGAGGAAATGCACACGTTCCACAACCACCTACAGAACATTCTTGCTCCTAATGTGGCTGTCTGTGTCATTTTGCCCCTCGTGGATCCTTATATATCCAGTGCCTTTGAGGTTTTTTAAAATGCTATTTTATTTTAAATAAATTTCATTGTGTATATTGAAGGTTTACATCATGATGCTATGAGATAGTAAGATGGTTACTATAGTGAAGAAAACTAACATACCTATCATTAAGATGTTACTGTCACACAGTTAAAGGTTAGTGACAAGATGAGCTAAAATCTACTTATTTAACAAAATCTCTAATAAAGTGCAATTTATTAACTGTAGACCTCGTGATGTACATTACATTTTTAGACTTGTTAATTCTACATATCTGATTCTTGGTATCCTTTGAGCTACATCTCCACAGCCCTGCCCCTGATAACCACTGTTTTATTCTCTATTTCTGTATATTTGACCATTTTTTTGTTTCATTGTTTGTTTTAGATTATACATAGGAGTGAGAAAATGCAATATTTTCTTTCTGCATCTGGCTCATTTCCCTTAGCATATGGTCCTCTAGGTCCATTCATGCTGTTTCAAATGGAAAGATTGCCTTCTTTTTAATGCTGAATTGATAGATACATAGATAGATATAGACAGATGGATGAGAAACATAGATAGACAGATGAAAGATAGATAGACAGACAGGTAGATAGAAAGATTAGATACACAGATAGATAGCATAGATTAAACAGGTAGATAGATATAGATAAATAGGTAGATAGCAGACAGAAAAATAGGTAGATAGATACATAGATTAGACAGGTAAATTAGATAGGTTGATAGATATGATAAATATTATAGATATGATAGGTAGATAGGTAGGTGGGTAAATAGAAGTAGATAAGATAGGTAGGTAGATAAATGATAGATACATACATACATAGATAGGTACATAGATGATAGATAGATAAAGTATATGGATAAATAAATAGATGATAGATAATAGAGAGATGATAGATAGATAGGTAAGTACATAGGTAGATACCAACTTTTCTTCAAGCATGCATCCATTGATGGACACTTAGGTTGGTTCCAGATCTTGGCTCTTGTGAATAGTGCTGCAACGAACATGGGAATGCAGATATCTTTACAAGATGGTGATTTAATCTCTTTTGGGTATATACCCAGAATATGGATTGTTGGATCATATGGTAGTTCTATTTTTAATTTCTTTAGCAACCTGCATACTGTTTTCCAGAATGGCTGCACCAATCTACATTCTTGCCAAAAGGGTGCAGGTGCTCCCTTTCCTCCATATCAACATCAACATTTGTCATCTCTCGTCTTTTTGATAGTAACAATCGTTTTGCAGAGATGTGCCATTATGCAATCCAAAAATGCACATAAGGATATTAGCGTCAGCATTTCGGGAGCTGGTACCATGCCAGGTAAAAATAAGGGTCACAGTGCAAGACTTTCCAAAGAGTTCTCCACACAACCTGCACTCAGAATGTGCAGCATTGAGCTGGGCAACATAGTGAGGCCCTGTCTCTACAAAAAAATAAAAAATATATATAGCCTGGTGTGATGGCACGTGCCTGTAGTCCCCAGCTACTATAGAGTCTGAGGCAGGAGGATTGCTTGATCCCAGGAGGTCGAGGCTGCAGTAAGCTGTTATTACGCCACTGCACTCCAACCTGGGCAGCAGGATGAGACCGTGTCTCAAAACAAAATAAAACAAAACAAAAAGAACGTGCAGCATGCAGGAAAAAAATAAAGGTCTTATTGAAATATTTGCTGAGAAAATCTTACACATCCTATCCAATCCATGAAGAGTTCTTATGTTTACCAGGACAACTCTGGAAGCTCGAGAGTCAATAAACATGTCATAGCTTGAACTAATGCTTCCCAGACCTATTTAGTTAAAAAATGCTGATCTTTTCTTGTCATTTCTAGTAACATCTATGAAGACCTGAAAACATTTTCAGAACCATTTATATTGCATTTATTAAACTTACAATTTAAGTCAATTAGGTTCAAATGAGATTAAAGCTGGTGAATTTTCTTTCTTCCCAATCCAATTTAAACAACATATGTCTGGAATCTTTCTCTCAAATGTCATTAAACTGTAAATTATTTTACAACTTCTCACCAGTGAGTAAGTGAAAATATGAGTCCTGGAATTTGTATGATGTGCACATTTGGATGAATACTAATTTTTGAAATGTAGATGAAGTATTAAGATGAAACAATGAACACCTTTATATTTAGTATATCTACACTAATTTGTGTGCATATATCTGTGAAAGTATTATATATACTTCATATAATACAGAAAATAATTACTAGTAAATTCGTAAGTTGCCTTATTTCCTTACAGTCCTACTTTGACATCTCATTTCAATGTTCTTTTTAATCTTCTGTTTTTACAATGAAGGACCCAGTGTCTTAAAATATAGTAGGAAAACTGGAAATTCCAAAAGATTTTTTAATCATTGTTAGGTGCTATTGAATGAATTGTTTCCAGAAAAATGTGTATATTGAAATCTGAACCCCCAAGACCTCATAATGTGGCTGTATTTGTAAATAGGGTCTTTAAAAAAGTGATTACGGTAAAATAAGGTCACCAGGGTGGGCCCTGATCCAATAGGACTGGTGTCCTTATAAGAAAACAAGATTGACTGGGCATGGTAGCCCATGCCTGTAATTCCAACATTTGGGAAGGCTGAGGAGGCTGGATTGCTTGAGTCCAGGAGTTTGAAGCCAGCCTGGGCAACATGGTGAAACTCCATCTCTACAAAAAAAAAAGAAAAAAATTAGCTGGGCATGGTGTTGCACACACACCTGTAGTCCCAGCTACTTGGGAAGCTGAGGTGGGAGGATCACCTGAGCCCATGAAGCAAAGGTTGCAGTGAGCCGTGATAGTGCTACTGCACTCCAGCCTGGGTAACACAGGGAGAACCTGTATCCAAAAATAATAATAATATTAGTAGGCTAGGTGCGGTGGCTCAAGCCTGTAATCCCAACACTTTGGGAGGCCAAGGTGAGTGGATCACTTGAGGTCAGGAGTTCGACACCAGCCTAGCCAACATGGTGAAACCCCATCTCTACTAAAAATACAAAAAATTAGCAGGGCATGGTGGTGGGTGCCTGTAATCCCAGCTACTCGGGAGGGTGAGGCAAAAGAATCTCTTGAACCTGGGAGGCGGAGGTTGCAGTGAGCCAAGATAGCACCATTGCACTCCAGCCTGGGCAACAAGAGTGAAACTCTGTCTCAAAAAAAATAATAACAATAAATTTAAAAAAGAGGAGATTAGGACATAGACACCACACACAGATGGATGATCATATAAGGACACAGAGAGAAGATGGTATCTATGAGCCAAGGAGAGAGGCCTGACAAGGAACCAGCCCTGTCTACACCTTAATCTTAGCCTTCCAGCTCCAGGACTGTGGGGAAATAAACATCTGTTGTTTAAGCACACTGGTCTGTGGAACTTTGTTATGGCAGGCCAAGCTGACTAATACTGTGGGTATAAAGAATTATATGAAAATGAAACACATTTTAAAATCATAAAGTTATTTACACCAAGCTGGTCTTAGGGTTCCCTGGGAAATAGAATTTGAGAAGAACACTTGTATGTGGAAGATTTGGTGGGGAAAATGCTTTTTTTTTTTTTTTGAAACAGGGTCTTGCTCTATTACCCAGGCTGGAGTGCAATGGTGCGATCTTGGCTCACTGCAGCCTCTACCTCCTAGATTCAAGCAATTCTCCCACCTCAGCCTCCTGAGTAGCTGAGACTACAGGCGTGTGCCACCATGCCCGGCTAATTTTTGTGTTTTTAATAGAGATGAGATTTTGCCATGTTGGCCAGGCTGGTCTTGAACTCCTGACCTAAGGTGATTCACCCACCTTGGCCTCCCAAAGTGCTGGCATTACAGGCATGAGCCACCAGGCCCAGCCAGGAGAATGCTCTTAAACAACCCTCACAGGCATTGAATTGAAAGGCGGAGACCTGGGGAGTAGGAAAGCATCATTCCGTGTAGGTGCAGCAGGGGTCTCCGCTGGGAGTACTAAAGTGTCTCCTGCAACTCTTTAAACCTGGAAAAAATTCCTAAACTGTGGGTGACACCTGTCATCAAACATCATGAGTGGTAGATACAAAGTATGTCAGATTAGTATCTTCTATCCTTCTTCAAAGATATTCCTCATTGCACTCAAGTTAACAGAAATAGTTCTATGACCACAGTGGTCTCTAGATAAGATCACTGGTGTTTTGAAACAGCACCTCGTCACCAAGTCATTGATTCACTTAAGCAGACTTGAGAGGAGATACTGCACTTCCTTTCTCCTTGGCATCTGATATGGTTTGGCTCTGTGTCCTCACCCAAATCTCATTTTGTAGCTCTCATAATTCCCATGTGTTGTGGTAGGGACATGGTGGGAGATGATTGAATTATGAGGGAGGGTCTTTCCCGTGCTGTTCTTGTGATAGTGAGTGGGTCTCATGAGATCTGATAGTTTTAAAAACGGCAGTTGCCCTGCACAAGTTCTTTTTGCCTGCTGCTATCCATGTAAGATGTGGCTTGCTCCTCCTTGCCTTCCATCATGATTGTAAGTCATCCCCAGCCATGTGAAACTCTAAGTCCAATTAAACCCCTTTCTTTTGTAAATTGCCCAGTCTTGGGTATGCCTTTATCAAAAGCATGACAAGGCACTAATACAGCATCTCTAGTACTGCCTCCATGGAAATCAGTATGGGGTTTCTCCAAACACTAACAATAGCACTACCATATCATCCAACAATCCCACTGCTGGGTATTTATCCAACAGAAAGGAAGTCAATATATGAAAGGGATACCAGCACCCCCATGTTTGGGGTGCAACACATATCAAACACAGTGATGTATGAAATATTGTTTTCATTGATACTACTGATCTCAATATAAAAATGTGGTTATGATAATCACATGTTATAATACAGGTGAGAAATTGGGAAAAGACTCATAGCATTTAGAAACTATGGATATTCATTAATTATATGCACTAATTAGCCAGATTGAGAAATGATGGTTAATCTACTCATACTCATATTGCAGCACTGTTCCCAATAGCCAAGATGTGAAATCAACCTAAGTGTCTATCAAAGGATGAATGGATAAAGAAAATGTAGTATATATACACAGTGAATTACTATTCCACCTTTAAAAAAAAAGGAGGAAATTCTGTCATTTGCAACAACATGGATGGAACTGGAGGACATTATGTTAAGTAAAATAAGCATTCTACATGTTCTCACTCGTATGTGGAAGCTACAGAAGTGGATCTCATGGAGGTGGAGAATAGAATGGTGGTCACCAGTGGCTGAAAAGAGTAGTGAGAGATGGGAGAAAAAAGGGATGGTTTATAGGTACTAAAATACAGTTTGATAGAAGGAATGAGATTTGGTGCATCATAGCACAATAGGATGAATATAGTTTATGATTTATTGTATATTTCAAAATAGAAGAGTATATTTGAAACCTTCCTAACACAAAGTAGTGATAAACGTTTGAGGTAACTGATATCCCAATTACCCAGATTTGAACATTACACCTTGTATGCCTGTATTAAATATCACAAGTACCCCATAAATATGTACAACTATGATGTATCCATTAAAAATGTTTTAAAAAGAAAGTTATATCTGCTCTGTTCCACACTATGAGTTTTGTCTGACATGTGTAAATTCAATGTTTTTACATACACATCTGACTCTAAAATACATATGCCCCACAGACATTTTAATAATAAACTTATATATATTTGTATATTTCTCTCTCATTAAATTTTGTACGTAAATAATAGTTACATTTTGTAGCCATTTGGAGTTTTCACTTGTATTTTTCCAGGCATTTTGATCAGAATTTGGGGGAAGACATATCACACACAGTGATGTGTGAAATATTATTTTCATTGATATTGCCCATCTCAATATAAAAATGTGGTTATGATAATCAGGTGTTATAATACAGGGGAGGGATTGTGACAACCTCATAGCATTTAGAAACTAAGGATGTTAGTTAATTATATGCACTAATTAGCCAGATTGAGAAATAATGGTTAATTTATTCATACCAGCCTTTGGAAACACGAATTAGAAGAGATGGAAAGTATGAAGACAGTTAATACAATTCATTGGCCTTTAGTATCCAAAAGCCTCATGTGTGGAACACCTGCTAAAGAGTATGGCTTGTCGACTTACAGCATAGTGTTATTTCATCGCTGGAGGTAGAGATCACCAAGGGAAGGTATTTCTTCCTAAACAGTTCTTAACCAAACCATAGATAGATAGGTAGACAGATAGGTAGATAATAGGTAGTTGATAGATGAATAGATATAGAGAGATGATAGATAGTAGATAGAAAGATGGTGGGTAGATGATAGATGGACAGATAAATATAGTTAGATGATAGACATAGATAGATGATACATAGATACAGATAGATGACAGATGGATAGTAGATAATGATAGATAGATGATAGATAGATAGATAGATAGATAGATAGATAGATAGATAGATAGATAGATAGATAGATGCTGATAATAGAACAGAGCCTATAAGAAACAGAGCTAGGCTTCAGAAAAAAAATATTGCCCCTAAAGTATGCAGTGAATGAGTAGGGGATTGAGAAACAAATTCATTGAGAAGAGTAACTTTGTATTATTATTTTCCATGAATCACTTTTAAGAAAAAGATACACATAGGCTAAACTCTTTTTTTGGCAGCCAAAGATTATTTATTCTCTATTTTTTTTTTCAGTACTTAGATTACCACGTGATGAGAAGGATATAAGTAGGCTAAACTCTTTTTCAGGCAGCCAGTGATTTTTTTTTCAGTATTTAGATTACCATATGATGAGAAGGACAGATAATCAGACTCATTGCCACTCAATTGTGGAAAAGTTCACATGTTGTGCTACGTATTATATACATGAATTTGCAATGAAGCTGAAGACATAAGTATAGAATGTTGTTGGTGTCTGAATGGACAGTAAGTCATAGGTGGTGGCATATTAACCAGTCAGATAGTTGTCAAAGCTAATGGTTTGCAAACACTGACTTGTAGAGATTCCTGAAAATTCCAGCATAATAAAAGAAATGCTATGAAATCTGTGAAAATGTTTAAAATGTAAGAAAGAGAACCAATCTATACAAAGATAAACGGGAAATGTACTCCTGTTAAAAAGACTTAGAAATGGAAATGGAAGAAACCTTAGATGGTTTTGAGTGACCAAAACAGAGAAAAGATAGACTTAGTGAAGCGAGAGAGAGAGAGAGAAGGGAGTGCAGGGCAGGGCACCATGGCTCATGCTTGTATCCCAGCATTTTGGGAAGCCGAGGCAGGAGAATCACTAGGGTTCAGGAGTTGGGGACCAGCCTGGGCAACATAGCAAGACCTTGTCTCTACTGAAAATTTTAATAATTAGCCAAGTGTGGTGGTAGACACCTACAGTCCCACCCAAGGGGAGACTGAGGCAGGAGGATCATTTGAGCCTAGGAGGTAGAGGGTGCAGAGTGAGCCGTGATCACACCACTGTACTCCAGACTGAGCAACAGGGCAAGACTCTGTCTCAAAAAAAGGAGGGGTAGAGAGAAGGAGGAGGGAAGGAAGGAGAACAATGAGAGAGAGAAAAAGGAAGGGAGGAAAGAAGAAATGAGAGAAGCAAGAGAGGGAGGGGAGAAAGGAAGGAGAACAAAGAAAGGGAAGGATAAAGAGGAAGGAAGGAAGGAGGGAGGGAGAGAGGGAAAGAGGGAGGGAGGGAGGGAATGAAAGAAGGAAACAAGGAAGGAAAGGAGAGAGAGATGTGGCATGGTACGTAGAGAGTGAACACTCAGCTCTTATTAGTTCTTTCTAAAACTGCCAACCAACAGTGTCCCCCCACCTCAGCAGGGGGGCCACCTAGTTCCACTGCCCTCTCTCAGTTCTCTTTCTGTCTCTATCTTCTGTCTGTCAAAGTTCTTTAACACCAGTGTGAGGAAGTGTCCCTGATTGTCTTCACCCAACATGACCTATCTCTCCTTGCCAAACAGTTGCTACCATATTCATCTCTCATTTATCCTATGCCAAGAAACTTGGTCATTTGGTTTAAAGGAAAGGGACATCTCAGAGCTTTACTTCTATCTATGATATGTGTTCATCAGAGAATTACAAAACTACTGTGAACATAAACTTCCCATAAAGAAATATATGGTGCTTTGCTATGTTCAGAAAATGTCCTATGCACTTTATAAATAATAATTTAGATGATTGTATATTTTTATCTTGTATTAATCATAGGTGGTTAAATCAACTTCATGACAGTTGAAAAGATCGAGTGAAGTTAAATAACTAGATAATATATGTATACAATATTGCATATAAAAGTATACAAAACATATGTAATTATTAATACTTTGTATTTAATATAATAGTAATACATTCCTGTGAAATAGAAATTCCAGAGCCATCATGGCTGACAGAGTTTATACGTTTGAGATACGAGAATGCCCACTGATATTTTATCAGCCAATTTCTAATTTTGGGTATATAAGTGGGAGATAGCCATACATCACACAAGATCTGGGGTAAGCATTGTATTCATTATTGAGCCACTTAAAAGATGTCTTCACCTTATAATCAAAATAAACATCTTTAAAGTATGGAAGGAGGGAGTGATGATTGAATTGTCTTACTGTGTTTTTAAAATAAAATATTAATAAAATGTGACGTTCATATGCCTAAGAGAGTAAGCTGCTATTTACTGTTGAAGATAGAAGCCTTGAAATGACTTTTGTTCAATGTAGACATACCACTAGCTACTCACACTTTAAGCATTGAGTATTTAAGCATCCATATGTCTGAGTGCAGTTGTTTTCTCAACACAGTAGTCCAAAAAAAAAAAAAGAAAGAAAAACCAAACCAACCCAAACTCTGACAGCACCGTAAGCATGTTACAGGTAAATGCTTATGTTTGCAATGGCTACTTGGCATTTCAAAATGATTACAATCTCACTGAACAAGCTAAGCACTAATTTTGCATTTCAGCGATCTGTCTTTCAGTATTTACATCATGTCTAAAATAATTTCTCAGAGATGGCTGGGTGGTTCTGCATGTTAGGTCCATGTGGGTCACTGGTTCATTTTTGAGTCATTTATACTGGCAAGAAATTGCAGCTCCTAGAAATTTATGCTAGCACAGTATACAAGCAACATTAATTACCCTTCCTTAAGATCAACAATTTTTAGTTTATTATTAAGAAAGGTAATCAGATTACTGTAACCACTGACAAGCAATTAGTTCCAAACATTACATTTTTAGCATGTAGAATGAACTTAACCTAGGGATATTTCTGTATTTAATGCAGCACAGTTTTATGATTTTGTTCAGCTCTTCACGTTTATCCAGATTTTCTATACTTGTAAACAGAGCATTTGCATACTGTCCCAAAATCAAACTATGTGCTAGTGAAAATAACTGGCCTGTTCACTACTTTTTTATATGACTGTTTTAATCATTCATCAAAGTGTGTGAATTTCACCAACTATAGCCAACTGGATGTAATTTTATTGATTATTTATGTTGAGCCTTAAGTAAAAATGAGCAAGAGATGTAGTCATCCAGACTTAGGACACAGAAACATCAGAAAGGAAGAGCTTTTCCAATCTGAATGCAGGAACTTCTCCCAAACTTCAAGTTCTGCAGTTAGTGGATTACAACAGCAATAGCTTTTCTTCACTTTTTTGTATCTATTAGGTATTCATGTTAAACTCAAGAAAAGAGAAATTATCATTTGATTAGTAGTTTATTCAGTACTTTCTGTTATCTCAAGATTCATGTTGTTTCATCCTAGCTCAGAAAATAAACAAATTGAGGTAGAATAAAGGGAACAAAAACAAGAAAGAAATGAAGTCAAGGGTGAATTTGAGCAGAATGAAATGTGAAAAATGAAATGGAAAAGGGGAATAAAAGAAAAATATTCACTGTTTCCTCTGGGTTTTACAGAGAATGTGAATTTTAAAGCCACATACTAAAATGCCATCTAAAATAGTAAATATCAAATATTTTGTTCTCTTCAACTCACTTCTATTTGTTTCTTTATTCTTCAAAGTTATCTTTCACCATAGTCTACCATACACAGAGGAAGGCCATTTCCACAGAGGTGCTGGGATTTTAAGGGCAGTAGAAATTTCCCTGATCTAAATTAGCCACACAGATGTCTGAGATGCCTGGGACATCAGTCATCCTTTGGCTTGAGAACTTGGAGGCTCTCATGTAGATAAGAATGTATTTCATGAAAAGGAAAAAAAATGCAAGAAACAAAAGATCTGGGTAGGTGATTGCTCAAGTTTATGTTTCTGGACACCTATTATTTCTACTTTTTGCAGAGAGAATAAACAAAGAAGAAAGAGAGAGAGAGAGAGAGGTCATCTGTGGATTGTAGCTTGGCGAGTGCCCATGAGTTCCACTTTGCCTTGTGATGTGATAAGGTATAGATAGATAGATAGATAGATAGGTAGATAGACAGATGATAGCTAAATAGACAGATAATAGATAGATGATAGATGGATAGATGATAGATAGTTGATAGATAAATAATAGAGATAGATACGTAGACAGACAGATGATAGCTAAACCGATGATAGATAGATGATAGATAGATGGATAGATATATGGTAGATAGACAGGTGATAGATAGATATAGATAGATAGATGATAGATAGATGATAGGTAGACTGATGATTGATAAATGATAGACTGATGATAGATAAGTTATAGATAGATGATAGATAGATGGATAAATAGACAGATGATAGATATAGATAAATAGATGATAGATGATGATAGATAGATGACACATGGGGATAGATGATAGGTGGATGGATAGATAGATATTTGATAGGTCGATGATAGATAGATAATAGATGGATAGATGGCAGATAGATAGTAGATAGACGGCTAGATAGATGATAGACAGATGGTGGATGATAGATGACAGATGGATAGGTAGATGATAGATGGATAGATAAATGGATAGACAGATAAATAGATGATAAACAGATAAGGCCAGGTGTAGTGGCTCACACCTGTAATCCCAGCACTTCGGGAGGCTGAGATGGGTGGATCACCTGAGGTCAGGAGTTTGAGACCAGCCTGGCCAAAATGGTGGAACTCCATCTCTACTGAAAATACAAAAATTAGCTGGGTGTGGTGGCGCACGCCTGTAATCCTAGCCACTTGGGAGGCTGAGGCACAAGAATCGCTTGAACCTGGGAGGTGAAGGTTGCAGTGAGCCAAGATTGTGCCACCGCACTCCAGCCTGGAAGACGGAGTGAGACTCTGTCTCAAAAATAAACAAAAAACAAAAAAAGAGAAACAGATAGATAAATGAGATAGATAGGCACACATAGATATAGATAAATGTAGAGAGATAAATACAGATGCAGAGATAAATGAAGATAGATATAGATACAGGTATATATATATATAGACACGTGTGTGTGTGTGTGTGTGTGTGTGTGTGTGTGTGTCTTATAATGGTTCCACTCATCTAATTAAACCCTGACTGATTGACCCAACAATATTTATCTATCTATATTTATTTATCTATATCTATACATAGAATATATATAATATTCATAGATATATTGATTAAATATGTATAGATAAATATATATAATAACCAATTGTGTGTAGTAATGGAATCAGCTTAATAATCAAATGTATCCATTTTGTAAATAAGCTTTTTCTAATCTAAAAATCTCATGAATGTTTTATTACCCAAAACCTTCCCCATTTATTTATCCAAACACTCTGTCATCAAAAGCTAATGCATGCCTAGTGTATACAACACTATCAGAGATATAATTATAGCTCTAATGAAGAAAACATGAACAATGCCCTCCAAAATCATATTTATTCATGAAGAGGATCATGATTAGACAATTAAGAAATTAGCTATAAGAACTTTGGAAAGGCACATTTAAAGAAGCCTAATGGTTAGATAAATTGATTGCAACTGAGATCATTGAAAAACCTGAGCCTTTTACTGGACAATCAAAATAGAAACACTTAGGGAGAGAAGGCATAAAGGATATTCAAAGAGTAATACTCTTTATTACAGTTTGATCATTAAATGCCAGGCATCACCATGTAATTTTTAATACATAGTTCATTCTTACACAAATACACTTCAGGATTCCCTATTTGAAGATGATATTACAAAGGAGTCACAGCTGGGAGATCGTGTGATTGACATGATTCATTTCCCAAGCTCCTGCCATCTATTCATCCAATAAATATTTATGATTGCTTACTTTACATGTTACCATAATTTCCTGTTCCAAGAGAGTCCATCTGAGCATAGCCCAAAATGATGGAGATTAGGGTGTGGAGACTATGCAGCTAGGTAGATTTGGAACAAAACACAGAGGTGCCTAGATGTACTGCCTGCATGGATTGACTACCATTGATTCTCCAAGTCCTGCTGAGCTGCCTGGACTTCATTCTTTATGTAAAGTAGAACAATTGATAGCTCCCTGTTAAGTGATCCTCTTCTAAGAGGGTCAGTTTTTGAATAATGAAGAGGATCCTTATTCAAAGGATCGTTCTGAATAAACAACTATGTTGTTTTTCTTGCGAATTGTTTTCAGGGGAACTAGCAAATATCAAGTTTGATCTGAGAAGAATTGGAATGCCTACTATAATAATAGGCATGGGCAGAATAAAAAATTAATTATACAAAGATGCAACCTTAGAAGTGACAGCAGGCAGAGTTGGATTTAATGGGAAATTCTACAAACCTGTCCAGAAAGAGGTTGTTGTCATGTTATTTAAAATAAATGTATCAGGACAGAGAGACATATGTGCAATATTTCAATTAGTGCAATGAGACTGGTATAAGCTGAAAAAGGACAGAGAATGATTCAACATTGTTAAGGAAAGAATGAGAGTAGAACACTGAGTTAGCACACAGACAGTTCTCTTACTATTTTATTTCCTCTAAGACAAAGAAAAACAAGATGGTACTGAGCATGAGAAATGAAACTGCAGAAGTTTCTGTGTTCTCATATTGGAGTCAAGAGAGTGTGTTTGTTTGCTCATGAGAAAAATACAGAGAGAAAGACTCATGGTGAAATAAGAACATGAAAGAAATCCATAACCAGGTAGAGATTTAAGTGTTTGATAAAAGTAGGCACATTTGATCTATTAAAATATGAGTCAGGCAAAGTCAAAATACGGATAGTTCTTTCAGGTTGATGGATTAGAGATCAGCCCCTCTTCTGGTGGGTTTCATGTTCTCAGTGAAGTATAAGGCATTGTCTTCAGGGAGAGGGCTTGAATGTCCTCTAGTAAAAATATTTAAAGTAGAGAGAAAGACATCTGAAATACTTGTCTCCGAAGGACATTGTTACCCTAAGAAGATGAATGGATAAAGCAAATGTGGTATACACAAACAGGACTAAAACCAGATACCACATGATTATCTCAATAAAGTCAGAAAAGGGTTTCAATAAAATCCAACATTCCTTCAGGTAAAAAACCCTCAACAAACTGGGCATCAAAGGTACATACCTCAAAATAATAAGAGCCATCTATGACAAACCCATAGCCAACATCATACTAAATGGGCAAAAGCTGGAAACATTCCCCTTGAAAACCAGAAGAAAACAAGGATATCCTCTCTCACTACTCTTATTCAACATAGTAATGAAAGTCCTGGCCAGAGCAATCAGGCAACAGAAAGAAATAAAAGGCATCCAAATAGGAAGATACTAAGCCAAATGATCTCTGCCGATGATATGATTCTATACCTAGAAACCATGATAGACTCTGCCCAAAGGCTCCTAGACTGGATAAAGAACTTCATCAAAGTTTCAGTACAGAAAATCAGTATACAAACATAAATAGCATCCTATACATGAACAACATCCAAGCTGAGAGCCAAATCAAGAGCACAGTGCCATTCACAATAGCCACAGAAAGAATAAAATAACTAGGAATACAGCTACCTAGGCAGGTGAAAGCTCTCTACAATGAGAATTAATAAACTCTGCTCAAAGAAATCAGAGATGACACAAACAAATGGACAAAACATTCCATGCTTGTCGATTGGAAGAATCAATATTGCCAAAATGGTCATACTACCCAAAGCAATTTACAGATTCAATGCTATTGCTATCAAACTATCAATGACATTCTTCACAGAACAAGAAATAACTTTTAACATTCATACAGAACCAAAAAACAGCCCGAATAGTCAAAGCAATCCTAAGCAAAAAGAACAAAGATGGAGGCATCACATTACCTGACTTCAAACTAAACTACACAACCACAGTAACTAAGAATGCTACTGGTACAAAACAGACACATAGCCCTATGGAACAGGTTAGAGAACCCAGAAATAAAGCCGCACACCTACAACCATCTGATCTTCAGCAAAGCTGACAATAACGAGCAATGGGGAAAGAATTCCCTATTCAATAAATGGTGCTGGGATAACTGCCTAGCCATAGGCAGAAGGTTGAAATTGGACCCCTATCTTTCATTACATACAAAAATCAACTCAGGATGAATTAAAGACTGAAATGTAAAACCGAAAACAATAAAGGCTGTAGAAAAAACAACCTAGGAAATACCTTTCTGGACTTTCTGCCCTAGCAAAGAATTCATGACGAAGACTCCAAAAGCAATGGAAACAAAAACAAAAATTGACAAGTGGGACCCAATTAAACTAAAGAGCTTCTGCACAGCAAAAGAAACTATCAACAGAATAAGCAGAAAACCTACAGAATGAGATAAAATATTTGCAAACTATACATCCAACAAAGGTCCAATATCCAGAACCTATTTGACTGGCTTAAGAAAAAAAAAAGGAACAAACAAATCAGCAAGCAAAAAGCAAACAACTCCATTAAAAATGTGAAAGAGGGCCGGGCGCAGTGGCTCACACCTGTAATTTTAGCACTTTGGGAGGCCAAGGTGGGCAGATTGCCTTAGCATAGGAGTTTGAGACCAGCCTGGCAGCCTGGGCAACATGGTGAAACTCCATCACTACTAAAATACAAAAAATTAGCCAAGCGTGGTTGTGCACACCTGTAGTCCCTGCTACTCAAGAGGCTGAGGCAGGAGAATTGCTTGAACCTGGGACACAGAGGTTGTAATGAACCGAGATCACGCCACTGTACTCCAGCCTGGGCGACAGAGTGAGACTCTGTCTCAAAAACAAACAAACAAACAAACAACAACAACAAAAAACTGTGCAAAGGACATGAACAGACACTTCCTAAAAGAAAAACATACACATGGCCAACAAGCATGTGAAAAAATGCTCAGCATGACTAATCATTAGGGAAATGCAACTCAAAATCACAGTGAAAAACCATTTCACACCAGTCAGAATGGCTATGATTAAAAAATGAAAAAATAGGCTGGGCGCGGTGGCTCACGCCTGTAATCCCAGCACTTTGGGAGGCCAAGACTGGCGGATCACTAGGTTAGGAGATCGAGACCATCCTGGCTAACACAGTGAAACCCCATCTCTACTAAAAATACAAAAAAAAAAATTAGCCGGGCGTGGTGACACACTCCTGTAGTCCCAGCTACATAGGAGGCTGAGGCAGGAGAATGGCGTGAACCTGGGAGGCGGAGCTTGCAGGGAGCCGAGATCGCGCCACTGCACTCCAGCCTGGGCGACAGGGCGTGACTCCATCTCAAAAAAAAAAAAAATAATAATCAAAAAATAATAGATGCTGGTGAGGGTGCAGAGGAAAGGGAAGGCTCATACACCACTGGTGGGAATGTAAACTAGTTCAGCCACTTTTGAAAGAAGTCAGGAGATTTCTCAACAAACTTAAATAGAACTACCATTCAACCCAGCAGACCCATTATTGGATATATATCCAAAGGAAAATTCATTACGCTACCGTAAAGATACATGCATATGTATGTTCATTACAGCACTATTTACAATAGCAAAGACATGGAATCAACCTAGATGCCCATCAACAGTGGATTGGATAAGGAAACTGTGGCACATACACACCATGGAAGAGTGTACAGCCATAGATGAGAATGAGATCACGTCCTTTGCAGCAACATGGATGAAGCTGGTAGCCGTTATCCTAAGCAAATTAATCCAGGATTAAAAAACCAAATACTGCATGTTCTCACTTATAAGTGGGAGCTAAACACTGAGTACACATGGACACAAAGAGAGGAACAATAGACACCAGGACCTACCTGAGGGTGGAGGGTGGGAGGAGGGTGAGGATTGATTGAAAAACTTCCTGTAGGGTCTTATGCTGATTACCTGCATGACAAAATTGTCTGTACACCAAACCCCCACGCCACACAATTTACCCATGGAACAAACCAGCACATATAACCCTTGAACCTAAAATAAAAGTTGGAAAGAAGTCAAAGAAAAAAAAAAAGAAAGAAAGAAAGAAAATGTGATATAGGCCACATGCCATGGCTCATGCCAGTAATTCTAGTGCTTTGGGAGGGGGAAGCAGGGGGATTGTTTGAGGCCAGGAGTTGTAGGCTGTAGTGGCCCATGCTCGTGCCACTGCACACCAGCCTGGGTGACAGAGCAAGACCGTGCTCCCTCTCAAAAAAAAAGGTTGAGTGTGGTGGCTCATACCTACAATCCCAGCACTTTGGGAGGCCAAGGTGGGCAGCTCACTTGAGGTCAGGAATTTGAGACCAGCCTGGCCAACATGGTGAAACCCTGTCTCTACTAAAAATACAAAAAATTAGCTGGGCATGGTGGCAGATGCCTGTAATCTCAGCTACTCAGGAGGCTGAGACAAGAGGATCACTTGAACCCAGGAGGCAGAGGTTGCAGTGAGCTGAGATTGCACCAATACACTCCAGCCTGGGTGACAGAGTGAGACTTCATAGAAAGAAAGAACGAACGAACGAAAGAAAGAAAGAAAGAAAGAAAGAAAGAAAGAAAGAAAGAAAGAAAGAAAGGAGGAAGGAAGGAAGGAAAGAGAGAGAGAGAAAGAAAGAAAGAAGAAAAGAAAAGAGAAAGAAAGAAAGAAAGAAGAAAAGAAAAGGAAAGGAAGAAAGAGAAAATGGCATATTATATATATACAAAATGGAATACTATTCAGCTATAAAAAAGAATGAAATCATATATTTTGCAGCAACATGCATAGAACTGGAGGTCATTATCTTAAGTGAAACAATGCAGAAACAGAAACTCAAATACCACATATTCTCACTAATAAGAGGGAGCTAAATAATGTGCACACATGGACATAGAGAGTGGAATAATAGACATTGGAGGCTCAGAAGGGTGTGAGGGTGGGAGTAGAGAGATGGATGAGAAATCACTTAGTGGGTACCATGTACATTATTCTGGTGATGGTTACACTAGAGTGCAGACTGTGCCACTCTAAAATATATCCATGTAGCAAAACTGCACTTGTACCCCTTATATTTATTCAAATATTTAAAAGAAAAATATTAGCATTTATGGAGAGTGGGAAGCCATTGGATAAACCTGTTTTTGCCTATAAAGTGAGATCACTCTTCATGATTATGTGTTTTGTATGTTATGTGTGCCTGTATTTTTGGCAATGTTGAAATATTCAAGTACAGTCAGAAATTGGTCAAATAACTGGTTTAACCAGATATATGGTTTATTCAGGCAACTAGGAGAGGAGAAGGGCAAAGAGAAAATCATGTGCTCAAAGGAGTAATTTTAATGGAGGTCCTTGGATTTTAGGCTGAGTAAGAAGATAAACAGAAAGGACTTTTAAAAGAGAGAGAAACATTTGTAAAAATCAAGGAGAAGATGTATTGCTAAAAGACCAGGAGAGAAGAAACAATGTTTAGGCTTTCTGTTTCATTTCTAAATATTTTAAAAAGTAACTAAAAGAGCATAACTGATTGCTTGTAACACAAAAGATCAGTGCTTGAGAGGATGAATACCCCATTCTCTACGATGTGATTTTTACACATTGCATATGTACATTAAAACATCTCATATACTCCATAAATAGATACACCTACTGTATTAGTCCTTTTTCATACTGCTATGAAGAAATACCCGAGACTGGGTAATTTATAAAGAAAAAGACATTTAATGGAGTCACAGCTCCACATGGATGGGGAGTCCTCACAATCATGGTGGAAGGCGAAGGAGGAGCAAAGGCATGTCTTACATGGTGGCAGGAAAGAGAGCATGTGCAGGGGAACTCCCCTTTATAAAACCATCAGATCTTGTGAGACTTATTCACTATCAGGAGAACAGCACAGGAAAGATGTGCCTCCACGATTCCATTACCTCTCACCAGGTCTCTCCCAGGACATGTGGAAATTATGGGAGCTAAATTCGAGATGAGATTCGGGTGAGGACACAGCCAAACCATATTGCCTACTATGTACCCACAAAAATAAAGAATAAAAATAAATAAATTTGAGCTTCTCAGGAAAAAAAAGGCAGTTAACTTGCTTTTATAACTCCTGTAGTATGAATCACAATCACATTTAGGCTCCTATATTGACTCTGAAATATGGACACAGGACCTTAAATTTTCCCTTTCCCAAACCCTCATGAATTCATCCACAACCAATTTAATTGTCATTGCTGTTCTCTAGAAAATAGAAAAATGAAACCACTTCTAAAATAAACATTTTTTAAACAAAATATAACCTTTCTTAAAAAATCTGTAAATTATAAAAAATGTCTACTCTCTGAGCCTGTGTATTAAATGAATCAACATATGTTCCTTGCTCAGCCCCAAGGACAATAGCAAGCTCTATTGCGTTTGAGTTTCAAGATAAGCTGATGTGTGATTTAGAAAACCATCAGACCAACTCCTTTTATTTTAATTTATTTTGAATTAGAGAAGCACGTGCATTTTTAAACTTGGCTAATTTCCATGCAGATCATATATGTACATATGCAGCAGGGGTGTAATTTGTTTCCCACTTCAAATTCTTTTTTTTTTTTTTTTTTTTTTGAGACGGAGTCTCACCCTGTCGCCCAGGCTTAAGTGCAGTGGCGCGATCTCGGCTCACTGCAAGCTCCACCTCCCAGGTTCACGCCATTCTCCTGCCTCAGCCTCCCGAGTAGCTGGGACTACAGGCCCCCGCCACCACGCCCGGCTAATCTTTTTTCTTTTTTATTGTATTTTTAGTAGAGACAGGGTTTTACCGTGTTAGCCAGGATGGTCTCAATCTGCTGACCTTGTGATCCACCCGTCTCGGCCTCCCAAAGTGCTGTGATTACAGGCGTGAGCCACCGCGCCCGGCTTCACTTCAAATTCTTTTACTTTACAGCAGCATACTTCTTTAAGTTGCATTTTTTTTTCCCGGAACCTGACAATGATTAAATTAAAAAACTGCTGTTTTGTTTGCTAGAATGAACATTTGGAAAGTGTCCTAAAATCATTACTACTTTCATTAGCATCCTAATAAGATATGAAGAAACACACATGCACACACACGTGCAGGCACACACACACACACACACACACACACAGAATCTAACAAGAAATGTTTTAGAAAAAATATTTGTATCATTTCTTTGATTAGATTTAATATAGCCACTTGAAAACGTGAAAGATCTTTTTTCTTTTTTTTAAATTTATAGACTTTTGTATTTTCATGTCTAAATAAAAGAATCTTGGTTGCTTCAAAACGGCATATAATCCAAAATAATTTTACTGAATTCAGAAAGAAAACTATATTTGTAAAAATATAATAATCTCCAACCCTGTGAATTCATCACATTGAAAACACCATTCCACTAGCTTCAGACATCCAATTTTAATTTTGTGAAGAAAGCTGTTTAATTGATTGCCACTTATTTTAATAAAATAATTAAAAGTGGTTTTACAATTTTATTATTTTTACTTTTTAAAAAAATTCTCCATGTTTAAACTTTCACTTAGACTTGGATATTAATGCTTTGAAAGTTCATCTTTTTCCTCAAAGTTCAAGTTGTTTTTAGGAAAAAGTTTGGTTCAAATAACTTATGGGACCATGTTATCAAAAGCAAAACCTTATTACACTGAGATTTCTGTTCTGTCCGTTGAATAAGAGAAATGATTCTTTTCTGCATACGACTAAAACTAATTCTCAAATACGAGTTAGCTTTAAAATTGTATATTCCATTAATCACTTGATATGTTAAAATAGTTTGTTAATAACAGCATCTTGACAAAAGAGATGTATCCTGTAGCTGTTTAAATATATGAAGCGACATAAGCTGACTGCTTTCTTTAGGAAGCTTAAAATGAACTCTTTGATTAAACATGAGTGTCAGAGTTTGATATTTCATTTCAGTGAATAGTCATCATCTCTGTCATGAATGTTACATTTAGAGAAGAAAATTTTTAAGAAAAAATATAATCGTTTTCCTGTTCCACATTTTAAAATATTTTACTATGTCAAAGTGAAAAAGAAATATACATCTTATTTAGGTTTAACCAAAAAAAAGGATGAATCCAAATCACCACGGGACAAGGATTTTTTTTTTAATTTTGTGAAATTGCTAAGTAATGAAAGAACATACTGGGAAGAAAAACTATCTGAGAGTAAAAAAATACATATAATATTTTATTGTATATTTCAGATATACACTGTATATTTTGCAAGTATATTTGAGATATGCCTATATATGACTGTATATCATCATACATGTGAAATATATTTTGCTTAGTCTTGTTTTACCATTCTTCTTATTAAAAAGTGACATTGGCTGGGCATGGTGGCTCATGCCTGTAATCCCGGCCCTTTGGGAAGCCCAGGCAGGTGGATCACCTGAGGTCAGGAGTTTGAGACCAGCCTGGCCAACAGAACGAAATTCTGTCTCTAGTAAAAATACAAAAATTAGCCAGGCATGGTGGCAGGCACCTGTAATCTCAGCTACTCAGGAAGCTAAGGCAGAAGAATCGCTTGAACCTGGGAGGTGGAGGTTGCAGTGAGCCAAGATTGCACCACTGCACTCTGGCCGGGGTGACAGAGTGAGACTCTGTCTTAAAAAAGAAAAAAAAAGTGACATTGATACTAATACTACTATCAATATTAATAAAGTTGTAGTTCAAAGAGCTCAGTGACTTCACAGGAGAGGAGTCTCCCAGTTTGATAAGCAACTGCTTTCTTCTTCTATTATGACTGCCGTTAAGATAATAATAATCTCCATGTGTCTGCATCCTCTGCTCGGAAGAATCATCTCATAGCTTCTGCTTGGCCAGCTCCTCCATTTCCTTTACATCTGCCCCAATTTCTCCTTGTTGTTTACATTGCAACTCTCTCTCCTTACCCAGGACTCTTCCATGACTTGTTCCTCCTGCCCGTTTCCTTAGCGTGTGTCCTCTTTAAATATACGGTCTATTCATTTCTTAGCATAATTGCTAGCATTCATCATCTGTCTCCAATGTCTAGAACAGCTATTTGAGGGGAGCAGGGATCTTGGTATCTTTTTTTTACTGGGGTTTCTGAGGCACCTAGAGCACTGTTCAATAAAGCAGTATTTATCATCAATAAATAATCATTGAATTGATAAATTGTAAAATTGTCCAAGAATGCATTTGTGAGTAAAGTAGGACATAAAGAGTATTTCAATCCACTCTGCCAATGTTAAATTCAGTGAATTGGAGACATAAACATGTTGAATGGAA
Organism: Homo sapiens; assembly: GCF_000001405.40. Classification (NCBI taxonomy): domain Eukaryota; kingdom Metazoa; phylum Chordata; class Mammalia; order Primates; family Hominidae; genus Homo; species Homo sapiens. The sequence continues at coordinate 5,232,031 of NC_000023.11, forward strand.
TATTAGCCTAACTCTAGATATTTCTCATTTTGTTTCATCTGCAATACATTGTGTGTTAAAATGTGCTAATTTTTGTATACTTTTCACCTCGTGGTTTATGTTATTTCAATTACTTGTTTAATAATAATGCATGTGGGATGTCCATTTGTATTGCTATATTAAATTTCAGTCCATTTATTTCATAAATAGATCAGTGGCCCCTGGTCTAAATAAATTGTGTCATGATTCCCTATGTACAAGAAGCATTGATCCAGTTTTCGGATATTTAGAGTGGTGTCCAACATCATGGAATTGGGGATAACTGAGTCTCGTGTTTTCTAATAAAATAGATATTTTGGTGTAAGCAGAAAAAACATATCTGAAGAGCAAAATTGATTACAATGCACTTAATACATTGATATATAGCATAGCATAACATGATTTTATATACAATAAACCTTATTTCTATCTTATTATTAGATTTGTTTTCAAATGTTTTAGCAATCCCCCAAATAAAATTTATACCTAGACTTTAAAAAAAAAATAAACTCTTCTATAACACTGTTTTCCAAGGAGGATTTATTTAGTAAATCAAGAACTATATAAAAAGTGTCTAAGAAAACTCAGCAGTACTAAATAATTTAAGAACTGTAAAATCATTACTGCACCTCAGATACTTCTAGATAAATGTGTTGTGGGTTTTTACTCTTTAAAGTTATTTTTTTTATTTTATTTTTAGTGTTTCCATCCTTTGTGTGTCATCACAGATATTTACTCTGTAAGTTGAAATATATATGGTAGTGTACCACTTTTGTTTATCTAATAATTATATTCATACACACAATACACCAACATTCCATATCATATTTAGAATAGTAAAAATTAAACGGTAGCATTTTAAATAATGCTGCTTGGTGGTTCCTTGAGTGAAGACACCATGGTTTATTTAACAGCTTCTTTCTTAAAATCCATGTATGCCTAGTGTTCCATTATTAGAACACTAAGCATGTGGGAGTTGTGTATATCTTACTGCTCAAGGTCATCGCCAAGGTCTGATTGCAAAAATTCAAAAAATTGCAACCTCAGGCAGAAATGAGTTAATAGACATTGACCTTGCTCTCAGGTTACTTTGCCCTCAGGCTCATGGTTGATTTTATAGTAATATATAATACTGTAATCCCGAGTAGCTGGGATTACAGGCGTGGGCCACCATGCCCAGCTAATTTTGTATTTTTAGTAGAGACAGGGTTTCACCATGTTGGCCAGGCTGGTCTTGAATCCCTGACCTCAAGTGATCTGCCCGCTTCAGCCTCCCAAAGTGCTGAATTACAGGCATGAGCCACCACGCCTGGCGTTTTAGTTGCAATTTTATAAGGTTGTTAAAAGGATTTAAATAAATAATTCTTGTAAGGGCTAAGTGGATTACATAGCAGATTTTAAAGATTCAAAATATCAACTATAACATTATTATTATTATATTGCTAATCTTTAAACCGTGTACGTATACCTCAATTTCTTGATTATGGAGACCATACTTTTTAACTTGTTGCTATAACTATGTAGCCACTAACACATTCACTATTTTCACAGCTCCCTTTAATCCCCTCCCTCTGTTAGTATTTTTATATTGTTGGGAAAGATATCATTTATACTCTCTGTATATCTATAATTATTTTAATTCTCTTCATAATTGAGTGAAAACATTCCGGTTTTCTTTCACACCCCATTCAACTCTCCCTGAATTGTTCAAAGCAGTTGAAAAATTTTACATTATATGTAATCTAAGGTACTTTGAAAAATAGCATTCTTTTAGATAACGTTTGCTATAGGTCAGAGATCTGTCTAAATACCCAGTAAGCTTAAGATCCATGCTTTGCTATCTTATTACATAAGGAGTTGTACAAGAAGATTTTTCGGTGGGCAAGGATTTGAGGAAGATACTAAAAAAATGTCCAGATGATTCTGTCAAGTAGATGTGTCTAGTCATCATTAAACCAAAACCCCCATGCACTGTTTTGTAAAGTCCCTCCGCAGATAGCCAAAATGAAATTCTCTCTATTTTGGTTCTCCAAGTGGGGATTTTGGTGTTTGTACAGGTGCATATTCTGCAGCTATCCGAGAACCACAAGTTTTCAGTTAGCTGAGGATGAAATCTATTCAACTACCATTGAGCTGGGCTGTGAGAAATGTTTCTGCCCACAGAATGCTTTTTAATTTAGTGACCAATTAATAGGTGAAAATTCACTTATGTATGTTTCTTCCTTGGGTATGCATCCTTCTTAATGCAGTTAGGATTTAACCACCCAAGTCAATGATTATGTTATCATTTTATCTTCAAAACTTGTATCTTCCAAACTTGTTCTGTCACCCCTCATCCCTTTTCATCTGGGTATTTTTGCTTCTTATAAATGAAATTAATTTCCATTAAAGCAGTTCCCAAGAAGACACCCTCATAAGAAGAAACAAATTTTCCTCTATTTTTCTATTTTGTATTCATTTACATACAAAAAAGTATCTGGAATATAGTTAGGGAAATGCAGTAATTTGCATTTATACTTTTGCTTGATTGCTGAATTTTCAAATATTTATCTGTTCTATAAAATGTAGAGTGTTTCTATAGGCCTTGCAGGTCCTATACAGCAATGGAGTGGTGAGCTCATGCATTTTCTAGCTTATTTTCAGAAGAATATGCTATGTCTGTTCATTCTTCCAGATTCTGGTGCCTTTGGATCTCTGGTAATACTCCATGACTTCATTGATATAAACATCTCTTATTTTTTTTGTCTTCTTCCTTCCTTCCCTCCTTCCTTCCTTTCTTTGTTCTTTCCTTCCTTCCTCCCCTCTTCCTCCCTCTCTCCCTCCTTTCCTTCCTCCCTTCCTTCCTCTCTTCCTCCCTTTTTTCCTTCCTTCTTCCTCTCTTCCTCTCTCCCTCTCTCCGTCTTTCTTTCCTTTCTTCCTCCTTCCCTCGCTCCCTTCTTTTCTTCTTCCCTCTCTTCCTCCTTCCTTCCTTCCTCCCTTTCTTCCTCTGTGTCCCTCCCTTCCTTTCTCCTTGTCTTCCTCCTTCTTCCCTTCCTTCCTCCTTTTCTCCCTCCCTCCCTTCCCTCCCTCCCTTCCGTCTTCCTTTCCTTACTTCTTTCCTCCTTTCTCTCTTTCCTTTATTTCTCCCTTCCTTCCTTCCTTCCTTCCTTCCTTCCTTCCTTCCTTCCTTTCTTGTCTCTCTGTGTGTCTCTCTATCTCTCTGTCTGTCATTTTATCCCCTCTCTCAGTTTCCCAAGATTAAAATGCCACTGTGGATTTTTTTTAAATGTCACTTTATATGTCTCCTCAAGGTTCTCTATTCCTTTGAATACTGGGAAGAATACCTGCCATAATTTCCATCCATTAGACCAATAGGGTTATGGTTCTCCCGGTGACCTGCTAAATATCACTGGCTCAAGCACTTTCCAAATGTATCATTTTTTGTTTTGACAGAGATGAATTACTGTCTGAATATGCATTTTTTTTTTCCAGAGTCTTGCTCTGTCGTCCAGGCTGGAGTGCAGTGGCACAATCTCAGCTCACTCCAACCTCCACCTCCTGGGCTCAAGCAATTCTCCTGCCTCAGCCTCCCAAGTAGCTGGGATTACAGGCTTGCACCACCACACCTGGCTAATTTTTGTATTTTTAGTAGAGATGGGATTTTACCATGTTGGCCAGGCTGGTCTTGAACTCCCGACCTCAGGTGATCCACCCGCCTCAGCCTCCCAAAGTGCTGGGATTGCAGGCGTGAGTCACTGCACCTGGCCTGGATATGCAACATCTTTTGACTAGCCTATGAAACTTGATCTAGTTTTCTTTTTGTCCTATTCTCTAAGAATAGTGACTCTTTCCCCAACGCTGACCATTTCTGAGTATTTTCTCTTTCTCTCTCTCTCTCTGTCTGTCTTTTTTTTTTTTAGCTCTCAGCTACATCGGCGCTAAAGGCAGATTTCCTTGCTTCATTTCATTGGCACTCTTTAGTGTCGATATTAAAGACACTTGAAGAGAGCCATAATCAGAGGCAAAAGGAAAAGCAAATGTTGAACAAATGTCTGATCTGCTGGGTTTCATGATTTCCACTTTGTACCATTTCTATGAGCATCAACACACTGAATCGTTTCACATTGTCATGCCCAAGCCTTCTCCCATTAAAGCCGGTGTACTTGTTCTGCTGAAGTTCCAGCGGCAGAGAGGAGCGTGTGTCACAGGCATGCAAAGAAACACATACAACCACCCACAGGTTGCATTTCCAAAGCAGTTACACATGCCTCCTGTAGAGGGCCACAATTTCTTATTTGACAAGATCACATAGACTCCCAATTCAACTGCAGGAGTGACTTCGTTTCCCATAAAATGGCCGGTGTTTGGCAGTGGTGCTACATCCCGATCTTCTCTCAGCACTTGAAGCCAGCTCTCTCTAACCCTGCAGTCATTGGTATCTGCAATGCATCAACTCACTTTCGATGGCTGGCCAGCTCCAGTGTGAGTTAGCACGGTAATTTGTCATTGATGAAAAACTTTCAATGTTGAAATTTTGGTGAGGAAAGTCCTGCAAGAACAAATCTCCCTAAACTAGACATCTTGATATGTGTCTCTAAAATACATCTCTCTCTCTTAAAAAAATTAAAGTCCACCTACCTGTGTTCTCACATACCCCTTTTTTGAACAGTACTACTCGTTATGTCCTCATTTCAAACTATTAAAAATAGGTATTTATATAGATTTTCTCAAATTACACCCTAAGCTCCTTCCTACTTTAGGGCATCGTTTGCGCTTATAACTTAGTACATCCAAAACATCCAAAACATTTCTGCTCTAATTTGGGTAAACTTCCTCCTAGTTCACTCAGAAAATATTTTCTTACGTCACTCCACCGAAGTGTTTTGCAACATAAATGGCCATGGTAGTCACTGAACAAGTCTTAAATAAATCATCTGAAGAGGGTAAAGGTATTCAAATACACACTGGTAATAAGCAAGTAAGAGGATTTAAATGCCTTCTGCACTTCTGATTCACATAATGCTTTATACAGACATAGTAGCTGCTTTCTACCTTTTTCTGCCATGCATTTCCTATTCACTTTCTTGGGTTATGAAGTCATTGACCTTTGCCTGTGGTGATAAATCACACTTCCTCTATGAAATATCTGGATTTGGGAATAACTAAGAATCTGCATGCATGCATTGCATGGGGTGAAGATTTTTCCCTTTCTATTTTATTTTTCAGAAATGAACTTGTAAGGAGCTTTGGAGAAGAGTTTTGAGGTTGGTGCTTCCTAATTGAGTTCAGAGGATAGTTGTATTTGTGACTCAGGGGAATGCTACCAAAAACCAATAGTGGAAGAGTCTCTTAAAATCAGATTAATTTGACAACCTCCCTCTGTGGTCATCTCTTTAAACAGTCACCTCATGCTTGCCCAAAGGGCTTAGGAAAAATAAAGCCATGGTTTTAGAATTGTGGGTTATATGCATGGTAAATAATACAGACTTTCCCTTGGCAGAACTAAGAACAGCTTTCTCTGCTGGATCTGCAATGGTGACCCAGTGTGAGCCCCTAATTTAGGAGCAGACTGTAATAGTTCGTTTTCTTGCTGCTGATAAAGACGTACCTGAGATTGAGTAATTTACCAAGAAAAAGAGGTTTAATGGACTCACAGTTCCATGTGGCTGGGGAGGCCTCACAATCATGGCAGAAGGCAAAAGGCACATCTTACATGGCGGCAGACCAGAGAGAATGAGAGCCAAGTGAAAGGGGAAACCATTTATAAAACCATCAGATCTCGCGAGACTTGTTCACTACCAGGAGAACAGTAAGGGGGAAATTGCCCCCATGATTCAATTACCTCCCACCAGGTTCCTCCCACAACACGTGGGAATTATGGGAGTTACAATTCAAGATGAGATTTGGGTGGAGACACAGCCAACCATATCACAGACACAGGGGGACCAGGTGTCCACCTGATGGAAAGTATAGTTTATGAGATCCATTCTGTCAGAGATGAAACGAGCATTTTTCCATCTCTGCGGCAGATATTTATTCAAAACTTCTATTTGCCTCTCTCTGCTATCATTCCTGTGATTTCAATTTCATCTGTGCCTATTCTCCATTCTATTGTCCAACATATTTTTTTTTTCTGGTGAAGGAAATTATGTTATAGTGAAATAAGATAGCATCTTGATGCCTGAAATTTACAGCTTTTACCATCACTCTGTCACCCCAAAGACACCAGGTTTATGGAATGCTGAAAGAGTCCTCTGTGGATTCCAAGGTAAAGCCATCAGGGAGAAAGTATCTTTCAAACCTGTGCTGATTTTTCATAGAATGCTACATAGAATCCAGATGCTGTTCTTCTCACATGATCCTCACATTTATTAATCAAACATGAGTAAGCAGAGGCCATGTCTACTACTAGATGACCCACTTGCAGATTTTTGCCTCATCGTGCTGTGTTTCTAAGTTCTGCATTCTTAGAAATATCATTATCCAAACTAAAATGTTTCACTGTGAGATCCTACAGAGATCCACGGATCTACAAAGAAATATTGCTTGTTTTATCACCCCCACAGATCATCAGAAAAATAATTATAACAAATTAAAATCCAGTGAAATAACAACAGAAGTGAGCGCATATGCTTATGAAAATATAAACACATAAATGGTCACTGCATCATTATTCACATTAGCCAAAAACTAGAAAAAACTCAAATGGCCACCCACAAGGCAGCATAAATAAATGTTTAATGAATTCATAAAATTGAATACAAGCAGTGACAATAAATGAATATTAGAATGAAGGGACTCAAACAACTTACAATGACATGGACAAATGTCAAAAACATAATGCTGAATGAAATTAGCCAGACATAAAAGACATCTTCTAAAGGGTTTTATTCACATAATATTCAAAACAGACAAAACACATTTATGATGGTAGGTATTGGAAGTGTGGTTACTATGGGGAAGTTACTGGAAGAGGAATTAAGAAGGTTTCTCAGGTGGTGATAGTGTTCTGTTTCTTGATTTGTCGTGATTTTGTTTTATAGGATAAATTTGCGTTTTCAAAGAAAAAGTTTGGGCACTTTTCCTTTGTGAAAAATTCATTGCATGGTACACTTAGGATTTGTGCACACTTTCCTGTAATTATGCTATACTTTAATTTAAAAGTTTACTTAAAAAATTAAGTATGAAAAAGAAATTTATGAAGTGGAGCAACCTAAAGCTCTCAACTAGCTTACTTAGAGTAACTACATGTATTAGTCTGTTCTTATGCTGCTTATAAAGACATGCCAGAGAGACTGGGTAATTTGTAAAGAAAGATGTTTAATGGACTTACACTTCCACATGGCTGGGGAGGCCTCACAATCACAGTGGAAGGTGAATGAGGAGCAAAGGCATGTCTTACATGGCAGCAGGCAAGAGAGCATGTGCAGGGGAACTCCCATTTATAAAACCATCAGATCTTGTGTGACTTATTCACTACCACAAGAACAGTATGGGGAAAACTGCACCCATGATTCATTTATCTCCACCTGGCCCCACCCTTAACACATGGGAATTATTACAATTCAAGGTGAGATTTGGGTGGGGACACAGCCACCCCATATTACTACCACAGACACGTGATTCTTGCATGGGATTAAACATGTTCCCTAAGACAAACAGATCATATTCCCATAATAATTGCATATCCTTATTAAACACCGTCAGCAACTTCATGAGGAGTGGAATAAGACTCCTAACATGGTGGGATTGGTGGATGTGCCAGTCTCATTTTCTGAGACTTTGGAAGCTTGATTCCATTCTAGAGTTTGTATCTGGGACTACAAGTGTGGTTCAAGTCTCATGTCTCTGAAACTCCATAAAAGCCTGGCCCCTGGTGCAATAGTCTGCACCTACTTTTTTCCTTGCCTCTACCAGGGAACCCCTAAACTCAAGTTTCTGTCTTTCTGTGAAGCACTTCTAATTCTTGATATCAAAAATAACCAGCTTGGATCATCTCTGCCTCCTTCTAGACAAAATCCAGCTATATTGGGGCTTCATCCACACCAATATGATTGCATTACAGTTGGCCCTTTGGTAACTCAGGGGTTAGGAGGGCCGACAGACAAAAATCTGTAGATAGCTTTTGGTTTATTTTTAAATTGTAGATTCAGGGGATACATATGATGATTGGCTACATGGATATATTTTGTATATTGGGGTTTGGACTTCTATTGAATCTGCCACCCAAATAGTGAACATAGTACCCAATGGGTAGTTTTTCATCCCTTATCCCCCACCCTTACTCTCCCTTTTTGGAATCCTCAGGGTCTATTGCTCCCATCTTTATGTCCACATGTACCCATTTTTTTAGCTCCTATTTGTAAGTGAGAATGTACAGTGAGAATATGCAGTATTTAACTTTCTGTTTCTGCATTAACTCACTTAGAATAACGATCAACAGCTGCATCCATGATGCTGTAAAGGGCATGATTTCATCCTTTTAATGGCCGTGTAATATTCCATAGTGTATATGTGCCATATTTTCTTTATGCAACCCACTGTTAATGGACCCTGAGGTTGATTCCATATCTTTGCTATTGTAAGTAGGACTGAAATGAACATACTAGTGCAGGTGTTTTTTTGATAAAACAATTACTTTTCTTTTGGGTAGTTACCCAGTAGTGTGATTGCTGGGTCAACTGGCAGTTCTAGAAAATCCATGTAAAATTTTTGCACCTCCAAAACTTTATTAATAACCTATTGTTGACTGGAAGCCTTACTCATAACTTAAACATCAACTAACACATATTTTGTATGTGATATGCATCATACACTGTATTCTTACAATGAACTAGAGAAAAGAAAATGTTACTAAGAAAATCATAAAGAAGAGAAAATATACTTACTATTCATTAAGTGGAAGTGGATCACCATAAAGCTTTTCATCTTCATCATCTTCACATTGAGTAGGCTGAGGAGGAGAAGGAAGAGGAGTTGGTCTTGCTGTCTCAACGGTGGCAGAGGAGAATGAAAAGCCATGCTTAAAGTGGACCCACACAGTTCAGACCTGTGTTGTTCAAGGGTCAACTGTACCGTGGCTCTTCTGATCACAGGAAATGATTGCCTTGTTTTGTTAGTCTCCGTGATGTTTTTTGGTCTCTCCTTTTATTATTTTATTTATTTAAGCAGGAAAAGAACATTCCAGAGTAAATCACTGTCAGGCCTCTGAGCCTAAGCTAAGCCATCATATCCCCTGTGACCTGCAGGTATACATCCAGATGGCCTGAAGTAACTGAAGAACGACAAAAGAAGTGAAAATGGCCTGTTCCTGCACAAATAATTAAAATGCTCCACCACACCTTGTATAAAAAGTGTTCAGTTGATGCCAATGTCATGGATCATTTTTAATCACAAATACGTTAGAGTAAACAAGGTAAACACCCAGTATCAGAATCCTATGATTAAGGAAGCACTTTCCTTAGTGTCTTAAAAAAAGAAAAAATAAACATAAGGAAAAAAAGAGAAACGGTTGCTTTGGTAAAATAAACACACTGGATGACCGGCAATTCATTGCTTAAATTTTGAAATCTGGTAGTGAAAAGACAATGTAGCAGCTAAAAGGGGATGATAAATATAAGCATTTGCATAATGAAAATGTTTATTTCTTATTTAAAAGAGTATAATGTGTTTCCATGGAAACACTAATGTTCTCATTCAACTGCACCAGGGTGGCAAATTTTATTTGCATCATTTTAATCTTTACTAGTTTTTCTTTTTATTTTTTCCTGAATGCCTTCTAATTTAGTCAAGTGTTGCCAGAATTTAAAACTTTTTGATTTCCAAATTATCTCAGTTGTTAACCTGATGAAATTTTACCTGCGGTTTTGACATCCCAGAATATGGCAACAAGAGCTCAGCATGATAAAGTAATGCAAATTTTAGTCACAAAATTGAAACCTTTACCATCTAAATATACACCAAGTAAGATTTTTTTGAAAAAATACAGAAATAGCTTATATAAACATAAATTGAACGGAAGCTTATTTAGTGACGTTCAGATGATCAAGTTTACTAATACTTTAAATTGTTACTATTCTCTGTTATTTATCCCTCATACTATTCAGATACTTTTATTTGTTTTCAATCTTATAAATATTTATTTCAAGCAAATGAATAAGGGTCCCGGGAAACTGAAGTACTATCTATCGTGGATTTACATGACAGTAAATATCCACAGCCCCCATTCCATGACTGACTCCCTCTCACTCTCTCTCTCTCTGTGAGTATCTCTCTCTCCATGTTGTTGTGAACCCTGAAAATCTGAGACAAGTCTCAGTTAATTTAGAAAGTTTATTTTGCCAAGGATGAGGACTCGTGCTCATGATATAGTCTCAGGTGGTCCTAATGACATGTGCCCAAGGTGGTCAGAGCACACTTTGATTGTACACATTTTAGAGATACATGAGACATCAATCAACAAGATTCGCTCTGGAAAGGCGGGCTAACCCGCCAAAGGTGAGACAACTTGAAGTTGGAGGGGGCTTCCTGGTCATAGGTAGATAAGAGACAAATATTTGCATTCTTTTGTGTTTCTGATTAGCCTCTCCAAAGGAGGCAATCACATATGCATTTATCTCAGTGAGTAGAGGGGTGACTTTGAATAGAATGGGAGGCAGGTTCGCCCTAAGCAGTTCCCAGCTAGACTTTTCCCTTTAGCTTAGTCATTTTAAGGGCCCAAGATATTTTCCTTTCACATTGCATTCACTTTTTTGTCTATCACTTACTTTCAAAAGAATTCTAACTAATCCTGATGCCACCAGGCGTGAAGACATTGTTATCAAGTAGTTGGGAATAATCAAGAGAACATTTAAACACTTGATGAGAGACAGTCCCTCAACCACATAGTGTACAGAAAATGATGCTGTTATCTTTCCCTGCAAATAAGTTGTCCTCCATCTGAAGACAGAGCTAATCCATGCAAATCCATCTCATCCAGTGTGAGAAAATGGTCCTAATATTAAGAAAAACATGTTTTATTAGCAAGGAGGTAGGAGGTATCCACTCTGCTTCAAGGATTAATAATTAATCACATTTCTCTATTTCCATGCCAACACTGAGAAATTATTTAGCCTGATACAGTCTTCTTGAATTGATATTATTTCTTTTGTAATTTTATTTTAGAAAAACAGGTTAACTTTTAAAATTTATCTTAAAGGTAAATATCAGAGAAAAATATTACAGGTTTATTATATAAATAAAATTTTAAAAATCAACATTTTCACAAAGCAGTTACTTTTGTAAAATTAACATATTGTATCACTTGCAAGTCATTGCTTAAATTTTGAAATTTGGTAGCAAGAAAACAATACAACACATATACATAATATTCTATATAGAATATATAATAAAGATATGTTTTACATGACCAAAAGATTTTTAAGACAATATCAATAGCTAATGTTTCTTCACACAGGCAATAATCATTCACAGTTCTGTACACCTACACAAAAAGCTATAAAGAGTTATTGTTCTATTATCTCAGCAATTGGTACTATTTAAGTTAGGTGCCAACTGCCCCATGTATACTCCTAATGACCAAACACAAAGCAAGATTCAGCTGAGCTGAGTGTCTGATCCCTCTCTTTCCATATAGAATACAATGTATAATATAATAAATATATACTATATTATGTATATATAATAAATGTGTATATAATTACATTTACGAATTTGTAATGTGCTTGTGTGTGTATATTCTGCATTTCATATTTTAAGCTCCTTTTCTTTCAAGTGATGAATGTGAACTACAAGAAACATGATATGGGAGGTCCCACCAAAACTAAGAGTAACATTTAAATAACATTTTTAATGTTTAATGTTTAAATAACATTTCTTCAGGAATTTAACTTTTTGCATTGCACAGTGAATATGTTCTGTTTGACTCACAGTACACACATGCAACTTTACTTAAATAGTACCAGTTGCTGAGATAATAGGACAATAACTCCTTATAGAATTTTGTGTAGGTGTATAGCACTGTGAATGATTATTGCCTGCTTAAAGAAACATTAGCTATTGATATTGTCTTAAAAATCTTTTGGTCACGTAAACCATATCTTTCTTTCTTTGTCCATTTCAGAACTTGGAGTAGCTGCATACCATCCCAGAATCCAATTAGCTTGCATAGTGTTAATTACCTGAGAATATATCATCCCGTCATTTACCTTCACACCTTTGATATTGCTAGTAACACCTTTGTAAAAAAGAGTTTCTAGAAATCGGTACAGTCTTTTTCCCGATCTTAGTTTTCCTTTAAATGATTAATGAAATAAAATAATATGAATTTATTTTGAATAAGAAAGGATTTTTAAAAAAACAAGCGTATCATTGTTGCAGAAAATATTTCCACCTATCTATTTCTCTCTCTTTGGAAAAGATCATGATGAATGTCCTGAAATACAGATTCAACAAGCGTATGGTTAGTGTCTGTACATGTTAAAGAGGCAAAATGATGATACTTCGGAGCATGAATTGTTTCATAGCCTTTTCTCCCCTAAATAAGGTTAACTAGCAGTGGTGAGGATGCTGCCAGTTCTAACAGTCTAAACCTGACCAAGCAGCCTTGAGTTTTTCTTAGGACTAGGTGCCAACTGCCCCATGTATTCTCCTAATGAGCAAACACAAAGCAAATTTCAGCTGAGCTGAGTGTCTGATCTCTCTCTTTCATGGCCAAGCCCAAGAGATAGGAACAGACAGGCATGGATGTATTGGTGCTCACCCAGATGCTAAAGCAGTACCTGGTGTGACAGTTACAGAGTCCGTGGCTACCAATCCAGGTAGAGTTAAGGTTCAAAATACCAACCTTTAACTCCAAGTCGATGCTATGACTCTCACTGGATACCAAAAAGAATACCTGTTCGTGTTTCGTGGGCCTTCTGTTCATCAAGGATTGCCATAACCCATCCTCTTTGATGTGCCTCAGGGAGCCAATGTAAATTTATTTTTCTTCTCCTCTCCCTCCTTTCTTTTCCTCTTCAATCTTCTTTCCTTCCTTCTTTCCTTTCATCCGTCCCTCCTTCCTTCCTTCTTCCATTTCTTCTTTCTCTTTTCCCTTCCTCCCTCCCTCTTTCCCTTCCTTCTTTTATTCTTTCCTTCCTTCCTTCCTTCTTCCTTCTTCACTTCACTTCTTCTTTTGTTATTTCCTTCCTTCTTTTCTTCTTCCTTCTTTCCTGTCTCCCCCCTTCCTTTAGTCCTTCCTTCCTTCCTTCTTCTTTCTTTTTTCCTCCCTCTCTTTTTTCCTTTCTTTCCTTCCCTCCCTTCCTTCCTTCCTCCCTCTCTCCCTCCCTCCCCTCTTCCTTTTGTTTCCTTCCTTTCTTCTTTCTTTCCTCCCTCCCTGCTTTCTTTTCCTTCCTTCCCTCCCTCCCTTTCTCTCTTTCTTCTTCCTTACTCTCTTCTTTCCTTCCTTCCTTTCTTCCCTTCCTTCCATCTGTCCTTCCTTTATTTCCTTTCTTTCTCTCTTCCTTCCTTCTTCTTTGTCTCTCTGTTTTTTTTTTTAATTTTCCATTCACTGAATTGAGTCCTGCCTATACAGTTGAAGCTATGAAATATTAAATTACCACTAGATTATGTGGCAATGGCTAGTGTGGGAGGGATATAGACAAATATAGAAATTCTGTGTGTAACATTATGCCAAAATGTTACAGTAAGATTTAAATTGCTTTGTAATGTACCTCCTTGCCCTGTAATTTTTTGGTCTGCTACTTTTTAATTCTGTGTGCTAGTGGGATTTTATTTTTTGTTATTAAAACAGATCTAGGATTTTCCTTACCAGCATTTTATTAAAATTAAGGCTAGCTAATATTTACATGCCTTATTCTGGTTGTTTTAACTACGTTGAATCATTTAATGCTTACAACATTATGACACAGGATTACTGCACTTTTACAAGAGGAGACTGGCCCAGAGAGATTAAATAAGTCATCCAAAATCACACCTTAGGGACAAACCTAGGGTAACAATACAGAGCTAGAAATCCAGAGCTCATATTCTATTCCAATATATTACATATACCCCATTGGTGCATTGAAGATAAATACCAGGCCAGGAGCTGTGGCTCATGCTGTAATCCCAGCACTTTGGGAGGCCGAGGTGGGCGGATCACCTGAGGTCAGGAGTTTGAGACCAGCCTGGCCAACATGGTAAAACCCCATCTCTAATAAAAATACAAAAATTAGCGGGGCTTGGTGGTGGGCACCTGTAATCCCAGCTACTCAGGAGGCTGAGGCAGGAGAATCGCTTGAACCCAGGAGGTGGAAGTTGCAGTGAGCCAAGATCACGCCATTGCACTCCAGCCTGGGAGACAGAGTGAGACTCTGTCTCAAAAAAAAAAGATAAATATCAACATATAAATTTTAATGCAGGTGCTAACACCAAATTTATGTACACATCCTTATAGGTATGTGTGTAGACAGAGTGATAGATGGATAGGTAGGTAGATATATACATAGATATTAGATGGATCATACAAGGATAGATAATAGATAGACATAGTTATAGGTAGACAGATGATACAAGGATAGATGACAGGTAGATAGATAGATAATCAATGGTGATGAACTTTTCAACACTTTAACTCACTTAAAAATTATTGATGACCACCCCCAAATATTTCCTTATGTTGGGGTATATTACTTCATATTTATCATATTAGATATTACAACTGAAAAATATAAATGTATTAACTCATTTAAACAAAAATATTACTATTCCTTGTTATCATTCAAACCATTTTAATAACAATATTTTCGTTTTTATTTATTTATTTATTTTTAGATGAAGTTTCACTCTTGTTGCCCATGCTGGAGTACAGTGGCGCGATCTTGGCTCACTGCAACCTCCACCTCCTGGGTTCAATTGATTCTCCTGCCTCAGCCTCCCGAGGAGCTGGGATTACAGGCATCTGCCACCACGCCCGGCTAATTTTTGTATCTTTAGTAGAGACAGGGTTTCACCATGTTGGCCAGGTTGGTCTCAAACTCCTGATCTCAGGTGATCCACCCTCCTCAGGCCTCCCAAATTGCTGGGATTACAGGCGTGAGCCACTGCGTCCCACCTGACAATACTATATTTTCTAAAATTAGAAAATGTAGCAATAAGATTGGTGTTACTAAGGGAGGAGACCACCCCTCATATCGTCTTATGCCCAATTTCTGCCTCCAAAGAAAGAAGAAGTAAAAACGAAAAGGCAGAAATGAAATCCACAAGTAGACAGCCTGGTGCCACACCCTGGGCCTGGTAGTTAAAGATCGACCCCTGACCTAATCGGTTATGTTATCTACAGATTACAGACGTTGTATAGAAAAGCACTGTGAAAATCCCTGTCCTGTTCTGTTCCGATCTAATTACCGGTGCATGCAGCCCCCAGTCACGTACCCCCTGCTTGCTCAATCAATCACGACCCTCTCACGTGCACCCCTTTAGAGTTGTGAGCCCTTAAAAGGGACGGGAATTGCTCACTTGGGGAGCTCGGCTCCTGAGACAGGAGTCTTGCCAACACTCCTGGCCGAATAAACCTGCAACAAACACATTTCACATGGTATTAGTTTGATAGCTTTTTATCACTAAAGCGCATTCTCGGAATTTGTCCTCATCCTTATATTTCTCTGATAACTAGAAAGTTTTAAGTGAAAAGTAGTGAAGCAATTTTCTCCAATTACCTGAAACTATCTCAGACTTTTCTCTGAATATTTTGCCTGAAGTAGTGATTATTACCTATTTTGTGCAGGCATGTAAAGGAAGCAATTTGGTGTACAGGTTGAGCCATCTAATTGCAAGCCCCAGGAAATAAGAGCATTATGATTATGTTGCAGTGTGCACTTTGGATTTCTTCTATTATTTTCCATTTATTTTTTTCCACATTATTGTTCTGGCCATTGGATTCCTTATAGACTTGCAGAAATTTTTAATTCTCTAAATATTTTTTCTTTGTTGTGATGTTTCGACATTGCAAACATATTTCTTCAATTAATCAATTCTTTTATTTTTACCCACATATTTTATATTTCTATAATAAAAATATTTATCAATTTCCTTGTCCTCTGCATTTTCAAAAAACAGAAATGTTTTCACAACCCTAAACGACATACGTGCTTTCTACATTTTCTTCTATTCTTTATTATTTTGCATGTTGATTTATCTTTCTAGAATCTAACTTTGTATATGGAAACAAAGAAAGAAACACTATTATTTATTACATATCTAGAGTTAGTTTTCTTGATGTCATATACTAAATGGTCAGTCTTTTGGCATTGATCCATGACACCAACTGAATTGTATATGACATTCCCATAAAGCCATAATCCTATAGATTTCTGTGCTAGTCTACTAGTCTATTTATATCTTTGCACCACTAACAAGTTGCTTTAACAATATACGTGGCTTTGTAAAATATTTCTCTGGTAAGGCATTCAGCCCTATTCATTCTTATTTATCAGGAGTGGCTCACCTACTACGCACTTTTTTGTGGTCCATATACATTTCAGAAAATTTCTGTAGAATTTCTTGAAATAATCAACGGGAATCTTCACTGATATTGCTTTAATAGTGTAGAGTACACTTGTAGGAGAATTGAATGCATTAGTGATGATTTTTAAGATATAAATGTTCATCTTTGCCAGTTTAATTGTTTCATCTATTTGACCTTGTATGTTCTTTAGATCAATTAATTCTCAATGTTCTAATGCCTTTAAACTGACAGTGCAATGAATGTCATTTGTATTATACTTAGAACACCATTATTGTGGAGCAGAAAAATGCTAATGAGTTGGTTAAGTTAATCTTACAAATCTTATCTAGTATTCTTGCTAAGCTCTCTTACTAAATCTAAGTCATATCTTTTTTTTTCTTGCAGATAATCACATCTTCTGCAACTAATGGAAGTTTTAACTCTTCCTTTTTGATCTTTACTCAACTAGTTCATTTTTTCTTTCTTTACACTATTGACCAGGACTGGTAACATTGTAATATACAGTGATGATTTTATCTGTGTGCATTTTATGAAATATGAGTATACATCAATATGTCTGATGACATATATATGTGTATGTGTGTATATATATATATATATATATATATATAAAATTCCAATATGGCAAACACCTTTCACATAAAAGCCATACCCATGCATATTTATGCCTACATATGAATAAAGTGTAGCAGAATCAAGTTAAGAGGAATGGGTAGAATCATAATTGGGTAGACCTTGAAAATCAAAAGAGAAAACTCAGAAGCCATAAAGGAAAAAAACATGATTTATATAACTACATAAAACCTAATTAAAAATTTATCCATGCCCAAAGACTACAAACTAAACTGAAAACCAAATATCATACCCTATTAAGAGTAAGCAAGCATTTTTCTGTAAAGGGTCAGATAATGCTGTTAATATTTTGGAATTTCCAAACCATATAGTCTCTACAGCCACTAATCGCCATTGTTATCACTTGAAAATAGCCATAAACACTAGGTAGGACTGTGTACTAAGAAAACTTTGTTTACAAAAGAGTGGTCTAGTTTGCTGACTCCTAACTTAGAATAAAATGTTTGCAATTTTTATAATAGGTAAAGGCCAAATAACATTATTATTTTAGAAAATTTTACAAATCTATCCAATAAAATCTGCCAATAAAAATTGTCAGACGGTATGGCTGAGGCATATATCCATCCTTCTGGTATATGAACACTCCATTCTTGAAATACATGTAGGAGTTCACAGACAGTATTTGTTTCAGTTTCCCAATATGGTGGGTGTCAAGAAACATGAGCCTAGAACACTTATTATAGTCTTTTTATTTCCTTTTTCTCATATTTGCTATTGGCTACTGTTTTGTTTAAATTACCCTGATAAAATCTGCCTTGGTTACCAGAACCTAAAATGTTTAATCTTGGAGGTGATAATTTTAGCATTGAAATTAAAAAGCAGCCCCTGTATCATGAAAACAATTTTACAATTTATTTGGCGTTCATTTTTCAAATGTGGAGTCAATGTGAATTAGTCTTTTACAGAGACCAAGCAGAGAGAAAATATCCATCAATATACTGGCTACAAATTGCAAGTGAGATGAAGAACCCCACATTTCTGCTGAAGGCCTCAGAAGGCAACTTCCAAGCCAGGGATTTTCTGTGTTTAGTTCTTTGACACAAAATTTACTTTTCTCCATTTTTTCCCTTTGACCTAAGATTTTCTAACACTGCGAATTTGCCATTTGGTTACGACATAAATGAACCGTTCAGCAGATGGCTAAACAGACACATCATTTACATATGCTATTTCTCTGTACATATGAGGAGTCCAAGTCTTGTTACAAGCAATTGCGAGAAATAAAAAAACCAGGACTGAATTCACAGATATTGTCAAAATCCTTTTTCCTCCAGACTCTATTTATTCTTTTAATATATATTCCACTAGGTTGGTTAGAGTTTAGTCATTTCGCTTTGTTACTTTATGAAATAAAGTTAAGAATATACAAATAAAGAAAAAAAGGAAAAAAGAACAAGGAGGCTTATTATTAACTAAATTATGTGGGCAGACACTGAAAAATATATGATCATCTAATTTCTCAAAGCTACAAGTGTAGTAATTAATGAAATGGTATAATAATAATTATTATTATTTTAAGGATAGGGTTTCACTCTATCTCCCAGGCTGCAGTGTAGTGGCATAATCACAGCTCACTGCAGCATTGACCTCCTGGGCTCAAGTGACCCTCCCACCTCAGCCTCCTGAGTAGCTGGAACGACAGGCATGCACCACCACACCTAGCTAATTTTTAAAAACTAGTATGATGTAAAAACTCAACCTATCCATACAACATGCATTTACTATAGTGCTTTTTATAATGTACTATTTAATTCTAATGCATTGCACTCTGCTTACGATACGAAAAAAGTTTTATCTAAAACTTAATTCTTTTTGCAGAGATTCAAATGTCACAGAATCAGTCCAATTAGCAAGTTGATTTTTAAATGAGAAAAATCTAAACAAGGAGGAAGGAAGAAAGAGGGAAAGAAGAATGGAAGGAAAGAAAGAAGGAAGGAGGGAAGAAAGGAGGGAAGGGAGGAAGGAAGGAAGGAGGGAGGGAGGAAGGGGAGGGAGGGAGGGAAGTGGAGGGCAGGGGAGAGAGGGAAGAAGGAAGGAAGGAAGGAATGAAAGAAGGGAGTGAGGGAAGAAGGAAGGAAGGAAGGAAGGAAAGAAAGACGAGAGGAAGGAAGGGAGGGAGGGAAGACAGGGAGGGAGGGAAGGGGAGGGGAGGGAGGGAAGAAGGAAGGAAGGAAAGGAGGGAGGGAGGGGAGGGGAGGGAGGAAGGGAGGAAGAGAGGAAGGGAAGGAAGGAGGGAGAGAAAGTAGGAGGTGACTGGGAGCGTCATTATGTAAGTTCAAATTTGTTTTCTTTGGAGCGTAAGTAAAATAAAACCACAAATGCAACAGAGTCCAGTAACTAAAAATATGCTTTTTCCACTGTTATCCATAGGAAACAGAAGTGATTAATGGCATCTTCCTTTCAACATGAAGAAAGAAGATGGTTTTCACAGTCCAGGTTGTGCCCCATCAGGAATACATCTGAAACTCATTCCATTCAAGCTGGCAGATTTCTGGGATTAGATGATCTTTTAAAGTTGCTTGCTTGTCCTGATTCTGGTCATGGTGAGAACAGCTATAAATACCTAGTTTTAAAAAATGCAAATGCATGCTCCAGTTTTAAAGATCCCTTTTCTGCTAGCAGGCTATTGAAGACAGAGAGTTTATTTGATCGTCTTTGGAATTTATGATTCCATCCTACTAATTGCCCTATTTTTGAAGTATCTAATAAAACTGTGATGCATAGAAGATTGCTGAATACCAGAGAGTTGTAAATAACTCATTTTAGTGCTGGCAGTGAAAGAAATGAACTTTGGAAAGTGATATCAAACTAGGTTTAAGTAGGAGGGCTGAAAAATAAACTCCAGCAGCTTGGTATTGGCTGACTCTTGAAGAGGGAGATCTGTGACGCAGAGATAGAGCTAGAGGTTCAGTGAGGAGCTCACTACATTACAGATTAAGGTGCCTTAAAGTGACCCTGCTTTCAGCTGCCCTGCGATGTGGTCTTCTACAATCTCGAGTAAAATAAGTTCTAAGACCACCAGAGTAAGGAGACAGGACAGATAGATGCTGCCTGCCTCCCAGACAAAATGAAGTTCATAGGTTCTCTTATAACATCACATTTGACCATGTGGTTTAATGACCAACATCTTTTTTCTAGCAGTGAGAATAAACTACAGCCATTAAAAGTAAAAATATAGCCAAATGGCACAGGACACCTCCAATGGACACGTGCAACAAAAGAGAGGCATTACATATACTTCACAGGACTCTAATCTGTAAAATTAAATGTTTGTGGCAGGCAGTCTTCAGAGCTCTCTGTTGTGTTTCGGGATATTTAGGAACGTTACAAGGACTGTATAGAGGCCAATGTGAAGGCTTCCCCTTTAAGAAACAACAACAAAAAAGGAGCCATCTACTTAAAAACATGCCATTGACTCTGAAAATTCAGTGTAAACGCTGACCCATGAGCACCCTCACATCTCTAGTTCTTCAAATCTGCCCTTCACAGATAGGGACTATGTTTATCGCTCTTGGCAACACGTTCATGGGAGTTTTCTCATACGCAATGACAACTGAACAAAATCTTAGCTTTTTTTTCCAGGATTTTCTTGTTGTTGATATCCTTGTTGTTGTAAGGAGTAGTAATCAGATATTCGGCAGAATGACCCTTGTGAAAGGAAAATATCTTGGGCCCTTTCAAGCTGGGAAGTGTCAGGGCAACCTGCCTCCCACTCTATTCAAAGTCACCCCTCTGCTCACTGAGACAGATGCACTTCTGATTGCCTCCTTTGGAAAGGCTTATCAGAAACTCATAACAATGTAACTGTTTTGTCTTTCACCCACCTGTGATCTGGAAGCCTCCTCCCTGCTTTGAGTTGTCCCCACCTTTTCTGGACGGAACCAATGTACTTCTTACATATATTGATTGATGGCTCATGTCTCGTTAAAATGTATGAAGCCAAACTGTGCCCCGACCACCTTGGGCACATGTCGTCAGGACTTCCTGAGGCTGTGTCACAGATGCGTGTCATCAACCTTGGCAAAAGAAACTTTCTAAATTAACTGAGACCTGTCTCAAATTTTCGGGGTTCACACCCTCAATTGGACTTCGTCTGATTTTGCTTTCTCACGATTGGACCTGAGTTATGGGTTTTGAGAAGAGGCCCACAGAGGTAAAGCGCTGTTCTCATCTTATGCTGTGAAGAGTGCACACTCTCAGTAAGACTTGTCACTGTTGATGTTAATTTGAACTCCAGGCTGAGATAGTACTATTTCACGTTTTTTTCCACTGTAAAGGTAATCTGTTTTCCTCTTCTCATACATTACTCTTTGGAAGAAAGTCACTATGCCCAAAGCACACTAGGGGAGTTGCGACTTACGAAGGCAGAGAATCGAAACAAATGATTTGCAATTTTTCTGCATGGGAGAGTTCTCATCGCTTCCTTTATTGTTTAGTGACTCTATCCTGGATGATACAAAATTTTATAAATCCATCCAGGACAACGAAGAAGCAACCTGATAAAAACCCTCTTCCTTTAGTTGAGACAACCTAAAAGGGATTAAAAGAAATTATGCTGTATGTTTTATTAAAAATACGTGGAAGAATACATGGTTACTTTCTAACAGCAGAGAGAATTCCAATATATCCAATTGCTAGCTACTTGTTTCAAATGCAATATAGAAGCAACTTTGAGGTAAGTCTCCAGATAGCTACCATAAAGCAAACTTGTGCCTGTAGCACAACAAACACACGTGTTGATCTTTCCAGGGTGATGTCTTGGGTTCATATTTTGTCTGTACTTCATAGTATTCAGGTACTTCTGGACAAATTGTTTTTACTTCTCTGAGTTTCAGCATCTTGCTATGGATATTAATAGTGACTCCCTTCAATAGTTACTGTGAAGACTGGAAGAAGTAATGTATGTGTGCTTTGTATAATACCTGTTATTTGCCATACTTCCCTATTATGTTTTTACTTTAATATATGTCTTAGCCAGGCATGGTAGCCAAGCACTTTGAGAGGCTGAGGTGGGAAGACTGCTTGAGGTGAGGAATTCAAGAACAACCTTGGAAGCATAGTAAGACTCCAACTCTACAAAAATAAGAAAAATAAAATAAAATTAGCTGTGTATGGTGGCACATACTGGTGTTCCCAGCTACTCTGGAGGTTGGGGCAGAAGGATTGCTTAAGCCCAGGAGGTCAAGGCTGCAGTGAGCTATAATGACACCACTGCACTCCAGCCTGGGCAATACAGCAAGACCCTGATTTCTAAAAATACATATCTTGGGAGGCTGGGGCAGAAGGATTGCTTAAACCCAGGATATCAAGGCTGCAGTGAGCTATAATTGCACCACTGCACTCCAACCTGGGCAACACAGCAAGACCCCAATCTTTAAAGCTATATATCTTGATGTATAGATATTTATATAACAAGGATTTTAATAATATGAAGAGCTTCAATTTGTTTGGGAAGATATTTAGAAAACTTAATCTCTGGGTATACCCTGATTCTGTGATACCAAAAGGCAAGCCAAATCAGAGGTGCTGGGAATATTTTCTGAGCTCTAAGACAAACAGAATTCAAATTCAGACTTCTGCACTGTAATATACAGCACAACTGATTTCAGGTTTTGGATTTGGATGGCCCATTGTAGTTCTCTGATATTTGTTTATGCTACAAATAATGAATAGATATCAGATGAAAACTATGTAGGCAAATAGATAATTTATAAGGAGTTATTTTTAAGTATGAGAGTTCCATTTGGATAATGCAAAAATAAACGTTTGATTTATAAGTAAGTACATTTCTAGATGAAGGAATGTAATAATATTTTCATGCTAATTTTTGTTTGACATAATAAAGGTTTTAGAAAAGACACAATTAAAAGTTGTACTTTTTAAAGAAATGATATAAAATGAAGAACATTAAGATGACTAACGAATTATCAATACTTGGCTGCGTTTACTCCTTAGAAGTCTACCAGACTAAAAAAATGGTTCCTAAATCACTCTTTTAAAAAAGCGTGTAGGCAAATTTAGTCTTCCTGAAAGAGTTTGATGTAGTAGAAGATAGAACAGATACAATATAGTCGTGGATAGAAATTTTCTAAAATGCTTTACTGTTTGTTTTTAATATAGTTCAACTATTTAGCCCAATAAATCTATTAAGATTATATAAAGTTAAGTTAACTCTATTTTCTCCTCTATAAAACAGAGATTAAGGAAAACTCTTAAATACATCATATAACAATATAAATATCATAGGATTGTTTTCTCCCTTAATAATAACACTTTATGTTTGCAATCATTTTTCCCAAAGGAAGCCTGTCTACTGGATTAATGATCATTACTTCACGAGTTTAAAAATAATAATAATTTTGTTCAGTTCCTACTATCAGCAGAGAAGGACTTATGAAAAAAACGGCAATATTGATGGATACATAGTGTGGCCAATAATTGGTGCAGAGATGTTTTATAGAAAGGCTTTATAAACTGTGAAAGAAACTGCATAATTTTTAGAGACTGAAAATATATGTGTTAATTCTTCCTCATGAGAGTATTTCTAGTTTGCTGACACTAAAATGGTTGTTAGGGAGGAATGCTCTATCAATTCAGAGAACACAGACTCTTCCAATGTATCGGAGAATAGATAAAGTGACTGTGTCTCCCCTGCAGGAGGAGAGCTCATATGGATGATGTGTAAATGAAGCAAACAGAAGACAACTAAGCAATGCACATTTTGTTTCATCCTCTGATGCAGGAGAGCATGGGAGGTTGAGGGAAAATGACCTACGTATCCAAATTTAATGGCAGAGAAGCTCTGGGTTTTATCTCTCTTGGATGTTCCTTGTCTTCCAAGGTGTGACGGTTACTTTGTTTGTTTGTTTGTTTGTTTGTTTTGAGACAGAGTCTCGCTCTGTTGCCCAGGCTGGAGTGCAATGGCACGATCTTGGCTCACTGCAAGCTCCGCCTCCCAGATTCACGCCATTCTCCTGCCTCAGCCTCCCTAGTAGCTGGGACTACAAGCAACCGCCACGGCGCCTGGATAATTTTTCTGTATTTTTTAGTGGAGACGGGGTTTCACCCTGTTAGCCAGGATGGTCTCGATCTCCTGACCTCGTGATCCGCCTGCTTCGGCCTCCCAAAGTGCTGGGATTACAGGCGTGAGCCACCGCACCCGGCCTGTAATGGTTACTTTTAAGTGGCAACTTCAACTGAATTAAAGGTTATCGAGATAGCTGGTGAAGCATTATTTCTGGGAGTGTCTGTGAGGGTGTTCCCAGAAGAGACTGGTATTTGAATCGGTAGACTGAGCTAATACTATCCACTGTCATCCAATGGGAACAGGAACATCTAATCTGTTGAGATCCTGGATAGAACAAAAACACAGAGGAAAGACAAATTTGCTCACTTTCTTCTGGAGTGGAGACAACCTTCTTCTCTTGCTCTTGGACATTGGAACTCCAGATTCTTTGGACTTCGTATTCTGGGACTTGCAGCAACCCCCATCCCCACCAGATTATCAGACCAAGAATTACACCATCAGCTTCCCTGGTTCTGAGGCTTTGGGGCTTGGACTGAACCACAGCACTGGCTTCCCTGGCTCTCTAGCTTGCAGACTGGCCATTGTGGGACTTCTTGGCCCCTATAATCCTGTGAGCCTATTCTTCTCATAAATCTCTATCTCTGCACCAGTATTCTATCTCTGCAAGAGAGAAAGTTGGGGGCGGGGGCACAGAAAGAGAGAGAGACAGAGACAGAGAGAGAGAGAGGGAAAGAGGAGAAGGTGAAGGAAAGGAGAAAGAGGGAGAGAAAGGTGGGGAAAGAAAAATGATAAAGAGAGAGGAGAGAGAGAAGAGAATATAAGATACAGAAAGAAACAGAAATGAAAAAGAAGGGAGAGAGTAACAGAGACAGAGGGAGAGAGGGAAAGAGAAGAGAGAGAGGAAATCAGGAGAGAGAGGATAAGAGGGAGGGTGGTAGAGAAAAGAAAGTAAAAGAGAGAGGGAGAGAGAAAGAGACAGAGAGACAGGAGAGAGAGAGAAAAGAAAGTAAAAGAGAGAGAGAGAGAGACAGAGAGACAGGAGAGAGAGAGAAAAAAAGAGAGAAAGAGAATAGAGGGTAAATTGAGACTGAGATTGGGGTTTTCACTTTTCTCCTGTCCATCTTTGATAATCCCATGACCTTGAAAATCCTTGATCCACCACATCTATTAAGAGTCAAAGAGACATCTCCAGCAAAGTAGATGTTGCTGACCAAGGCTTAGAGAAGATGGAGTGATTGGTTTTCTTTTGATGAAGTGTGTGTGTGCATGTGTATGTGTATGTGTATGTGTGTGTGTTCACAGGTACTCAATTGCCCTTAGTGCAAAAAGGTCACTAAGGATTGGCTGAGATTGGATGCCAGTCATAGAAACCCGTTTAAGGAAACCGATGGGTGTGTTTATATCTGAACCCGTTGTTCACACTTGGCCCAGAACATATCCCAGGGTAGAAAAGCTCACAGAAATTTGGCAATCAATTGTCCATTTTTCAAATGGTCTTCAGTGCTCATTGCCACACCATGGCTCTGCTAATCAAACAGAGCTGGTTGAATGTTTTATTTTGTGTAATTATCAAATCTACTTTTCCTAGGGCATGATGAAGAGTCTATGTTGCTTCAAAAATAACAGCAGTGGTAACAAATCTAATCACTTTACTGTTTCATTTTTAAAGCATCAGTATATAATGGCCCCATCTGCCACCTGGTTTTAGTCAACTTGCTTTAAAAAGTCTGTGGAAATTAAGTACGTTCATTGAGTTAAAAATAAGTTTTCTTATATTGTTAACTACCTTCTATGGGTATTAGAATATTTTGGGCACCTTTGTCAACTCAAAATTGAGGTATATATGCACTGGCTTTGGAAAAAAAGTTTCTTATTTACTGAATTAATGTAAACATTCAAATGTTTTGCAAAAGCTACTAGTTTATTGTTTAAGTTAATATCAGATCACATAAAATAGGTTAGAAAATAGACATCTATCTACGGTTATGGAGAAGATTAATAATAATAAACACATAATTTATTTTAACATTTAATTTCTTAAAGTAGAAGCTTATATAGTCTCAATCTCAATTTTGCATATATTTGAATCAGAGAACAACAAATAAAATTAATTACATATGGCTTTAGGAATCACTTGCTTAGTAATTTAAAATTTATGCTCTATAAAGATATTCTATAAAGAAGAAAGTTTGAAAATGAAAACTCAGGAGTTTTAAACACTATTAAAAAAATATTTTCAAGTTACAATTGTTTTTATAATGCTTCTCAAATTTTTCTCAGCAGTTGCACAAACCCCATTATTACAACTACTTATATTAGACTTATTTTGCAAAATCAGGATATAAAAATTATTGTCCTGATTGTTCAGAATCAAGTATTCCAGCCAGAATCCAACCACAACAAATTACTCTTTATGGATCAATATTATTTTCCTCCAATTATAAAATAAAGGTAATGAATAAAATGGTTTCTAAAGTACATATCATTTCCCAAATTCTACCACATGGCAAGGCAGAGATACATTTGTTTGCTTTAGAAAATAGGTCTTTCCAATACTGATGTAAACTTGACTTAGACGTTTAAAATGCAGTGAAGATTGTTATCGATGCCTTTGATGTGTGAAGATGTGAATTCAAACTGTTTAATTGGTCTAAAATAAATAACCCTAATGAATTAGAATTAAATAAGTAAATCAGAGAGTTGTCTCCATCAATGAAGACTTTCCATTCCAATGGAACACAGTTCCATGTTTCCTCTTTATTATCCACAGTTCAACATTCATTCATCCATGAAGTGTAGTGTAGTATTTCTGAATCACAGAATTCACTATCCTCATCAATTTAGGTTGGCATCTGTTAGGGTTTTGCCAACTAAACAGAAGCTGCTGTAGGTACTTCAAGGAAGAAAGGTTTCCCTGCAGGGAAACAGAGAATTTCATCTCTTGGAAGAGAAGAAAGAAGTTTACCCTGAAGCTAAGGCGGATTTAAAAATTCTCAGTGGAAGCTTCTAGCAGCACAAACTTGACAATTCGTACTCACCCTCTGCTCATGCATCTGACTTCAGGGGCCCTGCAGAAACAAAAATCCATCCTCTCTTCTACCGTGAAAATCTCTCACCTGGAACTTTATCTGATGAAGGCAGTTCCTATTGTTATTTTATGTGGTATTGGGTAGGAAAGATATGTTGACAATAGAAAATTCAGCACAGAGGTTGTCGGATTATCTGTTTAATATTAGAGAAACATTCGTTGGTGTCCCAACAATGCACCATTTGGGCATTTGAACATTCTATGGCAAGATGTTCTACGAAAGCTTGGATGCAAGAATCCTTAGACACCTTGCGTGGAGGGGAAATCATATCAGAAGAAACTTAAAAAAACAAAAAGCAAACTAACAAAAAAAAAAAAACCCAGGAAATTGGAGATGAAAAAAAGGCAAAGAGTCAACAGAGATGAGAGAGAGAAAGAATGTCATCCTGCATGTTTCTCATACCCAAACCTCCGAAAAGGTATAACTCATATCTGTTATTTTAACTCTGGGAGCTGCAGTCAAAATCCAGCATCACCCAGAGTCTGTGCTCACCAAACATCTGAGCCATGAAATGCTATGTAGTTCATGCTGATGCAAAGATGAAATGAGGTTTTTAATCTAATGAATACACTATTGCCCTCAAAATAATTATTAACTTGAAATATTAACTCTGCTATAAAGAAGTTTAGCTTCCAGAAAACTCTTTAACACTGCTAACATAATACATGTTCTCATGAGTTCGTAAATGTAATTTTACAATTTTTAAAGACAGCCACATTTTTATATTTCACAGGAGATACTGCACCTTTTTCTAATTGAAAACTATTGCAGATCCATTGTAAAAATCTTGGAGTGTGTGAGATAGTGTAATTAAGAAGGTAAAATATTACCAAAATCTTTATTCAGAATGGTACATTTAGTGTGCTCCGGTGTCTGTTTTATTTGGAATATGGAATATTCCATATATGGAATACTGTTGGAATATGGAACAATGTATATGGAATATTTTTACCTCATCACTTTTCTAAATGTTAATAAAAACGTAAAATTTATGTTTGTTTATATCTCTTTATGAGTAGATTTCATAACAGATGCCCTTATATTTTAAAATATCTATTTTATTTAATGGTTTGTATATATTTTATCTTGTTTAAAATGAACTTTGGCAAAGCATGGTGACTCGCACCTGTAATCCCAGAACTTGAGGAGGCCAAGACAGGAAAATCACTTGAGTTCAGAAGTTTGAGACAAGCCTGGGAAACATAGTGAGACCCTGTTTCTACAAAACAGAGAGAGAGAGAGAAAGAGACAGAGAGAAATTAGCCAAAGGTGGTGGTGTGCCCCTGTAGTCCCAGCTACTTGGGAAGCTGAGGTGGGAGGATTGCTTGAGCCATGAGGCTGAGGTTGCAGTGAGCTGTGATCACACCACTGTACTCCATCCAGCCTGGGCAAGAGAGCAAGACCCAGCCTCAAAAAATGTATACATAATATAATAAAATAAAATAAATAAAATAAACCTTTCTTTTTATAGATCATATGCATATCATTCACAGATTCTTCTAAATATCTTAATTTTATTCATTGTATTTATATTATGAATTCACTGACATTTATTTTAACATATTATATATTATATTGCTTTGATGTGGAAGGACAATGGAAGCAATAGTATTTCTAATACAATCTAATTTTAATTTCTAATACAATAATAATTTAAAGAAACTCTTTGCCTCAGTCTGTAATCATTTCTTAACCATGTGTTACATGCTTTCATTTAAAAAATAAAACTAAGGCCGGGCGTGGTGGCTCATGCCTGTAATCCCAGCACTTTGGGAGGCCGAGGTGGGTGGATCACGAGGTCAGGAGATCGAGACCATCCTGGCTAACACAGTGAAGCCCCGTCTCTACTAAAAATACAAAAACTTAGCCGGGCCTGGTGGTGGGCGCCTGTAGTTCCAGCTACTCGGAGGCTGAGGCAGGAGAATGGCGTGAACCCGGGAGGCGGAACTTGCAGTGAGCCGAGATCTTGCCACTGCACTCCAGCCTGGGCAACAGAGAGAGACTCCATCTCAAAAAATAAATAAATAAATAAATAAATAAATAAATAATAAAAATAAATCTCCTTGAAGATTATTGAAGCATGACCAAACCCATGCACATTCTAGTGAATGCATTGCAATGGCTTCCAAGCCTGTCTTTCTTTGAGTCATCTGTACTTGGGCTGTTAATTTGCCAATTATCATCCCTTGCCTGTGGACTATAACTTAGCAAATGGTTAAATGTGTGATCTATTTGAAAAATTGGCAATACCTGTAAGTCAATTCATCATTGGCATAATGTTATTCCATCCATTGCCAAGCAGAAATGTGTGTGTGTGTGTGTGTGTGTGTGTGTGTGTGTGTGTGTGTGTGTAGTTTCTTTTCTTTTAATTTGAATTATACTCTTAAAATTGCATGATACATTTTTGGGACATAATTATTAACCCCAAATTAATGATTTCAAAGAATGACCATCAGTTCTGGGAAAAGCAGGGTGGCCTGCCTTAGCTAATAAATAGTTCTCCTTCTCCATGGAATAACAATTGTTAGTGAGTTCAATTAATTTGCAAATAGCTCTTGTTCAATATGACATTTTTATTTTTAAAAGTTGTTTTAATGCAAAAACGATTTTGATACGCAGTGTTTTTAAAGATAAGAAACTATAATTTAAGTTGACAATTAGTGGCTGATACCGCATATCATGTCTTCAAATATTGGAATTATATTTTCTCTTTATTATATGCATCAACAAATAAAACTACTTTAAATGACTTTATAATTGTCTTGTGTGCATATATATGCTATATATATCTATAGATATGTTTCATTCATGAATATTATATTTTTGGTAAAAATATCGAAGTGGCTCAGATGTTTTAATCACAAGCAAATTTCAACTCAATATAAAAACAATTGAAGTCGGAAACATCGTGAATAACTTTTTGGCATTGAAAATATGTTTTTGAGAAATGTCCTAATGTTTAAACTCTTGATGAAAGAAAATACGGATGAAAACTAAACGGATTTCCAAAGCGAAACTGTGTAAGAACCTAGAGGGGTTCTTATACAGTTATTCACAACCAGCCTAACGTCTTTAAGGTAAGAAAGCTCTTATATCTCACGGAAGACAAGAGTGTTGAAAACCCCAAGTTGTGGCTAGTCAGCAATTCCTGAATTATGCCTTTAGGGGATAATCACATGCAATTCTAACTATTTTAGATTAAGCA